>NC_000004.12:168921381-169546381 GCF_000001405.40 Homo sapiens
GGGCAATAAGAGTGAAACTCTGTCCAAAAAAAAAAAAAAAAAAAAGCCACCTCTTGTACTACTGAAGGAGGAATTTATGCAGACTTCTTAGCTACCAGTGATTTCACTCTGTTTTAATACAAAAATTTACATGTATTTCTTTTATGATTTAGGTCAGTGGGTTACCAACCCCAGATCTAAGCTGGCAACTAGATGGAAAGCCCGTACGCCCTGACAGTGCTCACAAGATGCTGGTGCGTGAGAACGGGGTGCACTCTCTGATCATAGAGCCAGTCACGTCACGTGATGCCGGCATCTACACATGTATAGCTACCAACCGAGCAGGACAGAACTCATTCAGCCTGGAGCTTGTGGTTGCTGGTAGGCTCATCTGTGAATCCTTGCTCTCTGACAGAATGAACATCAGACTTACAAATGTAAACTAATTCTACATTACTAACCAATACGGAAAATAAAGTATTGAAAAAATAGATTGTATCATCAAAATAGCCAATGAGGACATGGTTATAAGGCCTAGCAAAACAGAAACAGAAATCTTTCATTTCTCCCACTAACCTGGCAAAGAGAGAAAAAGATTTTATTAGCTCTTTTGGGTCATTCGACCTCCTGTGTGTATAGTGGCCCCTAGTGTTACATAGAGAAATAGTAACAGCAGCATGGACTCCAAGAACCAAAGAATTTGCTTATATATAAAGTTTTATATTTATATATATATATATATACACACACACACACACACACACACACACACACACACACACACCTGGTTTTTAAAACAACACTGTCATCTACCCTCATAGTCATTGTCAAACTACACTCAGATTTGCTTTTTCACTGATTATTGTGTAGGTAAATTCTGTAAAAGTGCTGTTACATGAAGTCTTATGCTTTGAGAAGCCTAAAAGGAAAACACATTTATGGAAAGGTTTTTATACCATCCTTAAGAGTTAGGTGTTGAGTACCTGATCTCTTTTAAGAAAGAACATAACAAAACATTTATTTCTTCTACCTCTTTATGCAAAGTGCTTCATGTACATTATGTATCAGTTGGCCCTCACATGAGCCTTATGAGATAATCAGAGCAAATCTTCTCTGAATTTTCCAGGGTCCCACTTAGTAAGCTGATGATTAGATTTAACACAAGACTCCTAGTGCTCTTCTAAACACACTACGTCACTGAGCTCTTTCAAGAAATAGAGTAGCAATGAGAATAAAACCCAAGAAGTCTTGACAAAACTCTTGGATTATGATTCTGATAATGGTACCAAGATGTTTTCACATAAAAATGTGGTAAATATGTGGACTGTGGTGCTACAGGTTAGCCATGCTTTCAAGTTTTGTACAAAGTACTCTATATTCTTACATGCTACAATTGATTTCATTCCTCTAACCTCAAACTAAAACTTCACTTTTCTGCTGTTAAATATGCCTTTTGATCACATAGATACCTCAGTGCGCATCAGCTGGCACTCCTGTCAGAAGACGGTGATGCACAGTAATTGGAAGCAAAGTCTTTGGGGTCAGATCTGCTCCAGTCCCGGCTCTTGTCGATTTTACTAGTGTGACATTTGGCAAATAGCTATCTCTGCGACTTAGTTTCTCCATATATAAAATGGGAATATAATGCCTCACAGTGCTTTCCTAAGGATTAAATCATAAAAATGTGTATGAAGCTCTGCATAACTAGTACCCTGCACAGCAATGCTGCAAAGTGGTAGATGTTATTCTTACTGATGAGTTGCTATGACATTAAGACTTGTTTTATACATTTTATGTTCTTTGCAAAACTGGAGCCCCAGAAAGAATACAAAGTGAGCTTCTGTTCCCACTTCTCCCAGAATAGCCTAGGATGGGCAACCATGTAAAATTCAATAAAAATCCAACCTTCTAACTAACTCGTGGTGTTGGAGAGTATTAAGCATTTGAAAAGTTCAGGTAGAATTTTCATCCTTTTTGAGCTCTTTCCTAGCTGCTTTGCTGTGATATATCTGTCACTCCAGATGAGGGAGTAGTGGTGGAAAAGGAATGCATTCTCAGATTCATTGTTGGTAGTTCAAAAGAAAATAAGTAAACCTTATTCATTCTCTGAAGTACTTTCCACCACTACTACAACTGATCCAAGAAAACAATTTCCCATTGGATGGTATTATTCAGAGTGTTATTAACAATCAGTCCTGAATTTTTCAGAATAGTACTAAAGTTGTCTTTTTTTTTTAATGGGTTCCTTCCTTCAAGGTTATAATAAAGCTTTTTTATAACCTTCAAAGAATACAAAGTGGAATTTGTAATTTATAGGATATACATTCCTAGTTTACAGGTAACTATTTAAAGCTGCCAAATTTAGATAAAGATGCCTCCCCTTTAAATTGCCCCCTTTAAATTCTATGGCATGTCTCACTTAAGAGTTACAAATATTCAGAATATTCATGGCAAACATGGCAAACGGCAGTGAGGGAATCTAAGTGGTCAAATTCCTAGAAATACTTGTCCTCAGCACCACTAGGTGGCAGTAGTTGGTTGAGGCTGTGAATGATCGGTAACATAATCACTAGTAGTGAAGCCATCACAGATGCTAGCAATGACTTAGGAGTCTCCCACAGCTGGTCAGACAGGCATTCTGTGAAGCAGATGGCCAGTGGACAGTGTGAGCCTATCAGACTTGAATTAATTGAGGAAATAAATGAGCGGAATGAAGTATACAGACCTTTGCTTGGTAAAAGAATAATTTGGAGAGGGGACTAGCATCTTACCACCTGGAGTAAAAAATGGTATCATAAAAGATCTATTCAAGCAATATTCCAAAAGCCTTCTGAATTCTTTCTAGTGCTCCTTTTGTATATCATTGATAGAGAATTCATCTCATGTTTTCTTAGCTAAAGAAGCACACAAACCCCCTGTGTTTATTGAGAAGCTCCAAAACACAGGAGTTGCTGATGGGTACCCAGTGCGGCTGGAATGTCGTGTATTGGGAGTGCCACCACCTCAGATATTTTGGAAGAAAGAAAATGAATCACTCACTCACAGCACTGACCGAGTGAGGTAAGACTGCACAATGAGAACCTGATCCTTAACTGTTCAGTCCTAATGATGTATCAAAAGATACATTTTATATAGCATGGAAATCTATGTGTAAAAGCCACATAGATGTTTTGATTTTTGATGAAATCAATCAAAGACAAAAACCATGCGTTACCCAATGTAGGATTAAGCTTTTAGAAGGAAGCTATGGGTGTTTGATCTAATGGTGATTTCTTAAAAGTGTTTATCATTCTATCTAAAAGAAAAGATGAATTCATTTGCTTTAGTGATAAAAGACTATTCAGTGGTTTTTGTAAAGGCAGATCCTCAACTAGGAATTAAGCACACAGATGTATTCAACTCTTGACGTCTGTTCTTTCTCCCATTAACTTTAATGGAGCTAGTAATCTCTACAGAATAAGTATGACCCTATTATCAGCTACTTGCACAATTCTGTTTCTAATGATCTAATTAAAAATGATGCTTCATGTCCAAAGCCACTTTTAAAAAATTTAGAACCCTAATGACTTTATCCTTTTCTCCAGCATGCACCAGGACAACCACGGCTACATCTGCCTGCTCATTCAGGGAGCCACAAAAGAAGATGCTGGGTGGTATACTGTGTCAGCCAAGAATGAAGCAGGGATTGTGTCCTGTACTGCCAGGCTGGACGTTTACAGTGAGTGCCACTTCATCTCATTTCATTGCGTTTACTCATTAAATTATGAAAAATTAGACATCTGGACAGCAAATCACATTACTCTTTATAAACAACTATTGTGTTTTATTTGTCAAAAAAATTCATATTGCTCTCTCTCTCTTTCTATTTGTAGTTTCTCGACATTAATAGTGAACCACACCAGGAGAACAAATACCCAAGTATCATTCAGGAACTTTGAATTATTAGCAAAATATGCATGTTGATTTCTCTTACATTGGCTAGTTAGTTGTGGCTTCCTTACTCAAGCATCCTTAGGAGTTAACAGTAGGCAAAGGCATAACCATGTTTTTCACATGTTCTTGTTACTGTGTTCTGCAAATGACTGCCTTTTAACATTTCTTCCTATATTCTATCGCAGTGTCCTAATGCACTCTAAACGTGTGTTCCATTGATCCTGGAATGCGTACTTTTGTGGCTTAGTGCTTTTCTCATTAATATATCTTAAGCAGCCAGCAGTAGACTTGTGTTTGTATATTTGTGTACATGCATCCCAAATTTAAAGAAAATTATTCCTATTGAATTTACAGTCTAGTACAATCAGCATTATGTTATCCATTGACATAAAAAAAACACTAGAAAAAAATTAAGAATTTATTTAAGAATTTATTTCAGATTTTGCCTCTTCTTGAAATAACTATGTGAGGGTCATCAAGAAATGTGTGGCCTCAACCTTCCCTACTGTACGATTCCTTTCAGTTGATTAGTGTTAAAGCATCCACATCCAGCAGAATTCCTAAGTGCTATAATTATTTTAGAGAAAATATTTTTTAAAAGGAGAGGGGGGATGAGAATTAGGAAGCTTATCAGCTATTCCAAAGGATTCCCTGTGCTGCAGTGTTTACTTAAAAAAAAAAAAGATAAACTACACTTGACCTTTGTAATCTAGCTGCTTTATTCCCACTATCCTGTATAGACAGTAAATCTGCAACATGTGAGTAAAATGCAAAAGTGTTCCTAAATTTTCCATGTTTCTACCATGGATGTGTTCAGGTGCCTTGCATCTATCTAGACATTCTGTATTTATTTGAAATATCTAAAGGCTTTCCAAGTATATCTTGATTAAAAATCTTAATTTACTCTTTTTCTTTGTAGCCCAGTGGCATCAGCAGTCACAGAGCACCAAGCCAAAAAAAGTACGGCCCTCAGCCAGTCGCTATGCAGCACTTTCGGACCAGGGACTAGACATCAAAGCAGCGTTCCAACCTGAGGCCAACCCATCTCACCTGACACTGAATACTGCCTTGGTAGAAAGTGAGGACCTGTAATCCAGCATTCTTGTTAAAGCTGAAACACTGAAACAGCCATTGCCTTGACCAACATATTCCTTTGTCACATTATGTAAAAGGCAGAAACATACCTTTGACTATAAGAAATTAAAAAAAAAACACCAAAATAATATTTTTCTTACTTGATATACCAAACTTAGTTTAAGTAGATAATGCTAATACAAATATACACATTGCACAGAAAATACACATTTACTGTCCAATTTAAAACTTTGGAATTGCTGTGATTAAAGTGATCAAAATGCCAAAATACTAAAGGAAATCAATTGTTCACAGGTAACTACAATTTGTATTATCTACAAGTGCCTTTAAACACAAGATATAGGTGCTGTGTAGCCTGATAGTGTGAAATGTTTAATGAGGGAGTTGTACCACAAACAGTACTACAATGATTCTGAAGCACAGTGTATTCAGACAGATACAGTGAACCAAGTGCAATATGTAAGGATGAAAGAAGAAGAGATGACAAAGAAATCCAAGTAAATGCCTTGTCTTTGCAAATGTTTTTATATTAAATCATAAGGAAGGAACTACTTGCCTTAAATGTTAATATCAAAAGAGTTTTCTAACAAGGTTAATACCTTAGTTCTTAACATTTTTTTTCTTTATGTGTAGTGTTTTCATGCTACCTTGGTAGGAAACTTATTTACAAACCATATTAAAAGGCTAATTTAAATATAAATAATATAAAGTGCTCTGAATAAAGCAGAAATATATTACAGTTCATTCCACAGAAAGCATCCAAACCACCCAAATGACCAAGGCATATATAGTATTTGGAGGAATCAGGGGTTTGGAAGGAGTAGGGAGGAGAATGAAGGAAAATGCAACCAGCATGATTATAGTGTGTTCATTTAGATAAAAGTAGAAGGCACAGGAGAGGTAGCAAAGGCCAGGCTTTTCTTTGGTTTTCTTCAAACATAGGTGAAAAAAACACTGCCATTCACAAGTCAAGGAACCCAGGGCCAGCTGGAAGTGTGGAGCACACATGCTGTGGAGCACACATGCTGTGGAGATTGCAGTGTGTCTGAGGTTTGTGTAGTAGTGGAAGATTTTAGGTATGTAGAGCAAGTTGAAAATGGATTGAGACTGCATGGTGGCATAAATGAGAAATTGCCTGTAGCATCTAGTCTACTTGAAGGAAGTGGAGACATAAGGAGAGACAAAAACAGGTTTGTGCCATAAAGTATTTTTTCAAAGACACCAAGATGTGGTAAATGAAAATTATTAGTTCACTTCCCTGCTGCCATGAAACTTTGCCTTAAGAAGGTGCTGGATTCCAAGGTTTGTAAAGGCATCTCGGTAAAGACTGCTTTTTGAATGCATATGATTTTGCATCAGCTAGACTGAGTTGATTCTGACCAGACTTGATGGTTTTAAGTCGGAACCGATAAATTTTAAAAAGGAGAAAAAATAATTTGACCTAGTAGTATAAAACATGAGGCTTTAATGGTACTTTGCTATGAAAAGAAAACACTGTATTCCTTATGCAAAACACATGTATCTTTCATTATTTATAAGTGGCCTCTCTTAGCTCAGTTACTCAATTCATACGTAGTATTTTTTAAAATAATTTTATATCTGTGTACCACCCCATATATTTCATATTACTGTTTCACATGTACAGCTTTCTACTTCTTTGTAAGAACACCAACCAACCAAGGTTTAAGTGATTAATAGGCTTGAGCACCGGGTGGCAGATGTTCTATGCAGTGTGGTTCAAGTTTCTTTGACCGCACTTATATGCATTGCTAATATGGAATTTAAGATACCATACACAGTCTCTCATGGACCTATCTCTATTGTAGAATTATGACTTATGTCTTACTTGCCAAATTTTTCTGAATGTGACCTTTTTTTGCTGATTTGCTGGGTTTGGGATTAACTAGCATTATTTTGCCACCTTTATATTGTATTTATAAAAAAAAAAGTACTATCAATCAATCATACTACTTTGGATTGTTGTGCTGGTGTAATGTGGATTTAACATCAATAAATATTTGACAAATAATAGTTGCAGTTTTGTGAAGCAAAATAAATATTCAGTTTTAGTTTTCTGTTGCTGCCATAACAATTAGCATAAACTTTGAGTGATGTTTGAGGCTTCAGCATCACTCATTTATTACTCACAGTTCTGTAAATCAAGTTCGGGCAGGATGTAGCTGGGTTCTCTGTTCAGGATCTTATAAAGCTAAAATCATTGTATCAGCTGGACTGTATTCTCATCTGGAGCTCAAGATCCTCTTCAAAATTCAAGTGGTTGTGATAGCTCTGTGCAATTGTAGAAGAGACGTCTCCTTTAGTCCCTCAGCCAGGAGCTCTCTCTCTCAGCTCCTGAAGGCCGCCTGTATTCCTTGCCATGTAGCCCGCTCCATCTTCAGGGTTAGTGGTGAGAATCTCCTTCACCTCAGATCCCTCTCACACTTTCTCTTTGTCAAAGGCCCAGTCCCTTTTAAATTACGTCAGGCCCATCCAGATAATCTCCCTTTCTTAAAGTCACCTGACTTTGGGAACCTTAATTACATCTGCAAATCCCTTCAAAGCAGCAGCTAAATCGCCATTTGATTGGAATAACTGAGAGAAGGTGTGTATACACCAGAGGATGGGGATATTAGGGGCCATCTTACAGTTCTGCCTGCCACAGCAATGTACTGTAGGTATGCATGTAAATACACACCAGTGCCATGACGTACAAGGATACATAAAATACAGCAAGATGATATAAATTAAAAGTGAGGGGAAAAGGAAGAAAGTAAGTATAAATGGAACAAGGAATGAGATATTACACACACACACACACCCATATTCATATACACATATAGCATTAATATCTACATAGTTACAACAGACGGACAACATATTTGGGCCTAGGCTTTCCTACTACGGGAAAGAGAAAGCTGGTCATTTATCTAATTCACAGCCTCCATAAGGTGAAAATATTTCATCTTTTACATATGCAATATAATGGAGCTTTGAGGATACATTTGAATTAGACTAGAATTGTGTATTTCACATTGTCTTCTATACCCCATGACTTGCTATGTAGTTTACAAGATTCATTATATATTTTAATGCTGAATTTGTCCTTGATTTTCCCTTTTATGAACATGCATAACATGACAATCCCCTTGGCTTGCTCAGTAGCTACAACCTCCTTTATCATCATGTAAATTTAGTTTGACCCCTTTAAATTATAGAAATACAACTTCTATATTATGGTGGTGAGGAACTTGAGTGTTGGAGTTGGCCAACCAGGATTTGAATCCTAGCTCTTTTGATCATGTGTGACCCATAAGCAAGTTACTTTACCTCCCCAAGCCTCAGTTTCCTTATTTGGAAAATGGAGATTAAAATAGCACCCCTCTCTTTGTGCTGCTGTGAAGATTATATGGGATGATAATTTTGACATGGTACCTGGCACATAGTAAGAGCTCAATAAATTTCAGCTATTATTTTAGTGTAGTTGGAAACTAAAGTAAAATTTCAATTACAAAATGTGTACACACCTAACAAAATTCCACAGATGGTTAAAATTTGTGAACTTGGATGGGAAAAACATTACCCCCTAGCTGAAATTTAGAATTTCCTTCAATTATGAATGTAGGCAACAAAACACAACAGTATAAAATACCTGGGACTGTCCTAGTAAAAATTATATTACAAATATTGAAATATCTTAAAATCCATCTAAATTCAGCATTACTTCAAAATTATGGCAGTTGTTAGAGTTACCAATAGATGTAATTTATAGGCATTTGTATTATAAATTTGTTTTTAATACTTTGATAATTACTTAAAAATAATTTGTTTTATGTATTTTATGCCTCCATGAACATTATTTTGAGAAGGGATCCAGAAGATTTACCAGAGGGTCAAAAAGGCATATGGCACCAAAAAAATTAAGAACCAGGCCCTACAGAAGCTTAAATACGTAGAAAAGGATAAAAAATTTGAGGAAAGCCTAATTTGTCATTAGTAGAAGAAGGAACAAAACTAATTAATTCATACAATGAAATATTACTTACTATTCAGAGTTAAAGGTAAAGAAATGGATTTACTTCTATTGGCAGGGATAAATATGAAAAACAGCATTTGACGAGGAAGGGAAGTTACATAAGAGTGATGTCAGCAAGATGGCTGACTAGAGGTTCCTGGCATTCATCCCCCCAAGAAAGGATCAACAAATGAACAAACAGTTAACATTCAACTGAAGTGTCAAAGGAAGAGCACTGGAGTGCAGTGGGGGTAGCTGCGGTCACTGAAAGTCCAGAAGGCAGCATGGAGACACCTTGTCTCTGCTGCCCATGCCCCTGCATCCCCCAACTCTGACTGGCCTGGAGTCAAGAGGAGAAACTTTCCTTTGCTGGGAAAACGTAAGCAGAGCCCCATCAGCCCCCATTACCACTGCAAACACCTACAATCCTTACTACAGGAGAATTCCACAGTCCTCACAAGCCCTGAACCGACTTTAGAGAGCCACTGTCGATTGCACAGCTGCATTCCTCTGGATTAGGAACATGAGATATGTACTCTCCACCCCTTAGGTGCCTGCTGTGGGGCCCAGTAGCAAATGCACCTCTCCAGCCCAGCGGCTCTGTCATTCCACCAAGCACACATGGGTGGCTGCAATGCCACAACCCTGGAGGCTCAGAACCTGGGCCCAGGATTGGCTGTGACTCTGGTTCTGCACAGCAGGAAAACCAACCATCATTGCCTGAACTTCCAGGCAGAGAAACAGTCTAGCAAATTCTCCCAAAGCATACATACCTACCCTTGAGCTGGCCAAACTGGGCCCCTGAGCTGCTAAGCACCTGACATGCCCTCAGGCCAGAACCAGTACCAGCCTATCTCCTAAGCCTGAGAAACAGCCCAATGCCCCCTACCTCCATGGACATGCCTCCAGGCCTACCCAGTGGAACTGTGCCCAGGCTAGGGTATGAGAAACAGTCCAGTGGGCCCAATCCCAGCATACATGTCCCTAGACCTTCCCAGCAGCCCTGTGCCCATGCCCAGGGCCTGAGAAACAGCTTGGGAGATTAACTTCCAGTAGACACACCCCTGGGCCAGGTGAGCTGTCACATGACCATGCCCAGGGCCTAAGAAAGAGCCCCATGGGGTCAACCCCCATGGACACACCCCCTGGCTGGCTGAGAGGCACACCACTGTCCCAAGCCCAAGAAACAGCCCACTTGGCCCACCTCTGGCAGACACACCCCCAGGCCAAATGAGCATGCCTGTACCCAGGGCCTGAGAAACATCCCTGTGGCCCCAATCCCAGCAAGCAAGACCCCAAGTTGGTTGACACCGTTCACACACATGCCCCCAATTTGAGAAACAATCCAGTGAGCCCACCCCAGCAAAGCTGCACCACCACTGCTACAAATTCTCACAGCCTAGGCCACTGGGCACTTACAAACATCAGCAGACTGGATTACAGCTGAAGAATCTGCACAGACACTACAGTACTGCATCCACCTAGAACCAAAGCCAACACACCCCCCCTAACTGACACTATAAGATCCTCCAATACAAATACGTCTTTCCCTACAAAACCTTTCATCAAATTAGAAGAGGTGACTGTTCTACCAGATGCATAGAAATCAACATCAAGGAACATATCAAACATGAAAAAACAAGAAACCATGATACCTCCAAAAGAACACAATAATGCTCCAGTAACACACCTTAATCATAAGGAAATATGTGAAATGCCATAAAAAGAATTGAAAATAATAATCTTAAGGAAGCTCAGTGAGGTAAAGAGAATATAGCTAAACTGTTCCCTCAAATCAGGAAAGTAATTCATGATTTGAATGAGAAATTCAACAAAGAACATAAAAAAAAAAAACCCAACAGAAATCTTAGAGTTGAAGAATTCAATGAATAAAATAAAAAATGCAATCAAGAGCTTCAACAACAGATTAGACAAAGCAGGGGAAAGAATTTCTGAACTTGGAGGTAGGCCTTTTGAAATAACTCATGCAGACAAAAAAAAAAGAATAAAGAAAGCCTACAGAATGTATGGGACACTGTTAAGTGAACAAATATTTGCATTTTGGAACTCCAGATGGAGAAGAGAAGGAAAAAGGTATAGAAAACAGATTTAATGAAATCACAGCAAAAAACTTCCCAAGTTTTGGAAAAGAGATGAACATCTAGCTCTAAGAAGCTTAAAGTCCCCAAAGAGATTCAACCTAAACAGTTCCTCTCTGAGGCACATTATAGTCAAATTGTCAAAAGTCAAATACAAAGAAAGAATTCTAACAACAGCAAGAGAAAAACGTCAAGTCACATATAAGGGAATACCCATTAGGCCAACAGCAGATAGCAGAAACCTTACAGGCCGGGAAAAAAAGAAATAATATATTCAATGTACTAAAAGAAAAATATTGCCAGTAAAGAATATTGCTTTAATATTCTTTATTAAATATAAGCAAAGCTATTCCTCAGAAATGAAAGAAAATAAAGTCTTTTTCAGATATGCAAAAGCTAAGGGAAGACTAGCCTTACAAGAAACACTCAAGAGAGTTTTAGATCTGGAAGTGAAAAGACAATAACCACCACCATGATGAAAACAAATGAAATTATAAAATTCACTTGTAGAGCTGATATACAAAAGAGAAAGAGAAAGGAATCAAACCTTATCACTACAGAAAACCACTAAGCCACAAAAATAAACAATAAGGAGGATTAAAGAGAAAGGAATATACAACCGGAAAACCATCAATAAAACGACAAGAGTTAAGTCCTCACCTACCAATAAATAACCTTGAATGTAAATAAATTAAATTCCCCAATTAAAAGACGTTGAATGAATGAATGAATAAAAAAACCATGCAACTATATGCTGCCAAATAAAAACTCACCTCACCTGTAAAAGACACACAAAGACTGAAAGTGAAGGGATGGAAAAAAATAATCAATGCAAACAGAAACAAAAAGTGAGCAGAAGTAGCTATTCTTATGTCAGATAATACAGGCTATTTAAGTAAAAAGTGATAGAGACAAAGAAGGACATTATATAATAATAAAGGTATCAATTCAGCAAGAAGACATAACAATGGTAAATATATATGCACCCAACACTGAAGCACCCAGATATATAAAGCAAATATTATTAGATCTAAAAGGAGAGATAGACCTCAATAAAATAACAGTTGGGAACTTTAACACCCCACTTTCAGCACTGGACAGATCATCTAGACAGAAAATCAACAAAGAAACATTGGATTTAAACTGTACTACAGACTAAATGGACCTAACAGACACCTACAGAACATTTCACCCAACAGCAATAGAATACACATTCTTTTTATCAGCACATGGAACATTCTACAGGATTGACCATATATTAGGACACAAACCAAGCTCAAAAAATTTTTAAACACTGAAATCATATCAAGTGTCCTATCTGACCACAATGGAATAAAACTGGAAATCAATAACAAGAAGAATATTCAAAACTGTACAAATACATGGAAATTAAACAACATGCTCCTGACTGACCAATGGATGAAGGAAGAAATTAAGAAGTAAATTTTAAAATTCCTTGAAACAAATGAAAACAGAAACACAACATACCAAACCCTGTGTGATACAGCAAAAGCATGATTAAGAGAAGTTTACAGCAATAAACATCTATATCAAAAAAGTAAAAAGAGTTCTAATAACCGAATGATTCATCTTAAGAATCTAGGAAAAAACTGGGCATAGTGGTGCACACCTATAGCCCCAGCCACTCAGAAGGCTCGGGCCAGGTTGCTTTGAGGCCAGGAATTTGAGACTACAGCACACTCCAATTTGGCCTGTGAAAAGCCACTGGCAAGACCCAGTCTCCAAAACAAGTTTTAAAAGAAACTAGAAAAGCAAAAAAAACAAAAAAAAAAAAAAAAAAAAAAGCAAGCCAAACCCAAAATTAGCAGAAGGAAAGAAATAATAAAGATTAGAGTAGAATTAAACAAAATTGAGATTTAAAAATACAAAAGATCAACAAAAAGTTGGTTTTTTGAAAAAATAAACAAAATCAACTAGCCACTAGACTAAGAATACAGAGAGAAGACCCAAATAAACAAAATCAAAAACAAAAAAGGAGCTGTCACAACTGATACTACAGAAACACACAGGATCATTAGAATCTATCATGAACAACCATATGCCAATAAATTTAAAAACCTAGAGGAAATGGATAAATTCCTGGACACACAAGCTACCAAGACTGAACCAAAAAGAAACAGCCTGAACAGATCAATAAAAAGTAATGATAATAAATCAGTAATAAAAAGCCTCCCAACAAGGAAAAAACCAGGACTGGATGGCTTCTCAGCTAAATTCTACCAAACATTAAAAAAGAAAGAAAAAAAACTGCCAATTCTTCTCAAACTATTCCAAAAATTGAAGAGAAGGGAATTCTTCCAAACTTATTTTACAGGGCCAGCATAATTTTGACACCAAAACCAGATAAGGACATAACAAAAAAACAAAACTACAGACCAATATCCCTAATGAACATACATGCAAAAATCCTCAATATAATATTAGTAAATTCAATCTAACATCACATCAGAAAGATCATACACCGAAGATGGCCAAATGGGAACAGCTCCGGTCTGCAACCCCCAGCAAGATCAATGCAGAAGGCAGGTGATTTCTTCATTTCCAGCTGAGGTACCCAGCTCATCTCATTGGGACTGGTTAGATAGTGGGTGCAGCCCATGGAGGGCGAGCAGAAGCAGGGTGGGGTGTCACCTCACATGGGAAGTGCAAGGGGTGGAGGAACTCCCTCCCCTAGCCAAGGGAAGCCGTGAGGGACTGTGCCATGAGGGACGGTGCATTCCAGGCCAGATACCACGCTTTTCCCACGGTTTTTGCAACCATAGACCAGATGCCTGTGCCACCAAGGCCCTGAGTTTTAAGCACAAAACTGGGCAGCCATTTGGCCAGACACTGAGCTAGCTGCAGGAGTTTCTTTTCGTACCCCAGTGACTCCTGGAACACCAGCGAGACAGAACCATTCACTCCCTGGAAAGGGGGCTCAAGCTAGGGAGCCAAGTGGTCTAGCTCAGTGGATCTGACCCCCTATGGAGCCCAGCAAGCTAAGATCCACTGGCTTGAAATTCTCACTGCCACCAAGCATTCTGAAGTCGACCTGGGACACCCCAGCTTGGTGAGGGAGGGGTGTCTGCCATTACTGAGGCTTGAGTAGGCAGTTATCCCCTCACGGTATAAAAAAAAGCCTCCAGGAAATTTGAAATGGGCAGAGCCCACCACAGCTTGGCAAAGCCACTGTAGCCAGACTGCCTCTCTAGATTCCTCCTCTCTGGGCAGGGAATCTCTGAAAGAAAGGCAGCAGTCCCAGTCAGGGGCTCATAGGGAAAACTCCCATCTCCCTGAGACACAGCACCTGGGGGAAGGGGTGGCGGTGGGTGCAGCTTCAGCAGACTTAAACATTCCTGCCTGCCAGCTCTGAAGAGAGCAGCAGATCTTGCAGCACAGTGCTCAAGCTCTGCTAAGGGACAGACTGCCTCCTCAAGTGGGTCCCTGACCCCCATGCCTCCTGACTGGGAGACACCTCCTGACTGGGAGACGCCTCCCAGCAGGGGTCGACAGACATCTCATACAGGACAGCTCCAGCTGGCATCTGGTGGGTGCCCCTCTGGGACAAAGCTTCCAGAGGAAAGAACAGGCAGCAATCTTTGCTGTTCTGCAGCCTCCGCTGGTGATACCCAGGTAAACAGGGTCTGGAGTGGACCTCCAGCAAACTCCAGCAGACCTGCAGTAGAGGGCCCTGACTGTTAGAAGGAAAACTAACAAACAGAAAGGAATAGATTCAACATCAACAAAAAGGATGTCCACACCAAAACCCCATTTGAAAGTCACCAACATCAAATACCAAAGGTAGATAAATCCACGAAGATGGGGAGAAACCAATGCAAAAGGGCTGAAAATTGCAAAAATGAGAATGCCTCTTCTCCTCCAAAGGATCACAACTCCTCACCAGCAAGGGAACAAAACTGGACAGAGAATGAGTTTGACGAACTGACAGAAGTAGGCTTCAGAAGGTGGATAATAACAAACTCCTCCGAGCTGAAGGAGCACGTTCTAACCCAATGCAAGGAAGCTAAGAAGCTTGAAAAAAGGTTAGATGCATTGCTAACTAGAATAACCAGTTTAGAGAAGAACATAAATGACCTGATGGAGCTGAAAAACACAGCACGAGAACTTCGTGAAGTATACAAAAGTATCAACAGCTGAATCGATCAAGTGGAAGACAGGATATCAGAGATTGAAGATCAACTTAACGAAATAAAGCATGAAGACAAGATTAGAGAAAAAAGAATGAAAAGGAATGAACAAAGCCTCCAAGAATTAGGGAACTAATGTGAAAAGTCCAAACCTACGTTTGACTAGTGCACCTGAAAGTGACGGGGAGAATGGAACCAAGTTGGAAAACACTCTTCAGGATATTATCAAGGAGAACTTCCCCAACCTAGCAAGATAGGCCAACATTCAAATTCAGGAAATACAGAGAAAACAAAGATACTCCTCGAGAAGAGCAACCCCAAGATTCATAATCATCAAATTCACCAAGGTTGAAGAAATGAAGGAAAAAATGTTATCGGCAGCCAGAGAGAAAGATCCTCCTTTGGAGGATCACAAAAGGTCAGGTTACCCACAAGAGGAAGCCCATCAGACTAACAGCAGATCTCTCTGCAGAAACCCTACAAGCCAGAAAAGAGTGGGGACCAATATTCAACATTCTTAAAGAGAAGACTTTTCAACCCAGAATTTCATATCCAACCAAACTAAGCTTCATAAGCGAAGGAGAAATAAAATCCTTTACACACAAGCAAATGCTAAGAGATTTTGTCATCACCAGGCCTGACTTACAAGAGCTCCTGAAGGAAGCACTAAACATGGAAAGGAACAATTGGTCCCAGCAACTGCAAAAACATACCAAACTGTAAAGACCATCAACACTATGAAGAAACTGCATCAACTAACGGGCAAAATAACCAGCTAGCATCATAATGACAGGATCAAATTCACACATAATAATATTAACCTTAAATGTAAATGGACTAAATGCCCCAATTAAAAGACACAGACTGGCAAACTGGATAAAGAATCAAGACCCATCGGTGTCCTATATTCAGGAGACCCATCTCACGTGCAAAGACACACATAGGCTCAAAATAAATGGAAGAATATTTACCAAGCAAATAAAAAAAGCAAAAAAAAAAAAAAGTGGTTGCAATCCTAGTCTCTGATAAAACAGACTTTAAACCAACAAAGATCAAAAGAGACAAAGAACGGCATTACATAATGGTAAAGGGATCAATGCAACAAGAAGAGCTAACTATCCTAAATATATATGCACCCAATACAGGAACATCCAGATTCATAAAGCAAGTTCTTAGAGACCTACAAAGAGACTTAGACTCCCACACAATAATAGTGGGAGACTTTAACACCCCACTGTCAATACCAGACAGATCAACAAGACAGAAAATTAACAAGGATATTCAGGACTGGAGCTCAGCTCTGCACCAAGTAAACCTAACAGACATCTACAGAACTCTCCACCCCAAATCAACAGAATATACATTCTTCTCAGCACCATATCACAGTTATTCTAAAATTTATCACATAATTGGAAGTAAAACACTCTTAGGCAAATGCAAAAGAATGGAAATCATAACAAACAGTCTGTCAGACCACAGTGCAATCTAATTAGAATTTAGGATTAAGAAACTCACTCAAAACCACGTAATTACATAGAAACTGAACAACCTGCTCCTGAATGACTACTGGGTAAATAACAAAATTAAGGCAGAAATAAATAAGTTCTTTGAAACTAACGAGAACAAAGACACAATGTACCAGAATCTCTGGGACACAGCTAAAGCAGTATTTAGAGGGAAATTTATAGCACTAAATGCCCACAAGAGAAAGCAGGAAAGATCTAAAATCAACACTCTAACATCCCTATGAAAAGAACTACAGAAGCAAGCACAAATAAATTCAAAAGCTAGCAGAAGACAAGAAATAACTAAGATCAGAGCAGAATTGAAGGAGATAGAGACACGAAAAATCCTTCAAAAAATCAATGAATCCAGAAGCTGGTTTTTTGACAAGATCAACAAAATAGACCACTAGCCAGGCTACTAAAGAAGAAAAAAGAGAAGAATCAAATAAACGCAATAAAAAATGACACAGGGGATATCACCACCAATCCCACAGAAATACAAACTACCATCAGGGAATCCTATAAAAACCTCTATGCAAATAAACTAGAAAATCTAGAAGAAATGGATAAATTCCTGGACACATAAACCCTCCCAAGACTAAATCAGGAAGAATAGACCAATAACAAGTTCTAAAGTTGAGGCAGTAATTAATAGCCTAACAACCAAAAAAAGTCCAGGACTAGACGGATTCACAGCCAAATTCTACCAGAGGTACAAAGAAGAACTGGTACCATTCCTTCTGAAACTATTCTAAACAATAGTAAAAAAGGGAATCCTCCCTAACTCATTTTATGAGGCCAGCATCATCCTGATACCAAAACCTGGCAGAGACAAAACAAAAAAAAGAAAATTTCAGGCCGATATCCCTGATGAACATCGTTGCAAAAATCCTCAATAAAATACTGGCAGACAGAATCCAGCAGCACATCAAAAAGCTTATCTACCACGATCAAGTCGACTTCATCCATGGGATGCAAGGCTGCTTCAACATATGCAAATCAATAAACGTAATCCATCACATAAACAGAATCAATGACAAAAACCACATGATTATCTCAACAGATGCAGAAAAGGCCTCTGACAAAATTCAACACCCCTTCATGCAAAAAACTCTCAATAAACTAGGTAGTGATGGAATGTATCTCAAAATAATAAGAGCTATTTATGACAAACCCACAGCCAATATCATACTGAACGGGAAAAAGCTGGAAGCATTCCCTTTGAAAACCGGCACAAGACAAGAACGCCCACTCTCACCACTCCAATTCAACATAGTACTGGAAGTTCTGGACAGGGCAATCAGGCAAGAGAAAGAAATAAAGGGTATTCAAATAGGAAGAGAGGAAGTCAAATTTTCTGTTTGCAGATGACATGATTGCATATATAGAAAACCCCATTATCTCAGTCCAAACTCTTCTTAAGCTGATAAGCAACGTCAGCAAAGTCTCAGGATACAAAATCAGTGAGCAAAAATCACAAGCATTCCTATACACCAATAACAGAGAGCCAAGACGTGAGTGAACTCCCATTTGCAATTGCTACAAAGAGAATAAAATACTTAGGAACCCAACTTACAAGGGATGTGAAGGATCTCTTCAAGGAGAACTACAAACCACTGCTCAACGAAATAAGAGAGGACACAAACAGATGGAAAAACATTCCATGCTCATGGATAGGAAGAATCAATATCATGAAAATGGCCATACTGCCCAAACTAATTTATAGATTCAATGCTATCCCCATCAAGCTACCACTGACTTTCTTCACAGAATTAGAAAAAACTACTTTAAATTTCATATGGAACCAAAAAAAGAGCCCGCATAGACAAGACAATCCTAAGCAAAAAGAATAAAGCTGGAGGCATCATGCTACCTGACTTCAAACTATACTATAATGCTACAGTAATAAAAACAGTCTGGTACTGGTACCAAAACAGATATATAGACCAATGGAACAGAACAGAGGCCTCAGAAATAACACCACATATCTATAACCATCTGATCTTTGACAAACCTGACTAAAACAAACAATGGGGAAAGAATTCCTTATTTAATACATGCTGCTGGGAAAACTGGCTAGCCATATGCAGAAAACTGAAACTGAACCCCTTCCTTACACCTTATACAAAAATTAACTCAAGAGGAATTAAAGACTGAAATGTAAGACCTAAAACCATAAAAACCCTAGAAGGAAACCTAGGCAATACCATTCAGGACACAGGCATGGGCAAAGACTTCATTACTAAAATACCAAAAGCAATGGCAACAAAAGCCAAAATTGACAAATGGGATCTAATTAAACTAAATAGCTTCTGCACAGCAAAATAAACTATCATCAGAGTGAACAGGCAACCTACAGAATAGGAGAAAATCTTTGCAATCTACCCATCTGACAAAGGGCTAATGTCCAGAATCTACAAAGAACTTAAACAAATTTACAAGAAAAAAAAAACATCAAAAAGTGGGTGAAGAATATGAACAGACACTTCTCAAAAGAAGACATTTATGCAGCCAACAAACATATGTAAAAAAGCTCATCATCACTGGTCATTAGAGAAATGCAAATCAAAACCACAATGAGATATCTCATGCCAGTTAAAATGGCAATCATTAAAAGTCAGGAAACAACAGATGCTGGAGAGGATGTGGAGAAATAGGAACACTTTTACACTGTTGGTGGGAGTGTAAATTAGTTCAACCATTGTGGAAGACAGTGTGGCGATTCCTCAAGGATCTAGAACCAGAAATACCATTTGGCCCAGCAATCCCATTACTGGGCATATACCCAAAGGATTATAAATCATTCTACTATAAAGACAACGCACACGTATGTATACTGCAGCACTGTTCACAATAGCAAAGACTAGGAACCAACCCAAATGACCATCAATGATAGCTGGAAACCATCATTCTCAGCAAACTAACACAATAACAGAAAACCAAACACCACATGTTCTCACTCATAAGTGGGAGTTGAAAACACATAGACACAGGGAGGGGAACATCACACACCACAGCCTGTCGGGGGTGGGGGCCTGGGGAAGGGATAGCATTAGGAGAAAGACCTAATGTAAATGACCAATTGATGGGTGCAGCAAACCACCACAACACATGTATACCTATGTAACAAACCTGCACGTTCTGATGTATCCCAGAATTTAAAGTACAATAAAAAAATTTTTTTAAAAAGATTATACACCATGATCAAGTAGGATATATCCCAAGGATACAAAGATGGTTCAGTATATGCAAATCAGTAAACATGATACATCACATTGACAAAATAAAGGACAAAAACCATATGATCCTCTCAACAGATACGGAAAAAGCATTTGGTAAAATTCAACATCCCTCTACACAAACATCAACTAAAATGGATCAAATTCAACATCAAAATCCTAACTGAAAAATAAAAAAAGATACATACCCAGTAATGGGATTGCTGGGTCAAATGGAATTTCTGGTTCTAGATCCTTAAGGAATCACCACACTGTCTTGCACAATGATTGAACTAATTTACACTCCCACCAACAGCGTAAAAGCCTTCCTATTTCTCCACAGTCGCCCCAGCATCTGTTGTTCCCCGACTTTTTAATAATGCCATTCTAAATGGCATAAGATGGTATCTCACTGGGGTTTTGATTTGCATTTCTCTAATGACCAGTGATGATGAGCTTTTTTATATAGTTAGTTGGCCACATAAATGTTTTCTTTTGAGAAGTGTCTGTTCATATCCTTCAAAGGATTATAAATCATTCTACTATAAAGACACATGCACATGTATGTTTACTGCAGCCGTATTTACAGTAGCAAAGACTTGGGAACCAACCCAAATGCCCATAAATGATAGACTCGATAAAGAAAATGTGGCACATATATACCATAGAATACTATGCAGCCATAAAAAAGAATGAGTTCATGTCCTTTGCAGGGACATGGATGAAGCTGGAAGCCATCATTCTCAGCAAACTAACACAGGAACAGAAAACCAAACACCACATGTTCTCACTCACAAATGGGAGTCGAACAATAAGAACTCATGGACACAGGGAGGGGAACATCACAAACCAGGGCCTGTTGGGGGGTGGGGAGCAAGGGGAGGGAGAGCATTAGAACAAATACCTAATGCATGAGGGGCTTAAAACCTAGATGATGGGTTGATAGGTGCAGCAAACCACCATGGCACATGTATACCTATGTAATAAACTTGCACGTTCTGCACATGTAATCCCAGAATTTAAAGTACAATTTAAAAAAAAAGAAAAAGAAAACAAAGAAAAAAGAAATTTTAAAATTCCACATTCAAATCCTAATTGAAAAAGAAAAAATAATGGATCAAAGGCCTAAATGTAGGACTCAAAATTACAAAACAACTAGAAGAAAACATTGAGAAGATGCTTCAGGACATTGGTCTAGAAAAAGATTTTATGAGTAAGACCTCAAAAGCACAGGAAACTAAAATATAAATAAATATTATTAAATCAAACCAAAAGCTTGCGCACGGCAAAGGAAATAATCAACACAGTGAACAGACAACCTACACAATGGAAGAAAATATCTGCAAACTCTTCACCTGACAGGGGATTAATATCCAGAATATGCAAAGAATTCAAACATTTCAACAGCAAAAATATTTTTTATTAAAAAATAGGCAAGGGATCTGAACGGATATTTCACAAAAGAAGACATAGAAATGACCAACTAATATATGAAAAAATTCTCAACATCACTAATCAAGGAAATGAAAATCAAAACCATAATGAAATATCATCTCATCCTAGTTAGAATGGCTATTAACAAAAAGAAAAAATAATAATAAGTTCTGCCAAGAAGGTAGAGAAACAGGAACTCATGCACTGTTGGTGGGAATGTAGACTAGCACAACCTCTATGGAGTACAGTATGGAGATTCCTCAAAAAACTACAAAGAGAACTACCATACGATTAAGCAATCCTACCAGTGGACATTTATCCAAAAGAAAGGAAATCAATATATCAGAGATATCTGCACCCTACTGACAATAGTGCCACCTATAGGCCTGAAGGTCAAACTACACAACCCAATACAAAGCCGCTGACAAAAGGGTACAGCACTGGAGAATGAGACAAGCTTCCTGAGACCTCTGCAACCCCAGCCCTGTAGAAGGTAGTGAGCCAGCTCATACACCCAGTACATCACTACTACAACTGGCATTTGAGAAAGCCACCGCACAAAGGCTATCAATAACCAAGGAACTCATACAGGGTCCTTTCCACTGAAAGCACCCAGGAGCAAAGCCAAATGACCATACTCAACATACATTATAGTCATGCTTGAGAAAGCTAACTCAGCCATTGGTAAGTTGAGCAGAGCTCTAAAAGGTCCTCCATAATCTTTTACATCATAACCATCAAAATATGCCGGGAGTGAACAACTTCCAGCCCAAGTATCAGAGAGAAGTTGAACATGTGAATGGGGAACTAAACAACCACTACAGGCTGGGCATGGTGGCTCATGCCTGTAATTCCAACACTTTGGGAGGCTGAGACGGGTGGATCACCTGAGGTCAGGAGTTCAAGACTAGTTTGGCCAACATGGTGAAACCCCATCTCTACTAAAAATACAAAAATTAGTTGGGCATAGTGGCACGCACCTGTAGTCCCAGCTACTCAGGAAGCTGAAGTAGGAGGATCGCTTGAACCCGAGAGGTGGGGGCTGCAGTGAGCCGAGACGGAGCTACTGCACTCCAGCCTGGGTGAAAGAGGGAAACTCTGTCTCAAAACAAAACAAAACAAAAACAAAAAACAAAACGCCTCTGATAATGCAATACCATTTTACAAGAATATGACAGAAAGTATTGAACAGGGAGACTCTACAAGATTTCAAGCAATCAAAGGCTAATAAATGCTTTTTAGTACTTTTTAAATTTATAAAATGTTGACTTTCCCTTTTGAAAAAGTATCTTAATTATTTTAGCAAACACTAAAATACTTCTATTTTTATGAGTTCACTCATAAAGTTTTGAGTTTTTACCTGAGTGTAGTGGTTCACACCTGTAATCCTACCACTTTGGGAGGCCGAAGTGGGAGGATGGCTTGAAGCCAGGAGTTTGAGACCAGCTTAGGCAATGTAGTGAGACCCCCCATCTCTAAAAATAAAGAAATAAATAAAATAAAATAAAAAATAAATAAATTAGCCAGGCGTGGGCCTGGTGGTGCTGCTTGTAGTCCCAGCTATTCAGGAGGCTATGGCAGAAGGATTGCTTGAGCCCAGGAGTTTGAAGTTACAATGAGCCATGATCACATCACTACACTCCAGCCTGGGAGACAAAGTGAGACCCTGCCTCTAAAAAGAAAAGAAGAAAATTTAAAAAAAAGAGAGAAAAGAAAAGAAAAAAGTTTTATGAGTTTACTCTCAATCTGAGTCGCGCAACCTTATTTTTCTTATGAGATCTTAAGTTCCTCAACCATAAGGGATAGTTTAATAATGAATTTAGACAATATATACATTTTCATAAACTGTATTTCTTCAAAAGAAAAGAACATGGAAGAATTTAATAGGAAAAAAAGTGTCACAGATAATTCTTTTCGTGTTTATAAAGAATTGGACAAGATGATGTTTAATGCCAACATGCCTCTAAAGTGCAATGGAATTTATGTGTATTCATTTATATTCCTATGTGGTCTAGTTTTCAATTGTTTCTTACTGACTCTCATAAATACAGCCTGTCAAGCAAATAAAACCAGAAATATCAATCATAAACTTGTGCTGTTCAGAGCATGTGACATTTCATGACTTCATTTGTAGCATGTGACATTTTGTTTTATTCATATTCTCTGTTAAAACCTTATCTAATTAAAGAGTTTGCCTACTTCACTAGAAATAACTGTGTTAGACAATAACCATTCTTTCACTAAATTCCTTCTTTTGGAAAGTTTTAAGGTTAGCTCCTGTATACAGCAGTACTCCAAGTGTGACCCCCAGTCTATCAGGAACTTCCTAGAAATGCAAATTCCTGAACACTACCCCAAACCTACTGAATCAGAACCTCTTGAGAGTGGAGCCCAGCACTCTGCATTTTAACAAACCTTCTAGATGACTCTAATACACACCAAAGCTTAAGAACCACTGTCTTAGGAGGATCAGGTATCTTAATTCCCTCCCTGCTCAATTGATACTAAGGTCTGAATTTATCCACTGTATTCTCAAGAACCTCGAAGAATCTCTACAAAGTTAGTAATAAATAATCTTCCTTCAGGAAAGACAGTGGTATTTGCACATGGTTCTTTACAGTTACTTGGTGAGAACAACAGACCAAGACAGTCTGTTCTCTGCTAATGAGATTATCTTCAGGGGGCCTTAGGAACTTTGTTTTTCTTGATCTGCTGAATTGGTGGTTACTGCTTCAGCAGAGGCAGCCTCACTTGATTTGTTCAGGCTCCCAAGGATGCTGGATAATATCACTAGAATCCTTCCCCGTGTGAGAATGAGGATTATCTGATGGGAAAGGCAAAGCCTCTCTAAGGACATGCATTTATCCCATGAAAATAATATACTACCACAAAATACAAATAAATGCTAGAGAAACAACCATTTAAATGGCACTGCTGGGATTTCCAGTTAAAGGTAGTACCTTGAGCCCTACTATGTCCCCAAACAACAACAAAAACTTAGACAATTTTGTGTTTATTTTTTAAAGGCATAAATCCAAAAGAACAAGAAAGAAGAGGAGACAAACGCTAGAAAGCAGATGGGAGTTAGGCACTAACTTACAGCAGACCCGCAAAGCTGAATTTTGGCCAGAAATAGGAAAAAGTGAAAAACAACCAAACTTCCATGACAGAATTCCTAAAAGACAATAAAATTAGTTGATTTTGGTACTTCTGCAAGTCAACAGAAGGGCACTGCTTAAAAGAGCAATTAGACTTCTCTCATCCTCTCCTATACCTTGCATAGGAGACGGAACCTTAAAATATAAGCTTCCTTGGCTGAGAGATACCAGGAATAGTTTATTACAGACTACCATGCTAACAACTGAGGAATAAAATGAAAGTTTACAGCTTTCTTCCCTCTTTGGGTTCCAGAATGCTGCTAGTTAGAAGACTGATGGTCAGGAATGTTGACAGTCAGCTTTCCAGGCAGGAGAGTCTTCTCTGGAGAATCTGACCAGTCAAGAGAAAAACAGCTATAACAATGGTTCTCAAAGTATGGTCCAGGAACTCCAAAGATTCCCTCCTCTCAGAGCCTGAGCAAGGTCAAATCTATTTGCAAAATAATACTACAATGTCATTTGCCTGTTTTACTCTAATTCTCTCAAAAGTTCACAGTGGAGTTTTCAAATGCTGCACCATGTGTGATACTGTAAGATATTGAAGGCAGAAACAGATGTGGATCCACCTGTCTTTTATTAAGCTGGACATTAAAATGATCCACAAAAATGTAAAGTAATGTCACTCTTCCAATATGTTACTTTAAAAAATAGAGTCATTTTTCATTAAAAATAGATTATCTATGTTAGCATGTAACGGGTTTACTCTTGTTATTTTTGATGAATAAATATTTTGAAATTCAATTTTAATTTCTATTAGTAAATATTGACAAATGTAACCCACATAAACAAAAGTTCTCTGTGGTCCTCAGTCATTTTTTAAGCATGTAAAATGGTCCTGCGACCAAAGCATTTGAGAACTGATGAGCTAAAGAAACTGACATTGGGGTTCCAGCAGTTAAAAAGTCTGTCCACATACACCATCCCACAGTGAAGACTACTACCCGCAATCCCAACTACGCACATGGAGCTTCCAATCTGCTTTTAAAAATTACTTTAAAACACAGATACAGAAAACCACATAAAACAAATATATACCTTAGCAATTTATTATAAGGCTAACAATCTTGAAATTATCATCCTCAAGAAATAAAACTTTGCCAGACACCTCAGAAGTCCCTCTACATGCCTCATAGACATAGAGTTTAGTCGTGCCCCTGTCATGTTTTTTTTTAAATTGGGTAAGATATACAATGTAAAATTTACCATCTTAATCACTTTGAATGTACAGTTTGGTTTACCCGTTTTAAAATTTAATAAGTTTCTATAGTTTCTTTTAGTCTAAAAATTCCTTCCCATCACTTTCTTTTTCTTACAATTTATCTATTGATAAAAGCAGACTGGGCCAGTAGAGTGTTCTGCACCCTGAATTTTGCTGATTACTCATGGTGCAATTCCGTATGTTCCTCTGTCCTCAATGTTTCTTTTCTTTTCTTTTTCCCCATAGGTTACTGGGGTACAGGTGGTGTTTGGTTACATGAGTAAGTTCTTTAGTGGTGATTTGTGAGATTTTGGTGCAGCCATCACCCGAGCAGTACACACTGCACCCTATTTGTAATCGTTTATTCCTCACCCCTCTCCCATCCTTCTCCCCAAGTCCCCTAAGTCCACTGTGTCATTCTTATGCCCTTGCGTCCTCATAGCTTAGCTCCCACATATCAGTGAGAACATATGATGTTTGGTTTTCTATTCCTGAGTTACTTCATTTAGTATAACAGTCTCATCCAGGTTGCTGTGAATGCTATTAATTCATTCCTTTTTATGGCTGAGCAGTATTCCACCGTACATATATATCACAGTTTCTTCATCCACTCATTGATTGATAGACATTTGGGTTGGTTCCACGATTTTGCAATTGTGAATTATGCTGCTATAAATGTGTGTGCAAGTATCTTTTTCATATAATGACTTCTTTTCCTCTGGGTAGATACTCAGTAGTGGGATTGCCAGATCAAATGGTAATCCTACTTTTAGTTCTTTAAGGAATCTCCACACTGTTTTTCATAGTGGTTGTACTAGTTTACATTCCCACCAGCAGTGTAGAAGTGCTCCCTGATCACCGCAGCCATGCCAACACCTACTGTTTTTTGATTTTTTCATTATGGCCATTCTTGCAGGAGTAAGGTGGTATCACACTGTGGTTTTGATTTGCATTTCCCTGATCATTAGTGATGTTGAGCATTTTTTCGTATGTTTGTTGGCCATTTGTATATCTTCTTTTGAAAACTGTCTATTCATGTCCTTAGCCCACTTTTTGATGGGACTGTTTGTTTTTATCTTAATGAGTTCACTGTAGATTCTGGATATTAGTCCTTTGTCAGATGTATACATTGTGAAGATTTTCTCCCACTCTGTGGGTTGTCTGTTTAGTCTGCTGACTGTTCTTTTTGCCATGCAAAAACTCTTTAGTTTAAGTCCCAGCTATTTATCTTTGTTTTTATTGCATTTGCTTTTGGGTTCTTGGTCATGAAATCCTTACCTAAGCCAATGTCTAGAAGGGTTTTTCCAATGTTATCTTCTAGAATTTTTATGGTTTCAGGTCTTAGATTTAAGTCCTTAATCCATCTTGAGTTGATTTTTGTATAAGGTGAGAAATGAGGATCCAGTTTCACTCTCCTACATGTGGCTAGCCAATTATCCCAGCACCATTTGTTGAAAAGGGTATCCCTTCCCCACTTTGTTTTTGTGTGCTTTGTCGAAGATCAGTTGGCTGTTAAGTATTTGGGTTTATTTCTGGGTTCTCTATTCTGTTCCATTGGTCTATGTGCCTGTTTTTATACCAGTACCATGCTGTTTTGGTGACTATGGCCTTATGGTATAGTTTGAAATCAGGTAGTGCGATACCTCCAGATTTGTTCTTTTCATTTAGCCTTGCTTTGGCTATGTGGGCAATTTTTTGGTTTCATAAGAATTTTAGAATTGTTTTTTCTAATTCTGTGAAGAATGATGGTGGTATTTTGATGGAGATTGCATTAAATCTGTAGACTGCTTTTGGCAGTATGGTCATTTTCACAATATTGATTCTACCCTTCCATGAGCATGGGATGTATTTCCATTTGTTCGTGTCATCTGTGATTTCTTTCAGCAGTGTTTTGTAGTTTTCCTTGTAGAGGTCTTTAGCCTCCTTGGTTAGGTATACTCCAGAGTATTTAAATTTTTTTGCAGCTATTGTAGAAGGGGTTGAGTTCTTGATTTGATTCTCTGCTTGGTTGTTTTTGGTGTGTAGAAGAGCTACTGATTTGTGTATGTTAATCTTGTATCCAGAAACTTAGCTGAATTCTTTTATCAGTTCTGGGAGCTTTCTGGAGGAGTCTTCAGGGTTTTCGAGGTAAACAATCATATCGTCAGCAAACAGTGACAGTTTGACTTCTTCTTTACCGATTTGGATACCCTGTATTTCTTTCTCTTGTCTGATTGCTCTGGCTAGGATTTCCTATACTATGTTGAAGAGAAGTGATGAGAGTGGGCATCCTTGTCTTGTTCCAGTTCTCAGAGGGAATGCTTTCAACTTTTCCCTACTCAGTATTATGTTGGCTGTGGGTTTGTCACAGATGGCTTTCATTACATTGAGGTATTGTCCCTTGTATGCTGATTTTGCTGAGAGTTTTAATCATAAAGGGATGCTGGATTTTGTCGAATGCTTTTTCCACATCTGGGTAATGCTGGCTTCATAGAATGAATTAGGGAGAGTTCCCTCTTTCTGTATGTTGTGGAATAGTGTCAAAAGGATTGGTACCAATTCTTCTTTGAATGTCTGGTAGAATTCTGCTGTGAATCTGTCTGGTCCTGGACTTTTTTTTGTTAATTTTTAAATTACCATTTTAATCTCGCTGCTTGTTATTGGTCTGTTCAGGGTATCTAATTCTTCCTGATTTAAGCTAGGAGGGTTGTATTTTTCTAGGACTTTATCCATCTCTTCTAGGTTTTCTAGTTTATGTGGGTAAAGGTGTTCATAGTAGCCTTGAATAATCTTTTGTATTTCCGTGTTGTCAGTTGTAATATCTCCCATTTCGTTTCTTATTGAGGTTATTTGGATTTTCTCTCTCCTTTTCTTGGTTAATCTTCCTAATGGTCTATCAGTTTAATTTATCTTTTCAAAGAATCAGCTTTTTGTTTCATTTATCTTTTGCATTTTGTTGTTGTTTCAATTTTATTTAGTTCTGCTCTGATCTTGGTTATTTCCTTTCTTCTGCTGGGTTTGGGTTTGGGTTTGGTTTGTTCTTCTTTCTCCAGTTCCTTGAGGTGTGGCCTTAGAATGTCTGTTGTGCTCTGTTAGGCATTTAGGGCTATGAACTTTCCTCTTAGCACCGCCTTTGCCGTATCCCAGAGGTTTTGATAGGTTGTGTTATTACTGTCATTCAGTTCAAAGAACTTTTAAATTTCCATCTTGATTTCATTTTTGACCCAAAAGCAGGTTAATTTTCATGTATTTGCATGGTTTTGTAGGTTTCCCTTTTGGAGTTGATTTACAGTTTTATTCCACTGTGGTCTGAGAGAGTGCTTGATATAATTTCAATTTTCTTGAATTTATTATGGCTCGTTTTGTGGCCTATCATATGGTCTATCTTGGAGAAAATTCCATGCACTGCTGAATGGAAAGTGTCTCCGATTGTTGGATGAAATGTTCTGTATATATCTATTAAGTCCATTTGTTCCAAGGTATAGTTTAAATCCGTTCTTTGTTGACTTTCTTTCTTGATGACCTGTCTAGTGATGTCAGTGGAGTACTGAAGTCTCCCACTATTATTGTGTTGCTTTCTATCTCATTTATTAGGTCTGTTAGTAATTGTTTTATAAAACTGGGAGCTCCAGTGTTAGGTGCATATATATTTAGGACTGTGATCTTTTCCTGTAGGACAAGGCCTTTTATCACTATATAATGTCCCTCTTTGTCTTTTTTAACTGCTGTTGCTTTAAAGTTCATTTTGTCTAACATAAGAATAGCTACCCCTGCTCACTTTTGGTGCCTATTTGCATGAAATGCCTTTTTCCCCCGCTTTACTTTAAGTTTGTGCGAGTCCTTATGTGTTAAGTGAGTCTCTTGAAGTCAGCAGATAGTTGGTTTGTGAGTTCTTATCCATTCTGTGGTTCTGTATATCTTTTTTTCTTCTTTTTTTTGAGATGGAGTTTCGCTCTGTCACCAGGCTGGAGTGCAGTGGTGCAATCTTGGCTCACGGCAACCTCCACCTCCCAGGTACAAGCGATTCTCCTGCCTCAGCCTCCTAAGTAGCTGGGATTACAGGCACCCACCACCACGCACAGCTAATTTTTATATTTTTAGTACAGATGGGGTTTCACCAAGTTGGCCACAATGGTCTCGATCTCTTGACCTCGTGATCCACCCGCCTCGGCCTCCCAAATGCTGGGATTACAGGCGTGAGCCACTGCACCTGGCCAGTTCTGTATCTTTTAAGTGGATCATTTAGGCTATTTATATTCAATGTTAGTACTGAGATGCAATGTACCATTCCATTCATCATGCTATTTGTTGCCTGTGTACTGTGGTTTTTTGTTTTTGCTTTTTAAATTGTATTTTTGTTTTATAGGTCCTGTGAGATTTATGCTTTTAAAGAGGTTCTGCTTTGATGTGTTTCCAGGATTTGTTTCAAGATTTAGAGCTCCTTTTAGCAGTTCTTGTAGTGGTGGCTTGGTAGTAGCAAATTCTCTCAGCATTTGTTTGTCTGAAAAAGACTATCTTTCCCACATACATGATGCTTAGTTTCACTGGATACAAAATTCTTGGCTGATAATTGTTTTTGTTTGAGGAGGCTGAAGACAGGGCCCCAATCCCTTCTAGCTTGTAGGGTTTCTGCTGAGAAATCTGCTGTTAGTCTGATAGGTTTTCCTTTAAAGGTTACCTAGTGCTTTTGTCTCGTAGCTCTTAAGATTCTTTCCTTCGTCTTAACTTTAGATAACCTGATGACAATGTGCCTAGGTGATGATATTTTTGCGATGAATTTCCCAGGTGTTCTTTGTGCTTCTTGTATTTGGATGTCTAAGTCTCTAGCAAGGCTGGGGAAGTTTTCCTCAATTATTCCCCCAAATATGTTTTCCAAATTTTTAGATTTCTCTTACTCCTCAGGAACACCAAATATTCTTAGGTTTGGTTGTTTAACATAATCCCAGACTTCTTGGAGGCTTTATGCATATTTTCTTATTCTTTTTTCTTTGTCTTTGTTGGATTGGGTTAATTTGTAGACCTTGACTTCCAACTCTGAATTTCTTTCTTCTACTTGTTCAATTCTATTGCTGAGATTTTCCAGAGCATTTTGCATTTCTATAAGTGTGACCAATATTTCCTGAAGTTTTGATTTTTTTTTTATGGTTATCTATTTCCTTGAACATTTCTCCCTTCACTTCTTGTATCATTTTTTGGATTTCCTTGCATTGGGCTTCACCTTTCTCTGGTGCCTCCCTGATCAGCTTAATAACTAACCTCCTGAATGCTTTCTGGGGTAAATCAGAAATTTCTTCTTGGTTTGGATCCATTGCTGCTGACCTAGTGTGATTTTGGGGGGGTGTTAAAGAGCCCTGTTTTGTCATATTACCAGAGTTGGTTTTCTAGTTGCTTCCCATTTGGGTAGGCTCTGTCAGAGGGAAGGTTTAGGGCTGAAGGCTGTTGTTCAGATTCTTTTGTCTCACAGGGTGTTCCCTTGATGTAGCACTCTCCCCTTTTTCCTATGGATGTGGCTTCCTGAGAGCCGAGCTGCAGTGATTGTTATCTCTTTTCTGGGTCTAGCCACCCAGCAAGTCTACCAGGCTCCAAGCTGGTACTGGGGGTTGTCTGCACGAGTCCTGTGATATGAACTGTCTATGGGTCTCTCAGCCATGGATACCAGCACCTGTTCCGGTAGAGGTGGCAGGGGGGTGAAATGGATTCTGTGAGGATTCTTGGCTTTGGTGGTTTAATGTTCTATTTTTGTGCTGGTTGGCCTCCTGCCAGGAGGTGGCTCTTTCCAGAGGGCATCAGCTGTGGTAGTATGGAGAGGAACTGGCAGTGGGCAGGGCCCTAGAACTCCCAAGAGTATATGCCCTTTGTCTTCAGTTACTAGGGCGGGTAGAGAAGGACTAGCAGGTGGGGGAAGGGCTAGGCATGTCTGAGCTCAGACTCTCCTTGGGCAGGTCTTGCTGCAGCTGCTGTGGAGGATGTGGGTGAGGTTCCCAGGTCAATGGAGTTGTGTACCTGGGAGGATAATGGCTGCCTCTGCTGAGTCATGTAGGTTGTCAGCGAAGTGAGGGAAAGGCAGCAGTCACAGGCCTCACTCAGCTCCCACACAATCCGAAAGGCCGGTCTTACTCCCACCGTGCCCCCCCGCAAAAGCACCGCATCTATTTCTGTTTCCAGACAGTGGGCAAGCAGGGTTGTGTCCTCAGTATTTCTATTTCCTACAAATTGGCAGCTGGATCCAGAGGTAAACAGTAGATTTAGAGGCTTAATAAAACCTACATTCACTCTGATCTGCATTTTTTTTTTTGGTTTTTTGGAGACAGGGTCTCATTCCGTTGCCTTTGCAGTGGCACAATCACAATCACAGCTCACTGCAGCCTCTCAACGTCTCTGGACCAAGCAATCCTCCTACATCAGCCTCCCAAGTAGCTGGGACCACAGCATGCACCACCTGCAAAGCTAATTTTTTTTTTTTTTTATAGAGACAGGATCTCGTGTGTTGCCCAGGTTGGTCTCGAACTCCTGGGTTCAAGTGATCCTCCTGCCTCAGCCTCCCAAAGTGCTTGGATTATAGGAGTGAGCCACAATGTCCAGCCCAATCTGCTTATTAACACTCCACTGTTAAGCCTAAGAAGATAGCCAAAGATTGCCAAACATTTTAAGACAGCATCTAATATGACAGGGATCTAAATAATACAGAAGCTTGGAAAGTTAGAGCACATAGAGAAGAAAACTTCTATTATTAATTTGTCCAAGCTCAAAGAAATAACAGAAGACACTGCATCCAGGAAACAAGCACAGGATGCTATAGATAAGGAATATTTAGAAAAGGAACTCTCAGAAAGTAAAAAATAAGTAGCTAAAATTAAAGACTCAAATATAGTTTGAAGATAAAACTGGGGAAATCTCCCAGAAAGTAGGACCAAAAAGAGAGAAAGAGAGATTTATGGAATCCACCAACAGATGAAAAAAGACCTAAATCAAAGACTACCACAATAAAATGTTATAACAATGAAAGCAAAGAAAATGTCCTGAGCATTTCCAGAGGCAAATACACACACACACAAATAAAATACATTTTATTTAAAACTTCTTAAGCACAACACTGAAAGACTTAAGACAATGAAACAATTCTTTCAAAATTCTGAGGAAAATGTTTCCAAGCTAGTATTCTGTCTTAGTCCATTTCCTGATATTATAAAGAATACCACAAACTGGGTAATTTATAAAGAAAAGAGATTTATTTGCTTCATGGTTCTGAAGGCTGAGACATAGTACCAGCATCTGCTTGGCCATTTGGTGAGGGCCTTCTTTTTGCATCATCCCATAGCAGAAAGCAGAAAGGCAAGCAAACTCCACCCTCATAACCTAATCACCTCTTAAAAGTACCACCTCTAATACTATCACAATGGCAATTAAATTTCAACATGAGTTTTGGAGGGGGTACTTAAACCATAGCATATTCTACACTCAGTCAATTTAGTATATGGGAAATTAAAACATCTGCAAATACTGAAGGTCTCAAATATTTTGTCTCCCAAACACATTTTTTCAGAAAGTTACTTGAAGATGTACTCCACCAAATGAAGTCATAAACCATGAAAAGGAAGACATGAGATCCATGGAAGAGAGGATCCAACGTATTAGATAGGCAAAGAAAATCCACAAGATGATACCGCCCCTAAACAACAGCTATGCAGCAGAAAACAATCAGTCAAGATTGGAACAGATCAGAAGACTCCAGGAAATATTTATTCAAGATAAGAAAATGATAAATTACTCAATGTTTCTGAATGATATGAACAGGATATTTATACAACTGAGAATGGTTCGGAATTAATGAATTAGTGTTGAGAACACAGATAACTAATTAAATGAACAAGAAATAGAATTATCAATTCCAGGAAAAACAAAATACTGTGCAGGCAAGGAAAAGTAACTATCAAATCCTACATAGTTTAGCTGTGAATTATATTTATGTAATTGTCATAATGTAGTTAATGATTATGATATAACTATATTGGAGGATGGCAGGATGGGAAGTATGCTTGCATACAGCAATGTAGGGTGCTAGTCAAAGAGAGGTAAATCCTCCTCTTCCTTACTGAGAAGTCAATACATGAGGCCTAATTCTGAAAAATCAAGAAATATGATAAATTATAAATAAGGGGGCTAATACCAAATGAATCAGAGATTAAAGTGATTCTCTTTGAGAAATAGGAAATGACTCTCCAAATAATGTTAATATATAACTGATAAATAGAAAAGCTAAATTTAAACAAACACTGTTAGGTTGGTGCAAAAGTAATTGTGGTTTTTGTGATTAAAAGTAACAGTATTGCTGGAGCTATGGATAGTAGACACTCTTTCAAAGACAGCTGAACATATTTTATGCTACTATAGTTTTCTCTTTCATTGCTTTCAGGTTGTAGCTTAGGTCACATTTCTCACTCACAAGAGTGAGTGAGTGGAAAATTGTAAAGCAAAGCAGGATTACTATGGAAGGTAGCACTCCAAAGTATCCTGTAGGAATATATCCCCATCCCTAGCCCCAACCTGCCCCAACTATGGATCAAAGATTAAAGGCTGGGAAAACCAGCCTTAGAACTGACATCAAGTGCATATGTCAAGAGACCGGTCAGGACAGACCATGGACTATGGGCCTAGAGCATAAAAGCTGCCAGCTATGCAGCAGCAATGGCCACAAGGGATTAATCTGAGCTCAGTACAACTTGACCACAGAGAAAGGTGAGATTAAAATGAGTCAGACCCTAGTACCATGGGAAAATTTCATGGTTGCTTGGCAGCTCCTTAATAACCTATGGGCACAAATATTTACTTCTAACTGACCCCTTAAGTAAGGGGATTAAAGTGTCTGATGTATATAAAATACAATCGGCACAGCAGCACTGCTTTTAGAACAAGTATTCACTCTCTGAGATATGTTCAGCAATATAGATCAGAGTTAACATTTTGTGAACAAACCAGAAATCATACTGCTCAGAACCCATATGTTTCAGATCAAAATGAATAAATTTGAAAATAGGACTTGAAAAATAAGGCTCAGAATGTATATCAGCAAAGTGGAAAAGACTGGAATACGAAACATAATGCTTCCAGCACTGGGAGGACCCCAGATACAGGGAGGACCCCAGATACAATACACCAGCATTCCTTATCAAGAGTAAGGGAAATAGGCTGGGTGCAGTGGCTCACACCTGTAATCCTAGCACTTTGGGAGGCCAAGGCAGGAGCCTAGAAATTCAAGACCAGCCTGGGCAACATGGCAGAACCCTGTCTCCACAAAAAAAAACACAAAAATTAGTTACGCACGGTGGCGTGTGCCTATAGTCCCAGCTATGTAGGAGGCTGAGGGGAGAAGATTGCTTGAGCCCAGGAGGCAGAGGTTGTAGTGAACTGAGACTGCACCACTGCACTCCAGCCTGGGCGACACAGCCAGACCCTGTCTCAAAAAAAAAAAAAAAAAAAAAAAAAAAAAACAGAATGGAAATAATATTTACTAAGTACTTACTATATGCCAGGTTTACACCAGTACCTTAACGCTATTTCATTTAATCCTTACAATAAGTGTAGGAAGGGTTATTCTCTTTTCCAGGTGAGGAAACAGGCTTAGAGAAAGGATATAATTTGCCAAAAGCACGATTAGTTACAGAACTGGAACTTGAAACCAGAACTATCTGGCTCCAAAGGCCTTATCTTTCCATTAACCTCCCTGCAAAATACGTGAAACCCTATACTGAGATGTTTCACATCTATGAAAGGGCACTAAGAATTAGTAACATAATCACCTTATAGTAGATGAGTAGTATAAGACATCACTCAAAATTCCAGTAAAGATATACATGAACAAGATTCCTATCTTCCCCCTGGCAAAAGCAGTAGGTATTAATTTCAAATATGCCCACAGATACTTAAATAATATGTGCGTCAGCTAAAGTGATTTAAAGATGAGGCATAGATTTCCATCACTCTCAGGAAGAAGAAATTGTCTCTTCAGAATATATTCTGAACACTACATCGCCACCATTCACTTGAAGCCTTTATCACTCAAAAGCTTTCAGAGGAGGAAACCAATATTAAACATTCTTATTTAGGCTAAATTAAAAATGATTTACTTACTCTTGAAGAGGCTTCTAATTAAAAGAGTAAAAAATCGCTTTGACAAACATCACACTAGATGACATATGACTAGTCACTACAAGACTAAACATTGTACCCCTTAGTGTAGGTAGGGGGAAATTTTGTTCTCCAATGCTGTGTGCCCCAGGTTGTTTCCTCAACCAAAATTCAGAAACCTTCTCCCATCACTGCTATCCTCCCTTTGTTTTTACCAACTTAACTGAGGTGTAACTCATTCATTTAAAGTGTATCTGAATTGTGAAAACATATACACCCACGAAACTGCTACCAGAATCAAGATACAAACTACTTCCACCACCTATAAAAGTTTTCTCATGCACCTTGTAGTCCACCCCTGCCTTCACTCCCAGGCCCAGACAACTGTTGTTCTGCTTTCTGCTATGGTAGATTAGTTTGCATCTTCTAGAATTTTATATGACTGGAATCACGCAATATGAATTCTGATATGGTTTAGCTGTGTTCCCACCCAAATGTTATCTTGAACTGTAGTTCCCATAATCCCCACATGTCGTGGAAGGGACCCAGTGGGAGGTAATTGAATCATGGGGGTAGTTACCTCCATGCTGTTCTCGTGATAGTGAGTTCTCACGAGATCTGATGGTTTTATAAGGGGTTTTCCCTGCCTACACTCAGCACTTCTTGCTGCCACCATGTGAAGAAGGACATGCTTGCCATGCTTCCCCTCTGTAAGTTTCCTGAGGCCTCCCCAGCCCTGCGGAACTATGAGTAATTAAACCTCTTTCCTTTATAAATTACCCACGAGGTCAATAGTTCAAGACCAGCCTGGCCAACATGGTGAAACCCCGTCTCTATTAAAAATACAAAAACTAGCCAGCGTGGTGGTGAGCACCTGTAATCCCAGCTACTCGGGAGGCTGAGACAGGAGAATTGCTTGAACCCAAGAGGCGGAGGTTGCAGTGAGCCAAGATCACACCACTGTACTCCAGCCTGGGTGACAGAACAAGACTCCATCTCAGGAAAAAAAAAAAAATTACCCACTGTCAGGTATGTCCTTATAGTAGCATGAGAACAGACGAATACATACTCTTTTTTGAATCTGGCTTCTTTCACTCAGCATAATTATTTTGCAATTTATCTATGTGTATAATAGTTGTTTTGTATTCCTAAGTAATATTTTATTGTATGGATAGATTATATTTTGTTTATCCATTCTCTTATTAATGAATATGTGGATTGCTTACAATTTTGGCTATTACGAATAAAACTGCTATGAACAATAATATACAAATCTTTGTGTGAACACGTATTTTTATTTATATTGGGAAAATATGTAGGAGTAGAATGGCTGAATTTTATGTTAAGTTTATGTTCAACTTTTTAAGAGAATGCCAGTTTTGCAGTTTGTAACATTTTACATTCCCACCGGCAACAAAGTTCTAGTTGCTCCATATCCCCAATTGGTATTGTCAGCCTTTTTCCTTTCAGCCATTCTAATGGATATCTGGTGGTATCTCATTGTGGTTTTACTTTGCATTTCCCTGGTGACTAAAGCTACTGAGCATCTTTTCACATATCTACAATTACTCAGATATCTTTTGTGAAAGGTCTATTCAAATCATTTGGCCATGTTTTATTTTGTTGTCTTATTATTCGTTTTAGGAGTCTGTTATATATTCTGGTCAAAAGTCCTTTTTCATGTATATATGTATATATATAGTTTCACCTAGTCTGTGACTTTCTTTTTCATTTCCTTTTCTTAATGATATCTTCCAAAGAGCAAAATTTCTTGATTTTTATAAAACCCAATTTACCATTTTTTTTCTGTATGGTTTATGTTTTTGGTGTCTTATCTAAGGAATCACTGCCTACCCCAAAGTCACTTTTGTCCTACATTTTCTTCCAGAAGTTCTATAGTTTTAGTTTTTAGATTTATGTCGTATCCATTAAAATTAATTTTTTTGTATGGTGTGAAGTAGGGATTAAGGTTCATTTTTTTCACATGGCTATCCAGTTGTTCCAACCCCATTTGCTCAAAGTCTTTCCTTTTCTTCACTGAAATTGCCTTGGCACCTTTGTCAAAAATCAATTGACCATACTTGTGTGGCTCCACTTCTGGGTTCTCTCTTTAGTTCCACTGATCTATATATCTATCCTTTCACCAATACCACACTGTCTTGATTACTGTCACATCATAGTTCATCTTAAAATCAGGTAGTATAATTTCTCCAATTTTGTTCACCTTTTATAAAACTGCTTTGGCTAATCTCGGTGGTTTACATTACCACAAATTTTTAAATCAGCTTATCAATTTCTTTTTTTTTTTTTTTTTTTTTGGAGATAGAGTCTCACTCTGTTGCCCAGGCTGGAATGCAGTGGCATGACCTCGGCTCACTGCAATCTCCACCTCCAGGGTTCAAGCAATTCTCCTGCCTCAGCCTCCTGAGTAGCTGGAATTACAGGCATGTGCCACCATGCCCGGCTAATTTTTGTACTTTTAGAGAGATGGGGTTTCACCTTGTTGGTCAGGCTGGTCTCAAACTCCTGACCTCGTAATCCACCTGCCTCGGCCTCCCAAAGTTCTGGGATTACAGGCGTGAGCCACCACGCCCAGCCTCAATTTCTATTAAAAAAAAAAAAAAACCTTCTGAAATTTGTATTTGAATAGTACTGAATTTATACACAGATCAAGTTAGAGAAAACTAACATGTTAACGATATTGAATCTTCCAACCCAAGAACATGGTAAATTTGTCTATTTAGATCTTTAATTTCTCTCCATCAATATTACCTAATTTTCAACATACAGGTTTTATACTTCTGTTAAATGTATTCCTAAGTGTTATGGTTTTTAATGCTACTGTAAATGGAATTTAGTCCCATTTTCCTATTGTTTGCTGCCATTCAAGAAGCAGAACTCTCTGTCTTTGGTACAATTTATCTGGTAAAAGAGGGTAATTTCTACATGGAATTATTATTTCATAAACACATTATAGCCACATTATCTCAAAGTTAACCACTTTTGTTTTTGTTTTTAACGCAGTAAACATTTCTCCAGTGTCTACTATTATTTGAAAGTACCAAAACAAGGGAGGAGAAACATGGAACCATATAACAAATACTACATAAGCTCACAATCTAGTGGAAAAATGAGTAAATCATTTTAATATATGCAGTATATGCTATAACTAGAGAATGTATAAAATATTCAGGAAGTCTTAAAGGATCCAGAGAAGTTCACCAGAGGCATTCAGATAGAAGAAATACATTTTTCTACTATTGTATACTATCAGTTGTACTGAAAAGATATACAGATCAATTAACAATATTGAGTCTTCCAACCCAAGAACACAGTAAATGCTGTATAGATGCTATTTACTATTTCCTTTTTAAAAACACCTTTATTAGAATAAGTACTACATGAAACTACTCTTGAATATAGTGTAAGTGATCATATTAATATTTACTTTCTTAAATCCATGTACTTTCTTAAAAACAAGATTGCCACAAGAAAGAAATAAGTTTGCTGAGATTTAAAAGTCTTTATGTTAGAAGAGAGAGTACCTCTTACCAAAATGAGCATGTTTCCTGTTGCTAGATTATGCTGGTAGGTATGCGGTGGCATCTATTTCAACTTAGATAATAACACAACTCTATAAGCACAAGCTGTTTCCGGTCGAAATTATTAGTCATGAACACCAAAATCTGAATGAGCTCTATCCAATCTCAAACTGCTTGCTGAGCAATTCCACAAGAGAATTTGATGGGGACAGCCAACTTTAGAGCCTAGAAAGTGATCACGTATTACAAGACGGTGGTTATGGGTACTAGGTAACAGCATAAAAGCAGCACTGACCAACTGAAAGGCAAGAGATGATACTGACGCTTTCTTTGTCCTATTGAAATTTTTTTTCTATGACTGGCACTAACTCTGAGACATAAATCATATGAATACCTTGCTCAGTTGCAGATTCAGATTTAAACAAGGAGCTAAGTGCCAAGTTTTCATCCCTATGCCAAGTGTTTGAAAAGTAAGTTAGAAACTGTAAATCTTATGTCTTTTCTACATATATATATCTAAATTTATTCTGTCTTGTATGTAAAGAGTTGTCTCAATATCTATAGAATATTATATTATGAACAAAAAAGAATTTCTAGACAGTTTAGAGATGCTTTATCCAAAAGAATCTAAAACATTCACGGACAGGTTTCTGGCTGTCTACTGTGAAACCCCTAAAAATGTAAAATTCAATATGTGTACTTTTCTAGGTGGAAAGTCCACAGTTTCCAGTTTCTCCATGAGATCCATGAACTAAAATAGCTTTAAAAACACTATATTTAAAAGAAAAGAAAAGAAAAAGAGACCGGGTGTGGTGGCTCATGCCTGTAATCCCAGCACTTTGGGAGGCCAAGGCAGGTGGGTCACCTGAGGTCAGGAGTTCGCGACCAGCCAGGCCAACATGGTGAAACCCCGTCTCTACTAAAAATACAAAAATTAGCTGGCCATGGCGAAAGGCGCCTGTAATCCCAGCTACTCATGAAGCTGAGGCAGGAGAATTGCTTGAACCCGGGAGGCGGAGGTTACAGTGAGCCAAGATCGTGCCATTGCACTCCAGCCTGGGCAACAGAGTGAAACTCTGTCATAGAAAGAAAGGAAGGGAGAGGGGAGGGGAGGGGAGAACAAGAGGAGAGCACAGGAGAGGAGAGGAGAGGAGAGGAGAGGAGAGGAGAGGAGAGGAGAGGAGAGGAAAGGAAAGGAGAGGAGGAAGGCAAGCAGGCCAAAAAAAAAACCATTATATTAAAGAGTTAAACGTTTTTAAAAAGAAAAAAGATGTAAACAATTAAAAATTAGGTAATCTCTGAAAGAGTACAGCAATGAAAGAAAACACAAAGGAAAACCATTTTACTATGTATTTCAAATAAAATCCTAAAATTAAAAGGTAAGTCAAAAACTAAGGATTTTTTTTTCTACTCTCTCCCCTTCTTGAAAGCGAAATATTTTATGGAAAATACACAACCATATATTACATTCACAGCAAAGTGTTTTTATAACTCAAGACAGGTGGAGATGTTATAAAGTAGGCATTCTGATTTACTGCTGATATACTTTTCCAAGTCTGGACCACGTCAATGGATATCAGGATGGAAGGGGTTAGAAGAACTCAAGGTTGCTTGGAAATTAGGCTTAATAAGATATGATTAATGAGTAAATGTACGGGATGGAAGAGAAGAAAGACTTGAGGATAATACTCAGGTCTCTGGCTTGATCCACTAAATAATTGAGAGTGAATATTAAGATTAAGAACACAGAAGAATTGCTGGTTGGTAGAGAAAGATGATGAGTTCCATTTTGTACATGTTGGATTTGAGGAATCTGTAGGATATTCAAGAAAAATACAGTTAAATATATGAATCCAAACTATAAAAAAAGCTAAAGTGAAGATATACTTGGATATTATAAGCATTTTTATAAAAAGTATCTAGATTGCTAATGGAAACGTGTTGAATAAGAAGACAGCCCAGGACAGAACTTTGAGAAATCAACAGCTAAGAGACCAGCAGAGTAAAGGAGCACATAAAGGAAATCAATAAAGAAAATCAGAAAGAGGAAGAAAATCAGGAGTGAGATGTCATAGAACCCAAGGGGCAAAAACAGTTTTGGAATTCTTAAAGACAGAGAAGAGAAGGGGGACTAACCTGTATTAAATGTCTACTAGATACAAAGTATTTCAAACACTTATACTTTAACAAGTATACTCCTCATTTTGAGCATTAGGAACCTATCATTCAGATAGTTTAAATAATTGTCCAAATAAAACTGTAAGTGCTAAAACAGAATTTTAATTCCAGTATTTCAAAATCCATGTTCATTCCACTGAAACTAACGGAAAGGACTGAGGAAGCACTCAGAAAGATTTGGATGGTCAAGCCCTGACTTAAATTGTGGTTGATTTCAGCACAACTGACTGCCAAAAGCCAGTTTTATCCTGATGTTATCATAGCACCTCAGCTAGGAAAAATTAAAATGCTAATAATTTTTAAAATCCAGATACTTCATAAATTAGTCAGATGTTCTTCAAAAAGGTGGGTAACTGTTGAAAGCAGAGTTACTTACTCATTCAGAGAAGATAACAGAACACAGATGTCTTATGCCACAATGGATTGACAATTAGAGCACCTGAGTTCCCAAGAACATTAGCAAATTCAGAAACTCCTGTATAAATCTTTTTTTTTTTTTTTTTGAGATGGAGTCTCACTCTTGTCACCCAGCCTAGAGTCCTATGGTGTGATCTCAGCTCACTGCAACCTTCGCCTACTGGGTTCAAGCAGTTCTCCTACCTCAGCCTCCCAAATAGCTGGGATTACAGGTGCCCACCGCCATGCCCAGCTATTTTTGTATTTTTAGGAGAGACAGGGTTTCACCATGTTGGCCAGGCTGGTCTCGAACTCCTTACCTCTGGTGATCTGCCCACCTCAGCCTCCCAAAGTGGTGGGAGGCATGAGCCACCGCGCCCAACCTCCTGTATAAACTATTAATAGCTACTGTACCATCAGCCACAGAATAGGTTGCTGAGGGATGCTCCAAGACCAAAGAAACAAAAAGCGCCTATGGGAGTATAATTACTGTGTCTCCATGCACAATAAAGATTAGCTGGTTGTTCAAAAACCTTTTTTTTTAATGTCATGCCCAAGAACAGTTGGGGAACATCCAAATCCAATCACAATGAATGGCAGTATTCCCAGGATGGAATAACTAAAATGCAACTGACAGGAAATATAGATCATCAGTAGTATAGTAACCCATCAAGCTAAATGCATAAATGGCATCCAGCACGTGGGAAATTTTGCTCTGACCAGCATGATCAAGCAAGCAGGTATATTTCTGTGGAAATGGCATCTGAGCCATCACAGAACAATACTCTGACAATATCATTCAACTACACTCCCCTTGCTTGTGTTGCATGATTAGACAACTGTCTGGTTAAAATTTAGGCTGTTGTAGAAAACCAAGGTCTGAGTATGCATATGTTCTCTCAAACTCTCTTCCCTTTAACCTCAGCTTTCTTGAGGCCACTAAGTTTTGTCAAAATCAATTGATTTTCTTATGTCATAATGCCAGACACAGAGCAAGGCAAGGAAAATAAAAAATAAAGACGACCTTCAATCGAAACACACAATCCAATGGAAACAAGTAAAGCCTAAAAAGGTATTTTTCTCCCCACAAGCCAATGCACCTTCTCTCTTTGGTAAGCAGTGGTAAAAATGTCATAGAATAGTATGCAATACTCTTCATATCAAAGAAACCCAGCCACTATAACAACCACACAGAAGTCACTATCAAGAGAATGAGTATCAGCTGTAATTCCCCAAACTGAAGTATAAACATTAATATAAGAAATAACTCTAATGGAGGAGAGGACAAGGAAAACTTCTTGGATGATATGGTATTTGAGAGTAGCCTTGAAAACTAAGATTTCAATAAGCAAGAAAAGCTCTGTCAGGAAAGAAGGGTCTCCAAGGTTGAAGAAACATTGATTTAGTAAGTCAACAAATATTTATTGTGCAAGTATGTGTAGATCACTGTGTTCAGCACTTTGAGTTACCATGAACCAGACTCTAAGGCTTATATTTCATTGGTCAGCTTTCAGTCACATAGCCACACTTAGCTTTAAGGCAGTTTGGGACATGTTTTTTGTTTTTGTTTTGGTATCCATGTATCAAACTAAAACTTTGCAGATGACATGACTGTATATTTAGAAACCCCATCATCTCAGCCCCCAATCTCCTTAAGCTGACTTCAGCAACTTCAGCAAAGTCTCAGGATACAAAATCAATGTGCAAAAATCATAAGCATTCCTATACACCAATAATAGACAAACAGCCAAATCATGAGTGAACTCCCATTCACAATTACTACAAAGAGAATAAAATACCTAGGAATACAACTTACAATGAACGTGAAGGACCTCTTCAAGGAGAACTACAAACCACTGCTCAACAAAATAAAAGAGGACACAAACAAATGTAAAAACATTCCATTCTCATGAAGAATCAATATCGTGAAAATGGCCATACTGCCCAAGGTAATTTATAGATTTAATGCTATCCCCATCAAGCTACCACTGACTTACTTCACAGAATTAGAAAAAACTACTTTAAACTTCATATGGAACCAAAAAAGAGCCCACATAGCCAAGACAATCCTAAGCAAAAAGAACAAAGCTGGAGGCATCATACTACCTGACTTCAAACTATACTACAAGGCTACAGTAACCAAAACAGCATGGTACTGGTACCAAAACAGATATATAGACCAATGGAACAGAACAGAGGCCTCAGAAATAACACCACACATCTACAACCATCTGATCTTTGACAAACCTGACAAAAACAAGCAACGAGGAAAGGATTCCCTATTTAATAAATTGTGCTGGGAAAACTGGCTAGCCATATGTAGAAAGCTGAAACTGGATCCTTTCCTTACACCGTATACAAAAATTAACTCAAGATGGATTAAAGACTTGAATATAAAACCTAACACCATAAAAACCCTAGAAGAAAACCTAGGCAATACCATTCAGGACATAGACATGGGCAAAGAATTCATGACTGGAACACCAAAAGCAATGGCAACAAAAGCCAAAATAGACAAATGGGATCTAATTAAAGAGCTTCTGCACAGCAAAAGAAACTATCATCAGAGTGAACAGGCAACCTACAGAATGGGAGAAAATATCTGCAATCTACCCATCTGACAAAGGGCTAATATCCAGAATCTACAAAGAACTTAAACAAATTTAGAAGAAAAAAACAACCATATCAGAAAGTGGGCAAAGGATATTAACAGACACTTCTCAAAAGAAGACATTTATGCAGCCAACAAACATACGAAAAAAATGTTCATCATCACTGGTCATCAGAGAAATGCAAATCAAAACCACAATGAAATACCATCTCATGCCAGTTAGAATGGCGATCATTAAAAAGTCAGGAAACGTGGCTCACGACTGTAATCCTAGCACTTTGGGAGGCCGAGGAGGGCGGACCACGAGGTCAGGAGATCAAGACCATCCTGGCTAACAGGTGAAACCCCATCTCTACTAAAAATACAAAAAAAAAAAAAAAAAAAAAAAGGCCAGGCGTGGTGGCAGATGCCTGTAGTCCCAGCTACTCGGGAGGCTGAGGCAGGAGAATGGTGTGAACCCGGGAGGTGGAGCTTGCAGTGAGCCGAGATCGCACCACTGCCTTTCAGCCTGGACGACAGAGCGAGACTCCGTCTCAAAGAAAAAAAAAAAGAAAAAAGCCAGGAAACAGATGCTGGAGAGGATGTGGAAAAATAAGAACTCTTTTACACTGTTGGTGGGTGTGTAAATTCCTTCAACCATTGTGGAAGACAATGTGGCGACTCAAGGATCTAGAACCAGAAATTCCATTTGACCCAGCAATCCCATTACATTATACCCAAAGGATTATAAATCATGCTACTACAGGGCCGGGCACAGTGGCTCACGCCTGTAATCCCAGCACTTTGGGAGGCCGAGGCGGGCGGATCACAAGGTCAGGAGATCAAGACCATCCTGGCTAACACGATGAAACCCAGTGCCTACTAAAAATACAAAAAACTAGCCGGGTGTGGTGGCAGGTACCTGTAGTCCCAGCTACTCAGGAGGCTGAGGCAGGAGAATGGCAACCCGGGAGGCCGAGCTTGCAGCGAGTCCAGATTGCGCCACTGCACTCCAGCCTGGGCAATGGAGCAAAACTCCATCTAAAAAAAAAAAAAAATCACGCTACTATAAAGACACATGCACACATATGTTTATTGCGGCACTGTTCACAGTAGCAAAGACTTGGACCCAACCCAAATGTCCATCAATGATAGAGTAGATTAAGAAAATGTGGCACATATACACCATGTAATACTATGCAGCCATAAAAAAGGATGAGTTCATGTCCTTTGCAGGGACATTGATGAAGCTGGAAACCATCATTCTAAGCAAACTATTACAAGGACAGCAAACCAAACACCGCATGTTCTCACTCATAGGTGGGAGTTGAACAATGAGAATACATGGACACAGGGCGGGGAACATTACACATCGGGGCCTGTCAGGGGGTTGGGGGCTGGGGAAAGGATAGCATTAGGAGAAATACCTAATGTAAATGACGAGTTGATGCGTCCAGCAAACCAACATGGCACATGTATACCTATGTAACAAATCTGCACATTGTGCACATGTACCCTAGAACTTAAAGTATAATTTTAAAAAAACAGGGAGTTCTATTATTATGAAGGAAAGGAATAATGGACCTTGGAAAACAACCAGCAGTCTCTGCTACCTAGGAAACAGGTCATTGAAAACAGAAATAAGCCAAAAGAAATTTCTAGGATGGTGGTGAAGGAAAGTCCCACTTTAAAAATTGTGCAGCACACTAAAAGCCATTCAGTCTGTACTGGAGCAGGTGGATGGGGAGTAGGCAAGAGGGGGTACTAAAAAGTGTATCTCAAACAAACAAAAACTGATAGACCATGGTATTGAGAGAAATTCTAGAGTGCTGTTGAGTTTGAAGACAGAATAATAATAGACACATTTCAAACTACACAAATATAAAACAAAGCAATTATTAATGCCAGGAAATCTCCAAAAATGAGTATGGGAGGAAACATGATTATAGGATACTCCATGCCTCAACTGTTGTGGTAGCTCATCTCCAAAGACGGCCCTCAACACTACCTGATCTTTATACTCTCTTCTAACCACCTCACTCTCTCACTTTCCATAATGACAAATTCAAACCTCCTCTACTCTCCTCAAACACTAGTGCCTTTCCTTTGCCACACCAAAAGCCAGCCAAGTAATTTCTTAGAGAAAATAAAAGTCATCATTTGAGGTTGGTAATCGTGAATTTAGCATAAAACCAAACTGCCCTTTTTTATGACTTTCTAACATAGCCCTTATATTTTCTACAGGAACAAAATCAAAAGTTTATCATGTAAATTATGGTTTTACCAAACAAGTGTAATAAAAATGCAAGGGAGAAAAGGTTTGTAGGGCATTGCCAAAGTGTGTTACTGACTAACATGCTATCATCAGTAGAGTGGATCATGATGTTTCACTGAACGTCCAGGCAATCAAGGTCCCTTTGGACTATACTGTGACAGAGGGCAGAAGAGTTGATACAGCCCTAGGGCACAACCATAAATGTATACTTTTGTCAATTCCAAGTGAATGTGAACTCCTTCTGATTCTCTTTCCTGTCAGGCAGGAACTGAAAGAATGCACTCTCCATGTCAATAGTTGCTTATGAAGTACCACAGGCTGTGTTCATCTCATCTAGTCAAGATACCGTTTCTGGTATAGCAGCTGTGGCCAGGAAATTGCTTGATTGAATGTACTGTAATAGTTTACCATCACCTAGCACATTCCATCAGTCCTTTGCAAGGACAGTCTCATTAATTAAGTAGGAATATGATAGGAATCACCACACTTCAGCCATTAAGTCACTGAGACTGACATTAATCTCTGCCATTCTACCAGGATATAGTATTATTTCCGATTTACTATCTTGCAGAGAAAGAGAAGGGTCAGTGGTTTCTATTTGTCTTTTCCTACCATGATAATTCTCTCTCCATAAGTCAAAGAACCAGTGTGATGGTTCTGCCTGTTATTAAATATGTCCATGCTGATTATGCATTCAGGAAGTGGGAAAATGACCACAGAGTATGTCTAGGGACACAGTGGACCGAAGTGTAAAACAGATTTGGGCCAGCACTCCATTCATTACCCCATCTCCACATGCTCCCATTAACATCAGAGCCACTGTGGTGTTTTGGGTACCCAAGCAACAATGTTAGCTTGACTGTATTCCCAAGAATCTTTGAAACACCTGGTTAGATTCCTTTCTCCAGTGTACTGTTACTTGGACAAGTGAGCATAGATTCCTTTGAGAAAGGTTGGACAGCTGCTCTGTGTACATTTGCTGTATTATTGCAGGGTTCTTCATGAAGGAGACCCTTCAATTGATTAGGTCTGGATCAGAGAACTGGTCCAAGTCTGGGAACTGAGCAAAAGATCATAATTTTTCATTACGGTAAACAGAATGATCCCCCTAGAGATGCCTATTCTCTAATCCTTGGATCCTGTGAATTTTACGTGACATGGCTCATGGGATTTTGCAAATATAACTAAGGTTATACACTTCAAAATATAGATTATCCTGGATAATCTGGCTAGACCCAGTATAATCACATGAACCCTTAAAAGCAAAGAAATTTTTTCTAGCTGGTCAGAAAACAGCAGCAGAAGGATAGAGTTCAACAGATTCAAAGCATGAGTGGGACTCAACCTGCCACTGCTAGTGGACTGAGCCTCCATGTTGCCCATGGAAACATGAGAAGGAATGCAGGCAGCCTCTAGAAGCAAAGACTGGCTGCCGGCTAACAGCAACAACAACAAAAACGGACCTCTCATATTTAAGAGATCCCGCTGATCTACATACTCTTCAACTTTGCAACTGAAATTGTAGTCCACAGACCAGTGGAATCAGCATCACTTGGAAATCTGTTAGAAATACAGCATCTCAGGCCCCACTCCAAATCTACTAAATCAAATGATGCATTTAAAAAAAGATTCATAGGTAATTCCTGCTGATGTTGGAGAAGGCCTGCCCTATATCAATTGATATTATCAGACTTATTAATTTTTGCCACTCAAATGTCAACGAAATTTCATGTGGTCTTGATTTGCATATCTCTAGTGTGAACACAGGTTCAACACATGCTGGCTATGTGTTTCCTCTTCTATGAAACGCCTGTTTTTTATCTTTTGCCCATTTTCCTAACGGGTTATCCTTATTGATTTATTGTTGCATTATATATTCTTGATACTGACTCTTTATTAGTTATCTATATTGCATAAACTTTTTATCAGTTTGTAATCAGTCTTTGCTATCTTTAAGGGATTTTTTTGATAAATAAAAGGACTTAATTTTAATATAGTCAATTTGACCAAACTTTTCTTTTTTATGTTTAAGAATTCCCGCCACACCCCAGAATCAGAAAAATATTCACTTCCATATGTTCTACCAAGCATTTTATTTTGATATTTAAGTACTTTTTTCCATCTGGAATTTACCTTTGTGTATCATGTGAAGAACCAATTTCAATTTCTTCCCTACCTGATTTTTGTTTTATGTCCTCATCAATCCACAAAAGAACATTTTTTTTGAATAGACTATTTTTTTCAAATTATTATTATTTCAATTTTTTAAGGAACAGGTGGTATTTGGTTACATGGATAAGTTATTTAGGTGTGATTTCTGAGATTTTGATGTATCCATCACCTGAGCAGTGTACACTGCACCCAGTGTGTAGTCTTTTGTCCCTCACCCCCCTCCCACCCTTCCCTGCAAGGCCCCAGAGTCCATTATGTCATTCCTAATGCCTTTGCTCCCACTCATAAGTGAGAACATATGATGTTTGGTTTTCCATTCCTGAGTTACTTCACTTAGACTAACAATCTCCAGCTTTATCCAGGTTGCTGCGAATGCTGTTATTTCATTCCTTTTTATGGCTGAGTAGTAGTCCATGATATATATATATATATACCACATTTTCTTCATCTACTCGTTGGTTGATGGGCATTTAGGCTGGTTCCAGATTTTTGCAATTGTGAATTGTGCTGCTATAAACATGCGTGTGCATGTGTCTTTTTCATAAAATGACTTCTTTTCCTCTGGGTAGATACCCAGGAGCGGGATTGCTGGATCAAATGGTAGCTTTTGGTTCTTTAAAGAATCTCCATACTGTTTTCCATAGTGGTTGTACTAGTTTACATTCCCACCAGCAGTGTAAAACTGTTTCCTTTTCACCATATCTATGCCAACATCTATTATTTTTTTATTTTTTAATTATGGCCATTCTTGTAGGAATAAGGTGGTATCACATTGTGGTTTCGATTTGCATTTCCCTGATAATTAGTGATGTTGAGCATTTTTTCATATGTTTCTTGGCCACTTGTATATCTTATTTTTTATCTTTTTTGAGACAGGGTCTCACTTTGTCACCCAGGCTGGAGTGCAGTGGTGCAACCCTGGCTCACTGCAACCTCTGCTTCCCAGGTTCAAGCAATCCTCCCAACCTCAGCCTCCCGAGTAGCTGGGATCACAGGCACACACCACCATGCCCAGCTCATTTTTTTTTTTTTTTTTTTTTTGTATTTTTAGTAGAGACAGGGTTTCACCATGTTGGCCCTGGTCTCGAACTCCTGACCTCAAGCGATCCACCAGCCTTGGCCTCCCAAAGTGCTGGGATTAGAGGCATGGGCCACTGCACCTGGCCCATTTGTGTATCTTCTTGTGATAATTGTCTACTCATGTCCTCAGCCCACTTTATGATAGGATTATTTGTTTTTTTCTTGCTGATTTGAGTTCCTGTAGATTCTAAATATTAGCCCTTTGTCAGATGGATAGTTTCTGAATATTTTCTCCCACTCTGTGAGTTGTTTACGCTGCTGATTATTTCTTTTGCTGTGCAGAAGCTTTTTAGTTTAATTAAATCCCATCTATTTATCTTTGTTTTTGTTGCATTTGCATTTTGGTCCTTGGCCATGAACTCTTTAGGCCAAGGTCTACATGAGTTTTTCCAGTGTTATCTTCTAGAACTTTTATGGTTTTGGGTCTTAGATTTAAGTCTTTGATTCATCTTGAATTGATTTTTGTATAAGGTGAGAGATGAGAACCCAGTTTCATTCTTCCACATGTGGCTTGCCAATTATCTCAGCACCATTTGTTGAATAGGGTGTGCTTTCCCCCACTTTATGTTTTCATTTGCTTTGTCAAAGATCAGTTGGCTATTAAGTATCTGGCTTTATTTCTGGCTTCTCTATTCTGTTCCATTGGTCTATATTTATACCAGTATCATGCTATTTGATAAGTATAGCCTGTAGTATAGTTTGAAGTCGGGTAATGTGATGCCTCCAGATTTGTTCTTTTTGCTTAGTCTTGTTTTGACTATGCAGGCTCTTTTTCGGTTCCACATGAATTTTAGGATTGCTTTTTCTAGTTCTGTAAAGAATGGTGATGATATTATGGCAGGAATTGCATTGAACTTATAGATTGCTTTTGGCAATATGGTCATTTTCACAATATTGATTCTACACAGCCATGAGCATGGGATGTGTTTCCATTCGTTTGTGTCATCTATGATTTCTTTCAGCAGTGTTTTGTAGTTTTCCTTGTAGAGATCTTATACTTCCTTGGTTAGGTATATTCCTAAATATTTTATTTTCTTTGCAGCTGTTGTAAAAGGGGTTAAGTTCTTGATTTGATTCTCAGCTTGGTTGCTGTTGGTGTATAGCAGTGATATTTATTTGTATATACTGATTTTGTATCCTGAAACTTTACTGAGTTCATTATCAGATCTAGAAGCTTTCCAAATGAGTCTTTAGGGTTTTCTAGGTATACGATCATATCATCAGCAAACGGTGACAGTTTGACTTCCTCTTTACCAATGTGGATGCCCTTTCTTTCTCTTGTCTGATTGCTCTGGCTAGGACTCCTAGTACTGTGTTGAATAGAAGTAGTGAAAGTGGGCATCCTTGTCTTGTTTCAGTTCTTAAAGGAAATACTTTAAACGCTTCCCCATTCAGTATAATGTTGGTTGTGAGCTTGTCATAGATGGCTTTTATTACCTTAAGGTATGTTCCTTCTGTACCGATTTTGCTGAGGGTTTTACTCATAAAAAGCTGCTGGATTTTGTCAAATGCTTTTTCTGCATCTATTGGGATGATCATTATCTTTGTTTTTACTTCTGTTTATGTGGTGTATTGCATCTATTGGCTTGTGTATGTTACACCAACCTTGCGTCCCCATCATGAAATACACTTGATCATGGTGCATTATCCTTAATATATTGTTGAATTCAGTTAGCTAGTATTTTGTTGTGGAGTTTTGCATCTATGTTTATTGGGGATATTGATATGTAGTTTTTTTGTTGTTTTTGTTATGTTCCTTCCTAGTTTTGGTATATGGGTAATACTGGCTTCATAGAATGATTTAGGGAGGATTCTCTCTTTATCTTTTGGAATAGTTTCAGTAGGATTGGTACCAATTCTTTTCTTGTTGCCTGTGATGGAATCCAATGGTGTGATCTCAGCTCACTGCAACCTCCACCTCCTGGATTCAAGCAATTCTCCTGCCTCAGCCTCCCAAGTAGCTGGGATTACAGGCACCTGCCACCACATCCAGCTAATTTTTGTATGTTTCGTAGAGATGGGGTTTCACCATGTTGGTCAGGTTGGTCTCAAACTCCTGACCTCAGGTGATCCACCTGCCTTGGCCTCCCAAAGTGCTGGGATTACAGGCGTGAGCCACCACACCCAGCCCCAATTCTTCTTTGAATGTTGATAGAATTCAGTCATGAATCCATCTGGTCCTAGCCTTTCATTGTTGGCGATTTTTTAATTACTCTTAATCTCGCTACTTGTTATCGGTCTGTTCAGAATTTGTTTCTTCCTGGTTTAATCTACGAGGGTTGTATATTTCCAGGAATGTATCTATCTCCTCTAGGTTTTCTAGTTTGTGTGCATAAAGGTGTTCATAGTAGTCTTGAATGATCTTTATCCATTCTGCCATTCTGTATCTTTTAAGTGGACCATTTACACCATTTATAGTCAACTTTAGTATTGAGATGTAAGGTACTATTCTATTCATCATGCTAGTTGTTGCCTGAATACCTTGGGCTTTTTTTCATTGTGTTATTGTTTTATAGATCCTGTGAGATTTATGCTTTAAGGAGGTTCTATTTTGGTGTATTTCAAGATTTTCTTTCAAGATTTAGGACTCCTTTCAGCATTTCTTGTAATGCTGGCTTGGTAGTGGCGAATTCGCTCAGCATTTCTTTGTCTGAAAAAGACTTTATCTCTCTTTCATTTATGAAGCTTAGTTTCACTAGATACAAAATTCTTGGCTGAAGAGAGGCTAAAGAGAGGACCCCAATCACTTCTGCCTTGCAGGGTTTCTGCTGAGAAAACTGCTGGAAATCCGATAGGTTTTCCTTTATAGATTACCTGATGCTTTTGCTTCACAGCTCTTGAGATTCTTTACTTCATCTTGACTTTTGATAACCTGATGACCATGTGCCTAGGTGATGATGTTTTGTGAAGAATTTTCCAGGTGTTCTTTGAGGTTCTTGTATTTAGATGTCTAGATCTCTGGCAAGACCAGGGAAGTTTTCCTTGATTGTTCCCTCAAATAAGTTTTCCAAACTTTTAGATTTCTCTTATTCCTCAGGAACACCAATTATTCTTAGATTTGGTCATTTAACATAATTCCCAAATTTCTTGGAGGCTTTGTTCATTTTTTTTATTCTCTTTTGTCTTTGTTGGATTGGGTTAATTCAAAAGCCTGGTCTTTGGGCTCTTATGTTTTCTTCTATTTGTGCAATTCTATTGCTGAAACTTTCCACTGTATTTAGCATTTCACTAAGTGTCTGTTTCATTTCCAGATTATGATTGTCTTTTCTTTATGATATCTATTTCTCTGGAGACTGTTTCTTCCATATCCTTTATTTTTTTTTAATTTCTTTAAGTCGGTTTTCACCTTCCTCTGGTATCTCCTTGAGTAGCTTAAATAATCAACCTTTTGAATTCTTTTTCTGGCAATTCAGAGATTTATTCTTGGTTTGGATCCATTGCTGGAGAGCTAGTGTGATCTCCTGGGGATGCTATTAAAGAATCTTGTTTTGTCATATTACCAGAGTTACTTTTCTGATTTCTTCTCATTTGGGTAGATTGTTTCAGTGGAAAGATCTGGGACTCAATGGCTGCTGTTCAGGTTCTGTCCCATGGGGTGATCCCTTGATGTGGTTCTCTCCCCCTTCCTCTAGGAATGGGGCTTCCTGAGAGCCAGACTGCAGTGATTGTTACTGCCCTTCTGGGTCTAGCCACCCTTCAGGGCTACCAGACTCCAGGCTGGCAATGGGGAATGTCTGCAAAGAGTACTGTGATGTGATCCACCTTCAGGTCTCCCAGCCATGGATACCAGCACCTGCTCCATTGGAGGTGGCAGGGGAGTAAAGTGGACTCTGTGGGAGTCCTTGGTTGTAATTTAGTGCACTGGTTTTCTTGAATGCTGGTTATGTTAGCAGTGAAGTTGTCACAAGGATAGACTCAGGACCTCTAGTTAGCTAGGGTGTGCAGGTGGTAGAATTACCTGTTGTATTCTCCTTCTCTGGGGCAGAGTTGTTCTGAGTTGCTGTAGTGGCTTGAGTTCATTGGCCTCTAGCGAGGAAGTGATGCTTTCAAGAGCTTGCCAGCTGCAGTAGTAGAAGGGAGATATAATTTTGCCCTACTTTGGCCAGGATGAGTACTCAGGTTTCTTGGGTAATGGGCAGGGCCACAGAGCTCCCTAGAAATTACATCTTTTGATTTTGGCTACCAAGATGGGGAGAGAAAAACCATCAGGTGGGGGCAGGGTTAGGCAGGTCTGAGCTCAGATTCTCCCTGGGCGGGACTTGCTGTGGCCACTATGTAGTGGGGAAAGGGTGGCTCCCAGGCCAATTAAGTTATGTTCCCAGGGGGATTATGGCTGCCTCTGCTGCATCATACAGGTTGCCAGGGAAGTGGGGGAAAGCTGACAGTGACAGACCTCACCCAACTCCCCCACAGTCAGCAAGACCAGTCTCACTCCCACCATGCCTCCCTAACCGCACTGGAGTTATATCCAGTCAGCCAGCAAGCTGGGCTGAGATCTTGCCACAAGCTACAAGCCTTCCTGCTGAGAAAGCAAGCAGGGCTCTCAGGCCTTGCCTCCCCACCTGCCAACATGTTCAGCTGCATCTTCTGCGCTCATATATGCACTTCCCATTTGCCCCTCACCCCAGATGCTACTCAGGGAAGTTCACGCTTAGTCAAAATTATCACAAAATTCAGCTAGGAGGTTCCTTCACTCTGTAGCCCCTTCCCAATTCTGCTGGCTGCCTTCCCTTCCCCAAGGACCTCTGTGAGGTAACGCCAGGAATAGCTTCCATGGGCTCGAGCTAAGGACTGGGAGTACCTACGGGGCTCCTCCTGCTGCTTCTTCTACTTTTATATTTCACTTGGCTCCCTAAATCCATTTTGTCATGCACGTCCATGTGAAGAGTCCACCAAACAGGCTTTGTGTGAGCAACAAGGCTGTTTATTTCACCTGCGTGCAGGTGGGCTGAGTCTGAAAAAGGAGTCAGCAAAGGGTGGTGGGATTATCATTAGTTCTTATAGATTTGGGATAGGAGGTGGAGTTAGGAGCAATTTTTTGTAGGCAGGGGGTGGATCTTGTAGTACATTCTCAAGGGTGGGAAGAATATTACAAATTACCTTCTTAAGGGCAGGGAAGGATATTACAAAGTACCTTTTTAAGGGCGGGGGAAGATATTACAAAGCATCTTCTCAAAGGTGTGGAGGGTGTATCATACGAAGTACATTCACAAGGGTGGGGGAATATCGCAAAGTATATTATCGCAAGGGCGGGGAGGGTGTATTGTCACAAAGTCAATTTATCAGTTAGGGTGGGGCAGGAACAAATCACAATGGTGGAATGTCATCAGTTAAGGCAGGAACTGGCTATTTTCACTTCTTTTGTGGATCTTCACTTGCTTCAGGCCATCTAGATGTATACATGCAGGTCACAGGGGATATGATGGCTTAGCTTGGGCTCAGAGGCCTGACACATTTCCCCAGTGGGTATGTGTGTTCGGAAGCCAACTTTTCCCCCCTCACACTTTGGGAACTCACAGTTTTTTGCTGTCTCACAGCATTTGCAGTGACAAGCCACTTCTTACAAAGGGTCTGTGAATTCTTTCAGTTTTCCTGATATGTTCCTGTGGTGGTTCTTGGAGTAAAAGTTCACAGTGTGAGTCTCCAGACCCTGTTCTGTCCATCTAAGCGGGAGCTGCACATTAGTCCTGTCTCCTATCTGCCATCTTTTCCAGCATCTCCCCCACAAAAACAATTCTTATTGAAGTTACCAATGATTTTCTTGTTAGCAATCCATCTTATATGCCTAGCAGTATTGATATCAAGAACTCCTTCCTTCAAGAAAAGTTTATTTCATCAGCTTCTAGCACTCAGCTTTCTCCTGATTTTCTACTTACTGCTCCAACTAGTCCTTCTTAGACTCCTTTGCAGGCTCATCTATCTCTAACCCGTCAGTAAATGCTGCTGGTGTTCCTCAAGGTTCCATCCTATGCCCACACATAGAACAGTGCCTGACAATAGTAAATACTGAGTATTTGCAATTATCATCTAAACGCTCACTCTAAACTCTCTACCTAAGCAATCCCTTCCATTCCTTATTGCTCAAAACTTTAGTAACTGTTTCTACACAGATGATATATTTCTTGCCCGGATTTCCCCTCTGAGTTTCTGACCCATACATACTTGATGTCTCCTATCCTATCTCCAAAGCACCTGAAATCAGCATGTTTAAAATTAAACTCATGATCTCCCTGCCGAATACCAACAAACCTGCTCTTATGCAGTGTTTTTTGCGAATGGCGCCACCACTCATCCAGATTTATACATCAGAAACACATTTCCTAGATTCAGTTCATCACAAAGTATTGTTGATTTCCTAAATCTCATTTGACCACTTGTCTCCATTTCTATTCTCACTATCCTAGACTCAATTTTCCATTACCTCTCACATGAGGTAATGGGTACTACAAACATGGGTATTGCTGCACTGTTTGAGCCCCTTTCAACCTTTTCTCCATACTATAGCCAGAATCATCTTTCCTAATACATCATGTATCCTCCTACTTGAAATCTTTCAATACTTCTTAGGATAAAGTTCAAAACCCTTAACATGGCCTCCAAAGATCTGCATCATCTAGACCTACAGCCTCATCTCATACCCATGTTCTCCTCCTCTGCATTCCATGGCTGTTCAATTCCTGACTCACAATGTTCTTTGTCACCAAAAGATCTTTACCCATGCTGTTCCTTCTGAATGAAAGGCTTTACAGTCAGCCCTCTGTGTCTGTGTGATCACTTCCTTGGAGTCAACTAACTGCAGATCAAAAATATTTGGGGGAGGGGAGTGGCAAGATGGCTGACTAGAAGCAGCTAGTGTGTGCTGCTCTCACAGAAGGGAGACAGAGTGGCCAGTAAACACTAGCTCTTTAACTAAACAGTCCAAGAGGACATGTTGGGATTCATAAAGGAAGCAATGTAGTCAACATAAAACAGAAAAAAGACAGGACAGCTGCCCACCTGGGATTGGCACAGTGCCAAGTGAGGCTCCCCCCTGCAGGAAAATGGTGAATAAGAGCCCCAGGAAACCATGTTTCTGCCATGAACCTTTGCAATTTCAGGCTCTGGAGACCTCCCCTGACCCCCTTCCCCTGTGGCCTCCAGGCTGACACAGAAAGCGTGTGGAGTGTGCCACTCAGGCACAAATGGAGGGCCAAGGGTCTTGGAACCGTGAGCACTCCTGCACCAGCAGCTGTAGCTTTGCCAACAAAGGAGGCCAGGTTCTCACGCATACCCCCAGGAGAGAGGCTGCATCCACAGTACTGAGAAGCAGACGAACTACAGGCCTTGCCCCAACTACACCTCCCTAGGCAAAGCCCACTGGCCTGGGATCCCAATGCAGCCACCCCACCCCTGCCTGAGCTCTCAGGCTGGTAGCAGCTCTGCAATTCCCTGGAACAGAGCTCCCAGGAGTAAAAGACAGGCCTGCCATTTTTGCTGCTGCACAGCCCCCACCCCAACTGCTATCAGAATCAGGAGGGAGCAAAGAGGTTAGGGACTATCTTGAGCCTCCAGCACAGCATAGCATGCCTTGCAGAAAAAGAGGCCACACTATTTTCCACGCAGGTCCCTCCTCCTGTTACTCCTCCTTGGGCAGGGCCTTCAGACTTGCCCCCAACAAGCCCCCCTCCCTGCTCCCACACCCCAAGCACAGTCACCCCACCCCCACTGAGCTCTCAGCTGGTAGTAGCTCTGCACTTCCCTAGGATGGAGTTCCCAGTGGCAGCAGGCAGGCCCGCCATTTTTTGCCACTACTGCAGCCCCTGACCCTACTGCCCTCTGGCTTGGAATGGAAAGAAGAGCTTAAGGACTATCACAGGCCCCCAGCACAGCACAGCTCCTTTATAGAAAAGCAACCAGACTGTTTTCCACACAGGTCCCTGTCCATGTGCTACTCCTTACTACACAGGGCCTCCTGGACTGGGCCCCCAGCACAGCCACCCAGCCCCCGCCTGATCAGTCAGTGGCAGCTCTGTGTTTGCCTGGTGGGGAAATCCCAGAGACAACCCTCTGCCATTGCGGGGCTTCAGCGGTACGGCCCTAGCTGCCCTTGGGCTGCAGAACGAACAAAGAGCCTGGTTGCTTCACTGGTACCTCCAGCATGTCGCAGCCACCACAGGGAGAGGAACCAGTCTCTCTTCCCTATGAGCCCCCACCGCCTACTCTTCACCATGTAGGGCCTCTGGCTTTGGCCCCCAGAGCAGCTGCCCCACCCCCAGCTGAATATTCCCATTCGCAGTGGCTCTGCATTTCCCAGGGGCGGAGCTCCCACAGGCAACTGACAGCTCCTCTGCCACTGCCACTGCAATGGTACTGCCCTTGCTAACTACCCTCAGACTGGGGAAGAAAGAAAGACCCTGAGTGCCTTACTCTCACCTCCAGCATGCAGCAGCTGCCCTATGAAGAGGCTAGTCTGTCTTCCCTGTGAGCCCCCAATTCCCCTGCTCTTCACCAGGCAGGGCCCCCCCAGCTTGGGCCCACAACACACTGGGATGATTATTCTGATGGACAATGGCTATGTATATCCCTGGGGTGCAACCAAAAGAGACACATGAAAAGCCCTCTACCACTGACACTGCCAAGGTCCCCCTCTCTGCTACCCCCAAGACGGAAAGAGAACAAAAAGTCTGGCTTGCCCCAGGGCTGCAGTGCCAAGCCTGGGAGTACCAAGCTGAGGTCTGCAGCACTCAAGTGGGAGAGGAGCCCACACCCTCCTCTCCCACTTGAGAGGAGGCTCACTTGGAGCACTGAGAAGGTACATGACTGCAAATGGAAGGAAATACAAAGGAGCCACAGGGCTGAGCAAGAGCCTACCTACTGGCCAGTATGCTTAAACACATCACAGCCCAAACTTCAACACCAAAAATACTTTGCTAATATACCGCCTATGAAAACACAGACAAGAATTCAGCCACAAATAGACCAGGTGTGGTGGCTCACGCCTGTAATCCCAGCACTTTGGGAGACAGAGGCAGGCAGATCACTCAAGGTCAGGAGTTCAAGACCAGCCTGGCCACCATGGTGAAACCCTGTCTCTACTAAAAATGCAAAAATTAGCCAGGTGTGGTGGCACATGCCTGTAATCCCAGCTACTCGGGAGGCTGAGGCAGAAGAATCACTTGAACCTGGAAGATGGAGGTTGTGGTAAACTGAGATCATGCCACCACACTCCAGCCTAAGCAACAGAGCAAGACTCTATCTCAAAAAAAGAAAGAAAAAAGAATTCAACAGAGTTGGCTCTCTGAAAACATCCAGAAATGAAGGCAAGTGACTACAGTCAAGTTACACCATGATTAAAGGAACATTAGCGCCCACACAGATGAGAAACAGCCAGTGCAATAACTCTGGCAACTCTAAAAGCCAAAGAGTCTCCTTATTTACAAATGACCACACTAGCTCCCCAACACTGATTCTTAACCAGAAGGAAATGGCTGAAATGACAGACACAGAATTCAGAATCTAGATGGCAATTAAGATTATCGAGATTCAGGAGACAACTGAAACCCATTCCAAGGAATCTAAGGAATCCAGTAGAACAATTCAAAAGATAAAAATATGAAAATAGCCATTTTAAGAAAGAACCAGGCCAGGCGTGGTGGCTCGCACCTGTAATCCCAGCACTTTGGGAGGCCGAGGTGGATGGATTGCTTGAGGTCAGGAGTTCAAGACCAGCCTGGCCAACATGGTGAAACCCAGTCTCTACTAAAAATGCAAAAATTACCAGGCTTGGTGGTGCATGCCTGTAATCCCAGCTACTCGGGAGGTTGAGGCAGGAAAATTGCTTGAACCCAGGAGGCAGAGGTAGCAGTGAGCCGAGATCGCATCACTGCACTCCTAGGCAACAGAGTGAATGAGACTCAGTCTCAAAAAAATAAAATAAAAATAAAGAAAAGAAAGAACCAAACTGAGCTGATAGACCTGAAAACCTGCCTATAAGAATTTCATAACAATCAGAAGTATTAATAGCAGAACAGATCAAGCTGGGGAATGAATCTCAGAGCTCAAAGAACAGTTCTTCAAATTAACTCAGTCAGATAATAAAGAGAATTTTTTTAAATGAACAAAACCTCCAAGAAATATGGAATTATGTAAAGATGCCAAATCTATGACTCATTAGCATCCCTGAAAGAGAAGGGTAGGTCATATACAAAGGAAACTCCATCAGGCTAACAACAGAACTTTCAGCAGAAACACTACAAGCCAGAAGAGATTTGGGGCTTATATTCAGCATCCTTAAAGAAAAGAAATTCCAACCAAGAATTTCATATGCAGCCAAACTAAGCTTCATAAGTGAAGGAAAAATTAAATCCTTTTCAGACAAGCAAATGCTAAGGGCATTTGTTACCACCAGGTCTGCCTTACAAGAGGTCCATAAGACAGTACTAAATATGAAAATGAAAGACCATTACTGATCACCACAAAAACACACTCAAGTACACACTCTATTAACACTATAAAGCAAATATAATAATACAATCAAGTCTACATAACAATCAGCTAATAACATGATGACAGGATAAATTCCACACATAACAATATTAATCTTGAATGTAAACAGGTTAAATGCACCTCTTAAAAAGCACAGCATGGAAAACGGGATAAAGAAGCAAGACCCAACTGTATGCTGTCTTCAAGAGACCATCTCACATAGAAGGACACTCACATGCTCAAAGTTAAGGGATGGAAGAAATCTATCAAGCAAATGGAAAACAAAAAGGAGCAGGGGTTGCTATTCTTATTCCAGACAAAACCAACTTTAAACCAACAATGATCAAAAAGGACAAAGAAGGGCATCACATAATGATAAAAAGGTTCAATTCAACAAGACTTAACTATCCTAAATATATATATATGCAGTCAACATTGGAGCACCCAGATTCATAAAACAAGTTCATAGAGACTTACAAAGAGATGTAGATAACCATAAACTAATAGTAGGAGACTTCAACATCCCACTGAAAGTACTGGGCAGATCACTGAGGCAGAATACTAACAAAGATATTCAGGATCTAAACTTGGTACTTGACCAAATGAACCTAACAAACATCTACAGAACACTCCACTCAAAAACAACAGAATATACGTTCTTCTCATCTGCACAAGGAACATACTCTAAAACTGACTACACACTGGGCCATAAAGCAATTCTCAACAAATTCAAAAAACCAAAATCATACCAACCTCACTCTCATACCACAGCACAGTAAAAACAGAAATCAATACTGACAAGATCTCTCAAAACATACAATTAAATGGACATTAAACAATCTACTCCTGAATGACTTTTGGGTAAACAATGAAATTCAGGCAGAAATCAAGAAATTATCTGAAACTAATTAAAACAAAGATGCAACATATGAAAATCTCTGGGACACAGCTAAAGTAGTGTCAAAAGCAAAGTTCACAGCACTAAATGCCCACATACATCAAAAAGTTAGAAAGATCTCAAATTAACAACCTAACATCACACCTAGGGAACCTGAAAAACAAGAACAAACCAACTCCAAAGCTAGCGGAAGAACAGAACCAAAATCAGAGCTGAACTGAATGAAATAGATGAGAAAAACCATACAAAAGATTAACAAAACCAAAAGTTGGTTCTTTAAAAGAATAAATAAGATTGATAGACTGCTAGCTATACTAATTTTTTTAAAAAGGGACAAGATCCAAAGAAACACAATCAGAAATGACAAAGGGGACATTACCACCAACCCCATAGAAATTTTTTTTAATCCTCAGAGACCATTACAAACACCTCTATGCACATAAACTAGAAAACCTAGAAGAAATGGATAAATTCTTAAACATATTATCTCCCAAGATTGAACCAGGATGAAATTGACACCCCGAACAGACAAATAACAAACAGTGAGTAAATCAGTAATAAAAATCCTACCAGCTAGAAAAAGCCCTGGACAAGAAAGATTCACAGCTGAATTCTACGAGATGTAAAAAGAACTGGTACCAATTCTACTGAAACTATTCCAAAAAGTCAAGGAGGGACTCCTTCCTAACTCATTCTGTGAGGCAAACATCATTCTGACACCAAAACCTGGCACAGACATAATGAAAAAAAAGAAAACTTTAGGCCAGTATCTCTGATGAACATAGATGCAAAAATCCTCAACAAAATACCGGCAAAACAAATCCAGCAGCACATGAAAAAGCTAATCCACCATGATCAAGTATGCTTTATTCCTGGGATGCAAGGTTAATTCAACATAGGCAAATCAATAAATGTGATTATCACATGAACAGAACTAAAAACAAAAACTACATAATCTTCACAAGAGACAGAGAAAAGGCTTTAGGTAAAATTCAACATCTCTTCATCTTAAAAACCCTCAACAAACTAAGCATTAAAGGTACATACCTCAAAATAATAAAAGCCATCTAAACAAACCCATAACCAATATCATACTGAACAGGTAAAAGCTGGAAGCATTCCCTTTGAGAACTGCAACAAGACAAGGATGCCCACTCTCACCACTCCTATTCAACATAATATTATAAGTCCTAGCCAGAGCAATCAGGCAAGAGAAAGAAATAAAGTGCATTCAAATAGGAAGAGGGGAAGTAAAATGATCTCTCTTTACAGATGATGTAATGCTATACTAGAAAACCCTATCGTCTATGCCCAAAGGCTCCTAGATCTGATAAACATCTTCTGGAAAGTTTCAGGATACAAAATCAATGTACAAAAATCAGTAGTATTTATCTATACAAATAATATCCAAGCTGAAAGCCAAATAAAGAAGGCAATTCCATTCACAATAGCCACACAAATAAAATACTTAGCAATACAGCTAACCAGAGAGGTAAAGCAATTCTACAATGAGAATTATAACACACTGCTGAAAAAATCAGAAGCAACACAAACAAATGAAAAAAAAATATTCTATGCTCATGGATAGGAAGAATCAATATTGTTAAAATGGCCACAATGCCCAAAGCAATTTACAGATTCAATGCTATTCCTATCACACTACCAATGACATTTTTAACATAATTACAAAAAACCATTCTAAAATTCATTTGGAACCAAAAAAGAGCCAAAGAGTCATAGCAACAGCAATCCTAAGCAAAAAGAACAAAGCTGGAGGCATCACACTACTCAACTTCAAAATATACTAAAAGGCTACAGTAACTAAAACAGCATTGTACTGGCACAAAAACAGACACACAGACCAATGGAATAGGTTAGAGAATCCAGAAATAAAGCTGCACACCTAAAACTATCAAATCTTCAACAAAGTCGACAAAAACAAGCAATGGGGAAAGGACTTCCTATTCAATAAATGGTGCTGGGATAACTGGCTAGACATATGCAGAAAATTGAAACTGAACCCCTGCCTTTCACCATACACAAAAATCAACTCAGGACGCATTAAAGACTTAAATGTAAAACCTAAAGCTACAAAAACCCTAGAAGAAAACCTAAGAAATACCATTCTGGACATGGGCCCAGGTAAAAACTTGATGAAGATTCCAAAAGCAAATGCAAGAAAAACTGACAAGTGGAACATAATTAAAGAGTTTCTGCATAGCAAAAGAAACTATCAACAGAGTAAACAGACAACCTACAAAATGGGAGAATATATTTGCAAACTATGCATCCAACAAAGGTCTAACATCCAGAATCTATCAGGAACTCAAATGAACAAGCAAAAAATGACAACATTAAAAAATGGGCAAGGATGTGAACAGACATTTCTCAAAAGAAGACATACGTGCAGCCAACAAGCATACGAAAAAATGCTCACTATCACTAAACACTAAGGAAATGCAAATCAAAACCAACATGAGATACCATCTCACGCCACTCAGATTGGCTATTATTAAAAAAGCTAAAAAACAACAGATGCTGGTGGTTGTGGAGAAAAGAGAACGTTTATACACTGCTGGTGGAATATAAATTAGTTCAGCCACTGTGGAAAACAGTCTGGAGATTTCTCAAAGAACTTAAAATGGAACTACCATTTGATTCAGCAATCCCATTACTGCATATATTCCCAAAGGAATATAAATTATTCTACCATGAAGACTCATGCCCTCATTGCGGCACTGTTCACAACAGCAAAGACATGGAACCAACCTAGATCCCCATCAATAGTGGACTGGATAAAGAAAATGTGGTACATATGCACCATGGAATACAACACAGCTACAAAAAAAAATTAGATTATGAGATCATGACCTTTGCAGCAACATGAATGGAGCTGGAGGCCATTATCCTAAGTATCCTAATACCACATGCAAAAATGTGGCATTTGGTTTTCTGTTCCTGCATTAATTCATTTAGAATAAGTGGGAGCTAAACCCTGAGTATACATGGACACAAAAAAGGGAACAATACACACTGGGGCCTACTTGAAAGTGGAGGGTGGGAGGATGGAGAAGATTGAAAAACTACCTATCAGGTATTATGCTGATGACCTGGGTGACAAAATTATCTGTACACCAAACCCCTGTGACATGTAATTTACCCATATAACAAACCTACATATGTACCCCCTAAATCTAAAATAAAGTTGGAAAGGAAAAAAAAGAAAATATCCGGGGGGGGAACAATAAAAATAAGAACAATTAAAAATAATGCAAATAAAAAACAATATAACAGCTATTTTCATTGCATTAGATATTGTAAGTAATCTAGAGATGATGTAAAGTATATGGGAGGATATGCATAAGCTATATGCAAATACTACACCATTTTATGTAAGGGACTTGAGCATCCACAGATTTTGGTATTCTCAGAGGATCCTGGAACCAATCCCCAAAGATACTGAGGGCCAACTGTACTCTAACTTTAGTTCAACAATCCTTGCCTCAGAGAAGCCATTCCTGACCTTCTAGAATAGGTCAAATTCCCCTAATTATTTAATAGCAATAAGAGCTTCTCATTTTTATAATGCATATTTTGGTTGCAATTTTATATGTGTGTGATTAAGTCTGCTTGACCCCACCATACTGTATTACTCTGTGAGCTCCAGAAACTTCGAGTTCGGTTTTTTGTTGTTTTTTTGTCACCATTCTACCTCCTATTACTAGCAGTGTTACATATGTAGTATGAATAAATAAATATTTCGTGAATGAATGAACAATCTGAATACTTAAGAATTTTTCCTGGCCGGGCATGGTGGCTCACGCCTGTAATCCAGCACTTTCAGAGGCCAAGGCAGGAGGACCACTTGAGGCCAGGAGTTCAAGACCAGCCTGGGTGACACAGTGAGACCTTGTCTCTACAAAAAAATATAAAAAATTAGTCACGCAGGGTTAATACCTGTTGTCTCAGCCACTTGGGAGGCTAAGGCAGGAAAATCATTGGAGCCCAGGAGTTGGAGATGGCAGTGAGCTGTGATCATGCCACTGCACTCCAGCCGAGGCAACACAGCAAAACCCTATCTCAAAATAAATTAATTTAATTAAATAAATAAATAAGTGTCTTAAATGTATCTCCACATTTCCCTCACCCTGCCTACCACTTATTCAAATTTCCAGGGAGGGGGTCTCCTGATGTATGTTTCAAATTTATTTTTAAAAATATTCTGCAGGTAATACTGATACCATCTCCATTTGGATTATTAGGCCAAAGCTTTCTAATTAAATTGCTGGTATTAACAATTACTCAAACTGAAAGCATACTGCCTAAGAGAAAATAGTCGATTCACTTTGCAAATTCAGTTATAAAGTGAAAGCAAGCATCAAAGTCGCATAAAAAGCCAAAGGAATCTGATCAAGAAATATTCCAAGATATGAACTGAGAGTCAGAACAGATTTATCTCAATGATCTCCCCAACTATGGCACAATGTAATGACTAAAGAATATTTTACTGCATATATCCAATATACTCAGAGATGAGTAGGCAAGGTGTGGGTATCAAAACAAATACAAAATATTTAGTACCCACTCAGTATCTGTTGAGTTACTTAATTAGCTAAATGAATGAACACAGTATGGTCTCTTCCCTCAAAAGTTTTACAATTGAATTGAAAGACAAATTTTTAAACTCTACTCTTATAGTTGCAGAGAAAGATAAAATTAACATCAGAAAGTTTAAAATCATTAAATACTTTATTTAAGAACAGTTTGTTTACCAAGTTAGGACAGTGGTTATGATTTCTCAATTTACACATATTCCTTTTGAAAATCTTAGAAAAAATGTTTCACCAATGTTAAGGTACAACTCTTGAATATGCAGCGTAGTCTTCTCTCTTTATTCTGAATAACAGAAGCACGTAAATTAAATTATCCTCTTTGCACAATTATTCCCCCCAAAACTAATTTATAACATATAATTATCTCCCTAAAAAGCAGTTACAAACCATAAATTGAATATGAATAAAATATGAAAAAGAGCACAAATTTTAAAGCCCTCCATGCAAAAAAAAATTAATACATTGGCTTTACCTATAAACCTTATTTTGTTAATGCTAAGCACAGAACCCTTATGGGCTCATAGGAGTCAGCAAACAGCTACAGATGAGTCTTCTTGTTAAGAATTCATTCAATGCTTCTCAGAATAGCAGATTTTAAAAAATGAATTCACTGAGGTTCTTAAACCTCTGAACATAAGGCAACAGTTCACAACTGATTTCAGAAATAGAAGGTAAGTATTAAATTACAAATTCTACTAGGTCAGTGGGAGTGGGCGGATTCACCTGGAGTGGAGCAGTGAAGGTTTATTTTACCTCTTTCAAGATCTCTCCATATATTCCACCAGTTTGAGATAGGCTGGGGGAGGAGGTGGAATAGCTTAAAAGGTTATATTTCTTATTTTAAAGTATAAAAACATACACTTAAAGGCTAAACCTATCTATAACCTACATCTTAATGTCAGCAAAACATACTGCTTTCTACCCAAATCACCAATTGAATCAGCCTCGCTCATGATTTCAGAGCATAAGGTGTCCAGAGAAGAAAACTCAAGACTGAATGGGCTGCCATAATGGGGAAGTACAGGTAGCCAAAGGCCAGCAATTGAGACAGCATTAGAGAAACTATCTACTATGTCTGAATAAGCTCCCCTACCTTACAAGCATCAACTACTACATTGAAACCATTCTGAGTGCTGCATTTCCTATATGTGCCTAGACTTGGTAATGCCTGATAAATTCTGTATATTACCACGTCTTGCATTTAATAGACAATTTGTTTAATGATACTAACTTTACTCACACTTAATTGACTTTCTCATATCCTGAGATTAATCTAAGAAAACTATTTCAAAGATAAATTTAAAATAATTTTTAAGGAACCCAGAATTTTTATTTAGAACACTGCTTTGACTTTTGTTATTACTTTGTATTTATTAGTATATCCTATTCATAATTTTGCACTGACTTTCAATATAAAATTAAATCTCTGCTTACACAAAATAACTGTCAGCTCCAAATCAACATGAATGGAGTGACACTGAAAATATCATACTATTCCCGATAAAAAGAGTTTAATGCAAAATAATTATTACCTGGTATTTCACATTCGGTTTGTGTCTTTATCTCTACTCCCAGGCAAATATTCTCACTTAAGACCAGTGCCTTCACTGCTTCTTGTAAAGACATTTAATTTAATGTTATTGCATATTTATTTATTTTTTATGCTTATTCATACAGAATTTATTACTTTCTAGAATTTTGGGATAAGAATCATAATCACTAATGCAAAATACTCTTAATTTTTTAAATGTTGTATTTCTCGTTTTTAAATATTAATAGTTCACTATTCTAAGTTTTTCATGAATAAAAAACACATCCTAAGTTCATGAAATCTGTGCGGTTCACTACTGTACCAGGTATTAAAACCTTAAGGGCTAATCCTCTTCACTTATGAGAATTTCTCAAGAATGAGTCAAATGCGCCACATTTAAATTTGCAGATTATTTTGTCTAGCTGCTCAATCAAGAGAAATACCACTCAAAGAAATCAATTCTAAATTCATGTCTTTAATGAATACTATGTTTTGCAACCTGTATAAAAACTGATCACCCAAGCACATGCAAAAGGAATATAGTTATCTTTAGTGGGCTTGCTAAAGTATTGACAACTAATCAGTGTCCTCTAAATACTCTTATTTTGGCAACAGCCCACAAGGTTAACTTTTAGAAAATTCAGCTTGATACAAGAAAATAATTCATCATAATTAGACAATATAATTTTTCCACTTTTGAGACAAAATATATAAATCAATACTTGTTTATATGACTTGCAAAATGTCTATACACTAAGATTGCTACAGTCTATGAGGTAACCAAAGGTAAGTGATACACATCCTTTAGAAAACACAATTTGTCTGGGGGGATGATTGCACATGTATTTAAATATGTTAAAACCACTGAATTGTGTATTTTAAATGTGTGATTATATGGTATGTGAATTGTATCTCATGAAGGCTTTTTAAACAAAACAACACTGATGTAACTTAGACCAAAAAAAAAAAAACCACAATTTGTCACACATTGTTCTTTTGAGACATATTTTTATAAAGACAGAAATTAACATTTGTAGCATCAGCAGGTTTGATTAGCACATGTTACCCATGTAGGTATAATTGTCTAATCAGTAGCCAAAGTGTGCCCTTGATGCTAATCACCCCTATAACTGAATAATCTGCAAATTACAAAATGAGTTGTAATCCCCCATCCACTACCAGAACATGCCCTGTAATATACGGTGATTCTAAAAGAAACACAACCGCATGTGCCACCTCAATAGTTTCTCCAAACCTCCCAAGAGGAATATTTTTCTTTAAATGTTCTTCTTTCAAGTCTTTCGTCATATCTGTGTGTACAAATCCTAAAAGAGAAATGTTTGTTTAGTTGAAAAGGGTACACACTAAGACATCTGCTGAATTTCAAAAAAAATAATAAATTTGTTTCTGAAAATTTTAATTTGAAATTATTTAAAAAAAAATTTTTTTTTGAGACAGGGTCTCACTCTGTCACCCAAGCTAGAATGCAGTGGTGCAAACACGACTCACTGCAGCCTGGACCTCTGGGGCACAGGTGATCCTCTTGCCTCAGCCTCCCAAGTAGCTGGGACTATAGGCATGCACCACCACACCTGGCTAGTTTTTGTACTTTTTGTAGAGTTGGGCCAGGCTGATCTCAAACTTCTGGACTCAAGGGATCGGCCCACCTCAGCCTCCCAAAGTGCTGGGATTACAGGCATGAGCCACCATACCCACCCTATAATTTGAAATTATTAATAAACCTTGTTTATATAAAATAGTTTTGTTGGCCAGGTGCAGTGGCTCATGACTGTAATCCCAGCACTTTGGGAGGCCGAGGTGGGCAGATCACCTGAGGGCAGGAGTTCGAGACCAGCCTGCCCAACATGGTGAAACCCCGTCTCTACTAAAAATACAAAAAATTAGCTGGGGGTGGTGGTGGACGCCTGTAATCCCAGCTACTCAGGAGGCTGAGGCAGGAGAATCGCTTGAACCTGGGAGGTGGAGGTTGGAGTGAGCCGAGATTGTGTCACTGCACTCCAGCCTCAGCGACAAGAGTGAAACTCCATCTCAAAAAAAGCAAAACAAAACAAAATAGTTTTGTTAGTAATCAAGACACCAAGCCTACATTTTTATACAATTTAACTCAATGAATATTTATTGGACACTAAAATATCTGACCCCCAAGTATCTGGCCCACCTAGCAAAATATAAGTAGGTAGACACAAACATGAATAAAACAAAATTCCACTCTTTGGGGAACCTATGATTTGTGGAGGAAATGGTCACTTGCACACCCGATTATAACGTAAAGAAGTCTGGTGAATATCCTGATAGAAGTATATATAAAATATCATAGAATACATTAATTTTCACTTAGGTAGGGATAGAAAAGTAGAAAGTAGTGTCAAGGGAAGGAAGGCATCACAAAAGTGGTCACATGAACTGATTTGGTAGCTGATGATTAGAAAGGCCAGTATTTCCCATATCTGGATTTTAAAATCTTACGGTCATATCCAATTCTGATACAAGTAAACATAGAAAATTCAAATTCAGTAAAGCCTGCCAAGAAAATGTTCTAAAGAATGTATTAGGTTCTACAGTATAAAGAACTAACTACATAATATATAACCAACCAATCCTAAATAACTACAAATACATACCAGGGAGAACTGTAGACTTATGAAGAAAATCTTACAAGATTAATACAGGACATACAAATACGTATTAATAAAATGCTTAGCCCATATAATCAGTATCCTGTATATTACTCAATCATTTGGGTTTTTAAAAAGAAAGCAATATTAATCCTCATGAAAAGAATAGAAAAAAATTTTTAAGGTCATGAAAAATAGATGGACTAAAACTTCAACATGACGTGTGAAGTAAACATTTAATGTGCAATCTCAAAAATACAGTTTTCAAATTGCCTGTTAAAACTAAATCATTTATAGCTCAAACTATAGATAAACCTAAATATATTACCTTTTAAAGTACCATAATAAATGTGAAGTAAACAATGAATTAAGAATTAACATTAGGCCATTGGTTTATTATGCAATACTATGTAATTACTTAACTTTCCTTTCTTTAGGTTTGCAGTTATAAATATCTACGCATTTTCTTAAAAGTCTTGTGAAAAATATTCACAGATTTGTCTATCATGAAGCTTATGAATGACACTTTCATTAGGAAAAAACTGAAACAAGCTGAATGTCTTTCAATAAGAAACTGGTTAAATAAGTTATGATACAGCCATACAACAGAATAATGCAGGTATTAAAAATAATGCTATATGTTCTCACTTGTAACTGGGAGCTAAAGAATGTGTACACATGGATGTGATCACAATGGAGATTCAGAAGGGTGAGAGGGTGGGACAGAGGTGAATAAGAAATTACCTAATAGGTACAATGGGTGTTATTCAGGTGACAGATACCCTAAAAGCCCTGACTTCCCACTATGAAATCTATGCATATAACCAAACTGCATCTGCACCTGCATTCATTTGTATTTATACAAATAAATGAATAAGATAAAAATAAAAAATAAAAATTATGCTATAGAAGGATACTTAAATCTGAAAGTAACATTTGTGTATAAAATGTAGGTTACAAATGAATTAAGTTATACCACTATTAAAAACACAACAAAGAACTTATACTAATGACTGAAAAAAGTACTATATACCAAAATATTAACAGTGATTATCATTAGATACTAGAATTACAGGTAATGATTTTTATTTTCTTTATATTTTTCTGCTCTTTCCAAACTGTCTACAACAGATATATATATTATTTTTGTATTCAGATAAAAAGTTGTTGAAAAAATGCACACAGTACTACCTTCAGATAGTCTGTAATGAAGGCCTGGAATAACAAAACTAATTTTGTATTATGTATGTTTCACTGTGAAATTACACAGTGAAATACAGTCTTCTCTGCCATAACATCTTACCACATTTATTTTAAAAGTCAGCAATATTTCCTTCATATCCTCTCATCTTTAAGAAGAATGAGAAGGCCAGAAGGAATGCAAGAATAAAAGGAGAAGCAGCTAACACAGATATTGATACTAGCCTCTGCAGAATTTCCAACAAACTATAAATGAAACTTAATTTACAGTGAAGAGCCACAATAATCAACAGGCAATCCAATCAGCTTAAGAACAATATCATGGGGGTTCTCGCTGTCCAAAGTTTTCTGTCTTTAGACACATGTATTTTCCTTTTTTTTTTTTTTTTGAGACAAGAGTCTCACTCTGTCACCAGGCTGGAATGCAGTGGTGCGATCTAGGCTCACCGCAACCTCCGCCTCCTGGGTTCAAGCGACTCTCCTGCCTCAGGCTCCCCAGTAGCTGGGACTACAGGCACACGCCACCATGCCCAGCTAATTTTTGTATTACTAGTAGAGACGGGGTTTCACCAGGTTGGCCAGGATGGTCCTGAACTCCTGACCTCAGGTGATCCACCCACCTCAGCCTCCCAAAGTGCTAGGATTACAGGCGTGAGCCACTGTGCCCAGCCAACAAAAGTATTTTCAAAAGTGCCTCAGAGAGTATCCTAGGAAGAAAACCTCATCTCACACTTGTAATAAAAGCAGAATGAATAAAAATTGTCAAAAACATGTAAAAGTTCATGTTATCTTCTCAAAGATAGACACAATTATCCTTTAAGTTCTTTTCAAACTCTAGCAAAATTAGCATAGAATACTTCCCAGTAACTCTCACAAACTGTCAGCATAAAAATCGATGCATTTTAACCCAAAAAACAAAAACAGAAAAACACAATAAACTACAGTAGAAATGGTTTGCAAGAAAGACCTTGTGACTATGCAAATCCCAGGCTCAACTTCTGACTCTGCTGGCCTGGCCTTTTCTCAAAGGCAGTATTTTGTGGTTAAAAAAAACCACTGGATTAGGACACATTAAACTAGATTCTGTTCCCTGCTCTGCTGATACTATTAAAGCTATCACCCGAGAAAAGTCACGTGCTAAGACCAGCTCGGTCACGGAGACCTTAACACAGCAGCACTAGAGGAATTAAAGACACACACAGAAATATAGTGTGGAGTGGGAAATCAGGGGTCTCACGGCCTTCAGAGCTGAGAGCCTCAAACAGACATTCACCCACATATTTACTGACAGCAAGCCAGTGATAAGCATTCTTTCTATAGATGATAGATTAACTAAAAGTATTCCTTACGGGAAACAAAGGGATGGGCCGAAATAAAGGGATGGGTCTGGCTAGTTATCAGCAGCAGGAGCAAGCCCTTAAGGCACAGATCGCTCATGCTATTGTCTGTGGTTCAGGAACGCCTTTAAGCGGTTTTCCACCCTGGGTGGGCCAGGTGTTCCTTGCCCTCATTCCGGTAAACCCACAAACTTCAGCATGGGTGTCATGGCCATCACAAACAGGTCACGGTGCTGCAGGGATTTTGTTTATGGCCAGTTTGGGGGCCAGTTTATGGCCAGATTTGGGGGCCTGATCCCAACAGTCATGTACTATCTGCAACTGAATGACCATTTCTGTATCATAAAATGAATGTAATAGGTGGAAAATGACAGATCTCTGAGGTTTCTTTTCTGTTTTTTCTTTTTTGCTTTTTTTCTTTTGAGACAGTCTGGCTCTGTCACCCAAGCTGGAGTGCAGTGGCACAATCACGGCTCACTGCAACCTCTGCCTCCCAGGTTCAAGCAATTATCCTGCCTCAGCCTCCCCAGCAGCTGGGACAACAGGCGCCTACCACCACGCCTGGCTAATTTTTTTTTTTTTTTTTTTTTTTTTTGAGACGGAGTTTGGCTCCTGTCACCCAGGCTGGAGTACAATGGCATGATCTCAGCTCACTGAAACCTCCGCCTCCCGGGTTCAAACAATTCTTCTGCCTTAGCCTCCCGAGTAGTTAGGATTACACGCATGCATCACCACACCAGGCTAATTTTGTATTTTTAGTGGAGACAGGGTTTCACCAGGTTGGTTGGGCTGGTCTCAAATTACTGGCCTTAGGTGATCAGCCTGCCTTGGTCTCCCAAAGTACTGGGATTACAGGCGTGAGCCACCATGCAGCCTGGCCTGAGGTTTCTTTTAGCCCTACAACACTACGATTCAAAGATTAAAAGTATGCCTCATTAAGTACTCTTCATGACAACTTGACTTGAACTTTAGGAATGTAAGTTCCCTTAAAAGGGCCCTCAGTTCTTACATTGGTAGGTACATAGAGGTTAGAATACTTCCAATTCAAGAAGCACTAACGCTAACCTGGGTTTTCATCCATGCTGTGTTGAAAGGAACTGATCAGCCCTTCTTCTGGGTGGATGTTAGTTCTGATATGTTTGTCCTTTCGGAGACAAAAAGTAAGGCCACAAAAGTTGTGAGTGACCATTTGAACAGGTTTTTTCACCTCGGGGAAAAAAGCAGATCTAGAATAAGGCATGAGATACTGGAAGGTCTCCAAGCCTTAGACAGGCAAGGAGACCTAAGCAGTGAGACACTTTCAGGGACAATCCCAGTGAGATGGAAAGATGACCTCTACCACACAGACATGGGCTGACATCCTTCTTTCTGCTTGTATTACTTTCTAGTCTGTGCTCTCTCTCCTTGGCCCCAAAGGACTCTCCCCCATATCATCCTTTCATTTCATTTGTAAAACTCTGGAAATTTTGCTCTACTCCCCTTTTTGCTAGGTATACATTTACAATGCCTTTCACACTAGGCTATAAACATTACAAACTACCAGTAGGTGCCACTGTCCAACAAATAATGCTACTGCATCTCCTGGAGAGTTAGACGTTTCCAGTTTGGAGGACAGACATGTGATCCCCCAAAAACAACCAAGTAAGCTAGATATGGAACAGATAAAGGCTAACATCTTGAAGCTTTTAATAAGGTCTTGTTAAATGTTATAGCCTGGATTCATCTCTGCTATAGTCTATGTCTATGTTAGGTCAGATCTGTACAAGAGAGAGTGGTGCCCTCTGAATCCAACATGATTACAAGAAGTCCAGAACAGGAATGATGATGTTCAGCCACCCACCTCGAATGAAAAGTCTCCCTCCACTGCTCAAGCTTAGAAGATAAGGGTGTGATTTATTTAGGGAAAGCTTGCCACAATCTCTCCCCAGACCTATGAATGGATACTTGGAATAACAAATATCAGGGGACAGCTGCTAGCCATCACTGAACTCTGCACTAAAAGTAAAGTGGGTGAGAGAGGCCAAGTTGAAAGGAAGGGATGAATTCACCAATGCTGGTTTTTCCTCTTTGATTATGTTATTTTCTATGGAGGACATGAACATGTCCAAAGAGCCTCTCTTCATTTTCTGTAGCTTTTTAAAAAATTTATAAACTTTACATTTTTGAGGAATTTTAGGTTTACAGAAAAATTGAACACAACGTTCAGATAGATCCCATGCACCCCCTTTTCACATCACCCCCCCCTTTCCATTTCCCATTACTAACATCTTACCTTAGTGTGGCACATTTATTACAACTGATAAACCAATATTGATACATTATTAAGTAAAGTCCATAGTTTACATTAGGGTTCACTCTTTATTTTATATATTTATGTATTCATTTATTAATACCATTTTGTCTTCACAAGCTAAGGGTTCACTCTTTAGACTGTACAGTTCTACAGGTTTGGACAAATGCATAATATCATGTGTCCACCATTACAGTAGCAGACAGAATAGTTTTACTGCCCTAATAATCTGTCTGTAGCTTTTTAAAACTCATGTATCTGTCCCCACTTTATCAGAAATTAAATAAAATTTATCAGAAATTAAATTAAAAATGTAAAGCTAGTCTCTAATGATAAATTACTCTGGGCTGTATGGAACTTCCATGTCATTTTATATTAAAGGTTATGAACCACGTGATCTTCATTTATAAATATATTCACAACCCAGGACATGACATATAAATGGTCTCTTAGGTTCCATATCATGTATCACAGACCTGAAGAGAGAGATTAATAGTCCTTAAACAACTCACACACCCTTCTTACTACTTGTATTACTTTCCGGTCTGTGCTCTCTCTCCTTGGCCCCAAAGGACTCTCCCCCATATCATTCTTTCACTTCATTTATAAAATTCTGGAAATTGTGCTCTACTCCCCTTTTTGCTAGGTATATATTAACAATGCCTTTCAAACTAGGCTATAAAATTTACAGACTACCAGTAGATGCCACTGTCCAACAAATGATGCTACTGCATCACCTGGACAGTCAGAGGTTTCCAATTGGCTACAAAGTTATCACTTCTTAACTCGACGAAAAGATAACTGAAATGACAAGCATTAAACCAATTTAGAGCAAAGATACTTCTAGTTTAGTTCCATATATGTGATTAAAAACCCAGTTCAATTTTTATAGGAACTCTTTAGGAACAGGGACACTCTTGCTCAAAAAGGTAAATGCATGGCTCCTGCCCAATGAGGATTTATATTTGATAAACTCTAAAGATATAGGCCAGGTGTGGTGGCTTATGCCTGTAATCCCAGCTACTACTGAGGCAGGAGGATCGCTTGAACCCAGAAGGTCTAGGCTGCAGTGAGCCAAGACTGCACCACTATACTCCAACCTAGGCAACAGAATGAAACCCCATCTCAAAAAAATTTTTAAACAATTTTTTTAAAAAGATTATATCCTTTATCGATTTCTGACTAGCTATAAACTATAAATAGAAACACCTCATTTCCATATCCCTAGGTCATTATTTTAGTTTTCAACATTTTTATATACAGCAGAGCCTTTATATTTAAAAAGGCATCAGGATTTTAGCCTATCACTAGTACTAACAATTGTGAGATGGGGCACTATTTGATGTATCTGCCAGATAAGATGTCCACTCTTTGATGTAAGTTTCTAGGACTCAAAAAGAACAAAAACAACCCAACACTTTTCTAAGGGAGAAGAAATAAGGCTCTTACCAAAAAGCTAAACCAAGATTTTAACTAGAACAAATTTCTATGTCTTAATATTATATTTGTAGAGGGAAGCAGAGTGGGAAATCAACTTCATTCCAAACAGCACATAAGAACACTTAGAATATCTTCTCTGAGTAGCTAACAAACTCATGCAAATCTTTGTCAACAAGATTTTCTCCAAGTAGTAAACATAAAAGCTCTTCAACTTAAAAAATAAAGTACTGAAACACTTAAGGTATCCTGTAGAAATAAACATAATACTATTTGTCAAAATTAAAAATGCACATACCTCTGAAGCCTTTGCAGTTCCAGTCCCAAGATTACACTCATATACTTGCAAATGTGCAAAATAAACTCCATACAAGTATTGTCACTGCATCATTAGTTGTAACAGAAAAAGTTCAGAACAAAACTAAATGTCCATCAAAAGGCAACAGGTTAAATAAATTAGGTATACCTTTAAAACAAACATCATTTTCTGTTTTCATTCAGTCATTAAAAGTGACATAACAGTCACAAAACACCAAATATTACATGATTCAATTTATATGAAATGTCCAGAATATGCAAATCTGTAGATACAGAAAGTAGTTTAGTGTACTGGGGAGATTGGAAAGAAATAGGGAATGAATGTTAATGGGTTTAGGATTTCTTTAAGGATGATGAAAACGTTCTAAAATTTACTGTGGTGAAGATTGAACAATTCTGGGACTATACTAAAACCACTGAATTGACTGAATTGTAAACTTTAAATGGGTGAATTGTATGGTATGTGAATTGTATTTCCACAAAGCTGTTATTTAAAAAAGTGAAGCAGCTCTATATGGAATAACACAGAAACATCACCAAGGTATCTTGTTCTATGAATAAAGGAAGATACAGAAAGCTGTGAATTGCATGATACAATTTGTGTTTTCTTACACTCATGCCCAGCATGCTTTATTGGCTTATATATGAAATACAAAAGAAACTTTGTAGTTAACAGCAACTACTTTTAAGTAACTGAATGTCCAGAGGAGAAAAGACTCTTTATGCCTTTTTGTACTTTTGAATTTCGTACTATATGTATTATCTATTCAAAACACATATTTTTTAAGGTAATACAGCCATTACAGTTTCCATTTATCAAATATTATTTCTAATATTCAATATCTTCCAATCAGTATGATTTCCCATGAACAGTTTATTTTATATTTAAAGTAATACCAAAGATTAGCAGCTATTGATCTTTAAAAAGTCAACAGTATTAGGCAATGAATCGCAGCCTAATTTATTATTTTCCTTGTTCCTTGCTTTTCCTGTTATAATTTGCTTTTAAACTGTTTTCCTGCTAATTGGAAACTCCATTTGAAGGTGACCAGGAAAACTGACATAAAAGGACACATATTTGTTAACTGTGATGTTTGTTAGCTGTGTTACAAGATCTGTTGAAGAATCTGGTTGAAATTACTATCTAAAATAAAGTTGGTAAGTAATCCACAGAACTGATTTAATTCTACTATTTCAAGTTGCACTTTGCTTCTGACAAATGATGCATATTCATACCATCAAATCTGCTAAATATACATAAAGGCCACTCTATTAAATGGCCACATTTTCAGCTACAGGTTTTTATCTGTAGTATAAATTGCACTGGAAATCCATAATATATAAATATATATTATGCTCTATAAGGGTTGTATGCTCAACAAAAAAGGGGAGTGATAAATAAAACCACCACTTTCAAAAAAAAAAAAAAAAAACTGCACTGGAAAGTAAAATCTTTAAGAAAGAAAGACTACAACCACACTTCCATAACAATCTTAAAACTTCCCCTTAGTATGCAAACTGGATTCCCACTATTTAGTCTACTGCCTTGACAACTATTTACTCTAAACTAGACAAAATTAAGCATTCTTTCCTTCTTCAACATTTCTATAGCACCATATATGTACCTCTATTTTATATTCGTCATATGACACTGCAATTATTTGTTTACATGTCAGTCTTTTTCACTATACTTAGCTCCTTGTGCAGAAATATCTTATTCATTCCTGTAATTTGGGGAGCTAGCTCAGTCCCTACACGTAGGAGACATGCCAGAAAGTTTGCTGCATGAGTTATTGTTAGCTAAGTACACTTCCATTCCCCGAAACCATTCAGCTTTTGTATTATCATGAACTAAAATTAACCCTTCATTACCCACAGTATTCCAATCCTGAAAAGAGAAGGAAGCAAATACATGTAGTTCCAAACCACAAATAATTTATTCCACAGATAGTTCATCTAGGCTAACGCTAAAAATCAATCAGCTTGCATAAAGCATACACAAAGAGAAAACAGTGCTAAGATAACAACAATGCTGCTTCTGGATTGTTTTTTCTTTTTCTTTCTCTCCCTACTCCCAGCAAATAGATGTATCTGAACCACAGTCACTTATCAAATATTCATAGATTTAGAATGTCTGAATGTAGCTAGTTGCTATGAGAAAAAAAAAAAAGAAAAGAAAAGAATTGAAATAAAGACACACTATAGACCAAAAGGGTTAATAGGATATTTTGATAAATCCCTGATACCTGCTGGCTCAACTTCAGTGCCAAAGAAAACACCAACTGTAAGGTCCAAGCTGGAGCCATTAGTGACCGGAAAGGGAAAGGTAGCAAAGGTCTACTTCAGCCCTCTCTTTCTTACAAAGGACCAGCAAACCAAAATAAACTGCCTTTTCTTATATAGGTGATTAATTCTTAAGTACCTACAGTAGGCTAGGACAAAGATTCCATGGCTAACTGGCAGAGGTAGATAAAAACACTTGTGTTACTCAAAAACCAAGTAAATACCTAATCAAAATTTCTAGCACACCAGCTAATTAGTGATCATATATTTTTGAGTTTTAGCACCTTTTTATTACCCTCTTCATTAATCCAGGCAATTTTATCAACTAGTACCCTGGCGAAAGGCAAATAATGGAAAAGTAAAAATTAGGAAAATGGGAGGTTCCAGATAGTTTAGACAGACCATAGTAGTAAAAGGACAAAACTATCTAAAGTTTGTGTAATGATATAAAGAAAATCTAAAAAGAATTTTTTTTTTAATTTTTATAGAGACAGGGTCTCAACAGGGTCTCGCTCTGTCACCTAGGCTGGAGTACAATGGCATGATCATAGCTCACTGCAACCTCCAACTCCTGGACTCCAGCAATCCTCCTGCTTCAGCCTCCCAAATAGCTGGGACTATAGGTGTGCACCACCACACCCAGCTAATTTTTTTTTTTTTTTTTCGGTACAGACAGCATCTTGCTATGTTGCTCAGGCTGATCTGGAACTCCTGGCCTCACAATACTCCTGCCTCAGCCTCCCACATGAGCTACCATACCTGGTAGGACATTATTTTTAAGCTCCCATTAGGTGGAAATCAAAAGACAAAGCTTTTAGTAACAGTTCTTCCATAAACTAGCTGTGTAACCTTAGGCAAGTCACTCTGAATCCCAGGTACAGTTTTCTAATCTACAAAAATGACTGGAAAAAATTATTTCTAAGACCCTCTCCACCTTAAGTTATTCCACTAGTGCAAAATTTAAAAATAAAGACTCTTATGGTTTGGATGTCTGTCCCCTCCAAATCTCATGTTGAAATGTGATTCCCAATGTTGGAGGTGGGCCTAGCGGGAGGTGTTTGGGTCATGGAGGCGGATTCCTCATGAATAGCTTGGTGCCCTCCACATGGTAAATAATGAGTTCTCACTGTTAGTTCATGCCAGAGCTGGTTGTTTAGAGCCTGCCACCTCCTCTCTCTCTTGCTCCTGCTATCCCCATATGACTTGGCTGCTACCTCTTTACCTTCCGCCATGACTGAAAAAAAGTTTCCTGGGCCTCACCAGAAGCTGAGCAGATGTTGGTGTCATGCTTGTACAGCCTGCAGGCCCGAGAGCCAAATAAGCCTCTTTTTTTTATGAATTACCTCAGACAGTCCTTTAGAGCAATGCAAACAGGCTAACACATAGACTTTATATAGAATATGAGGTACAAAAAATTTTTTTGAGTCCCCCAGTTCATTATTTGATTCTTTTCACAATCATTTTACAAACTATTCTACCCAGATGTCAATTACTAATGTTCCAAATAATGGCTTCCCTATAAAACAATAATCATAATCAAGTTATTTTAATAAAGTTTTCACTAACCTGGTGCAACTACATTCACTCTAATTTTCTTTCTTGCTACCTCTTTAGCAAGAGCACGTGAAAATCCAACTAATCCTCCTTTACTGGCACTGTAAACGGACTGGCCAGAGTTGCCTTTTAAGCCAACAATGCTTCCTAGGACAAAAAAAAAAAAAAAAAAAAAAAAAGCGTATTAAATTCAATTAATGGGGTTACTTGAAAATTTAGATAATTTATAGTAAACAAAAAGGTAAAACCCACTTCACCTTGTCCTTTGTTAAAATTAGAAATTCTAACCATTGTCATCAGTCATTTACGGAAGATTTAAGAGTCCAAGTCTGCTCCAGATACATACAGAAAATAGCATCTGAAAGCAGCTGATACAAAACTGCCAATGCAGGTGCTTGCGAATTGATTCACTACGTGAAGGGGATGCACTCTAATCTCTGAGTAGGTCAGATATGATGAAAATTCTGTGGTATTTATAAAGGCTTCCAGCAGGTAGAGGTTAAAGCCAGAAAAAGTCAGACAAAAGCTGACTAATTTTATGATTCTACAACACAGACATAAGGCAGAAAGCTCTCGTTTTCACCCTAAAAACTAGTTCATTTGAAGCTAAATCTCACTAAAATTGAATTACATGCATAACTCATTTTATTGTTCTGCTTTATTGTGCTTTGCAGATATTGCATTTTTTTTTTTTTTTTTTAACAAATTGAAGGCTTGTAGCAACCTTGCAACAAGCAATTCTATTAGCACTTTTCCAACACCATGGCTCACTGTGAGCAGTGCTCACTCTGTGTCTCTTTGTCACATTTTGGTAATTTTCATACCATCTTAAATTTTTTCATTATTATTACATCTGTTATAATGATCTGTGATCAGTGATTCTTGATGTTTACTGCTGTTGGGGTGCCACAAACAAAATATTACTGCTCACTGACAATGCATCTGGTCACCAAAGAGCTCTGATGGATATGTACAAGGAGATTAATGTTGTTTTCGTGCCTGTTAACACAATATCCTTTCTTCAGCTCATGGATCAAGGGATAATTCTGACTTTCAAGTCTTATTTAAGAAACATTTTATAAGTCTATAGCAGTCATAAATAGTAATTCCTCTTAGGAATCTGGGCAAAGTAAATTAAAAGCCTTCTGGAAAGGATTCACCGTTCTATATGCCATTCAGAACATTTGTGATTCATGGCAGGTCAAAATACCAACATTAACAGAAGTTTGAAAGAAGTTATTTTAACCCTCATGGATGACTTTGTGGGGTTCAAGACTTCAGTGGAGCAGAATTACAAGTGGAGCCTGAAGATGTGACTGAATTGCTGCAATCTTATGATAAAACAAATGGGTGAGGAGTTGCTTCTTATGTATGGATAAACAAAGTTGTTTCTCAAGATGGAATCTCTTCCTTGTGAAGATGTGAATACTGTTGAAAGAAATGACAAAGGATTTAGAATATCCTATAAACTTAGTTGATAAAGCAATAGCAGGGATTGAGAGGAGTGGCTCCAATTTTTAAAGATCTACTTGCATAAAATGCTATCAAACAGCATCACATGCTGCAGAGAAATCTCTCACGAAATGAAGAGTCAATCAATGTGGCAAATTTTGTCTTATTCTAAGACTTGGAACCAAATCAAATGTGCAACAATGACAGACTGGATTAAGAAAATGTGGCACATATACACCATGGAATACTAAGCAGCCATAAAAAATGATGAGTTCATGTCCTTTGTAGGGACATGAATGAAATTGGAAATCATTCTCAGTAAACTATCGCAAGGACAAAAAACCAAACACCGCATGTTCTCACTCATAGGTGGGAACTGAACAATGAGAACACATGGACACAGGAAGGGGAACATCACGCTCTGGGGACTGTTGTGGGGTGGGGGAAGCGGGGAGGGATAGCATTGGGAGATATACCTAACGCTAGATGACGAGTTAGTGGGTGCAGCACACCAGCATGGCACATGTATACATATGTAACTAACCTGCACATTGTGCACGGTACCCTAAAACTTAAAGTATAACAATAATAAAATAAAAAAATAAAAAAAATAAAGAAATTGCCACAGCCACTATTATCAGTCAGCAGCCATAAACATCAAGGCAAGACCCTCCGCCAGCAAAGATTATGACTTGCCAGAAGCTCAGATGATCATTAGCATTTTTTAGCAATAAAGTATTTTTTTAGCAACAAAGTATTTACATTTTTTTTAGATATAATGCTACTGCATACTTAATAGACCATAATATAACTTTTACATGCACTGAGAAACTAAACAATTGGATAAGACAAAATTTGCCACATTGATTGACTCTTCATTTCATGAAAGATTTCTCTGCAGCATGTGATGCTCTTTGATAGCATTTTATCCAAGTAGAACTTTAAAAATTGGAGCCTCTCCTCTCAATCCCTGCTATTGCTTTATCAACTAAGTTTATAGGATATTCTAAATCCTTTGTCATTTCAACAGTATTCACATCTTCACAAGTAGATTCCATCTTGAGAAACAACTTTGTTTATCCATACATAAGAAGCAACTCCTCACCCATTTGTTTTATCATGAGATTGCAGCAATTCAATTTGTGTGACTTACATTCTTGACATATTCGCTTTATTCCGGTGGAGCAGAACCAAAGCTACAATATCTGCGAGACATGCTTGTACTGTCAATCTAAATTGGCAAAGCTTCAATTATACACTTTTTGTAAAAGTGCAATTTCATTACATTCAGTGATATATTGTAAACTGTACTGCCTACTGAAGATTCTTGAGTGACCACATCTAATGAATATGTAATAATAATTTTTAATTCAAATATCAACTATATGCAAATAAACTCTTGCAAAACAGAAGTGGGGAAGTAATTTTCTGCACCACTGACCTGTACTTATGATACAAAAATTAATCAAGGACCTCACAAAATTTTTTTAAAGTAATTTTAAAAAAAGAAAACATTCCAAACATTTCTCTATTAGAATCAACAAGTTCAGTATTAGAATATTTATCTACATTATATATTGTAGGCCAATTAATAACAAAGGAAGAGAACTGTGAAGTACACAGAGAGAACAGACATCAGACTGAAGAAATGCATATGGATAGAGGGGTGTTTATCAGAAAGAAAAATACAGAGACACAAAAAAAGAAAAATACATGCACGAAAAAAATACCAAAACAGGGCTGGTCCGATGGTAGCGGGTTATCAGAACCTATTAACAGTAGTGTCACTAAAGTTAGTATACAACCCCCAACTGCTAAATATGAGTGGCTTTTAAAAGAAAAAAAAACACAAGCTGCTTTAGCAGCTTTGATTCGTGCCACGCACTACTGTTCATCAGGTCAAAAAGTGGTAATTTCTGAAATACCAATGAAGTGTCTGGCAGTTTAAAGTAGTCCTTCCTGTAGTAAGATTCTCAATTTACTATCTATTATTTACTTTTAGCTCAATTCTAAAAGTTTTGCATGCATAAGGAGGACTAATGGGTTTTTTAAATACACCTAAAAAAAAGAAGATTTTAGAGTTAAACAAATATACCTCAGGTTATCAGGTGACAGATACAGGCCTGTTTGCCTGCTTGTAAGTATCCAAAGTCCTTATCTGGCTGTGTTAAAAGGCAAAGGTTGACTCATTGACTAATCTCTTACATAAGAAAACGGATCCCTTAAATTTTTAAGAGTAAATGTCCAAAATGCTCTCATGTCCCCTTAGTTTATTAGCATAGTATTCTTTCCTTTTCTCACTTTCAAAACAGAAAAACTCTAAATTCTGGCTTGAAAAACCATTTCCTACATTTAAAAGAACAGGGTCACTTACTTTTATGGAGCAGCATCTCCCTTCTGTGGCCTTTTAAGGTATTACCATTTGAAAATAAAAAGCAGATGGTATACTATTATTTCCAAATTACCAAACTGAAATAAAATTTCAAGTCATTTTGCATTTTAAGTTCTACAGGCATATACTCCACAGCTTATCTGCCCTGTGGGTTAGATGAACTGAAAACTAGGGGTTACTTACATCCATTCTTAAAAACAGAGAAATTTTATCTTCCTTTAAACCTCTACACAAGATTTAACAGTAACCCATGAAACTGCTGTAGACAATATTATTTAGCCACCACTGTCTACTTTAATTCCTTGTCCATGTTTTAAAAATCAGGTTCCTGGCTGGGCACGTGGCTCACCTCTATAATCCCAGCACTTCGGGAGGATCACTTGAGCCCATGAGTTAAAGACCAGCCTAGGCCACATAGTGTGACCTCGTCTCTATTTAAAAAAAAAAAAATTCACATAAAAATCAGAATGATCCAATTTCTCTTGAAAAATCAAAATTGCTGGCAAAACTGGGACCACATTCTTGCACGGCAACAATCTACTGAATCTAAGTGGTGGCCTCCACCATTCCATATGGGCTCTGGACAATGAAGCTGGATATCATTTATCACATGGCTGGTACTGTCATTTTTCTAGTACTCAGTGGTGTCACTCATTTAACACCTGCCTGACTCCTATAGGGATGTGAATGTGTGATTCTTATTTTACTCATTAATCAATTAATTAAATCCTTTTTTCCACAGATAATATAAATTTCATTCATGTTTCACAATAAATCACAAATTCGTGGATTAAATATTTTTATGGTATGGTATTATGGGATAATCATAAATTCACAAAGGTGAAGACTCACCTACATTAACAATAGACCCTCCCTGTTGTTGAATCATAGTCCTCATGGCAGCTTTACAGGTCAGCATGGAACCCAAGAGGTTAGTATGAAGCTGAGATACCATATCTTCAGTTTTTGTTCTTACTAAAAGACCATCCCTACAAAAAGAAACAGCATATAATAGCATATAATAACAAGATAAAAACCAAAAAGGTCAAGACTAATGTAACATTTTTACTGAGAGTGCAAGAAGTGCTTCCTATCTGAGCTAGAATAGCTAGAATACCTAGAGTCCCATTTTGAACTTGGCTTGAGAAACATTAAAATAACAATTGATAAACCAGAAAGGATCCACTTGGAAGACAGGTTGCTACCCCTTCTCAGCTTGAGTGGCAAATATTCTTAACCCCTAAAAAGTAGTAACATATAGCCAAAATAGTTTGAATGGCCTGAGCAACTGCCATACTAAGCCTTGTTTAGCAAGAAAATTAATATGTTATCTAAATATTCTCTCCTAAATTCATCTTTTAAAAAATAATATCCACTCCATGATTCTATTAGTATTAAGTTCACAAACTGGCAAAACTTATCTGTGGTGACAAAACTCAGAAAACAGTTACCAACAAGGAAGTATTGAGAAGACACTACCTTCTGGAGCACTGGAAACATTCTACGGCTCAATATGGGTGATGATTACAATGTTAAAATCGACTCAACTGGACATTTATTATATGTTGTATCTCAATATAAAGGAAAATAATTTATGGATTGACAAGTTTTAAAATAGTTTTTTCTCCCAGTTAGAAGCAAAATAAACATATTAACTTATACCAATCAAAGACATATTAGGAATAAAAGTTTTAAATATATATATAAGAAACTTATTTAAATCTGTGACCAACCTGTTAATACCAGCTGCATTTACCAAGAAATTTACTCGACCTAAATGTTTCTCCAGCTCTTCAAATGTATTTTGAACATCATGTTCTTTAGCAACATCACAGCTAAATGCCAAATGATCTCCTACACAACAAAGTTAAATAAGAATTACTTATAACTCAAATTTTAAATTTACTCAATACACATTTGTTAAGCATCTATCTAAGATGGCAGGCCTGTGCTAATCTAGAACCTAAAGATTAAAAAAGTAATGTCATGAGGCCTGGCTTTCATAGAGTTGGTCTAATGAAACTGGGATGCGGGAACAAAGAGGAAATAAAGTACTACTACAGAAAGTTAATTTTAAAATTTTCTTTTTAATCAACAAAGGGGGGAGGGCTTTTTCAAGTTATAAAGGCTCTGTAAGATTCATCTAATATTTATAGCTTTAACACTGAATTCATGCTACCCAATTCGACAGTCTTCTGGGTTTTATATTCCTTTTTTGAAATTTATGTCTAATTCTGTCAGGTTTTTGTTGAATTAGTTTCTTTGGCCCTGAACGGGAACTCTTGGGTTTCTTCTTTTTAAGTGCTACGGATGCACTATGGCACATATATTATAACGACTATTATTCAAACCTGACCATCAGGAGAGATGAGACAACACAGGAAGCTATAAAAATGCTAAAACTACAAACCACGGGGGGAAAAAAACACTTTTTACTAAAAGCAACTGTTACTTACCACTTTTAAAAAATGGTTAAATGCCAAAAAAAAACTACACTTCAAAGGAAAACAAAGCATTCCCTATGTAATCTACCATTTTAATACTCTAAAATGTAGGATTGTTTTTAAAAGCTAAAACAATTCTTTATTTTCTGTCTGACCTTGATAAATATGCTTACACCAACACTACCCCATCAAGCCTTTGGAAACAGTAAGCGACCCGGGGAATTATACTTTCTAGATGAAAACCAATCACTCATGGAACACGATTCAAAGGAATGCAGGGCCCAAAAGCATCCTGTGTCTCTCTTACTCTTGGTTTTCACCCGAAGACTTGTGTCCACAACCACCTTTGAAAGCCCAACTAATGGCTTCAATCCAGTCCAGCAAACACTGATGGCTTGGGGTGACACAGTAAGGGTCACCACTCTTCCCCTCCTTTGTTAGAATGGTAAGGAATATGAGCTTCAAGAAGCATTCACTGACACTCTCCCTGACCTATAACTTACAGAATCTTTTTTCTTTTAGAGAGCCCAATAGTCTCCCAACCAGCACTGAACAGGTGATACCAAACCGATCAATAATGTTAACTTAAAAATGAACAGCCACACCTGGCGTCTATAGTCCCAGGTCCTTGGGAGACTGAGGCGAGAAGATCTCTAGAGCCAGTAAATCAGGAGTTGGGGTCCAGCACGGGCAACATAATGGGAAGCCCTCTCAAAAAAAAAAAAAAAAAACCAGATACACAAAAACAGTAAGAGCCACAAGACGCACCCCTAGGCCTCTATTCTCCCCATGCCTCCCTGATAGTAAATGAAGTATAATTTTGTCCATTCTGGTGATTAAACAAATAGCATCTTCGGATCTAACGTCCTATTTCTCCCTAAACTCAATGAAGAGTTATATTCACAAAATGACTAATCCATTCATAATAAGCCGGAAATAAAAAACCCTGAAGTTTAAATGCAATAAAAAAGAATTTGGCAGAACAAAGTTCAATTGTCCATTTGCAAAACTCACCAAAACAATTTAATAACATTAAAGCAAACCAGGTATATCTCAAAACTGGCTGGTACTCAAAAGGGTTTCTCTATCAAACACTGCTTTGTGCATTCGCGCAGGGCCAAGGCACGGCCCTTGGGCAAAACTGAAGGGAGCCGTTGGTACCTGCACTCCCACCTTTCCTGCCTGAACTCCTTTCGACCCAGCCCTGTCTCCGGGGGCCGAGAACTCGCCCTTTTCCCTACATTAAAAGTAAACTGTTACGTGGCTCTCTCCCACAACAGGGAAGCTCCTCAGCGTTAGCACTAGCCGCAGGGCGGAGGGTGCGTATAGCGGGGCCTCAAAAGACTACGAGGTCTCAAAGAACACCCCAAGTGTTCAGCCCTCGGCGGCAAGCTGCGTGGCCGGCATTCTGCGAGGCATAGGGAGATCGCGGGTTTCTGCACGAGACGCATTCTACCCTTGGAACGGGAGAGCGCCTGCACGCGGCTACATCGAGTAACCCTAGAGCCCTAAAGGCCAGACCCGCTCTTTTTACAAAGGAGATTTTCTTTAGGCGCCTGGACCGCGGCCATACAACTGGACAACTCCAGTTTGGTACCTACCGCCGAGGTCACCGGCGGCGGCTTTGGCCCCTTCCAGGTTTCTGGCAATGACCGCCAGTCGGTAGCCTTTCCGGGCCATTAACTGGGCCACAGCTCTGCCAATGCCTCGGGAGCCTCCAAAAACAGCACACACTTTGTCCATCTCGGAGTCACAAACTCGGAGGAAAGAGGGTAGGGAGTGGGAGCCCCTCTCCAGGTTCCCTCAGGCTTTTAAACAACCGCGGTTCCAAAAAAAAAAAAAAGAAAAAAAAAGGCAAACCGCAAAAAAAAATAACGCCGCTCGACACCTCCTGCAGCCGCACAATAGTAATGCAAGACGCCGTGAAAAGGAGGAAGAGCTCGACGTCGCCGCGTCGACGTCATCACGCACGGACTCTTCCGCGCCACACCTAACAAATACGCCGACGAGAGCTCCCCGCCGGCGGAAGAATGGCCTGGAGAGGGCCTCGATGCTTGCTGGGACCTGTAGTCTTGACGCATGAGAGCAACTGGCGCAGGCGCGCTGCTCGGTGGGGAATGTACTTGTGGCACTGAGGGGGATCCTCTGTCCCCGCTGGGTCATATCAGTCGGGATTCGAGCCCCGGTGACCAATCGACCCGGTTTGTTCGGAACTGACAGGGTTGTCAAGACGCTGGGCTTTCCCTGGCAAACCAAGACGACCTGATCACGTAGTTAGAACCCAGAGAAAGCATTACTGGGCGTGAGCCGGTCGGGGCTCCGGTATTTGCCCTTCGCCCAGGTGTTGTTTTGGCTACAGACTTGATGTCCTACCTGTTGAAGAAGTCCCCAAGAATCGCACCCACACCAAAACCTACCCTACCTGTTCCTCCCCCAGGTTGCTGTAGAAATGGACCTCTACCCGCCCAGATGTTACCATTCATCGCGAAGGGTGTCGTGAAGATGAATGCCCTGTCGAACATCATCCAGCAGGAGGTCAAGGAATTTTAACTGAATGATTGAATAGTCTTGCAAGATCTATGAAACAAGCTTCGGCTGCTGTAGAGAAACAAAAATGGGTTCCTGCAATTCTAAATAAGATGTACTGGGTGCTCTGAGAGTTAATAAGCTAAAAAATTCAATGTTTGTTACAATTATAGTGTAAACAGAAAGCATTTCTGATACAATATTATTTTACTAGATTCAGAAAAGTATGAGCCATGGTCCCTACCACTAAAAAAACTACAACCCAGAACTACAGGACTAATACACATGAAACACTAGGAGGTATCCAAAATCATACTTAGTAAAATGCAAAATTATATTAACACAAGAGCTCCGAGAAAATGGAGATCAGTGAAGAATGAAGGGGTGCATGGAAAAGCTGGATTTGAGGGCTGGATGAGGTTTGAAAAAAGGAAAACAAGAGCAAAAAGTCTATAAATAAGCAAGTTGAGCATTAATTTAAATTTGTTATTCCTATTCCATTTAGATCCAAAAAAAGATTTGAAATGGTTTGCAAAAATACATGAGTATTTGAATTTAAAAGGCAAAGAGGACCACTGCCCCTTCTCCCACAAGGCCAGAACAATAAATTAGGTCAGTGGAAAAAATACGAATAAAGTCATGCTATAAGAATCTATTTAGTATTAAAGAAGAGATTCATAAACTTAGAGTTTCCTGCCAGCGAAAGCAACAAAGGAAATATAATTACAAGTGGTAATTTCTGTAAGAAATCAGCCTCCTGGTTATGCAGCAGAGAAGCCTGAGCAAAACTCCCTCCTCATAGGTCCTCCTAAATGGCACACTAAGCATTGTAGTAGACAGTGAGCTTCATGAAAAGAAAAAGAGATTGTAAGGCTGTTTTCATAGCATCTATTAGACTTTATTAAAAGCAAATACAATAGGAAGTTAAACAATATAAGCAAACAGTCACACATAAAAATTGTGTCTTTGAAACAATATATGTTTGAAACAATGAGGAAACAAGCCTGAGGAAATTTGGGATGGTGCTATATTATAGTCAGCTTTAAAGTCAGGTGCCAAGCATTAAACAGGCCTTTAACTGCAGAAGTAATAAGATAAGAGCTGCATTTAAGAACTATTAGCAGGCCAGGCGTGGTGGCTCATGCCTGTAATCCCAGCACTTTGGGAGGCTGAGACAGGAGGATTGCTTGAGTCTAGAAGTTCAAAACCAACCCAGGAAACACAGCAAGACCCCCACCCCCCCGACCCCCATCTCTACAGAAAATACAAAAAAAAATTAGCTGGACATGGTGGCCTACCTGTGGTCCCAGCTACTCGGGAGGCTGAGTTGGGAGGATCATGTAAGTCCAGGAGGTCAAGGCTGCAGTGAGCCATGATTGCACCACTGCAGTCCAGCCTGCATGACACAGCAGGACCCTGTCTCAAAATAACAGTGTTCTAAAAAACAAACAAACAGTTTCCCAGTGATGTAAAAATGGGTCAGATCAAATTTGTCTATTCACTTTCCTACTATACACTATGCAATCTTGGAAAGAAAAAACTGTTTTACATAAATTACCAATATAAGGGTCAGCCTAAATGCCAACTGTATTCCTGCACCTTAGGTCAAACCAGAGAGGTTTATCTTTTGAACAGTTCTCTCCATTTGCTAGGAAAATGATTATTTTTTTTTCTACACATTGTTATTTTAGCAAAAAAAAATGGTTTTTAGATCTATGCCATCTATCATGAAGATCACTAACACATGATATGAGGTGACATTCAGAATTCTGAAAACCTTCCAACTTTTCTCACTGTATATATACTGTAAATGGATAAGCTGGGCTTTTTATTCAACACATACCTCAGGTTAAACCTCAAGGTTATTATTTATTTTTTTTCCCTCTTAATACAATATCACCACTATCCCGGGTGAGAATACATCTATCACAGCACATCACCCATTAGCTGAGAAGGTTACAGCAGGGGAAGTTTCTCTGTAAGCCCCTGATAGTGAAGTGAGGATCTGTAAATTAAACTGGGTCTCCCCTACCCAGCAGGACATTGAAGGAAGCCATTAGAATGACCCACCTTTAGTCTTTCCTTCTCACTAAACATGCCACTTTTGTGGTAATATTTTAACCATATGTTATACTTTAACTTAAATCCACATAGGATATATTTTCTCTTGGCTCCCACAATCGAAGGAGAAAATTCCTTATGTATAAGGACTGTTATACAAATTTTTAAATATGCATACCTAGTATTACTTTTCTGATTACAAAAGGAATACCATTTAATTGCTAACAGTTAGAAAACATAAACTTTTTAAAGTAAATAAAAACTCATTGAAAGCATTGTACACTTTAAGCGTGTGAATTGTATCGTATGCAAATTATATCCCAATGGAACTGTTATTGAAAAAGATGTAATTTAAAGCCTACTGCCCTGTTATACGAAATTTGAATCTGCAACTAATTATAAGGGGGTTGTACCTTTCATGAATATTTTTTTCATACGTCAAGATTTATAATGCCCAAGATTCCAAATATGCAGGAAAATTTATTTATAAGAAATTTATGAATTATGATTGAATATTCATTGAGAATCCTCTTTACAAATGCACCATACTAAGCACATCCAGCTTATCAGATCCATAATTGAAGCATAACCCTTCCTGCCAGCAAGCAGTCTCCCAGGATTCTTCAGGCAGTGATGATAATCTGCACGACCCAAATTGCATGTGGCCAGCTAACTTCTCCATACAGACCATGCTCTTCTTTCAAGAAGAAAGATTAGAAAGCTGCCTTAGTGTGGCTGCACAGATATAACTTTTATGATTAAAAAGCATGTTGATTTCCTCATTGGCATTCTTGTATCCAATCTGCTGGGTAATCTAAATTGTAAGGAATGTACTTTTTATCACTTACAAAAGTTTATTTCATTTTGATTGGGAACAAAAAATGTGGCCCATGAGCTTGTTATTTTGTTGAATTGGCGTTTATGCCTCTGAGGCTGCCCACCGAGACCTAAACCTGGCACTCAGTTGCCTAAGGCAGAAGCATGGAGTTTATTCCTTCCCTCTCTCAACATCCCACATCCAATCAGTCACAAAGTCCTGCTGATTCTACTCCCTAAATACCATTCCAACTTCTACACATCCATGCTTCTCCAAACACTGTCTTCTCAACCTCGAATGCTCCCACTGCTTTCCCTGGTAACATCTGATTTATCATTCAAAATGTGGCTCAAACATCTCTTGCAATGGAAGCTTCTCCTGACCCAAAGGAGGACATGCTGATGTCCTTCTTTACCCGTCCTCTTACCTTGTATGTGTCTTCAAGTCTGTATTTCATGGAGTTACTGTGACGTCAGAATCCACATAATTTTAGGAAGATAGTGAATAGATTCTCAAGGATCTGTGAACCTACCAAGCTGAATACAAAATCTCATGTGCTTTTTAGATGAGTAGCTTCTTGAAAGAGGGTCCACTTCCTTCACTGGGTTCTCAAGGGGAACTTTCACCTAAAATGGTTAAGTGCCAGGTGTAGTGGCTCACGCCTGTAATCCCAGCATTTTGGGAGATGGAGGCGGCAGGATCACTTGAGCCCAGGCATTTGAGACCAGCCTGGGCAACATGGTGAGACCTCATCTTTTTTAAAAAAACATAAAAAATAAAATAAAATGGTTAAAAACTTTCTGTTTTTAATTGCCAACTCTTTGAATCCAGAAATGATCACATTGGTTTTTGTTTCCCTGTTTGTAGCACAGTTCCTAGGGCTTGTGAATGCTAAATAAATGAGTTAACAAATGAATCAATGAGTGAATGAAATAACTCACTTAAAAGGAATTTATTGCTATAAGCAAGAACCAGTGTCGATACAGCTATGATTAAGATAGACCTGGTGCCTGTTTTCGTTGGGAAAATAATCTGGCAAGGAAGACAGACATTAAACAATTAATCATGCCATCACTATTTAATTCCAATGGTGGGAAGAACTATAAAGGAGAAGTACAGGCTGCTAGGAGGGATCATAACTAGGGGCATTGATCCAATATGGAGGCCTGGGGTCAGAGAAGGCTTCTTCTTTCAGGACATAATGTTCTATAAAGTAAATGAATAATAACAAAGAAAGATTGCAAAGAATGATAACTACAGCTACTATCCATTCATTATGTTACAAAGCCAACTAGGTGATAACATAATTTATACATGAAGAATAAAATTCTGAATTAAAAATTCACCCTTAATAATGAAAGAGATTGTTAGTCAAAGTAGAGTTAGTATTACGCCTAGATGAGATCACAGGTTGGACATTTCACCAGGAAGTACCATGGGAGAGCATAATGCCTGAAATTTTATGAAACTCTTTTTTTTTTCCCAGCCAAAAATTTTATAATGGTATAAAGCCAGCTCTGGATACTTAAAATCAGGCCCCAAATGCAGCACGCCTGCCAAGCCACATAGAAGAGGAGAACTCAGTGTTCCTGAAATTAGTTTTAAGACTGGCCTCAATCCTCTGACCCCAGCCTCTCACTATTCCATTTCCATCTCTTTGTTTCAGGGCCTTCCCCCCTCTATCCTTCTGGCTGCATAGTCTCACGTGGCTCTCAACTCACCTGCTGCATTTCCCAGACTTAAGTGAGCCTTTCCCATCCAGGCCCTGCGGCTACTCAGACTCCTAGATCTGTATCAGAGGCACGGGCCTGGCAGCCTTCACTGCACTTGGGCTCTGAAAGACGTTCTCACTCTTGCAAGTCACCTGGGAAAGCCAGAATCGATACTGTATGGTTTAACATTTGAAACTGACTTGCAGGTAATGGCTTCTGCATTTCCAGAAGGCACCCGTGTGCCTGTAGGGATCTCATTTTAAGGATCACTGCTTTTTGTTTCTCATCTACAGGCTACAGAGACCCATCTCTCAGTTTGGATTTTGATTAAACAGTTATGCAGAGTAGAAAACTTGGGCCATACACAAAACTTAATTAAAATAAGCCTCCACTTGGGATTAATGTATGTTATTGACTGAATCGTGTCCCTCCCCGCTCCCCCCTCTCCTGCCATATTCATATGTTCAAGTCCTAACCTCCAATGTGGCTGTATTTGGAGATAGTGCCCTTAGGGAGATAATTAAGATTAAATGAGGTTCTAAGGGTAGGGCTCTAATCCAATAGGACACCAGAGAGCTTGTGCTGGGAATCTCTCTCTCTCTCTCTCTCTCTCTCTCTCTCTCTCTCTCTCTCTCTCTGTCTCTCTCTCTCTCTGTTGCCTCCCTGTACAAGGCCATGTGAGGACACAGTGAGAAGGCAGCTATCTGCAAGCCCGGAAGAGAAGCCTCACCAGAAACCAACACGATTGCACCTTGATCTCAGACTTTCAGGCTCCAGAACTGTGAGAAAATTAATTTCTGGTGTCGAAACCACCCAGTCTGTGGTATTTTTTTATGGCAGTCCCAGCAGATACAATGTGACTGTTTACTTTCTTCTCTACTACAGGCAAGCTGCAAAGTGCTGCTAAGTAATATCACACAGCCACTGCTGATTGTGTGAGTTGAGTTGGGGAGAGGTTGTTACTATGAGACCTATTCCAGAGCAGAAACAGGAAGATTGTGAATCTCATCCTCGTCACTTGCCCATGGCCTGCAGCATCCAGACCCCTCGAGGTCCTCTCCTATCTTCTTGCCAAAGCTTACTTTCAGGGAGGACTTGGAAATTCATTCCCTCTAGGTGGTAAATAATGTAACAGCATAAAGTGTTATGTCACCTAGGGACATGTAAATTGAGCCGAGAGCCAAGTGTTAAGCTAAAGGGATGACAATCTAACAGGGAAATATCATCTAGCATCTACCTGTCCAACAATATGAATCTACTGCGAGCTCAGGAACATCCCCAGTATCAGATGTAAAGCTCTGGGGATAAGAGGGCAAAGAAGGCAATTACCTGAATTGTGGAGCTCACATGTGTTGAGAGAAACAGACAAATAAGCAGATTACGATACAGTGTGATAAAGGCTGTAAATGTGAATGAAGTGCTATAGGAACATAGAGCTTCAGGCTCAGGCCAAATAGGCAGGGGGGCATGTGTGTGTGTAGACATCTATATATGTATACATATATACACATGTGTATATTTTATTATAGGTATACATTATAGGTATGTATGCATTATTATATGTATGTGTATACATGTGTTTGTGAGAGTGTGTAGGTGGGTGGGTGGGTGTGTAAAAGTAAGCCCTTACTGGCCAGACACGGTGGCTCACGCCTGTAATCCCAGCACTTTGGGAGGCCAGAGCGGGTGGATCACTTGAGGTCCAGAGTTCGAGACCAGCCTCACCAACATGGAGAAACCCTGTCTCTACTAAAAATACAAAATTAGCCGGGTTTCACATGCCTGTAATCCCAACTACTCGGGAGGCTGAGGCAGGAGAATCGTTTGAACCCGGGAGGCTGAGGTTGCGGTGAGCCAAGATTGCACCATTGCACTCCAGCCTGGGCAGCAACAGTGAAACTCTGTCTCAAAAAACAACAACAACAACAACAACAACAACAAAAAACAAAAGTAAGCCCTTACCAAGATAACAGCAAATGCTCATTGGATAACTTAAATGCTATGTGCCAAGTACACTGTCTACTTGTGTTTAATTCTCACAGCAAACTATGATGTAGAAAAATATTGCTACCCTTGTGTTTGCAAACAAGGAAGCCAAAGCACAGAGATGTTAGATTGTCCAAGATCACACAACTAGTAAGTGGCAGAACTTGTAGAATTTCTACTCAAGCAGTCTCGCTACAGAGCCTTCTCCCCAACCACTACATGATATTGTCTCTCCCTCATCTTCCCAGGAATCCTGAAAATGTACCATATACACATAAATCCAAATCTGGAAACTGACTTTAGATAGTTGTAATTGTAGTTGAGATTCTTTTTTGGCTGCAAGAAAGAGAAGCCCTCGAAAGCAATTCAAATATGTGTTTATGATGCAGAATATGACATCAACAAAAAGCAAGCTGGGACCCCGTGGAACTAGAGATGGGCCTCATTGGGAGCCCCAGGGACCACAGCAGCACATCCCTCTGCCCCCTTAATGCTCTCTGAGGCCGTAAGAGCCCCCTTCTCTGCTGTCCTCTGTTTTAAATTTCTCCTTCCTGCAGACCCACTTTATTTACTAATCACACAGTTGAAAATGGCTGAGCCCCATAGGACTTTTCAGTTCAAGGGATTAAACTCTGACTCCCTTTGTTCAAGACAGAGAATTGGATTGGTTGTTAATGAGGGGATAGATTAGCGCCTGTGGAGAGCAGTTCTCGGGGGAGGCAGGTTGCCATGTGAGTGAGTGGGGTGCTCAAAGGCGGAAGGTGCACCCGCAGCCAAGCACCATTGCCACAGGGGCTCAGTGTGGGCGGCCTTATTAAAGGAGGCTTGGCTGGGCATGTGCTCCCCAGCAGATCAGATACACCATACAAGCAGCATCCCCCTAGGGGATCTTTGCTCAAAATAAGCTCTGTTTTAAATGCAACATGTACACCATTTAGTCTCCTTAACAGACTACTGCCTTTTTCTCTTTTTCAAATATTATTAGCTGAGCTCAATGCCCCATGAAATCTGTAAATGTTTTGTTCCAAGTAACCAGTAGTGAGTCCCAGAACCAGCACCCAACATATAATAATATGAAGAGAAATGGAAGAGGAGGTGATAATGTATGAGGAGAGAGATACGAATTTTTAAGAAGTGAAACAGACACCAATCCTATAAGGAATATGAATCAGTCCCCTCTGGCAAGTAATACTCATAATTTGCTTAACTTACTGAGTTGAGGAGTACATATTTATGGGTCCCTATATAACCTATGAGTGGGAAAAAATGGGCCAAAATTCACCTTATTTTTAAAAATGACATATTAATTTATTTGGCTAATTTACTAGGCTAGCCATTAAACCACAATAATTTTAAATAAATGAGTATAAAGTAGATGATCCTTAACCAAAACTATGGAATGTATCCTTTTTCCCTTCTACTAAATAGAGATGGAATAAATCAGTTGAAAAGAATTGGCTTAGAAGGTGACAGAGGCCTGGCACCATGGCTCACGCCTGTAATCCCAACACTTCAGGAGGCCAAGGTGGGAAGATCACTTGAGCTCAGGAGTTTGAGACCAGCCTGGGCAACACAGAAAGACCCTGTGTCTACAAAATTAAAATTGAAAAATTATCTGTGTGTAGTGGTGCGTGCCTGTGGTCCTAGCTCCTTGGGAGACTAAGGTGGGAGGATTGCTTGAGCCCAAGAGGTCTAGGCTGCAGTCAGCTGTGACCATGCCACAGCACTCTAGCCTGGGTGACAGACAGAGACCCCCTGTCTCCAAAAATAAAAAAAGTGACAGATGACAACATGAATACTTTTCATTCACAACATACACTCTAACTGTTTCAGGCAAAATTCCATAAATATATATAAAACTGGCAATATAGCATCATATATAACTCTGGGTTTAGTCTACTGAATTTGAATTCTGGCTCTACCACAAGCTGTGTAATCTTGGGCAAGTTATTAAACTCTCTGGGTTAAGATTTCTTTATGCAAAAAATAGGGAAAATAATACTGGCATGAGGTTATTGACAGCCATAAGATAGGTTGATCCTATATAAAATACTTAGCACGATGCCATCGCCTTACAATTATTAATAATTAGTAGCACCTCCTTTCAATAGGAAATAGGCATTCTGGACTTATGCATCAGACAGCCATAGTTTAGCCATCACTATTGAGAGACTTGCCTTATATTATTATTCTGGTTTCTCAGGTCAGAAAACATTTTCTTCTGTTTTTGTTTTTCTTCTGATATTCCTTACTTCTTGTATCTCACACAAAATATGTCAGTCACAATTCTGGGTCTGGCATGGTGGCTCATGACTATAAGCCCAGCACTTTGGGAGGCCGAGGTGGGTGGGTCACTTCAGGTCAGGAGTTTGAGACCATCCTGTCCAACATGGTGAAACCTTGTCTCTACAAAAAAATACAAAAATTAGCCGGGCATGGGGCACGTGCCTGTAATCCCAGCTACTCAGGAGGCTGAGGCAGGAGAATCACTTGAACCCAGGAGGCGGAGGTTGCAGTAAGCTGAGATCGCACCACCGCACTCCAGCCTGGGTAACAGAGCAAGACTCCATCTCAAAAAAATAATAATAATAAAAGTAAATAAATCAATAAATTCTGGCTTCTAACTTCCATTTCTTTCAAATCAATGTATTAAAAATATATATCTGAGGTCTGAGGGTTCAACCTGAACAAGTTTATTTATTTGTAAAAGATTATCCTCAAATATATTTCTAAAGTTCCAGTCCTCAGAATAACATAATAAAGCGTATTTCCCTGTTAGCATCTATTACATCCTCATTTTCCTTTTTAGCACAAGTCTGGACTTATGTGGAATTCTGGGAGACGTTTTGAAGCTATTGATGAAGTGGTGAATCCAACAGAAATAGATACACATGCAAAGCAGTGTGTATTGGACATGAATCACCATAGGGGTGTCTCATCCTCATCGTATCTATGAAGAAGAGATGTTAACACACACCAGCCTAACAGCAATAGCATAGATGACACAGGGAAGACATGGAATGTTTTTCTTTCCTCTCGCTTTGTTTTATTTTTTATTTTTGTCTTATTTATTTATTTATTTATTCAAGATAGGATCTCGCTCTGTCACCCAGGCTGGAGTGCAGTGGCTCAATCTTGGCTCACTGTAGCCTTGACCTCCTGGGCTCATACAGTCCTCTCATCTCAGCCTCCCAAATAGCTGGGACCTCAGGCGCATGCCACCATGCCTGGCTAATTTTTTTGTATTTTTTTGTAGAGATAGGATCTCACTATATTGCCCAAACACATCTCGAACTCCTGGACTCAAGCGATCTGCATGCCTCGGCCTCCCAAAGGGCTGGGATTACAGGTGTAAGTCACCGTATCTGGCCTATTTTTGTGTTTAACCAATACTTTTATTTTTTCTTTTAGGTTGGACAAAACGTCTAATGTATAATATTAATATATTCACCTTTATACCAATACAGTTGTGAAATATAATTTTCTTTCTTCTTTTTTTATTAAGTCCAACTTTTATTTTAGATTTGGGGGGCACATGTGTAGGTTTGTTACATGGGTATATTGCATGATGCTGAGATTTGTGATACAAATAATCCCATCCACCAGGTAGTGAGCATAGCAGCCAATAGTTTTTCAACCTTTGTCCCGCTTCTCCCTCCCAACCCCCACAAGAAGTCCCCAGTGTCTATTGTTTCCATTGTCAAGGACATGGAATTTTTTGTGACGCACCACAAAATATCAATATATTTAATTTCATCACATGATCTAAGAATAACTTAGTAGCAGAAAATGTATACTTCATATTACAGATATTTCACGCTTAAAAAAATCACAACACAGGTCCACATCAATGAGGAGAAGACTAACTCTAAAACTATGTGATGGCCGGACACAGTGGCTCACGCCTGCAATCCCAGCACTTTGAGAGGCCAAGACTGGTGAATCACCTGAGGTTAGGCGTTCGAGACCAGCCTGGCCAACTTGCTGAAACCCCATCTCTACTAAAAATACAAAAAAATTAGCCAGGCTTGGTGGCACACGCCTGTAATCCCAACTACTTGGGAGGCTGAGGCAGGAGAATCGCTGGAACCCGGGAAGTGGAGGTTGCAGTGAGCCGAGATGGCGCCACTACACCCCAGCCTGGGCGACAGAGTGAGACTCCATCTCAAATAAATAAATAAATAAATAAATAATAAATAAAACTATGTGATCAGCTGTGTTCAAGTATTTAAATTAATATTTAATTAGCACGTCTTTGTTAATCTGGGGGATTCATATATCTGAAGACCTGAGCCCACGGATGCATGGTGAGAATGTGTTGCACTCCCTTCACTGTGGCAGAGCCAAGGAAGACAGCAGTGAACCGCAGTTATTCCCCTCATGCTGCAAGATGTGTGCTGAACAAGTGATTATAGTTATGAAAAATGTTAAGAAAAGAAAGTGCAGGTGGAGGGGCCGTAGAAATGAATAATGGGCAATTAGCCTAGCCTGGGCAATCAGGAGAAACTCCCTAGGAAGTTCCACTTAAGTTGAGTCTTGGTGAATGAGAAAGGGTTAATCAGGTGAAGAAAGCTGTGGGGCAGGAGCTGTTAAATGTGGAGAAGAGAGGTCTAGGCACCTGGCTACATAATGACCCAGATGGAAACTATTCCAGAAACTGAACCTCAGTAATGTGCCTGAAGCTTGAGAAAGAAGGGAATAGAAAACTATAAGATGAGGAAAAGAGATTAAGCATAGGTCAGATTATGCTAAACCTCATAGGACACATTGCAGATTTCGGTGTTTATCTTAAAGAAAATAGAAAGCCATAGAAGGCTGTTTTTGTTGTTGTTGTTGTTGTTTGTTGTTTTGGTTTTTTTTTTTTTTTAGACAGAGTCTCACTCTGTCACCCAGGCTGGAGTCCAGTGGCTAGAGAATTCCACTCCCACTTTCCTGATGATCTAGTGAGGCTGCCAGTGACTTAACCCAACCCTCCAGCCTTTGAAAAATCAGGTAACCTAGTCCAGAGAAATAAGCATCTTTCTCCTAAAAATATACATCTTAAGAAGAACCAAGAGTGGTTGAAGATGAGCCCAGTCATCCATGGAGATGTTGTACCCAGAAAGCTGTCAGGACTTCCTGCTGCGAAGATGCCCAGAGTCCCCCAGTTCTGAAACTGAGTTGTTTAACTCTTCCTTGATTCTGTGAGGTCCCCAGTATTATTCTAATAAATGGGCTTTTCTCATTTAAGTTTGGCGGGGTGGGTTTCTATTGCTTGTGTCCCAAGAACTCTGACACTGCCAGGCAGTGTGCTAGGTGATGTATATGATAATTTATTTAATTTAATTTTTCAAAGGAAGGTATCATAATCTCCATTTTACACACAATGAAAATGAAGCTAGTTGAGGTTACAGTAATTTGCTCACAGACACACAGTAAGTGGTGAAGTGTGACAAGGGGCTTGAGTCTTTGCCTGGATGCCAAAGGCTCTGCATGTTCTTCTATGTCACAAATGAGCAAGGATATTAAAAAGTTTTCATTCATTGCCACATAAGCTTAATATTTCAGACACATTTTGCATTAAATGATCTTACCAGGTAGATCATTTGTTATATCTGCTGATACAATAGAAATTTTCTTAGAAAAGCACAAAATGAAAGCAGAGAGAGATTATTAACAAGTTAAAGTTCTGTATATTGTTTTAATATACATATGTGTGTTTAGTTCCCTACCTAAAATACATCACAGTCACACAACATTCCGATCTTTTATTCTCTACAATTTTTTTTTTTTTTTAGATGGAGTCTTCCACTGTCGCCAGGCTGGAGTGCAGTGGCGCAATCTCCGCTCACTGCAACTTCCGCCTCCCGGGTTCAAGCAATTCTCCTGTCTCAGCCTCCCAAGTAGCTGGGACTACGGGCATGTACCACCACACCCAGCTAATTTTTGTATTTTTAAAAGAGACGGGGTTTCGCCATGTTGCTCAGGATGGTCTCGAGCTCTTGACCTCGTGATCCGTCCACCTCGGCCTCCCAAAGTGCTGGGATTACAAGCGTGAGCCACCGCGCCCGGCCTTTCTACTCTTTTGTGTTCCAAATTCTTTTGTATTCCATCATAATAATAACAGTGTAATTGCATGCAGTCTTACAATGGTTTTTAAGTCTACTCGTGACAAGAGCACAGTTATAGCCATGATATTAAACAAAAGGAAAACACGACAATCAATAACGATGTACATATAAGTACATATAAGGAATTGTACTAAATGTTGTGGGATAAACAAAATAAAAGAAATAAACATTTTCTTCAAGACACTGTCTCATTGGAAAGGCAAATAACAAAGATATGAAAAATAAAATAGGTAGAAATGGAATAAAAATGCAAAGGTAGCACGTGACTCCCTGTGAAATGATGTTTTAAGAGAGTTAATTACAAAGTCCTATGAACCCAAAAGGAAAGTGCTCAGATCCGGAAGAATAGGAAATGAAGAACAGTATGCTTGTGTCTGTCCACAAGAAAAATATATGATGTCTAAATAACAACCTAAAATAATGAAAGATTTCTGTGATGCATGGCTGACACACAGTACATCTTCATCTCAGGGGAGAATTTCCAGAAGTTGATTTTCCAGATTTATAGAACACAACTCCTGAGTGGTCACTGCAGCAACTGTGTCATTTTTCTACTTTTTCCAGCTGAACCAGTGACAAGTTACATCACTAATCCTGAGCTTATTAAGAAGTGTCACCATCTCATGTTGGAAACCTCTCCGGAGGGTTTGGTACTGTTCTCTCAGGTAGATTATTTAAGATTAATGTCCTGATATGACAAACTGCATTTTTAATCTGTCATCAAAGCAGATTATCAGAACCAGAAATGACAAGATTTAACACACAGTTTTTCATGCCTAAAACTAACAGCAAAAACTACAATGCATTTCACTACATTCAAAGTAAACATGATATATTAATGAATGGTTTTTCCTCTGTCACCGAATAATTATAGATTCCTTCTTACTAAAAACAAATTATGTTTATTTCCCTTAAGAAGACTATGATTAATTATACACAATTACACTTGCCTTTAATTGAACAGATTTCTTCTTTACTCTGGATTAGTGGGTTATTGTATATTATTAAATAGCTTCAGAAAACCCAAAGAAGGAAACCTTTCTCTTCAGAACTAAAGCTGGGTAAGTAATGGTGGTCGTGGAACTATGGATAGGGGTCAAAAAAGTTTCATTTTCTTGTTAAAATGACCTATGGCAAACAGAGCTAACAGTGTCTTACAGTTCTGATTTATTGGAAGCACATTGATATGCCTGAATCTCAGAAATTGTATTGGAAAAGCCACAAATGAAAGCTGAGAGAGATTAACATGTGGTGGGCTAAGACTTTGTAAAGATAGATTCCTAAGGCAGGATTTCTCAAACTCAACAATATTGACATTTTAGGATGTATAATTTTTGTTGTTGTTGGGGGTTGTCTTGTGCACCACAGAATATTTGCAGCATCTATCCACTAGATGCCAGTAACGTACATCCTCACAGTTGTGACAAACAATGATATCTCCAGACATTGCCAAATGTCTCCTAGAAGGGGATGGGGGCGGAGTGGGGTAGAGGGGAGCAAAATTGCCCTGGTTGAGAACCACCACCCAAAATTGTAGCATTCCTGTCTGGCCCCAAATCTAGAGGACATTGTACCTGATTCTGCTAGATGCTGAAAGTGTATAATTCTGTTGTGATAACAGAATATCCAGAATAAAGACCATACTTCCCAGCCTCACCTCCCTTACAGCTAAGTAGGGCCATGCTTCTAAAGTCAGGTTAACAGGATTTAAGCAAAAATTGTGTGGGAACTTCCTGGTCATGCCCATAAAAGGAAAAAAATATTTCCTTCTATTCTACTTTCCACCTTCTTGCTGGCTAGTTATAGACATGATGGTGAGAGCCAGAGCAGCCATACTGGACACAGGGATTGGAGCTGTGTGTTGAGTATGGCAGAGTAACAACAGCATGGGTGGCTGGATGTTTGACATGGTAGAGGTCCCATATCAGCTTTGAGACCTGAGAGAGAATAAACTTCTCTCTTGCTTAAATCTCTGTTCTATCAGGTTCTTTGTTATAGCAACTGGCATTTTCGTGGTAACTAACACACATCCCAACTGCTGTTGCATGCGCTAAGCCAAAAAGGCAGCAATGAAAAGAGGAGGGATCACTTCTTGTCCTTTTGGGTAAGACCAAGTATAAAACAGGGAGCTTCCTTTGTCCCACTGGAATCTAAAGAAGCTCTAACTGGGTCTACATCCTTGATTGGAAAACAGTCATTTTTAATTGTAACATAAACAAACACCAGGGAAAGAAACAGTGAGCAGTGAGGGAGGACGGAGTTAGTGATTCAGTCAGACCAACTGAATTCACACAGGCGATCCAATAGGAAGACAGTGTGCACAGTTGGTCTTTTCTTAGCTTACACTGAGATTCACGTCTGGACAGGTGAGGCTGGCGAAGTCCCCTACACAGCTGTTTATTTGCATGAGCTGGTTTGCCACGCAAAGAGCATGCTAGGCCAGGCACGGTGGCTCATGCCTATAATCCCAGCACTTTGGGAGGCTGAGGCGGGCAGATTGCTTGAGCCCAGGAGTTCAAGACCAGCCAGGCCAACATAGGGAGATCCCGTCTCTACCAAAATTAGCTGGGTGTGGTGGCGCCTGTAGTACTAACTACCCAAGAGTCTGAGGTGGGAGGATTGCTTGAGCCCAGGAGATCAAGGCTGTGGTGAGCCAAGATTGCATCACTGCACTCCAGCCTGGGTGACAGAGCAAGACTATCTCAAAAAAAGAAAGAAAGAAAAATAAAAAGAAACGAAGGAAGGAGAGAGAGAGAGAGAGAAAGAAAGAAAGAAAGAGAGAAAGAAGGAAGGAAGGAGAGAGAGAGAGAAAGGAAGAAGAAAGAAAGAGAGAGAAGGAAGGAAGGAGAGAGAAAGAAAGAAAGAAAGGAGAAAGAAAGAAAAAAAAGAAAAGAAGAAATGGCATGTTAGGTTGTACTTTTGTGGGAATGTAAGAATGAGAAAGACATTATCAGTGGAACGGATGGCCTTGTGTCTGGTCACCTGTCCAGCCCCATGGACAATGTATGAACCAATGAAGAGTGAACGTTCATAAGCTCAAGTGAGGAAATGGGTTCAGAAAGGTAGTCATGAAACGCATGGCACAGAGCATGACAAAGAGTGCCCAAAGCAGGGGGGAGAGCTCTCTCCCCACTTTGGCAAGGAATGCAGCCCCAACTGCGTGAACTTTCTAGTTCCTCCATGGTGACAACCAGAGGACCAGGGCGGAAGCTTAGGGGAGGGGAGGGCCCTGCAGATAACATTGTACCTCACAAGGACCTGCAGAGAACAATGGTGTTGAGCAGTGGGACCGGACTTTGCTTATAAGCACAAGTGAGATACCCCATAGAAATACCCAGAAATGCTTTACGATGGAGGACATTACAATAAGATGAGGCCATGCATCACTGGGGGAAGCCTTAAGCTGGCAAAGGTTGACCATTAATGTTGACGGTCCCCTGTGGCAGATAATAGTGAATTCCTGACCCAGTCAGCATTCCAAGGCCCTTCTCCCTACCATGTTGTTCCAGCCATGAGGGGATCTGAGGCAGTGTTCTGGGCAACATGACCAAAACAGAACACTAGTGGTGTTCCTGAAAAAAAAAAAAAAACAATTTTTTTTTCTGTGATAGAAACACTGCCTTTTCTCCTTCTGTCTTCTTCCTGGAGGAATGTGAACATGATTCCTGAAGCAACAGCAGCAGCAGCCATCATCTTTAAGCCTCCGCAGTCGCTGATTTCTGCATCTCTTGTTCTGTGAGGAAAATAGCCCCATGTGCTTAAATGGCTGTAGTTGAGTTTTCTAACACTTGAAGCCACTGCTGATTCATGGCTACAGGCTGATAAAAGCAGGGGAAATTTATATTACAGCAAATGTTGCTGCCATCTCTCCTGAAAAAGTGGTCTGAGGATCATATACAAGCCAAATATCTCCTTTCACATACTTTGCCCAGTCTATATGTGGCCTTTGTCATCTCACAATGTTTTCATGTTCACTTACTCATCTAAAAAGTTTGTTACTGGCGAGGATGTGGGAAAACTGGACCCCTCCTATACTGCTGGTGGAAGTTTAAAATGTACATCTACTCTGGAAAATTTCTTGACAGTTTTTCATAAAACTAAATCTGCATTTGCCACATAACCTAGCAATCATATCCTCTTGGGCATTTATCCCAGAGAAATGAAAACTTATGCTCATATACACAGAGAATAAGTCTGTATATGAATGCTGATAGTAGCTTTATTTGTAATAGCAAAAAAACTGTGAACAATCCAAATGTCTTTCAAAGGGCAAATGGTTAAGCAAACTCTGGCATATCCATACGGTGGAATACTATTCAGCCACGCAAAGGAATAAACTATGGATACATGCGACAAACTGGGTGGGTCTTAAGGACATTATGCTGGGTGAAAAAGTCAATGTCAAAAGGTTACATACTGTATGACTCCATTTATAGAACATCCTGGAAATGACAAAAGTGTAGAGATGGAGAACAGATTAGTGGTGGCCAGGGATTATGAACAGCGGACAGAGGGAGGATGCAAAGGGGTAGAATGAGGGAGTTCCTTTGTGCTGATGGAACAATTCTGTATCCTAATTGTTGTGTTAGCTACAACAGTAATTATGTACTGATCTATAACTGGGGTCAAATTGCATAGAACTATAAATACACACACACATGAGTGCATGTAAAAACTGGAGAATGCAGAGTAAGGTCTATACTCTAGTTACTAGTGTTATTCCACGCCAGTTTACTGGTTTTAATATGGTACTATGGTTATATAAGATGTCACCACATGGAACTCTATGTGTTAAGTGTTGCAGCTTTCTGTGAGCCCATACATATTTCAAAATAAAGAGGTTTTTTTTTATCAGCCTTAATAATCAGAAAAAAAGGAATAACTGATGACTCAGAGTATCTTTTCCGAATAAAATCTACAATCATTTTCCTTCAAATTTCTCATATGATTTTAAGCTTGATAGATATTTCGTCTCATTAAAATTTACGTGACATGGCCGGGCGTGGTGGCTCATGCCTGTAATCCCAGCACTTTGGGAGGTGGAGGGGGGCGGATCATGAGGTCAGGAGTTCAAGAGCAGCCTGGCTAACATAGTAAAACCCTGTCTCTACTAAAAATACAAAAATTAGCTGGGTGTAGTGGCACACACCTGAAGCCCCAGCTACTCAGGAGGCTGAGGCAGGAAAGTCGCTTGAACCCAGGAGGCGGAGCTTTTAGTGAGCTGAGACTGTGTGACTGCACTCCGGCTTGGGTGACAGAGCGAGACTCCGTCTCAAAAAAAAAAAATTAACGTGACGTAACCATAGAAAGAAAGAAAAAAAAAGTTTGGCTTTAGGGAGAAGAAAGCAGAGAACAATATGTATCCTTTGGTCTTAGAAACGAATGGTAATGAAACAACAAAAATAGTTTCACAAATTTTTACTTAGAAAATTGAACTTAAGAGCCTTGTTTTGTTTTGTTTTTTTGGTGAGGCGGCGCGGGGAGTTTTGTTTTTTAGCTGGGCATGGTGGCATGAGCCTGTGGTCCCAGCAACTAGGGAGGCTGAGGTGGGAGGATTGCTTGAGACCAGGAGATGGAGGCTGCAGATGGAGGCTGCAGTGAGCCGTGATTGTGCCACTGTATTACAGCCTGGGTGACAGAGCAAGACTCTGTCTCAAAGAAAAAAAAAAGAGTCTTGTTCAAGCATAAGCAATGGGTCAAAAAATAAGGTAACTATAAATACAGTGCAGATGTGAATTTTTAAGTCAGTAACATTGTTTGGGGACTTGATCCAGTTACCTTTTATGGTCCAAAGAAAGACTCTCTGTCACCCACCACACGATTAGTCATTTTTTTCTACCTCTCTTGAGAAAAAATGATGAAATTAATAAATTGTGACTATTAAGCAAGTTATACCAACGCCATATGCAATTTTCCCAGAAAGACAAATTGTAAAGGAAATGCTTGCAAAGTTCTTACACAAACTCTCTTGGAAGAGAATAAAAGAGCAGCTGTGCACTGAGCCCCCCTGGTTGTCTGAAATGAGGTGGTGAGCCACCATTGAGTGTATCAGTTACCTTTGAAAGTTATTACCGTCCTCATTTTCATCTAGAGGGTAATAAAAGGTGTCAGAAAGTTTTTGCTTTTTGAAGCAGTCATCTGCTTATTTCTAGAAGTAACTGTAGATTAGCGACTAAATCCCCAAATTAAATAAAAAGAGGAGTCCAAATTGCTAGAACTTTTGAAAGAATTACTGCAGCATAAGCAGGTGTGGGCGTTATATAAATGTGTAGCATTATCTTGGGTAGAATTCAGAGGGCCCAGCAGAAAAACTGGTTTTGGTCATCTTGTGTCCTGAAGCTTCAGACCCATTACTTATCAAAAAAAAAAAAAAAAAAAAAAAGTAAACTACAAAGGGAAGGGAGATATCCTGATTTTGACAAAGCCCGAGTATGTTCATGAACAACTCTCACGTTTTAAAATTTTACCTGTGACCTCTGGTAATTTGCAAACATGAAGAGACATGGAAGACATTCTGGAAGCACTAACTGGATTATGCAAATTGAAAAACTGCAGATATCTTCACTCCGAACATGACCTACCAATGTCAGACCCACATTAAAATCATGACAAATAGTGGCCACTAAATGAATTCCTGAGTAAATGAGATTACACCAAAACTTCTAGTTTATACTCTCAGTTTAAAATATATTTGGGGGTTATTATATGATTAAATTCAAATTTCAATGGTAATTTTCAGAATATGTGAAATGCCAGAAGATACATCACAATTATTCGGAGTTATTTATAAGGATTAAACCTCTGGGGGGAAAGGAGAGAGCCATTTAGGGGGTTTGTTTATTTAGCATCCCATCTGCAGTAGAACTGAATATTTTAAAAAAGCAAAAAGCTGAATGATGACATCAATCTAAGGATCCAAGGTATCCAACTGTTAGGAAAGACTGGATCGGAGAAGATTGTAATTGTGACCATAATTCGTATTGTACACATTGGTCAATTTCTTTAACAGCGGCTGCAGAAAATGTCAAAGCTCAATTTTTTTTCTCCTCCAACTCTTTGATATTTTGCTGTGTGACTCACGTCCTGTAGTAACTCCTGGCTGACTTGAAAGCCTTTCTAGGACATCAATTCTCAGGACTCAATTTTCTCTATCAGATTGTTGCAAATAAATCTCATTTTATATCTCAGCTCATAAGAGCAGTGAAAATGCTTTACTGTGTCTCTGCTTTCTATTGCTGTGTTTAACGCTACAGCTGAGGACTTGATTGTCCCTCCAAGAGACACGTAAGATGGGAATGTGAATTCCCTTCCCCCATCCCTTGGCTCCCAGTGACAATGGAGCATGAAGATAGTAAATCATCGTCATAATTGCCTAGACCTATCTAGTCAACTGGCTTAATAAGACGGGAAGTAGGTTGCTGAGAAAGAGGAATGACGTTTTAACAAGACGACTCAAATCAAACTATAATTTATCCTTCACAACACCTTTAATTTTTCCGGAAAGTTATCAGAAGCAAAATCGCCATTTTGAAGATACCAAACACGGCTTAACCCTTTTCAATCACTTCATTAAGTCAACAGAAGCATACAAAGCATTCTTAAAATATTTGCAAATATATGCTAGCAAAATTCCATCTAACTACCTCATTATCTGGTAGTTTCGTAGCATTTGAGTTTTAAAATATTGTCTTTGAAAAGACAGAAGTTCAAAACTGCGTTTTTCTGCAAGACAATTCCATACTTGCATTTCCACCTTCTGCTAAGAAATTGGGTGGACCTGAGCTTTGTGCTCACTGCCTCCAAACCTTGTTAAATATTTAAAAACCCCTGGCAGCCCAGCAGCCCCAAGTCCGCTTGGGGCTGTGTTCCGATTCAGAAACAAAGTGAAAGGTTTATCAGGGGATCACCCTTGCAACAGTTTCCGCAGGCACCTCTGGGGGCTGGGACACCGCACGCACCCTGGAGGGGCATCCTGGAGGCCACCACACGCACCCTGGAGGGGCATCCTGGAGGCCACCGCACGCACCCTGGAGGGGCATCCTGGAGGCCACCGCACGCACCCTGGAGGGGCATCCTGGAAAGCACCTAGGAATGTGCGAGCTTGGCCGCGGCTGTGCTTGTTCCATCCTTGACGCATGGCAGCTTTGTATTGTCCAGTTTCTGACCTCCATTTAGATTAGGACTCAGTAGAAAAAAATTGAAATCGCAAATACTTCTCTTAGTTCTCCCTTGATTTTTTGGTTGAAAGGCTTTGCCTGTGCTGGCCAGGCGCGGTGGCTCATGCCTGTAATCCCAGCACTTGAGGAAGCTGAGGCAGGCAGATCACGAGGTCAGGAGTTCGAGACCAGCCTGGCCTATATGGTGAAACCCCATCTCTACTAAAAATACTAAAAATACAAAAAATTAGCCAGGTGTGGTGGCGCACACCTGTAGTCCCAGCTACTCTGGAGACTGAGGCAGAAGAATCGCTTGAACCCGGGAGGCAGAGGTTGCAGTGAGCTGAGATCGCACCACTGCACTCCAGCCTGGGTGACAGAGCGAGACTCCATCTAGAAAAAAAAAAAAAAAGAAGGCTATGCCTGTGCTTTGTTTTTACTTGAACACTTTAGATCTGAGAACTGAAATCACAGCAGGGCTGGGGCTCACCTGTTTCCTTGTACTTCCTCACCTTCTCTTTTCTTCCTTTCCTTCATCCTAACTTATTTTTTAACCCTTTTTTCTTTTCCTCTTCCTTCCTTATTCCCTCTCTCTCCTCTTTCCTTTCTTCCTTTTTCTTACCCTCTTCCTTTGTTCCTCCCTTTCTTCTCCCTTTCCTCCTTCCCTTCTTTCCTTCTTCCTTCCTCCCTTCCTTTCTCCTTCCTTCCTCCTTCTCTCCCTTCTTCCTTTTCTTCTTTTCTCCATTCCTTCCCCTCTTCCTTCTTCCTTTTCCTTCCTTCTTCCCTCTGTTCCTTCTTCTTTGGGTATCTCACCTTCACAGAGACCCTCCCTCTTGCTGTCTGAAATGCCTGCTGGCCCTTGAGTCAAATGTAAGTCTTAAAACTTACATTTTTCAGTTACTTCCCTGAATCTTGTACTTGTACTTCCCTGATCAGGTACTTCCCTTGAATCTTGTCAGTCAGGATTTTGTTGCTCTTTAAAGCCTGCATTTCTGCCACGCTGTTGAGGAGATTTAAAGTGTGCTCTGTGCTGGCGTGAAAATATGCATCCTCCCTGCAGCCTTAGCTTTAAGCAAGAGGCAAGCACTGATGGGGGGTAGCCCTCACCTGGTGTCCTGAAAGGGAGTAGTCTAGGAATGTGTGTTCTACACTGGCAATAGGTTTATTTGCCCATGATTTTGACTTTAAAAAGAAAACTTCAAACACAGAAGTAAGTATACTAAACAGTGACTGTATTAGGCTTGTCCTTACTGATTTCCTCTTCACAACTATGCCCAATTTACACCTGTGGAAACAGAGGCACAGATAGGCTAAACACACCCCCAGTGATGCACAGCTGGTCTGTGTCAGGGCCAGGATTTGAAAGCCAGGCGGCCTGGTTCTGGAGCTCTGCCTAGAACCACTATTCTGCAATGCCTCTGTCAGTAGACGGAAACATAGGACATAGTTTAGAGGGTTTTCATACATATATAGGGTGACACTGTTCATACTATTCTGACATTTAAAATCTTTTCTCAGCCAGGTATGGTGGCTCACACCTGTAGTCCTAGCACTTTGGGAAACTCCTGGCTTGAGGCCAGGAGTTCAAGACCAGCTTGGACAACATAGTAAGACCCTATCTGTACAAAAAATTGATAAATTAGCTGGGCATGGTGATACACACCTGTAATACCAGCTACTCTGGGAGGCTGAAGTGGGAGGATCGCTTCAGCCTGAACGATTGAGGCTGCAGTAAGCCATCATTGCACCACTGCACTCCAGCCTGGGCAACAAAGCAAGACCCTGTCTCAAAAATTCAAGAAATCATTTCTCAAGGGTGATGAGGAGTGACTGCTTAATGTGTATGAGGCTCCCTTTTGGAGTGATAACACCGTCCTGGAATTAAAGAGAGGTGATGGTTGTATTGTAGAACCTTACTCCTTAGTTCAGCTAAATCTCAGGTTCTTGTCACACGACCAGGAAAATTTAGGCACACGGACACATTGAAGGGTGAGTAGAGCAGGACTTTATTGGGCAAAAAGGAAAAAAAGAAAAAAAAAACACTCAGCAAAGTGAGATGGAGACCTGTAACATGCCGTCCACCTCACAGACTGAATCCCTGGCCACCACACAGGAACCTGGGAGAGCAGGCTCCTCCCCTGTGTAGGGTGCCAATTCCCCATGGCTCCACCCACTTCCCCCAGTGCGCATGTGGAGCTCCAGTCCACTGTGGGCATGCCCAGACAAAGCTTTGGGCAGAGTCCCTCATCTGCACGAAAGCATCCGATGTAAACACTTGTGGGGCAGGTTGGAGATTCTCTGGGGACCCCTTCTTATCTGCCTAAGCATTTGGCTGTCTCAGTTGCACACTATGAATGTATTAAATGCCACTAAATTGTACACTTAAAAATGGTTTGTGGTTAATTTTATGTTATGTGAATTTTGCCCCAATTAAAAAAAAATTAGTATACTGAAGATTACATAATCGTATAATAATCAGTTTGACTATTTCCCTATTTATGGACAATCAGGTTATTTCCAAGGTTTTGCTCTTACAATTTATGCTTCAAAACAACTTCCTTGCACTTATGTGTTTGTACACATATTTGAGCATTTCTATAAGGCAGTTTCCTTGAAGTATACACATATTTGAGTGTTTCTATAAGGCAGTTATTGAGTTGGAGGTTGTTCCTAGTTTAAGTTTTGATAGATACTACCACAGTTCCCTCAAAATAAAGAAGTGCCAATGTGTGCACTTAAGTAAGAATCACCACTCAAGATTTTTTTTTTTTTTTTGAGACAGAGTTTTGCTCTTGTTGCCCAGGCTGGAATGCAGTGGCTCACTGCAGCCTCTGCCTCCCAGGTTCAAGTGATTCTCCTGCCTCAGCCTCCGAAGTAGCTGGGATTACAGGCACCCGCCACCAAGCCCCACTAATTTTGGTATTTTTAGTAGTAGAAACGGGGTTTACCATGTTGGCCAGGCTGGTCTCGCACTCCTGACCTCAGGTGATCCTCCCACCTTGGCCTCCCAGAGTGCTGGTGTGTCCGGAATTGGTGGGTTCTTGGTCTCACTGACTTCAAGAATGAAGCCGCGGACCCTCGTGGTGAGTGTTACAGCTCTTAAGGTGGCGCGTCTGGAGTCTGTCCCTTCTGATGTTCAGATGTGTTCAGAGTTTCTTCCTTCTGGTGGGTTCGTGGTCTCGCTGGCTCAGGAGTGAAGCTGCAGACCTTCACGGTGAGTGTTACAGCTCTTAAGGCAGCACGTCTGGGGTTGTTCATTCATCCCGGTGGGCTCATGGTCTCCCTGGGCTCAGGAGTGAAGCTGCAGATCTTCGCGGTGAGTGTTACAGCTCATAAAAGCAGCGTGGACCCAAAGAGTGAGCAGTAGCAAGATTCATTGCAGAGTGAAAAAACAATGCTTCCACAGTGTGGAAGGGGATCCAAGCGGGTTACCAATGCTGGCTCGGGCAGCCTGCTTTTAGTCTCTTATCTGGCCCCACCCACATCCTGCTGATTGGTAGAGCCGAGTGGCCTGTTTTGACAGGGTGCTGATTGGTGCATTTACAATCCCTGGGCTAGATACAAAGGTTCTCCACGTCCCCATCAGATTAGTTAGATACAGAGTATGGACACAAAGGTTCTCCAAGGCCCCAGCAGAGCAGCTAGATACAGAGTGTCGATTGGTGCATTCACAAACCTTGAGCTAAACACAGGGTGCTGATTGGTGTGTTTACAAACCTTGAGCTAGATACAGAGTGCTGATTGGTGTATTTACAATCCCTGAGCTAGACATAAAGGTTCTCCAAGGCCCCACCAGAGCAGCTAGATACAGAGTGTCGATTGGTGCACTCACAAACCCTGAGCTAGACACAGGGTGCTGATTGGTGTGTTTACAATCCCTGAGCTAGACATAAAGGTTCTCCAAGGCCCCACCAGAGCAGCTAGATAACAGAGTGTCCATTGGTGCACTCACAAACCTTGAGCTAAACACAGGGTGCTGATTGGTGTATTTACAATCCCTGAGCTAGACATAAAGACTGTCCACATCCCCACCAGACTCAGGAGCCCAGCTGGCTTCACCTAGTGGATCCCACATCCGGGCTGCAGGTGGAGCTGCCTGCCAGTCCTGCGCGTGCGCTCGCATTCCTCAGCCCTTGGGTGGTCGATGGGACTGGGCGCCATGGAGCAGGGGGTGGTGCTCGTCAGGGAGGCTCGGGCCGCACAGGAGCCCATGGAGTGGGTGGGAGGCTCAGGCATGGTGGGCTGCAGGTCCCGAGCCCTGCCCCGCGGGAAGGCAGCTAAGGCTGGGTGAGAAATCGAGCACAGCGCCGGTCGGCTGGCACTGCTGGGGGACCCAGTACACCCTCCGCAGCCGCTGGCCCGGGTGCTAAGCCCCTCACTGCCCGGGGCCGGCAGGGCCAGCTGGCCGCTCAGAGTGCAGGGCCAGCCAAGCCCACGCCCACCCGGAACTCCAGCTGGCCCGCAAGCGCTGCGCACAGCCCTGGTTCCCGCTCGTGCCTCTCCCTCCACACCTCCCTGCAAGCTGAGGGAGCCGGCTCTGGCCTTGGCCAGCCCAGAAAGGGGCTCCCACAGTGCAGCGGCAGGCCGAAGGGCTCCTCAAGTGCGGCCAAAGTGGGAACCCAGGCAGAGGAGGCGCCGAGAGCAAGCGAGGGTTTTGAGGACTGCCAGCACGCTGTCACCTCTCACTGGGATTACAGGCGTGAGCCGCCACGCCCAGCCTGGAGACAGATTTTTATATTGCAAAGTGGTTCTCCTGCTGCGTGTTGATCTCTGCAACCACATATTAAAATACAGCACACTCAAAGCCTCATTTTGTTTTACTCTGAAACTCAGATATTGGGTGGGGCCCACTATGGTTCCTGTGTCCCTAGCACAGACATAGTGGTTTTAGAGGTCCTCTGCTCCAGACCCTACTTCCACACATTGTATCTCTGTTCTACTCTAGGGGCCCAACTTCACTGGTTTAAAAAAAAAAAATCTATTTCCACCAAACATGTTGTCAGTTTGATTATTATGAAGATTTGAAGAGCCAGAGAGAGGAGTCACATCCCGCGTAGACCCAGTCATTTCATACCCAGGTCCCTCTGGAAGCCTTTTTCTATCTCTTTCTTCCCCTTCTTCCCAGGTTCCATCCTCTACAGGCAGCCTTACCTCACCCTGGCCTCTGAGAGCTGGGCCTTGGCCTAGCCAAACCCTGGAGGCTCAGCCCCTACCCAGGGAGACTTGGAGAGGCAATTTCCCCAAAGATGGCTCTCTCCTTAGGAGGAATTTTCACAGCAGCAGCTAAAAATACACAATATTCCAAACCTCATTTCAGAATGTGTTGTATCCTTCACCCTGAAGCAAGAATGTGCTGCCTCCCCTTTGTGGGAAAAGCACTCACCCTCCCTTGCGGACTTACCTTTCCCATACCTGCCTCCTACACGAGATATCTCTTTCTCTGGATCCTGACACTCAAGATCCTTAATTAACTCTGTCAGATTGTCCTTCATCTGTTTAATAACACCCATCCTGGCATAAATACCTCTACTCTTTCTCAGCAGGTAAAATGAGAAAATCACTCTCCTTTGCACAAAGGCATCTGTGCACTCCCTGCTTTCTGTCCATGCCTAATAACTCTACCTGAATCACCACAGAGATCACGTTTCACTTTTCTCAGGTATCTGAAAGACGGAGGCCTAGTCACCTCCCCCAGTGTTCATGCTGTCCTAAGAATGAGGTTAGTACAGGGACAGAAACAAATATTGTCTCCTCTCCGTTACCCACTGTAGGAAATACGGCCTCTTAGTTGTTGTCTTTTCTCAGTAGGAGAAGGGATTTCTTTTTTCTATCACAGAAAACACCCCAGAAGTACATCTGTGGCGGAATCTTGCAAAAGTAATGCCCTCCGAGAATCCAATTATTCAGGTTCTCTATGACTCAAAATCTTTAACTCTCAGGGGTTTGGGTTTACCCTGCAGGGGCAGGCAGCCAAAAAATGAGCAGCTAGAAGGAGTGAAGAATTTCCTAAGGGACAGCAGACACCTGTTACATTCGAATCCCCAGAAGCCAAAGGCTATCCTCTAATTTTCTGAGAGCTAATTGTTCCAAGACCCAAAGGGACTCTCTACATAATCAATTTCTGCAGAGACTTCATTCCCTGGTAAGAATAGCCTTTTCCTTTAATTTTTTTTTTTTTTCTGATGAGCTTAACCCATTTAATTCCATCTAATTCTTTAATGAAGTTCTGTTTTCCATACGGATTCTCACATTTTTAAGTATATTGTCCACTTCTTTCCTATAAGTATTGGTGAGAATGTCTGGCTTGCACAACTTGAGCTGTGCCTACCCAATGTCAAGAACAAAGCAAACGAAAAACAAAAGATCCAAAACAAGACCGGTTCATTGATTTGATCATCAGTTGGACAATTAGTTAAGCTGATTGCTTTACTGAATTAGCCAGTGATTTGGTCAATGTGATTAGTTGATTCACTTAACACTGTCAAACCATCTAGATAGCCAAATTCCAGAAACCTTTTAAAATAACTTGTGTTCTCTTCCTTTAAAAGTAAGCAAAAATAAGGCTCCTCTGAATTTTTTTGGGGGGGTGGGGGATTCTGTCAACTCCTGAGGAAAGTCATGTGGCTAAGAATTGTACAAAGAAGCAGTGCAAAGGCACTTGCCATCCACAAACAACAAACCCTTCTAAGAAGTACTGATACTACAGTAAAGAATCCCTGGAAATATAAATATTCAGGCTCCTGAGGAATTTTTAGTTAATCTTATTGGACATTTTGCAGTCGCAGACTCCTATCTATGAATTTCAAATGGATTCACTTTTTTCTTTTTTAAAAAATGGCAAAGGGTAACAAGTTGATTTTTCAATACAGTCTCACAGGGTCTTCTTGGTGGTCTGCAGTTTGACCCCTGATGAAATATTAATTATAAACTGCCATCCTGGGCAGCAGTAGGTCTCAGATGGGGGTCCTGTATTCACTAGTAAGTGGATATTTTTTCAAATTCTAAAAGATTTTATTCCAAGGGTACCCTGGTCTGACAGAACTATAAAGTACATAATTTTTCATCAACCTCGCTAATCCAGCCCCAGTCGCTGGCTATATCCCAGGCCCTCTGGCTAATAGGCTGCAGCCTTCGGGGAGGGGCAGGTACTCCTGGGTTTGGTGGCTGCAATGAAGTGCCCTCACTTCTTCCTATCTTTCTATCCTTACTATTTCCTGACCCCAATACCAAGGCATACTCAAACATGTGTATGTATGTGTGTGCGCACACATGCACACACAGGCACACGTGCACACACCTCATTTTAAAATTATTTTAAGAAGTTGGCAGCTTATAAAAGTAAAAGCTCACCTTCTCTATAGCCTTTTGTTAATTTCTCCCCTTTTTGGTGAGTTTTCAAATACAATGATCAGAACAGCTGAGTAGGGGAGAGACATAAAAACATGTTGGATATGATGATATATGAGTCTTTAAATAGCCTGCTAAACACAGAAAACACTCATTTGTCTACACCTCAGTTTCCCCTTTCAAAAAATGAGGGCAACTGTGTCTGCCTGTGATTTGAGAAGGATGAACAGGATCATGTTTTCAAAGTCTCTTTAAGCTTCTCTGTACAGCGGTGCCAGCAAAGAGCAAAGTATTGTTTTCCTTCGGGCAGAATAATTAAAACAAAATCTCCTGAGTCCCATCTTCATGCATGTCTCTCAAATTGATCATGTGGTGATTTTTAAGAACAGAGCAGCTCTGTGTCATTTATTTATAATAGTTTTTCATTGTTACAGTGGGGCATTCATAGCCATACCTTCAGGCTCTGGGGGACTGTTCACATTCATTAGGGAAAGGAAATAGTCTTTCTTTCAAATAGGCAATTTGATTGCTTCAGGAATGGGTCTGTAATCACTGGAGCGCTGGGATATGTTGTTGTTAATAAGATAAAGAAACCAGGCTTTCTGCAAATCAGAAGGGGTTTGGCCTCTTCTTCCAGAGACTGTAATTAAAACGGGTGGCAGTGATTCCCTGTGACCTGTGACAGGACTGGCCTCAGGCTGCAAACACCAGGTCGGAGGTGAATCTTTCAGTCTTGTCCTTTATGGAGTTCGGCAGCCCAAGTACAGCAGCCATTAAGGTCTCAAGAGTGGTCACGTAGAAAGAGTTCATAGTGAACTCCCTATTCACATATGCAGTGGGGAGGTTGGGGTCCTCGGGTTGTGGCTTATATCTATATTCTTTAAAAAAAATTTTTTTTGAGATGGAGTTTCGCTCTGTCACCCAGGCTGGAGTGCAATGGCATGATCAAAGCTCACTGCAACCTCTGCCTCCCAGGTTCAAGAGATTCTCCTGCCTTGGCCTCCTGAGTAGCTGAGATTACAGGTGCCCACCACCACACCCAGCTAATTTTTGTATTTTTAGTAGAGACGGGGTTTCGTCTCTACTAAAACCAGCCTCAAACTTCTGACCTCAGGTGATCCACCTGCCTCGGCCTCCCAAAGTGCTGAGATTACAGGTGTGAGCCACTACGGCCGGCCTACATTCAAAATAGTATAAGAGCAGCGGCCAGGCGCAGTGGCTCACACCTGTAATCCCAGCACTTTGGGAGGCGGAGGCGGGCGGATCACTTGAGCACGCCTGTAATCCCAGCTACTTGGGAGGCTGAGGCAGGAGAATCGGTTGAACCCGGGAGGTGGAGGTTGCAGTGAGCCGAGATCTCGCCATTGCACTCCAGCCTGGGCGACAGAGCGAAATGCCATCTCAAAAAAAAAAAAAAAAAAAAAGCAGTAACTAGGGGAGCCTGATGAGCTTTTAGAATCTTACTTTTTATATCCAGAGGCTATATCAGATTCAATTGCGTGGACAAATTCAAGAGTATTTAATACTTTAAATTTGACAGCAACCAATTTGTGTCCTATTAGCAATGGGTAATATAGTTTTCTGGCTTTCATTTTATCAATACTTTCAATCATGTGTTCATACAATCGGTTTACTCTGTAAACATTTATTTCCTGTTCTATTCCAGGCAAAGTGCTTGGCTCTGGGGCAAAGGGCCCTTGCCCTCAAGGAATTTGCCTACTGATCTGCCCCACACCCACTGCCTCTGGTTGTGCTATTTGGGTTGTTAGCCTTTTTAATTTTTTTCTTGTTTAAAAAATATAGCTTATTTATTTATTTTTGGAGACAGAGTTTAGCTCTGTTGCCCAGGCTGGAGTGCAGTGGTGCGATCATAGCTCACTGCAAACTTGAACTCCTGGGCTCGAGAGATCCTCCTGCCTTAGGGTCCCAACCAGCTAGGACAAAAGTTGCATGTGACCACACCCAGCTAATTTTTTATTTTTGTAGAGATGGGGTCTCGCTATGTTGCCCCGGATGGACTCCAACTTCTGACTTCAAGTGATCCTCCTGCCTCAGCCTCCCAAAGTGCTGGGATTATAGGTGTGAGTCACTGTGCCCAGCCTAGACTTTTACTTTCCTTATGTCTTGTGTTTCTTGTTATATTTAAAGTATTTTACCATTTTGGGGGGATACTCTTTGCTCGCCCTTATGAAGTTACCATCTAAACACAAGAAGGCACATTACACTAAAATAAGAAGCCTTAATTCCCCTACTTTTTGCTAACCATTTGAAACTGGAAACATCACCTTTTTCATCAAATAAAATGCAGTTTGGTGGCATTGTACATAGAACCAAGACCGGGAAAGCAAGTCTATTTGGTTATACTTGATAGAGTTCGTTTTGGTAAAGGACGGTGCAAACAATTTCTGAGGACATTGCAGCCATGGATATCTGAGGGCAACTTTTCATTTAGTGCAGATCTGCTGGCGTATAAGGATTTGAAATTGTTTTTCAAAGAGCAGATTCTTCTGTCAGTACCTTAGGGAAACTCTTTTCTAATAGAAAAAAGTCAATTCTGGAATAGAAAGAGGATTTTTCCTTGCTCTGCAGGACGGGATGCAACTGGCATTTGTGTTTACAGATGATAGTATTGGTATCATTCTAGAAGAGACTGCTCTTAAATTGTTTCCACTTCAGTGACAATGGATTCATACTTATCTATGTATTCCTTCCTGACCCTTATGACCAATGGAATTCCCTGGGGAGAGTGTGGACAAGATCTAAAGTCATATTAGTTAAGACTCTTGGGCGGCAAGTGACAGAAACCAAAAGGACTCCACTTAGGCACAAAGGGGGAATTTGGTATACATATACAAAAGTGTGTTGAGGAACCAAACGCAGGAGTACAGCCAGACCTTAGGAAGGGCAAAGTTGAGAACGAAAAAGCATCCGCATTCCCAAGATGCACCCTTGGTTCATCTTTCCTCCACTTTTTTTGCACATCTAGCTCATTCTCTGACACTAGAGTCCTGCTTTCTCTGCTTCTTTATCCACAAGGCTGAATATGGCTGAACCACAGCAACAAGTTTAGAGGTGATTGTTCTCTCATTCACAGAGACCGTGTGCCTGTCTCTCCATTTCTTCCTTCTGGGAGAAGGAATCTGATTGGCCCTGCTTGAAACAAGTGTTCAGCTCTGTCCAATCACCTGAGGCCAGCTAGGTGAGTCACTCACATGGGCAGAGTCCCTGGAAGCCCACTTCTGTGGATGGGGTGCGTCTCAGAAAGGTAGAATGGTTTGAGAGCTGGTATGTTGAGTTTTGGTAAAGATACCCCAAGAAGTGTCTCCAGGGTGGCCACCAAATTCTTGAAACACAGGGAAAAGCATAATGAATGGGTTATAAATCGTACATAATAAAAATAGTATTATCTATGTTTCCAGACTTGCTGGCCACCTCATACTACAAGGAATAGAGTTTACAGCCCTAAAACAGAAGGATTCTACAGGGAATGAATTTGTGATGTTGTCATTAGCCTGGATGTCCATTTATCTGAGCTAATCGGTCATAAATGCCCATGTGGCTCATGTAAATAAGATTCGTACATAATAAAGAGATAATTACCTCAGCTTTCTAGTTGCAACCAAATATCCTCTAGTTACAGAGGATACTTAGCAGGCTAATTAGTAGCATTCATTACCCTGCCCCTAGTTCCCCAAGAATGATTCATGTGAGATCCTAAGTAACTCAAACCCTAGTGCTCTGATTTGGAACAAAAGGAACTGAGAGCTAGAGGGATGGCCCCAGAAGGAGGCTCTACAGCTTGTTGCCATACAGCCAGAGAGGGGCATTAATTAACAACACCTGCTTGAAATAATGCACAGGACATGCCTGGCTTCAGCTTTAAACTCTTAGTGTCTGCATCCTTGTGCTCCTTCTATTTATCCTCCAAATACCATACACGTAGGCTCAGGGGACAACCGGATGGTACACTCAAATGATGACAAAACCATTGAGATTCACATAAATTAATAATTTGCCTTTCCAGTCGACGTGGAAATCCGTCAGCACTCTATTGGCAATTTCTATCAGCTCTCTTTCAAGCTCTGTCTCAATTTATCCCAGATCTCAGAGCTCCTCACCACCTCCATTGCCAATGTGTAATCAAGCCGTAATCATCTCTTCTTGATTACTGCCACAGCCTTCTAATGGGTCTCCTTGCTTCAACTCTTGCCCCTCTGCACTCCATTCTCCATAGTGTGATCTTTTAAAAGTGCAAAGCATATCCTGTCAGTACCTTTAACATTGCACTTACAGAAATAACTTCCAGATTCTTTACTATGGCCTACAAGGACCTAAGGGATATGGGTCCTGTCTGCTCCCCTTCTCTCACTTAGTACCATCTCCCCCACCCCACCCTCTGTCCCCACTTTTTTTTAATTTCTGTTCTGGACTCTACCAACCTTATTCTGGCTACAGGCTCTTTGCACTGGCTATTCCCTTAGTCTGAAGCACTTCTACCCCAGAACTTCCCATGGCTGGCTCCCTTCATCATCCAGGTCTCATCTCTGATGTTTCTTCTTTAGAGATGCCTTCCCTGACATTTTAACTAAAGCAAAACTATCTATTCCCCATCTCCCCCACATATCCCACACTAATTTCTTCACATTATGATCTGAAATTATTATATTAACATACTTGTCTGCATTTTTATCATGTTTTCCCCCCCAGAAGGTAAGCTTCATTAGGACAAGGATCTCAGGTGATTAATCTTGTTCACTATTGTGTCCTTAGCACCTAGCACATAGCAAGTGCGCAATGAATGGATATTAACTCTACTAATGAAAGAGTAGAGGAGGCCAGGCATGGTGGCTCATGCCTGTAATCCCAGCACTTTGGGAGGCTGAGGCGGGCGGATCACCTGAGGTTGGGAGTTCGAGACCAGCCTGACCAACATGGAGAAACCCCATCTCTACTAAAAATACAAAATTAGCCAGGCGTGGTGGTGCATGCCTGTAATCCCAGCTACTCAGGAGGCTGAGGCAAGAAAATCACTTGAACCCGGGAGGCAGAGGTTGAAGTGAGCCGAGATGGTGCCATTGCACTCCAGCCTGGGCAACAAGAGTGAAACTCCATCTCAAAAAAAAAGAGTAAAGGAAAAACAATCTAGCCAAGATTTTTAATTATAGAAATCTGTTAATATAAAATTTATAATATCAACTTTATATTTTCTATAAAATGCTACACAGAGGCCAAGAGTGGTGGTTCATGCCTATAATCCCAATACTTGGGGATGTTGAGCTGGAGGACTGCTTGAGCCCAGGAGCTCAAGATCAGCCTGGGCAACATAGCAAGGCTCCATCTCTACAGAAAAAAAAAAAAATTATAAATTAGCTGGGCATAGTGGGGCCTGCCTTTAGTCCCAGCTACTCAGGATGCTGAGGTAGGAGGATCATTTCAGCCCAGGAGTTTGAGACTGTGCTGAGCCATGATTGTGTCACTGTACTCCATCCTGGGTGACAGAGCAAGACCCTGTCTCAAAAAAAAAAAAAAAAAAAAAGCTACCCATTAGGTCCAAGTTGTACTCAAAGTGATTAGGTTATGAAATTGAGGCTTGCCATGAAGGTGGTTATATTAAACAAGTAACTTGTATTACCTTGATAAGATTATTACACTTTCTTCTGCTTATTAATGTTGAAACATTTATAAGTTAGGAATGCTTTGGTTATAAATAGCAACATATCTGACTATAATTTACATCTGTAGAGCTGTTCTGGCTCCTTATACTATGTAACAAAACACTCACAAATTTGTGGCTTAAAACAATATTCATTTTGCTTCCAAATCTGCAATTTGGGCAGGGCTCAGCAGGGGAAGCTCATCTGCGCTCCACTTGGCTTCAGCTGGGAGTGGGCCGCAATCACCTGAAGGCTATTCACCTGCTTACTTGGTGCCTGAGTAGATTCAAATGTCTAGGGGCTGGAACAGCTGGGGCCCCTTGGGCATGTATCCCTTTGTGCTTCCTCCATGTGATCACTCCAGCATGTTGCTCTCTTCCATTTGTTAGAAGCAACAAGCTCAAGCTGATCCATAATCAAGGGAAAAAGAATTAGACTTTTCCTTTTGATGGGAAGAGAGTCATCAAATAACTTGTGAATCTGTTTTTCTTGCATAAGAAAAAGTACAAAGAGCAATATCCCAAGGCTATTGCAATGGCTCAACAATGTTATTAAGAAACCAGACAGTACTGGGCATGGTGGCTCACGCTTGTAATTCCAACAATTTGGGAGGCCAAGGTAGGAGGATTACTTGAGGTGAGGAGTTCGAGACCAGCCTGGGCAACATAGGGAGACCTCCGTCTCTACTAAACTTTGTTTTTTTAATTAGCTGGGTGTGGTAGTGCATGTCTGTATTCCCAGCTACTTGGGAGGCTGAGGTGGGAGGATCACTTGAGCCAAGGAGGTTGAGGCTGCAGTGAGCTATGATCACATCCCTACATTTTAGCCTGGGTGACAGAGCAAGACCCTGTCTCTAAAAAAACCAAACCAAACAAAAAACAGCCCAGTCTCATGCAGTGGCTCACACTTGTAATCCTAGCAGTTTTGAGAGGCTGAAGCCTGAGGCCAGGAGTTTGAGACCAGCTTGGGCAACACAGTGAGACCACTGCCTCAAAAAAAACAAAACAAACAAACAAAAAAACCAAAAAAACCCCAAGCTCTTTTGACCATTTTTCTCAGCATCTTTAGGGTCTTGGCTTATCATGTTATGTTGATATAATGGAATGGCTTCTGCATCTCCAGTCATCACACCTGTATTTTAGGCAGAACAAAGGCAGAATGTCATTTATTCTCCACCGTGCCCCGGTATAACCATGCGGCTGAATTCCTCTTAGATTAAATTGCATCGCATGGCGCTGTCAGGAGCTCAGTAGAGCTGGAAGGGAGCTGAGCTGTCAGGTGTTAGAGTAGCCACTTGAAGCTACAACAAGCACAAATGGAAGTAATAGCGAAGACTTTAATCCCGCACTGCAGTAGTACAAGCAAGAGGCTAACACTGGAGGGAGTGCTGAGCTCTCCTGCTTCATTTTCCCCTTGGAACAATGCACCCATACGGTTCAGGGTCAGGAGGATCAGCACAGATGTGGGGGTCATCTCACTCTTGAGGGGGCCCCTAACCAAAGGCTTCCTGAAGGGTTGTGGACCAGGGGCTGGGGAGTTGGGTAGTGAGAGGGGAAAAAGCTGAGAGTGTAAAAGTACTGAGTCAGAGTGAAGAAAGGTGTCTTCCCTTAAGGGTCCCTGAGCCCTCCGAACAGAGCACCTGGACTAGGAAAGCAGATCCACAAAAGGGCAGGAGCAGCCAGAGGAGGCTGACCTCTTGCCAGAGACTCTCTGAGGTGGCACCGGCTGTGCAGCCTTCCGGTGAGGCCTGACGGGTGATGCCTCTGGAATAGCAGTCGGTCAGGCCTGAAAAAAATCACACATGGGTTTGGTTTTGTTGTTGTTGTTGTTTTGTTTTTGTTTTTGTTTGTTGGAGACGGAGTCTCGTTCTGTCACCCAGGCTGGAGTGCAGTGGCGCGATCTTGGCTTACTGAAAGCTCCGCCTCCCGGGTTCAAGCGATCCTTCTGCCTCAACCTCCCGAGTAGCTGGGATTACAGGCGCCCGTACCACGCCCAAGCTGATTTTTGTATTTTTAGTAGAGACAGGGTTTCACCATATTGGCCAGGCTGGTCTCAAACTCCTGACCTCAGGTGATCCTCCCGCCTCGGCCTCCTAAAGTGCTGGGATTACGGTCGTGAGCCACCGTGCCCAGCCACACATGGGATTTAAGCAGGAACCAGACTCCTCGGGTTCCACCTAGCCATGGGCAATTGGGGAAGTTGAAAATTTCTCTCTTTAGCCTCCACAACAGAGAAAGACAAGGGCACAGGTGACTGGCAATGAATGGCGAGTGAACAGATGGACGTTATCTGCCAGGCAGCATAAATTCCCAGAAAGAATGCTCAATGTTTGATGATTCAACTATACATTTTAAAACATGTTGTATGTTATATATGTAGCAGACATCAAATAAGAGAAAATGTGAGTTTGAGCAGAGAAATGTCAGGGAAAAAAATTGGGGAGGGAGGAAATGAGAGGAAAGGGTAGGGACAAAGACGGATCCTCTGAAGTCCACAAGGACAAGAGGTGAGTCCAACACCTGGGACTTTAGTTTCTCAAACCCAAGTTAGGTTGGTTTTGGTTTCATGTGACTTGCATGGTGGGGACAGGCCCTCCTGTGTCCTGTCCCTTCTGCATCTCGCACCCACTGTGCCTTGCCTCACAGCATCACAAAATTTGTGTAGCTTCTTTCTGGCAGTAGCAGGATAACTCCTTTGTCAGCATTAAAGATTTATAATCCAGGCCCGGCGCAGTGGCTCACGCCTGTAATCTCAGCACTTTGGGATACCGAGGCGGATGGATCACCTGAAGTCAGGAGTTCGAGACCAGCCTGGCCAACATGGCAGAACCCCATCTCTACTAAAAATACTAAAACTAGCTGGGCATGGTGGCATGTGCCTGTAATCCCAGCTACTCAGGAGGCTGAGGTGGGAGAATCACTTGAACTTGGGAGGCAGAGGTTGTAGTGAGCTGAGATAGCACCATTGCACTCCAGCCTGGGTGACAGAGTAAGGCCCTGTCTCAAAAAAAAAAAAAAAAAAAAAAAAAAAAAAAGATTTGTAATCCCAAATGAGTCCTGCAGTTTTCCAGGCTCCTCTTCAAGCAGAAAGTTCTGCAAATGAACGCCCCTAGCCCTGCATGTTTATTTACCATCTTCTCTGTTAGGCTTCAACAGCTGTAGGACCGTGCTCATATAAAAAAGAAAAGAAAAGAAGGGAAAAAAGTCTTCCTGCTAAATTCATTTCTTTAACATTTAATTTTTTTTTCCTGCCAAAGTCAGAGATGAATTAGCAATTACTTGGGAGCCAATTAAAATTCATAGTAAGCTATTCTCTGACCCTTGGGTCAGGAACAAATTTCCTATAAACCTTAGGAGGGTATCTCTCCTGGGTTTTTTGAGGGTGAGAAAAATTCATATCCTGCGCTCCAGTTCTCATTCCTCATACAGAGTGGTGGCCAGCGTGTTCCTGAGACATTGTTTGTGCAACCCAGAGACAACTCTTAATTCCCCGCTCAGTTATTTCTCTGTGATTTGGAGAGAAGATGTGGCTACAGCTGCCAGTGACTCTCAGCTGCGATTCTATGGAAGTTGTGGCAAGAAGACACAACTGAAGAAGGGAAAGATTCTCTGTTTTCCACAGTTCTGAGATTTGTGCCTTGCCTCACAGCATCGCAAAATTTGTGTAGCTTCTTTCTGGCAGCAGCAGGATAACTCCTTTGTCAGCATTAAAGATTTATAATCTGTAGAGCTGAGAAGAGAGCTGAGAAGAGACCTGAGTAGAAAGCTAGCATTACCAGGTGTTTAGCAGGTGTCAAAAACATGTTAAAGTTGAAGAGCGTCTTCTTTTCCATGAGGCAATGATACAATTGCATGGTGTAGGATCTGTGAGTGACTCTATACAAATAGAAAAGTCTATGTCACAATGTTTAGAACTTCCCACCCCAGTAGGATTAGAAAACTCTCAGATTCCTGGTAGTTGACAAATCCTTTTTGTTGGTGAGAAAAAACAACCTTTGACTTGGAGTCATTAAAAGGATTGGATACCTAAAAGGATTGGATACGTGCGAAGAAAGACAGTCTCTTTCTGCCTCTATATTTATATAAGAGCAAACGCTTTCCAGCATGGCACATCTGAAGATAATATGCCATCTCTGATACTGTGCTGTCAAAGGGACAGGAAAAAAAAAAGATTTATATAAAAAGAAATGCAAATATAACTAGCTAGTTAGCCAAGAGGGCAAAAGGAGGGAAGGCTTACATTAACCTGATCTTCACAGTCTCTAAAAACCTGACAAGAGAAATATGAATTTTAACTAGCTGCCAAGCAATTGGTTATTCATGCATGACATGAAAAGCAGGGGAAACTTTAATTTTCTCCTTGTCAGTTTTAAACAGAGAGGCTGTCAATTCAGCAAGTGCAGCTACTAAACATATTACAGAAGGGCACCATCCTACCAACATCCAGTCTCAAGATGACATCAGGCCCAGGACTGCAGCACCATTATGCTTTCATCACATTGCAAACAGCCCTGCCCCTGTTATGCACTGTTTCTTTCTTTCTTTCTTTCTTTTTTTTTTGAGACGGAGTCTCGCTCTGTCACCAGGCTGGAGTGCAGTGGCGTGATCTCAGCTCACTGCAGCCTCCGCCTCCCGGATTCAAGCGAGTCTCCAGCCTCCCGAATAGCTGGGATTACAGGCACTCGCCATCATGCCCGGCTAATTTTTGTATTTTAGTAGAGATGGGGTTTCACCACATTGGCCAGGCTGGTCTTGAACTCCTGACCTCAGGTGATCCGCCCGCCTCGGGCTCCCAAAGAGCTGGGATTACAGGTATGAGCCACCGCACCCGGCCTATGCACTGTTTCTTTTACTGGGTAGCACCATGTTCCCTGAGTTCTGCTGTCACCCTGCATTTCCAGTAAGGAAACAAGCAGCCGCTATGAACTCCTCTTCCTGGGTCATTGTCTGACACCATCAATGGGATTCTTTGGTCACATGTGATTTTTCCAGTCACTGGTCTGGTGTTAATTTAGTTAGAATCAATTTAACAACAACAACAACAATATTAAGCACTTTGTTAATAGTAGGTTCTAGGGCTCTGTGTCAAGTACCAGGTTTTCAAATATGATTTTAAAAAGTGCTGTCAGGCCCGTTTTAAAAGTGGTGGCTCACACCTCACTGAGGTTGCAGTGAGCCGAGATCGTGCCACTGCACTCCAGCCTGGTGACACTTTGGGCAGCTGAGGTAAGACTGCTTGAGCCCAGGAGTTCGAGACTAGCCTGGATAACACAGTGAGACCCTGTCTCTTAAAATAAAAATAAAATAAAATAAAGTACTGTCATCTCCTATGGGTGGGCTGTAAAAAAATATAAAAATAAAGTGCCGCAAACCATTGGCCATCTGGTAATAGTCATAGACATCCCCAGAAAACCTTTGGGTGTTTAGTAAGTGTGATGCATATTAATTCACTCAACAAACATTTATTGCTATAAATTGCTATAATATTCCCACTATGAAGAATAAGAAATACGCTAAGGACATAAAGAGATGCCGTGGGGAAGGTCCAGAACTGCTACAGAAAGACTGGCCAGGAAGGACCTCCCTGGGAAGGAGAGCTTTGTATTTGAACAAAGCTCTGCATAATGAGGAGCCAGGCGAGAAAAGATGAGGCGGGAAAGAGTTTCAGGTCAACTCCAAGGCCAGGACCAGCTTCCAGAGATACAACCAGGGGCCAGACTCCAGGGCTGCGTAGATCCTGGTAAGGAGATGGAATTTTATTCGAATTGCAACAGGAAGCCGGTGGAGGGTTGATAAAATTCTTTGGCTGCTGTGCAGAGCAAGAGTGGAAGCAAGGATTTCAGTTTAAAGGCTTTGCAGCCGCCCAGGCAAGCCGGGATATTGTTCTCTGCAAATGAACACTCTGTCCTATCTGGTTCATACTGACATTCTGATTGAGCCTTACATGAATTAAATGCCTAGTGTGTGTTTGGCTAGATGATTTTCAGTCTAAATTAGATCATTATGTCCTTAGAATATCAAGGTTCCACTGACCTATTGTTGAGAACTCTTGAAGCGTTTGCTGTGATCTAGCTACTCCGAATGTACCCCTTTGGAAACAACGTCAGGCATTTGAGAAATATCTGACTAGGGCCAGAATCAGAGGCCCATGAAATGGAAGAATTCACTGGTAAAGAAACAGTACTTAGTTCACAGCCTTGTTCATAGCTGTATCCCCAGCCCTCAGCATAGAGGCTGACACACAAATATTTGTTGAAGGTGTTAATATATGAGCCTAGTAAGAATTCAGGAAATGCTACAGTGAAATTTTAGTAGCCCAGCACCCCAACCAGCTGAGCTAAGTAGCCTTGGACACTAGCCGTGGTGTTTGAAGACTGTTTTTTCAGAAGGATGGGAATGGACCCATATCTCCTCCAAGCTTGGCATGCCCACATCCAAGCTTTATTGCTGCTGAAAGCTTCCTGAACTGCCTGACCACGGACAATCCCATCTCTAGCTAGTCCCCAGCCCCCACCTGCGAAACCCTCATCCTCCAGAGATACTCTGACCAGCTGCTGGCTCACACCCAGCGGGCGCCTGGCCCCTCACTCAGCTTCCCAGCTGCCTCTTCCTCTGCCCCCCTTCCCACCCTGCACCAAAACAGGGGTGCCTTTTGTGGGAGCAATCAAGCCCTAAATCACTATTTATATTTTTCGGAGTAAACTTAACGCTGAGAAAGGGTTCTGGAATGACTGCACTGGGGACTGAAGCCCATCTGGAAACATGAATAATGTGAAATATATCCCTCCATGGATTCCCCACAAGACCAATTACATTATCATCCTTTCTGAGAATTTCTGCCAATTTTTTATGGGGTCACCAGAAAGTTATATCTTAAGTGAAAACTGCACAGATTTATATAGGGGGTAGTTAACTGGTGGAGTGAGGTATGTGGAAGTAAACTGCAGGAAACTGTGATACTCCACAGATGGGAATGTGTGTCGATTTGGCTCTTCACTTTAGGAAGTGGAATGGATTCATTCTGCCGTTTACTGAATGACTACTGTGTGCCACACACTCTTCTAGGCACTGGGAAGAGAGCAATAAACAACACGAATGTTGCCCTCATGGAGCTGATATTTTAATAGCCTTGGAAGATGGGCTATGAAAGGCTCACGATAAAATGGTGCCCAAAGCCAACATGTGACTTTTAGTCCTGTTTGTGGTATAGACTCACCGAGCAATGTGAAGAAACTGAGTTTCTTGCTTCATCACAGCTGAGGGTGAGATAGGTGTGCTGCCCTTTCTCAAGAATGTGGGGTGGAATCGTATTCATTGTTTGAAAACTCAGAATAATAAGAGATTTGGCATTTATGTGTTCGTGCATACTTCTCTCCTCAAGCTGCAAAGTTCAACCAAGAGGTATTTGGCAGAAGGCCTTTTGCTAAAGCAATCACCTGACAATGTGAGTGGGGATCTGAGCCAGCCAGGTTCTACCTCCACTGGAGAGGTTTGATTAGGTGATGAGCACACATTATTCATAAAATTGCAGAGCGGCTGTAATTTACCACATCATGGCTGGAAATGATCTGCCTCCGAGGAGCAATGTCAATGAAGGGTCATCTTCCCTAGTGTCAGTAGTTCTTAAACTTTAGTTTCCAAGGAAGCACTGCATGTGTCTGTAACAGAAAGATACCCGTTTCTCCCCTAACAACTCAAAATGAGAAGGTCTGGGAAAGGGTCCAAGAATTCATATTTTACCACTATCCCTGCTCATTGGGCTGCAGGTGGTTCTACACTCAGAGAACCCCCACGCTGTGTTCACCATAAGACAGAGGATTCAGACCTCTAATTCCCCTCACCCGGACACAAGAGCATCTTGGCTCAAACCTCTTCTTTGGAAGGGAAGGAGAAAGGGAAGCTGGTTGGAACAGTTTCCTTTACTGATTATAGCTTATTCCTTTCTCTCGTGAATTCAGCAAATAGAGTTTGGCAACTACAATGCACAAGGTGCAGCCTACCCACTAGAGCGAGGATTTTCCAATAATGAACTGATGCTTCCCAGCCCCTGCCCCCTGGAGCGGAAGAAGTTTGTTATGGATGAGGGAATGGAATTAACGGAGCCTGAGCTGGCCGGCACTGCACTATGCGAAGTGCCCTCTCAAACACCCTTTCATTTAATCTTCCCAAGTTCTGCTCCTCATTTCCTTCAAGTCTTTACTGAACTATCCCCTTTGCAGTGAAACTTTGCAGGATCACCCTAAAGCAAACTCAACGCATCAAAAGCTGGACTCCTGATAGTTCCCCCCAACCTTTTCCTCCCAGAGTCTTCCCTGCCTCAGTAAAGAGCTATTTCATTCTCCCAGTTGCTCAAGCCAAAAATGGAATCAATTTAGTTCTTCTGCATCCCGTATCTGATCACAAGTCCTGTTAGCCCTGCTTTTAAGATACATCCAGAACCCTGCCATCTGCCCGTCTTCTGTTGCCATCACGCTTGTCCACACCCTCCTTACCCCTTGTCTGGGTGATTGCGGTGGTCTCCCAGCTGCCCTGCCAGCGTCTGCCCTGGTCCCTCTTCTTGACTATTCTTGACCCAGCGCCACCATGTTAAAATACAAATCTGATCGGGTAACTCCTCTGCTCCAAACTAGGTTTCCTTGTCACTCCGAGTAAAAGCCAAAGTCCTTACAATAACCCACAGGGCCCTGACCTGCCTTGCTCTCCCCTGTTTGCCTCTTTCTGCTCTCCCCTCACTTGCTCCTCCTGCCCACACCATGCAGTCCCAATGTGGCATCTTTGCACTTGCTGTTCCTGGAATTCTCTTCCTCCATTTGTTCACACGGCTGGCCTAGATCCCGCCACACCTTTTCATAACTACTGCTTTCTCAGTCGGGTTAGCTGGCCTCCCTGTTGAATGTTGGAACTCATCTACTATTTTTCCTATCCATCTTTCTATTTTGCACTAACATCTCCATATGTTTTTTTCTTTTCTTTTTTTTTTTTTTGAGACGGAGTTTCACCCTTGTCACCCAGGATGGAGTGCAATGGTGCCTTCTTGGCTCACTGCAACCTCCGCCTCCCAGGTTCAAACAATTCTCCTGCCTCGGCCTCCTGAGTAGCTGGAACTACAGGTGCGTGCCACCACGTCCAGCTAATTTTTGTATTTTTAGTAGAGACAGGGTTCACCACGTTGACCAGGCTGATCTTGAACTCCTGACCTCGTGATCCACCCACCTCAGCCTCCCAAAGTGCTGGGATTACAGATGTGAGCCACCACACCTGGCTTTTTTTTTTTTTTTTGAGATGGAGTCTCGCTCTGTTGCCCAGGCTGGAGTGCAATGGCACAATCTCAGCCCACTGCAATCTCCACCTGCTGGGTTCAAGTGATTCTCCTGCCTCAGCCTCCCGAGTAGCTGGGATTATACGCATGTGCCACCACACCTGACTAATTTTTGTATTTTTAGTAGAGATGGGGTTTCACCATGTTGGCCAGGCTGGTCTCAAACTCCTGACCTCAGGTGATCCGCCTGCCTCGGCCTCCCAAAGTGCTGGGATTACAGGCGTAAGCCACTGCGCCCGGCTACATCTCCATATTTTTCTATTTTTATTTTGCTTATCTCTCTTTCTGATCAGAATGTAAGCTCCATAAAGGCAAAGGTTATTGTCCATTGTTCCCTGCTATACACCCAGGGCCTAGAACAGGGTGTGGCATGTAGCAGACCTTCAATACTATTTGTTTGAATAAATGAGTTAAATAATAAACAAATGAATAAAGTTGCAATTCCCCCCTACTCTCTCTCTTCTCTGACGTATTTTCCCCATAGAATCCATCACCCTCCAATATACTCCATAATGTACATATTTATCTTATTTACTGTCACCTTTTCCTTACTAGAATGTAAGCACCATAAGAGCCAAGATTTCTATCCTATTCTTAAGTGTATCCTTATCACGGAGAAGAGTATGTGGTTCTTGTGCTTAATATTTATTTAATGAATAAACTCTGTAATGTAAGAGTATTTCTGCTGGGCACAGTGGCTCATGCCTGTAATCCCAGCACTTTGGGAGGCTGAGGTAGGAAGATCGCTTGAGCCCAGAGGTTTGAGACCAGCCTGGGCAACATAGTGAGACCCCACCCTTACAAAAAAATTGTCTTTTAGTTAGGTGGTTATAGTGGTGCACGCCTGTAGTCCTAGCTACTCAGGAGGCTGAGGTGGAAGGATAGCTTGGGCCCAGGAAGTCGAGGCTGCAGTGAGTTGTGATCATGCCACTGCACACCAGCCTGAGCAACCGAGGGAGACCCTGTCAAAAGAAAGAGTATTTTTACAGATTCAGAGATTGACTCATATTGAGAATGAGCAAATTTTGCGTGGTCATGTACACAACTAGCATGCAGCAGAGGCAGGGTTAGGATTTGTTTCTGGATGACTTTAAGTCTGTGTTCTCACAGTACACCACCGGCCTGGTCAAGAAGGCATTTGAGGCTGGGCGCAGTGGCTCATGCCTGTAATCCCAATACTTTGGGAGGCTAAGGCAGCCGGATCACCTGAGGTCAGGAGTTCAAGACAAGCCTGGCCAATATGGTGAAACCCTGTCTGTGCTAAAAAATACAAAAATTAGCCGGGCATGGTGGTAGGCACCTGTAATCCCAGCTACTCGGGAGGCTGAGGCAGGAGAATCACTTGAACCCAGGAGGCAGAGGTTGCAGTGAGCCAAGATGGTGCCACTGTACTCCAGCCTGGGTGACAGAGCGAGACTCCATCTCAAAAAAAAAAAAAAAAAAAAAGGAAGGCATTTGAGGTGGGCATTAAAGGTTGGATAGGGGCTGAGCAGGATGATTCTCTCTGCTGTAGAGTTCTTTTCTGACCCTTCTCCCTCTCCTTCACCTCACTAGCCATCATGAAGAACAGATCAAAACTTGGTTGGGTATCCCTTCCTCTGAAAAGCCTGCTCTGAATCCCCATGCCTGGCTCTGGGGTCCTGGCCTTTTTTTTTTTTTTTTTTGAGACAGCGTCTCATTCTGTCACCTAGGCTGGAGTGCAATGGCACAATCTCAGCTCACTGCAATCTCCACCTCCTGGGTTCAAGAGATTCTCCCACCTCAGCCTACTGAGTAGCTGTGACTACAGGCGCCCACCACCACACCAGCTAATTTTTTTTTTTGTTTGTAGAGACAGGGTTTCACCATGTTGGCCAGGCTGGTCTTGAGCTCCTGACCTCAAGTGATCCGCCCACCTCAGCCTTGTCTTTCCTTGTCACAGTTCTTCCTGCACAGCCTGGCATGCCAACTGCCAGTTCATCTTTTGTTTTCTCCACTAGGCTGTAAGGAGTATATGGAGGCAGGGGTTGTTTCTGTCTTGTTCACTGTTGTATTAGAGGCCCACCAGATGATCTGGTTCATATTAAGCACCATGAAGATTGGTTCATGTAGTGAAGGAGGGGAAGGAATACTTAGGCCAAAGAAATACTTGAACAGGAATCAGAATTAGCAAGCCAGTAGTGCCATGCGCCTGGGGCAGAGGTTTCAATGGGTTCCTAATGTGGGATGTGTCTAGGAAGGTGGACATATAAAGATCGTGAAGATCACTGAAGGTTCTGGATTTTTTTAAAAGCTGTTATTTGGTAAGCCATCTGGGAATCACTGAATTATGTTGAGCAGGATGGCACACAGTGCTTCTTTCAGCAGATTAATCTGATACTGATAATTCATTGAAAGGAGAAAGGGGAGATGCAGAATCTGCTGCAGGAGCCGAAACACACAGGTGGAAAATACTTCATTAGAAAGGTGGCAGTGGGAGCAGAATGGAGTAAACAGGTGCAAGAAATATTTTGAGAAAAATTCAACAGGATTTAGTGAATAATTGGATGTGGAAGACGAAGGAGACAAGGAAATTGAGGCCAGCTCTGAGGCTGTGAATCAGGATGGCTGGAAGAATAGTGGTGCCTTTAATGAAAAAAGGGGAACATTGGAAAGAGGATATAATTGGATGGAAAGAAAACAAGTTTGGCTGCAGGCGTTTCAAGCTTGAAACATTCACAGAACATTCTAGTGGACACGAGTTGCATTGGAAATTCAGGACTAGAATTCAGGAGAGATTCCTTAAATAGTCTAGCCTCTCCAACAGTAGGTGAATTAATGCTTAGCTTTCCGTGGGTTTGGCTGATGTGGACATTGAAAAATTGTGAACATTGTTTAAAGAGTTGTTTGAGTTTCCAGAAATATTTAATAATCCTTACTTATTTCATGGGGCAAAATTCTGAGTAGGCTAAGGTGTATTTCACACCTGTTACCTTTGGAGACCCAATGCTCTTTTTTTTTTTATTTTGATTTTTTAGAGCAGGCTCTTGCGCTGTTGGCCAGGCTGGAGTGCAGTGGCTTGATCATAGCTCACTGCGGCCTCGATTTCCCAGGCTACAGCGATCCTCCCACCTCAGCCTCCCCAAGTAGCTGGAACAGATAACAGGTGTGAGCCACCGCACCTGATCCCAGTGGTCTTTTCATTTGGCTGGGCGGGTATTAACCTTGTGGACATTTAGCAAACTGGTGGAGAAAAATATACAATGTAAGTTTGAGAAAAATTTGTTCAAGTATTAAGACAAACATTTTGTTGGCAATCTTTCTGTTGGGGCAGATCTCTGGGGTTTGGGTGCTGTGCATAAATCCACAAAGTTTCCATTATCTGAAGACTGAAAGGAAGTTGTTGTGTAGAGTCAGCAACTTACTAGAATTAAACTTATTTAGGTTTTTCCCTCTACTAAAAATAGATAAGCAAGTTTTTAATTCTATCTGCAATTTTAAAAAAATCTGATATAGGCTGGGCATGCTGGCTCATGCCTGTAATCCCATTACTTTGGGAGCCGGAGGCAGGGGAATCACTTGAGCCCAGGAGTTCAAGACCAGCCTAGGCAACATGGTAAGACCCTGTCTCTGCAGAAAGAAAAAATGTTTTAATCAGCCAAGTGTGGCAGTATGCTCCTGTAGTCCCAGCTACACAGGAGGCTGAGATGGGAGGATTGCTTGCACCTGGAAGGTCAAGGCCACAGTGAACCAAGATCGTGCCACTGCACTCCAGCCTGGGTGACAGAGCAAGACCATGTCTTAAAAAAAATAAAAATAGGCTGGGCGAGGTGGCTCATGCCTGTAATCCCAGCACTGTAGAAGGCTGAGGCGGGCGGATCACGAGATCAAGAGATCGAGACCATCCTGGCCAACATGGTGAAACCCTGTCTCTACTAAAAATACAAAAGTTAGCTGGGCATGGTGGTGCACACCACTAGTCCCAGCTACTCGGGAGGCTGAGGCAGGAGAATCGCTTGAACCTGGGAGGCAGAGGTTGCAGTGAGCTGAGATCACACCACTGCGCTCCAGCCTGGGCGACAGAGCGAGATTCTGTCTCAAAAATAAGTAAAAAAGAAAATAAATAATATCTGATATAGATGGGGCAAAATGTTAATATGTTGTCCAATCTGGGTGGTGGATACTTAGATATCTGTTGTATTATTTTCTAAAATTATTTTCTGTGTATTATTTTCTTCTGTACAGTAGATTGTAATTTTTAAAAACCTTTCAAAAAAGACGTGCAAAACAGAGCAGAAGACTGAGATTCTGAGGCTTAGGCAAGTCTGGGAAGATGACCTGCAGAAGCAATAGAGCGACCCCACTTTCCAAAGTTCCTGTCCCTCTCCAGGAACAAAAGGCCATGGTGGTGACCGGGCCGTTAGAGGTCATGGGATAGAGAGGGAGGTAGCCATTCTTTTCTCAGGCCGTGGTCCCACAGTGTCTATAATAGTCCTCTTGAGGTCAGCCACCAGCTTGGGAAGTCACAGCTCCGCCACCGATGGTTAGAAATCAACATGCTCCCATGTCGAGAATTACTTGTAACCCAAGCACAGTGACAGAGGAGCCTCCTTTATGTCACTCCCACATGATGTCCCTGAGCCTAGGCTAGGCTTGGTTCCAAGGACAAGGTTCCTATGACACTTTATATCATAGGGCTTTTCTGAGCAAAGGTGTGCTGGAAAAGTCAGCATTTCCCAAAGCTGAGAAACATCTCTCTCTCCATTTTTTTTTTTTTTTTTTTGAGATGGAGTTTTGCTCTTGTTGCCTAGGCTGGAGTAAAATGGCGTGATCTTGGCTCACCGCAACCTCTGCCTCCCGGGTTCAAGCGATTCTCCTGCCTCAACCTTCTGAGTAGCTGGGATTACAGGCATGCGCCACCACACCTGGCTGATTTTGCATTTTTAGTAGAGATGGGGTTTCTCCATATTGGTCAGGCTGGTCTCGAACTCCCAACCTCAAGTGATATGCCAGCCTCAGCCTACCAAAGTGGTGGGATTACAGGCGTGAGCCACCGTGCCGAGCCTCCTCTTTTTTGTTTGTTTTGTCTTGTTTGAGAGAGTATCACTCTGTTGCCCAGGCTGGAGTGCAGTGGTACAATCTTGGCTCACTGCAACCTCCGCCTCCCGGGTTCAAGCAATTCTCCTGCCTCAGCCTCCGGAGTAGCTGGGACCACAGGCACACGCCACCACACCCAGCTAATTTTTTGTATTTTTAGTAGGGACGGGGTTTCACCATGTTGGCCAGGCTGGTCTTGAACTCCTGACCTCAAGTGGTCTGCCACCTCGGCCTCCCAAAGCACTGGGATTACAGGCATGAGCCACCATGCCCGGCGCATCTCTCTTTTTATTTCTTCTTTCAGTTTCTTCTTCCATTCAGGCCTAAGCTGGAAACACCACTGTCTGATAAACACTGGCCACACCAACGACATGGTAGGCCAGGGGGTGATAGCAATCTTCCAGTAAATCAGCTTTTCAGTCTAAACATACCAGTCATCCTACTTGAAAGAAATGTGTCCCTGGGGACAACCTGTGAGCCTTAGCCTTCTGTAGGGAGAAGCACTCTTGATGGGAGGAAATTTGGGAGCGAATATTTCTTTCAAGACAGAACCTAAGCGGAAATCCTCTTGGGTAAAGTATCTCAATAGGCTGAAGCCTGCCTGCTTCTGACTGTCAAGCCTTTGGAAACAGTCAGCATCTTGCTTCCAGTTCATCCCCTCTGCGTCAGAGGAGCCCTTCCCATAGTTCCATGAAAGGCTCCTTCGGGCTTCCTACCCAGCTGATGGGTGGGGAGAAAGGAAATCCATTTCTCCTGGGGCTTGATGTCTCTTCTCTGATCTGGGGCGCCTCCAGATTGCTGCCTCTTCTGTTAGATCACACGACAAGCCTATGCTGTTCCTGCCAGCACTGCTGATCAATCCCCTCTTCCAGCCAACGTGCCACTCTGCGCGGCAGTCGCCCTCCTTTCCCCACTGCACGATTAGGAACCGTTTCAGTGTTCTCAGCTTTTCCTTCCTGTGCCTGTCATTTCCCCCACGAACACAAGCTGCTTTGCAGTCCTAGTCACACACATGGCACCGTTCCTGAGACAGGTCGTACGTATGGTGCTGATCAAATTCGCTGCGCCAAGTTGCCAGGACTTTCTGGAACAAATAACATTTCACATTCAGCTCCTGGAGCACCCCCGAAACCAGACCTCCTAAAGTCTGCTTCATTTCCATCAGAGCTTTTGAGTCCCAGATTTCATTCTGGGGGATGAGTGATCAGAGATTTTTAAAGCCACGCTGACTCTTGCCCTCATTTTTAGCTTCCTGGGACCACTGGACTCAGTGCCTCCTGGGGTCTTGGGCTCCAAAGAACATCACTGAGTCGTGTTTCTAATTAAGGAACGCTGGAGAATTCCCCACACATCTCCACTCTTCCAGGAACTCACGTCTACCCCTCTCCCCGTGTATTTTTCTTCACAGACAACTCAGAAGAACACACGGGTTCTCCTATTCTCTATGGCCCAGTCTGTGTCCAGCATGGCAGGCAAAAAGGCCTGGAATCTCATGTTGTTGTGACTGGAGCCTGTTGCTGGCACAAAATCAACTATACAGATCTATGTTGATCATCAAGACAAACAGAACTATCTTCTCGGTGATGTTGTTGCTTTTTTTGTGGGGGGATAGAAACAGTGCAAGTCAGGCCTGGCTGTCTGTGTAGCAGAAGAGGAAATGGGTTCCCTCTGAACAAATTTTTTTTAAAAACTTTCTGTCCAGGCACAGTGCCTCATGCCTGTAATCTCAGCACTTTGGGAGGCCAAGGCAGGCAGATCACCTGAGGTCAGGAGTTCAGCCTGGCCAACATAGCAAAACCCTGTCTCCACTAAAAATACAGAAATTAGCTGGGCGTGGTGCCACAGGCCTGTAATCCCAGCTATTCCGGAGGCTGAGGCACTAGGATTGCTTGAACCCAGGAGGCAGAGGTTGCAGTGAGCCAAGACCACGCCTGTCTCAAAAAAAAAAATTAAACATTAAAAAGATTAACTTTTTAATGTTTAATTTTTGTGGGTACATAGTAGGTGTATATATTTATGGGTTGCATGAGATACTCTGGATACAGGTATGCAATGCATAATAATCACCTCATGGAAAACGAGGTATCTGTCCCCTTAAGTATTTATTTTTTATGTTATAAACAATCCAGTTATACTCTTTTCATTATTTTTAAAAGTGCAGTTAAATTATTATTGACTATAGTCACCCTGTTGTGCTATCAAATATTAGGTCTTATTCATTCTTTCTATTTTTTTTTTTTGTACCCATTAACCATCCCCACTTCTCCCCCACCCATCTTCCCTCTGAAAAAATTCAGACAGTCTTCCTGGGTTAGTGGGGAATGGATTGTACCTCCTGCAGTGCTCCTTGAAGACAATTTGAGAGATGTGTTCTCTGCGATAAACCAAAGAATTTGAAATCTTGGGCTTGCAGGTTGAAAAATACATAGTATCCTCATGTATGTTCATTACTTAGTGTTGGATGAGGTTTCCAAAGCCATATGTACAAATTCTAGAGTTAAAAACAAAAGCTGTCAGAGTGGGGAATAACGTCATTCAACTTGGCCATGCAATTTGCCTCTTGTCCCAATAATATATGTTTTGGTAAAATAACATTTGAGGGACAAAAAGAGGATGCCAGATCTAAATTAATTTTAGAACAAAGTAATATATGCCAGGCATGGTGGCTCACGCCTATAATCCCAGCACTTTGGGAAGCCGAGGCGGGTGGATCACCTGAGGTCAGGAGTTCAAGACCAGCCTGGCCAACATGGCAAAACTCCGTCTCTACTAAAAATACAAAAATTAGCCATGCATTGTGGCAAGTGCCTGAGGGAGGCTGAGGCAGGAGAATTGCTTGAACCCAGGAGGTGGAGGTTGCAGTGAGCCGAGATCACGCCACTGCACCCCAGCCTGGGTGACAAGACACTCTGTCTCAAAACACACACACACACACACAAAAGTAATATAAAGAAGCAAACACAGGTGAAATACCCAAAGGTTATTATTTACAGATGTCTCATATTTTCAAAGCCCCCAACTTGGCAGCTGTCTTTCCCAGACCCTGTGTAGCATGTTAAAAACTGCTGATTAGGCCGGGCACAGTGGCTCACGCCTGTAATCCCAGCACTTTGGGAGGCCGAGGCAGGCGGATCACCTGAGGTCGGGAGTTCGAGACCAGCCTGACCAATATGGAGAAACCCTGTCTCTATTAAAAATACAAAAATCAGCTGCGCATGGTGGCGCATGCCTGTAATCCCAGCTAGTCGGGAGGCTGAGGTAGGAGAATTGCTTGAACCTGGGAGGCAGAGGTTGCGGTGAGCCGAGATTGCGCCATTGCACTCTAGACTAGGCAACAAGAGTGAAACTCCGTCTCAAAAAAAAGAAAAAAAACAAAACTGCTAGTTAACTCTTAGAGTGTCACAGACTTGTAAACTGCATGATTTGTTTAGTATCAAATAAAAACCAGAGCCTTTCTGATTTAAACCAACACTCCTTTCCCCAGGTTTTATCTCATTTATGTGGGGCACAGAAAGTTGCAGCCTTTCCAACATAAACCTCTGCCAGCACCAGCTCATATTAAGTAAATGTGTGGGATCAACAACGGAGCGCTGTTGACATTTTTTCAGGCCCCTCCCATGCTTGGGTCATCAGGATCCAAGCCTCTCCCTGAGCTTCCAGCTCTAAAATTATATGACTCTAGTTACTTTGGCAGCTATTCAGAGGAAAAAGAAAATAGGGAGGAAGGAGGGAAAAAAAGATAATTACTGAAGCATCGTCCCTAAAATTCTGATGGCATTGGGTAGGAAGGGTGTTTATAAAATAGTCGTGATCACAGCAGATAGACATGGCAGTGATCAGAGAAGCGTCCTTGAATAGCCCCTGATGTTCACACCTCCATACTGACATTTGTTATCATAACGGCCTTGGTGGTTAAACTGAGATGTGTTCTTAAGCAAGAGGCCCCAGGGCTGTGTGGCTTTATCTTTTCCCCTCTGAATCGCAGGGAGAAAGAGCAGTTCCACAATCAGTTCTGTGTATTTCTTATTATGTTCCTTAGCGGTTCCTAAGGTGGTCATAAAGAGAATGACTCTGTTACATAAGACAGTCACTGTTGAACCAGGATCTCCCAGGGCCTGCGTCCTTACCTAGTAGCAACCGTGAAACACATGAACTCTTCCAGGCAGAGTAAAATATACCCAAATGGGTAACGACTGTAATTCCACAGCTAAATGCTGCTTTTGCGGCATCTAAATCAATGTGCTCCCCCATCAAACTCCAGCATATGAGGGTAGAAGTGTCACTGCATTTTATTTTATTTTATTTTGTTTTATTATTTTATTATTTTTTTGAGACAGGATCTCACTCTATCACCCAGGCTGGAGTGCAGTGGCATGATCATGGCTCACTGCAGTCTTGACCTCCTGGGCTCAAAGGATCCTCCCACCTCTGCCTCCCAAATAGCTGGGACTGCAGGCTAATTTTTAAATTTTTTTGTGGAGATGGGGCCTCACAATATGGCTCAGGCTGGTCTCAAATTCCTTGGCTCAAGCAATCCTCCTGCCTTGGCCTCCCTAAGTGCTGAGATTACAGGCGTGAGTCACTGCACTCAGCTGGCATTGCATTTTAGACATTATCTAAGTGTAATCTTTGTTCACAGATGCATCAGAAAACACCGAGTTTGATCAGCCATCTGAATTAGAAACAGTAATAACAAAAATCACAACACTTTAGCATCCAAACAGTTAAGGGAGGAGAGCCGTTGTTGAATTCTCTCTTGAAACTCATCATGATGAGGCTGTACCAAGAGGGCGATGTAACTGTGGGTACCGGGGCCTGCAGAAAATCCCCCCTGGCTCCTTCTGAGCTGCCACTCAGGGCTTTATTTATCCCACCCGTATCTCTCCTTCAGAGTGACACAGTCAGCAAGTCACTGGACTGCGGACTGTGGCATCGTGGTCTTTTGTGTTGGTCTTCTCAGCAAGAACCTGATTTCTGGCTTTGCTCAGCATCCATCCTCCCACCCCATCAGCTATGGCTGTGCAGTGAAGCTAATGGGGTTGAAGCTTCAGAATCCCTCATTTGCACGGGCTCCTTCCAAGGCCCTACAAGGACCCTTAGCCGTGTGTGTGTGTGTTTATATATAAAATTTCTATAAGTAAGAAACTGCAATTTTAGGGGATTAAGATCATTTGCATTCTGCTCCAACGCCACTTGTGTTAGGGGTCCTAGAAGTGGCTGTGAGCATTTTGGGGAATTGGCTAACGGCAAGTTGAGTTAGGGGTACATTTAGTTGGACTTGGTAAAACACAGTCATCTGATTTGCAGATGTGTCTGTGCATAGTTGAAGTTATTGCTACTCATCCTGATGTAGGAATGGCTTCCAGGAAAACGCCCTCTCCCTGTGCCAACTCACTGGGCATCAGGACATGAAGGTGCAGGCCAAAATTTGCATCATGATATAAATGTGTGCTGTGGCTTCTGGCACCACAAGTATGTGTCTCATGAACATAAAACACAGTTTGGAGCCAGAAGCCAGTCTGGGGGAATATTCTTTCCAATTTTATAGCTTGTATGTATATCAAGAGAACTTGATAGAGGTTATACCAAATTTAACAACAACCTTGGATAGAATTTTAAATGACAGGCCAGGCGCAGTGGTTCACACCTGTAATCCCAGCACTTTGGGAGGCTGAGGTGGGCAATCACCTGAGCTCAGGAGTTCGAGACCAGCTTGGCCAACATGGTGAAACGCCTATCTCTACTAAAAGTACAAAAAGTAGCCGGGTGTTGTGGCACACATATATTATCCCAGCTACTTGGGAGGCTAACGCAGGAGAATCACTGGAACCCAGGAGGCGGAGGGTGCAGTGAGCCGAGATCATACCACTGCACTCCAGCCTGGGCAATAGAGTGAGACTCGGTCTCAAAAAAAAAAAGAAAAAAAAAAGAAAGTTTTAAATGACATTACCAAACAAAACTTTCAAACTATGTATAAGTACATTGCAATCCACCATGCTAGAAGAAAAACTGAATGATTCTATTCTCTTTAGAGAAAATGAAATTATAAAATTGTTTTCTCTCAAAAGGTCACCTAAGAATACACAGCCAAAAAATACAAGGGGTAGGGGAGTACGATAGAAGTATAGCAAGTGGGCCAGGCGCAGTGGCTCATGCCTGTAATCCCAGCTACAGGAGGCTGAGGCTGGAGTATCTCTTGAACCTGGGAGGCAGAGGTTGCAGTGAGCCGAGATCGAGCCACTGCACTCCAGCCTGGGCAACAGAGTGAGACTCTGTCTCAAAAAAAAAAAAAAAAAAAAAAAGTATAGCAAGTGGTTAATAAAATATTATGTACTTTTTGGAGTTTTATGATTTTGTGTGATTTGTTAGCTTTTGATAATGTGATTTGCTGTACATTCTTTGCTCATTATGTGATAACTATTTATCTACATAACTTTGTATTCTTCTACTTAAAAAGGGCGCCCAGATTCTGTAAGCTTCAGGCCTCCCAAAACCTGGATCCACCTCTGCCCCCTGCAGCATGTGGTAAACTGTTGAAAACAGTATACACTAAATGTGTGTGAATCAAACGCTGCTCCCTCTGCCTCATTAAAAATCATTTCCACTGGGCCAGGCACAGTGGCTCACGGTAATCCCAGCACTTTGGGAGGCCGAGGCTTGCAGATCATCTGAGGTCAGGAGTTTGAGAGCAGCCTGGCCAAAATGGCAAAAACCCCGTCTCTACTAAAAATACAAAAATTAGCCAGGCGCGTGGTGGTGCACACCTGTAATCCTAGTTACTCGAGAGGCTGAGACAGGAGAATCACTTGAACCTGGGAGGCGGAGGTTGCAATGAACTGAGATCGTGCCACCGCACTCCAGCCTGGGCGACAAGAGCAAAACTTCATCTCAAAAAAAAAAAAAAAGTAGTTCTGCCAGATGAGGTGGCTCATGCCTGTAATCCCCGCACTTTAGGAGGCTGAGGTGGGTGGATCCCTTGAGCCCTGGGGCTCAAGACCAGGCTGGGCAACATGGCAAAACCCTGTCTCTACTGAAAATACAAAAAATTAGCTGGGCATGATGGCGCATGCCTGTAGTCCCAGCTACTCAAGATGCTGAGGTGGGAGGTTCGCCTGAGCCCAGGAGGTCAAGGCTGCAGTAAACTATGATCACACCACTGCACTTCTCCTGCCTAGGCAACAGAGCAAGACCCCGTCTCAAAAACAAAAACAAACAAACAAAACTATCAGTTCTTATAGGTGAAAACAGGAATCCAGATGATATGAGGCTCCACCAGATATTAGTGAGGACAGTGTGACCTACATGTGATTTTCTTTGTGGAAGGTTTAAAAACAGAAACATGAGCAACCTTGGTGCGAGACTTAGACCTATAACGAGGGCATCTGCTTTTCCTTACTCAAGCTACACCAGGATTGGGACAAACTAGAGTGATGTCATCTTGATTTTTTTTTTTTTGTCACCCAGGCTGGAGTGCAATGGCATGGTCTCGGCTCACTGCAACCTCTGCCTCCCGAGTTCAAGCGATTCTCCCACCTCAGCCTCCTGAGTAGCTGGGACTACAGGCATGTGCCATCACTCTGGCTAATTTTTGTATTTTTAGTAGAAATGGGGTTTTACTATGTTGGCCAGGCTAGTCTCGAACTCCTGACCTCATGATCTGCCTGCCTCAGCCTCCCAAAGTGCTGGGATTACAGATGTGAGCCATCACACCCGGCCTGTCATCTTGAATTTTATTCACATATTTTGATCTTCATTTATTTGGAGTGAAGGCATATAAGTTATCAAAAATTAAAAATAATATTTTGAAATTTTAAACTGAGGTTCTTTTTCTTCAAAGTTATTGACTCTGCCCCCATTGGCTCAATGGCATTCATTACTTCAGGAGAAAGTGAAAACAGCGAGAACAAAGCAGCCAGGAGGTGCTGAGCGGATGGATAATTCACAATATCTGAAGCCACAGTCGCTTGAAAGAGCTAGTCATGTGAGAGAGAGGCAGTTTTGTTCTGAATTTCAAAATGGCTTAGTTTTAACCCATTTATGGCTGAGGTGGCAATTTTTTTAATTTGAAAAATCAGACCTTGGAAATGCCTTGAGCAGTAGGATATAAATAACTCCCACATGCTTACCGTTCCAATAATGGAACACTAGGCATAAATAAGCAAGATGATAGTAAAAGCTTGGGGGACAGAGCATAGCATTTATAGGTGTTACGATAAAGCAACTTGTCCAATCTGTGGCCAGGATGGCTTTGAATGCAGCCCAACACAAATTCATAAACTTTCTTAAAACATTATGAGACTTTTTGAATTTTTTTTTTTTTTAGCTCATTAGCTATCATTAGTGTTAGCATATTTTATATGTGGCCCAAGACGATTCTTCTTCCAATGTGGCCCAGGAAAGCCAAAAGATTGGACACCCTGCTCTAAAGGATGCAGCTCATGGCACAAGGTCATTTCTCCACCATAAAAGAAAGCAATACAAATTGCTGCCCAGGCATGGTGGCACACATCTGTATTGCCAGCTACTTAGGAGGCTGAGGCAGGAGGATTGCTTGAGCCCAGGAGATCGAGGCCAGCCTGAGCATAGCAAGACCCTATTCCTTAAACAAAAAAAATTTTTTGGCCGGGCGCAGTGGCTCATGCCTGTAATCCCAGCACTTTGGGAGGCCAAGGTAGGCGGATCACGAGGTCAGGAGATTGAGACCATCCTGTCTAACACAGTGAAACCCCGTCTCTACGAAAAATACAAAAAAATTAGCCGGGGCCGGGCACGGTGGCTCACGCCTGTAATCCCAGCACTTTGGGAGGCCGAGGTGGGAGGATCATGAGGTCAGGAGATCGAAACCATCCTGGCTAACATGGTAAAACCCCGTCTCTACTAAAAATACAAAAAAAAATTAGCCGGGCGTGGTGGCGGGCGCCTGTAGTCCCAGCTACTCAGAAGGCTGAGGCAGGAGAATGGCGTGAACCTGGGAGATGGAGGTTGCAGTGAGCCGAGATTGCGTCACTGCACTCCAGCCTGTGCGACAGAATGAGACTCTGTCTCGAAAAAAAAATTTTTTTAATAAGCATTAAAAAAATAGCTTTCCTGGCACTGCAAAAGCTTACTGGGGGAGGGGGGGGAAATAAAGGCTTTCCTGACTCAGCACCCAGGGAACTGGGGAGCAGAAATGGGGGAGGAGAGAAGAGTTGTAAGAGATACAGACAGAGGTGTGCTTGTTCCCAAGGGGGCGGTGGCTCTGCCTCCTTAGCCGACATTTCACTGGCAGGGGACAGAGAGTACAGGGGTAAGGGCAGAAGGGACGTGGCCCTTGTTTGCTCTAAAACCCTTGCTTCCAGCACCACAAGAACATGAGAGGGGAGAGAAGCAGAGCGGAAAGGCAGGCAGGGCAGACCTGGACTGAAAATGGGCCTCCAAGAACCGCCCCACCTGAGTCTCCCCTACTTCCTTCCTGTGTGGGGAAATCAGGGGAAGAGCCCGTAGCGCCTGGTGAGGGTGAGGAAGGTGGCAGAGAATGAAGCCTTGGCCAGAGCAGCACTGCCACTGCAGTGACGGGGCCTGGCCGGCAGGGAACAGCCACCTCTCCTTTTGTTGCCTAAGAGCAGCTGACAAACTGGGTCAATGGTGAAGGCAACAGTGACCAAGACTGACACGCACCACCAAGGCAACAAGATGTCTCCAAGGCCAAGGGGGGCCGGAGAACAGGAAGCATGGGACAGACCTGGGGCTCATCCAGAGGAGGAGATGAGGGAGTGTGGCCCTGATGGAATTAAAATCCTGGATTGACTGAGGAATTACCCTAAAGAAGCTTTGAAACCAGAAGGGTGTCAGTTATCCTAAAGTGCCAAGATGAAGAGTTTTCCACTACTTCATAAGTAAATTGAGTACAGTTATAGAGAAATAATGTTTCATTTTTGCAGCTCTGAGATGTCACTGTAAACTTGAAACCCACTACACATTAGAAATACCTGCCCTCAGGCCGGGTGCGGTGGCTCATGCCTGTAATCCCAACACTTTGGGAGGCCAAAGTGGGCAGATCACGAGGTCAAGAGATCAAGACCATCCTGGCCAACATGGTGAAACCCCCGTCTCTATTAAAAATACAAAAATTAGCTGGGCGTGGTGGTGGGCGCCTATAGTCCCAGCTACTCAGGAGGCTAAGGCAGGAGAATCACTCGAACCCGGGAGGTGGAGGTTGCAGTGAGCTGAGATCATGCCACTGCACTCCGGCCTGGGTGACAAAGTGAGACTCTGTCTCGAAAAAAAAGAGAAATCCCTGCCTCCCTTTTATGTTCCCAAAATGTTCCCACCACAGAGGCAGCCTTGTACACTGACAATTTGCCTACATTTGGTGGGGTGTGATTGCAAGACCAGGACCAGACAGCAATCAGCACTACTTTGAGCTTCCAGAAATCTAATCTGGGGAAGTATTCAGGCAAGAGATACATTGATCTCTTATAGAGGACACAAAGACATGAACATTGATAGCCCTGTTGTCATCTTAAAAATCATAATTAGGCCAGGTGTGGTGGCTCACACCTTTAATCCCAACACTTTGGGAGGCTGAGGTGGGTGGATCACCTGAGGTCAGGAGTTTGAGACTAGCCTGGCCAACGTGATGAAACCCCTTCTCTACTAAAAATACAAAAATTAGGCAAGCGTGGTGGCGGGTGCCTGTAGTCCCAGCTACTCAGGAGGCTGAGGCAGGAGAATCACTTGAACCTGGGAGATGGAGGTTGCAGTGAGCTGAGATCATGCCATTGCACTCCAGCCTGGGAGACAGAGCAAGACTCCATCTCAAAAAGAAAATCATAATTACTTTCATGATGTGTACTCTAAGGCAATCTGATAAGTAGTAGGGTATCTGTTCTTTCCCTCATTTCTCTCCCACCCTTACTCTGACTGGTATCTTGGAAGCAGAAAATTCTAATGCAATATTTGCTATGAGTGTTGTCTTTAAATGTCATCCACAATGATTAGGAAGCCCTCACAGACACCAGCCCTGTTTAGCTGGGTGCAGCCGACCAGGTGTTCAACCAGTTTGACTACTCCGCCTCCCTTTGTTAGGCCTCTGAATTATTTATCTCCTGGTATGCGAGTGAGAGACTCAGACTGTGGCTCTCCACATGCCCTGGAGCTAAACGTCCTTGTTTGTTTTCTCCGGAGTAATTTCACTTATTCCCCTCTCCCCTCTCTACAAGGAAGCTGTGGTTCACAGGTATCCATGACTATAATGATTCATGAGGAATCGAAATAAAGGCATTACAAACCCTCTAGATAAAATGAGGACATTCTTTAAGTTCTATTATAAATTGAGTGTAGCCCAAGAATTCAACGGAGAATGAATAAGAGATTACCGGTTGTCTGGTTAGAGATTAGTGGTTGCCCCCAGGGAATAGCTTGTTGGCTTGTGTGGGCGGCCAGAAAACACGGCAGCCTCAGCTCTCTTTGGAGTCCTTCCTTCAGAGAGGAATTGACTTCCTAGCAATTCATTTCCCCGTGATTGTGGCCCATGCTCACAGAGGCCAAAACAAACAGGCCCAGGAAGATTCTTACCGTGGCCAGTGGAGAGCCCGGCCTGGCAGCACCCCTCAGGCTTCGCCGCTGCCTTGTGTGCATCCCAAGCAATCTTTGTCAGCATCCCCATGGCCACAAAACTTCCTTTTTAAAAAAAAAACGAAAAATGTAGTTTAAATGTTCACATGCACATCACAGCTAACTTCTATTACCTTTAAAAATGCTTTTAAATTTTTTAGACTTTATTTAGTGTAAAATTAAGTTTAGCCCAATGCTGCCTCCTTATAGTTTACATTCTGCCTAAAGCTGTGCTCATGCATAGTGCACTGTCACCTGACAGGGTGTGTAAACACACGGCTGCCTACTCTTGTGTCAATCACCCAGTTCCGGCCAAAGGCGGGCAGTTCTTCAAACCATGAACAAACAAGGCAATCATCCAGCAGTAACCAGCCTGGCTCTTTCTGTGCCTCGCTTCTGTTTCCTGTACATCCCTTTCCTTTTTCTGTCCGTAAATCTTCCTCCACCATGTGCCTAAGCTGGAGCTTCTCTGAACCCATTCTGGTCCAGGGGCTGCCCTATTCACAAATAATTTTTTGCTCAATTAAACTCTGTTAAGTTAAACGTCTCTGTGGTTTTTCTTTTAACATTAGAGACAGGGTCTCACTCTGTCACCCAGGCAGTGGTGCAATCATGGCTCACTGCAACCTCTATCTTCTAGGCTCAAAAGATCCTCCCACCTCACCTCCCGAGTAGCTGAGACCATAGGCATATGCCACCACACCTGGCTCATCTCTCCTTTGTAATGCCTTATGTTTTCATTAAAAAAAATATACTCTTAAGGCTGAAAGTTCGTTTAGACTAAACATAGCTTGAGGCCCCTTGACAGCACCCCTGGATGCTGGCCATCCAGTCTCGAATCTGAACGTCTTCAGTGACAGGGAGGTAACTTGCTCCCTCCCAACATAGACTCATCCACTTTTGGGTTGCTCCAGTGGAAACCCTTTCTTAGACTGAAGATTCCCTATAATTTACATCAATTGTACCTAATTTCATGCCTTGACACCCCGTGGGATAAATCGTACCCATCTTCCATGTGAAAGCTCTGTAGAAAATTGGTGACCACTATGTCATCACTCCCCCCATGGCCCTTCTTCATGGCCGAGCTCCTGCGGTGGTATCATTCTTCCTCTACGAAGGGGCTGAGAGTGTCTACCACCCCGCTGCTCCCCTCTGAACAGCCTCCAACTCGTCGAGCCCTTTGAAAACTGTGGTGCACATAGCTTGGCACAGGGCTCAGCTGTGGTCTCTCCAGTGCAGAATGAGGCAGAAGGCTTTGTTGGAAATACCATACATCTATTAATGCAGCCAAGGATTTAATGAGCTTTCTTGGCAACCACATGAAATTATGGCTTTTTTTCTTACCAGCAACTACATATTTGAGTGGTTGGATTTTGTAAACCAAGACCAGAGCCTTCCGTTTACCATTATGGACTTTATCTTGTAATATGGGCTGATTCATTCAGACTTTTAGAGATCTTCTGGGGTTTTGATTTTGCCCTTCAATGTATTAGTATTCCACTCATTCTCTGTGTCACCTGCAAATACAACAAGTTTATTTTTGGTCTTTGGCCAAGCCACTGATAAAACAAAAACAAAAACAAAAAAACACAACAACAACAAAAAACCCTCATGTGGCACGATAATGCAGAGTTCTGTGGTATTCCAATAAAACCAGTCCTCTGGATTAAAAAGAATCAATTAATTAGCAAGCTTTGGCTATGATCCTTCAACCCGTTAAAAACCAGCACAATTACCCTATCCCTCAACCCCTGTGAGGACAACATTAGCCATTCTTTACGGCAGCTCATCATCTGACCCCACTTTCTGCGTGGGAGAATTCCCTACTTTGCGAGTCTGTCAGAAGGCAGAGACCACCTCCTCCCATGAGAAGTGAAACAGGTCAGCATCTGGCTTTCCCAGCTCCCTCCATAGCTAAGGTGTGGGCATATGATCTGGGCTCCACCAAACAGAGGCATTGGGCTGAACTTTGACTCAGGAGCTGGAGAGGCAAAAACGTTGGGACTTTAAGGACTCTGTTTTGGCAGAGGATGGGGACAGCTTTATACCCTTTTCAGGACACCAGGGTTAGTGTTAGCCGTGTCAGCAGGGCAAACCTTGGTGTTCATGCCGATGTTGACAAGCTGTCATGCCCTCCAAAGACCAGGGCTGTGATTGTGGATGCGGCTCTGCATCCAAAAATCCATAAATCACATCAGATGTAGGATATCTGAGCCTGATTGTCTGGCCCTTCTGGACAGCTGGTAAACTTCCCTATATCCTTGAATAAAATCCCTTTTCTGTTTAAACTCACTAGAATTTGTTTCTGTTCTTTGTGACCTAAAAGCTGCGAGTGATACTCTGCCTCTGTACCTTATCCCCAGGGCACCCAAGCAACTATGTCAGTTTCCTTTCTGAAGTGTAGAGGGACCATATCCATCTTGTATCTCTAAGTTTGCCAGTGGAGTAATCCTATCAGAAAAGGAGATGGAATCAGGCTAACACAATTTGCTTTTAGTGACATGGGGCTGACTATAATCACTGCCTGCTGGTTTCTAAGAGCTCAGAAACCACCTTCTAGCATTCTCTTCAACACTCTCACCAAGAATCAATCTCAAGCTTACTGATCTATAGGTCATAGAACCCACCTTCTTTTTCTTTTTGAAAATTAGAATTACGTATTTCCCATCTCTGTGGCTCGGTTATTTTTCATAATTCCTAGAGATCATCCAAAAGATTTCCCAATCACCTCCACAAATTCTTTCCATTTTCTTTACTATGAAAATATTCTCATACCATCTCCTCATAGGTTTGATTTGTTCTTTTTGATTTGAAAAATGTTCTTTTTTGAGAAGACAGAAGCAGAGCAAGAGTTAAGGAATTCCATTTTCTGTGTTATGTTTGAATATTGCATTGTCCAGTTGACACTACAGACATTCCTCAGAACCTGTCCTAGACCTGCAGACAAAGGCGAGGCATAGCCCATCTCTCTGCAATTTCAAATATCTAAACCCAAACCCCATGCCCTCCAGTCTAAATACACTGTCTTAGTCCATTTGGGCTGCTGTAACAAAATACCTTAGACTGGGTAATTTATAAAAAGCAGAATGTGGCCGGGCGCGGTGGCTCACCCCTATAATCCCAGCACTTTGGGAGCCTGAGGTGGGCAGATCACTTGAGGTCAGCAGTTCAAGATCAGCCTGGCCAACATGGTGAAACCCCATCTCTACTAAAAATACAGAAATTAGCTGGGTGTGGTGGCAGGTGCCTGTAATCCCAGCTACTCTGGAGGCTGAAGCTGGAGAATAGTTTGAACCTGGGAGGTGGAGTTTGCAATCCCAGCTAATCTGGAGGCTGAAGCAGGAGAATAGTTTGAACCTGGGAGGCGGAGGTTGCAGTGAGTCGGAGACTGCACCACTGCACTCCAGCCTGGATGACAGAGCGAGACTCAATCTCAAAAAGAAAAAAAGTGCGGAATTTTATTGCTCACAGTTCTGAAGGCCGAGAAGTTCAACATCAAGGTGCCACCGGATTCGGTGCCTGGTGAGGGCCCTCTGCTTCATACAGGGCACCTTCTTGCTGCATTCTCACATGGTGGAAGGAGGAAAGGGGCAAGCAAACTCCCTCAGGCCTCTTTTATGGCGGGATTATTCCCATTCACGAGGGTTCTGCCCTCATGACCCAACAGCCCCACCTCTTAAAGGCAAAACATTGGAGATTCGATTTCAACAGATGAGGGAGTCTCTGAGCCTACTCTAGCTCAGAAGGTTACCTGCCAAAAAAAAAAAAAAAAAACAAGGAAAGAAAAAGAAAAAAAAAAGAAGATTTCAACATGTGAATTTTGGAGGGATGCAAACACTCACACCATAGCGCTGTCCTTGAATATAGTATGTGCCTTATGAATGCTAGTGGCATAAAGCTAACAAAAGGCTATAACTTATCCCAGGCATACCTGCTTGGCTTTTGAACCTCATTTCTGTCACTGTACACTTACAGCCTACCATAAAAAATATTAATGATCACATAAAAGGTGGTTTATATTATCCAGGTCTTATTTAGTATCATTAAACATCACTGTTAGTCTCATTTAATATAGCTAACTTATAATTGGCCAAAAAAAGCATTGCAGGCCAGATGTGGTGGCTCACACATGTTATGCTAGAACTTTGGGAGGTCAAAACAGGCGGATCGCTTGAGCCCCAGGATTTCAAGACCAGCCTGAGCCACATAGTGAGACCTTGTCTCCACAAAAAATTAAAATTAAATAAGGATTGCAGGCCGGGCGCAGTGGCTCACGCCTGTAATCCCAGCCCTTTGGGAGGCTGAGGTGGGCAAATCACCTGAGGTCAGGAGTTTGAGACCAGTCTGACCAACATGGAGAAACCCTGTCTCTACTAAAAATACAAAATTAGACGGGCATGGTGGCACATGCCTGTAATCCCAGTTACTCAGGAGGCTGAAGCAGGAGAATCACTTGAACCTGGAGGCGGAGTTTGCGGTGAGCCAAGATCGCGCCATTGCACTCCAGCCTGGGCAACAAGAGCGAAACTCCATCTCAAAAACAAACAAACAAACAAACAAAAAAGCATTGCAATATTATTCCAAATTGTTTTTTAAAAAGCACAAGTCTTAAAATCATAATTATTTTTTTTGAAACGGAATCTTGCTCTGTCCCCCAAAGTTCTGGGATAACTCCCAAAGTTCTGGGATAACAGGCTGGAGTGTAATGGCGCGATCTCAGCTCACTGCAACCTCTAGCTCCAGGGTTCAAGCGATTCTTCTGCCTCAGCCTCCTGAGTAGCTGGGATTACAGGCATGCACCACCACGCCCAGCTAATTTTTGTACTTTTAGTAGAAACAGGGCCTCACCATGTGGCCAGGCTGGTCTCGAACTCCTGAGCTCAAGTGATCTGCCAGCCTTGGCCTCCCAAAGTGCTAGAATTATAGGCATGAGCCACTGTGCCCGGCCTATTTTTTAGTTCTAAAGCATGCGTATGTTCAATACTCAGTTGCTTTAACTAAAGGTTTCATTTTTCTATTCACTCAAACAAGTCTCTCTGAGATGGCTACTTTGTAGAAGGCACATTCTCTAACTCTGCCTGCTTTTCAATTCAACCCAGCAGCATTCTTTCATGAGAACTAAGTTGTTAGACTGTTTGGTGTCCTGGAAGTGTTAAGTGACTCCAAGATGTGGAGAAGTTAAGACACCGTGAAGTGACCAGGGCTCCTTGGTGGAACTCAGTTGTTTCTTCTGCTTCAGAGGCTGGGTTCCATGAAGCGCTCCAGAAGAATTCTCCATACATCACGCCCAGAATGCCTCTTTTTCTTCTAAATTCCCAATGAAATGATCTCAAGAAACCTGGTTTAAAAAACCATATATACATATATATTTTGAGATGGGGTCTCACTCTGTTGCCCAGGCTGGAGTACAGTACTGCGATCACGGTTCACTGCAGCCTCAACCTCCAGGGCTCAAGTGATCCTCCTGCCTCAGCCTCCCAAGTAGCTAGGACTATAAGTGTGTGCCACCACGCCAGGCTAAATTTTGTATTTTTTGCAGAGACAGGTTTTCACCATGTTGCCCAACCTGGTCTTGAATGCCTGGGCTCAAGCAATCTGCCCACCTTGGCATCCCAAAGTGCTGAGATTACAGGCGTGAGCCACCACACCTGGCCTAAAAAACATACATTTTGATATAAATATTCCAAAGTGTGTGTGTGTCTGTGTGTACTTTAAAACCTATTTAATTCCTAGTAGGTAAGGGATAATGTCATTCACTTGACTGAAACTTAGATTGAGGCCAAGATCAGAGAGAAAGAAGGACCAGCCAGGTCATGATCCATTGCACTGGAGGGAAGAATCCTGCCTTTGAGAAAGGAGGCACCCTCAGAAGGAGCCTACTGATCTCTCTGGTTGGGGTGAGGTGGGGTAAAGCTGAGAGGAGGCCATGGGCCATTGGAACCATCCCAGCTTGCCCCACTGATGCCTCTTAGCTTCCCGGATGCCGGATCCCATGCCAGGGAGACTTCGCTGACGTGCTCGGGCTTACCCTGAGCATAGACGGGCTGCTGAACGAGTCGCATCTCTCTCAACCCAGGCTTCCAGGAGGGCAGCTGCATAGGTAGAGAAAGGCCAGCACCCTGGATAATTTCAGATGGGCTTGAGGCATGTGTGTGACGGGTGCCTTTTAAAGTAGCACCCTACCAGAAATGGACTTTGTGTCATCTCCTTCTTGGTAAGAGTGGAAGAGGGGACCCTCCCTTGCAGGAGTAGGTCAAGGATCCACATTGTCTGGAGAAAAGGGGCAAACTCACAAGACACTTTGGGCTTTCAGGGTTTAAGAAGACACCTGCTCAGTTCCCAGGAGAGTAGATCCCTGGACAGCGGGTGTGGGGGATGGTCTTGGTCCACAGGGTGGTGATAATCAGAGCGGGAGATCATCCCAAGCCGGGGTCCTGGCGGCGCTGCTGCATCCCACAGGTTCAGGAGGTATCATTCCCTCAGAAGCCAGAAGGAACGGTGTTCTCTGCGGTGGTACAGAGTTGAGTCCTATTTCCTGGGGTGGGTTATGCCCCTGGGGTGAATGTACTTATGATGAAAGAGTTGGTCCCTAAGAGATAGAACACTCTGAGCTTGGGCCTAGTAGGGAGTGAGGTCCCAGCAGCCAAGCCCGGTTGTAGGCAGTCACTGTGTCCAGAACTGCTGCAAAAGGGCTTGGTTCTAGCCTAAATGCTACAGCAGGGAAAGAAGACACAAAATTCAGAGGCAGGCCGGCATGGTGGCTCATGCCTGTAATCCCAGCACTTTGGGAGGCCAAGGCGGGAGGATCTCTTGAGCCCAGGAGTTTGAGACCAGCCTAGGCAACATAGTGGGAGCCTGTCTCTATAAAACAAACAAATAAAAAACCACCACCAACACAACAACAAAATCCAGAGGCAGATGCAACCCCTACCCTAGCCCCTTCTACTGAGAAGACCCAAACACTCCCAACTCCTTATCCACCTACCACCGTGACTCTCTGCCACGCTACACCCCTGAGCTGACAAGGAATTGAAGGAGTTTGACTCAAAGTTCCTGGACCAATTTAGCTGACCTCTTCCTTGACTGAGAGAAAGGCAATGTGAAAGGTCTTCACCTAAATGTCTCTGGCCAGTTAGACCGGAAGAGATGGCAGCACAAATGCTGAGACCAACTTCCGTAGGAGTCACTGCCTCTCCTGAATGCCCTTGGCCACTAGGTGAGTTCTGGGCTTTGTCCAGCTCCAGGCTCAGGACATGACTTGCTGACACCAGGCTGTATGCCTCAACTCCTCTCCACCCTAATTATATGTAGACATGGGACCAAGCCCATCTGGACCCAACCAAGCTATGAGGAAACTCTTGGATGCGTGAGAAGGAGGGCACTGGGGCATTTCAGCAAGACTGACATCTAAATTTTCTGCCCTTATAGGGAGGAGGTTCTTGAACACTTGCTCCTTGGCGGTAAAATGAATCAAATTATTCCTACAAGAAAACGTTAGGTCCAAAGAATATGGTTGCCTTTGGTATTAACAACTTACCACCTGCACTTATCGTTATCTGTAAGATGTCACTCATGCCTGTAATCCCAGCACTTTGGAAGGCCGAGGCGGGCGGATCACGAGGTCAGGAGATCGAGACCATCCTGGCTAACATGGTGAAACCCCGTCTCTACTAAAAATACAAAAAACTAGCCTGGCGTGGGGGTGGGCGCCTGTAGTCCCAGCTACTCGGGAGGCTGAGGCAGGAGAATGGCGTGAACCTGGGAGGCGGAGCTCGCAGTGAGCCGAGATCACGCCACTGCACTCCCACCTGGGCAACAGAGTGAGACTCTGTCTCAAAAAAAAAAAAAAAACAAGAAAACAACAACAAAAAAGAAAACGACAATAAATCTAAATATGGCTGGGCGCGGTGTCTCACCTCTGTAATCCCAGCACTTTGGGAGGCCGGGGCGGGTGGATCACCTGAGATCAGGAGTTCAAGACCAGCCTGACCAATATGGTGAAACCCCGTCTCTACTAAAAATACAAAAATGAGCCATGCGTGGTGGTGAGCGCCTGTGGTCCCAGCTACTCAGGAGACTGAGGCAAGAGAATTGCTTGAACCAGGGAGGGAGAGACTGCAGTGAGCCGAGATCACACCACTGCACTCCAGCCTGGGTGCCAGAGTGAGACCCATCTCAAAAAAAAAAAAAAAAAAAAACAAACAAAAAAAAAAAAACAAAAAACTAAATACATCCCTTCTCCCTAAGGTTGGCAGCAGAATCCACACCATTCTAGAAGAACACTTTTTTTTTTTTTGAGATGGAGTCTTGTTCTGGCATCCAGGCTGGAGTACAGTGGTGCAATCTCAGCTCACCGCAACCTCTGCTGCCCAGGTTCAAGCAATTCTCCTGCCTCAGCCTCGCAAGTAGCTACAGGGATGCACCACCACGCCTAGCTAATTTTTGTATTTTTAGTAAAGATGGGGTTTCACCAGGTTGGCCAGGCTGATCTCGAACTCCTGACCTCATGATCCGCACCTCGGTCTCCCAAAGTGCTGGGATTACAGGCGTGAGCCACTGTGCCCCGCCATTTTTTTTTTTTTTTTTTTTTTTTTTTTTTGAGATGGAGTTCTGCTTTTGTTGCCCAGGCTGGAGTGCGATGGCGTGATCTCAGCTCACCACAACCTCGGTCGCCCGGGTTCAAACGATTCTCACCCGCCTCAGCCTCCCAAGTAGCTGGGATTACAGGCATGTGCCACCATGCCCAGCTAATTTTGTACTTTTAGTAGAGAGGGGTTTTCTCCATGTTGGTCAGCTGGTCTCGATCTCTTGACCTCGTGATCCGCCCACCTCGGCCTCCCAAAGTGCTGGGATTACAGGCTTGAGTCACCGCATCCGGCCAAGGACACATCTTAATTCCCCATGATCAGATATGCACAGACTCCCTTCTTTAAGAATAAGCAAGATCACAACAGACAGAAAATCAGCCAGGATGGTGGCTCACGCCTGTAATCCCAGCACTTAGGGAGGCAGAGGCAGGAGGATCGCTTGAGCCCAGGAAGTCAAGACCAGCCTGGGCAACATAGCACGACCCCATTCTCCACAAAAGGGGGGTAAAAGTCAACAGACACAGGAAAAGATTGAACAGTGCAAAGCTGACCGATCTGAAACGCCAGACTAATTGGCCCCTTTCAAAGACCACTGCAAGAAACTGGAGAAATGCTTAGAAAACGTTCACTTTGTATTCTCCGTGAATAATTACAGAAGAGAGAGAGGGAGACACTGCAGGTGGGCCTCCCTCTGTGGCTTCCTCATGGATGCCTGAGTCACCCACAAGCAGAGGAGCAGGGCTGGGCCCGGGTATCGGAGCTGGCGGCAAGACCACATGGGAGAGCCCCACCCTCCGCGCTGCCTGACACTGCATAGGTGGCGACCCTGTGGCAGCTCTGACCGTCCCTTTCTTTTTCATGGTTGTGTGTGATAACTGATCAACCCAGAACGGAAGGAACAGGTGGGAAATGTACAAGCATGGGTCACGGGGTTGGGGGGCCGGACCTTGAGTCACATCAGATAACGCGCCCGTCCCAGGTCTCCCAGCCCACGGTGAAGCCAGCACTGTGAGGCCAGCTTTAGTCTCCCAGCGTTTACACACAGGAACATGCTTTGCAATTTGAGACACACAAATCTGTGGTCTGGACTTGCTATCTTTGAGGATCAGCAAAGAATTGTCTGGCTCCCGGGATGTTTTTGTGCTGCAAAGCAGAAACACAGTTCTGGGTACTTCTCCATTTTGTCCTGTCAGGAAGGAAACATTTTTAAAAGTCACCCCATGTTCATGATCTTGAGAAATCCCCAGCAGAGTTAATAGACATCACAAGAACTGCAGAATCAACAACAATGTGTGTTTCTTTCCTCTCTGTGGCCATGTGCCCAGAGTGAGAGATGTAATATAAGAAGCAGAGAAAATTAGAGATGGAAAAAATCGCAGAGAGGGAATGACTGGCCAAGATGTGAATCCTAATAGCAAATGGAGATGCTTGTAAGCATTCACAGCAGCAAGCACTTGCCGAAATTGCTACTCATACCAGGAGTGTAAGTTCTCCGCACACAATTATGTGAACAGCACAGTAGGTGAGGTGATATGGGACTATTCTCAGAAATGATCTGCTCTTATTTTGCACAAGAAAAATCAATGTAAGGAAAATATTGTCATATTTATCCATCAAACGTCATGCAATGTTCAATGAGATTTTTATATGATTTTAAAGACATCCTTTTTTATATGTCAATCCCCATATGATCTGCCAGCAGGATTTACACATCACTGCACACATTATAGTGAGAACACAGAAATTTTATTTTAACTCTGATTGGGTCTACAAGATCTTTGCATTCTTTTCCTGAAGAAAAATAGCTTTTTCTTTCTTTTTTTTTTTTTTAACAGAAGAGGGGAAAGGGCCAGGATGGCTGCCAAGAACTTCTTGGTTTGGTTCCAAAGCATTTTGAGCAGAATCTCTCAGAATGTCAAATGTAACGTCCCGTTCAGGGATTCAGTGGGATTGTTGGTGATGTGAGAAGAGATTGGGAAATAGAAAGTTCTTTCTCAGTTCTTCTCTCTGCTATAGTAGAGACTGTTGACTTCTACTTCTGGAAACTCCTCTCTTAGCTTCAGGACTTATTCTGATCCTCTCTTCCTACCCTGTTACCAAAGGAAAAAAAGAAAAAAGCTTCTATGACAGTCCTCTTCATGATGCGGTTAACTCTCTGTGTTTTCAAACCACAGCCATTGGTCACTGGCTTGTCCACCTACATATACCCCTTTTCCTTAAGGCAAAGAGTTCGAGATCACCCAACTGGTATTTTTCTGTCACCCTACTTTAACTCAAGATTCATATTTTCAGCTGCCTATAAGACATTTACATTTTAAACTCCTGTCATCATCTCCAACTCAACATTTCCAAAATAAAACATACTACCTTGACCTGGAAATACACTTCCCATACAACTTCTGGATCCCTCCCCACCAACCCCAGCCTGCCACCACTTTTTTTTTTTTTTTTTTTGACAGAGTCTTGCTCTGTTGCCCAGGCTGGAGTGCAGTGGTGTGATCTCGGCTCACCGCAACCTCCACCTCCTGCGTTCAAGCAATTCTCCTGCCTCAGCCTCCCAAGTGGCTGGGACTACAGGTGCCCGCCACCACGCCCAGCTAATTTTTGTATTTTTAGTAGAGGCGGGGTTTTACCATGTTGGCCAGGCTGGTCTCGAACTCCTGACCTCGTGATCCACCTGCCTCGGCCTCCCAAAGTGCTGGGATTACAGGCGTGAGCCAACGTGCTCGGCACCTGCATCCCTTTCAAAGTCTCCACCATTGCCACAGTCATCTTGCTATAAATCTTAGGTGTAATTTTTTTTTTCTCCTCCATTTGCTGTATTCATTTGGCTATCAATTCCTATTGGCTCTTTTTTCTAAAATATTAGTATCTCTTCTAGCTTTACTTTCCTCTCCACTCCTCTGCCACCTGCTGTGGTATAACTCTTTGTGATCGCTTCATGATCTCATCTTGATTCCGCTGGCCCTGCTTCTCTCTCTAACTCCAGTCTCATGTACCAGTGCCTATCTAATCTTTCCGCCATGTCACTTCCATATGCAGAACCCATTAGTAACATCAAGGTAAAACTTCCACTTGGCTTTTTTTTTGGAGGGGGAGGACAGAATCTTGGTCTGTCGCCCAAACTGGAGTGCAGTGGCGCGATCTTGGCTCACTGCAAACTCTGCCTCTTGGGTTCAAGTGATTTTCCAGTCTCAGCCTCCCGAGTAGCTGGGATTACAGGCACCCGCCATCACACCCGGCTAGTTTGTTTTGTTTTGTTTTGTTTTGTTTTGTTTTGTTTGTTTTGAGACGGAGTCTCGGTCTGTCTCCCAGGCTGGAATGCAGTGGCACGATCTTGGCTCACTGCAAGCTCCGCCTCCCGGGTTCACGCCATTCTCCTGCCTCAACCTCCTGAGTAGCTGGGACTACAGGCGCCCGCCACCATGCCCGGCTAATTTATTTATTTATTTTTTAGTAGAGATGGGGTGTCACCCTGTTAGCCAGGATGGTCTCGATCTCCTGACCCCGTGATCCCCCCGCCTCGGCCTTTTTTTTTTTTTAGTAGAGATGGGGTTTTGACATGTTGGCCAGGCTGGTCTCGAACTCCTGACCTCAACTGGCCCACCCGCCTTGGCTCCCAAAGTGCTAGGATTACAGGCCTGAGCCACCACACCCGGCTCACAATACCTTTTACTGTATTAGCCAAACACAAAATGGATTGTGAGAACTCACTCAATAAATCTGTAATTGGTTTTTAAATATAATAGGATAGAACACATGTATATTAATTTTAGGCAAATAAAAAGTATATTTCAGCCCTTTAAGAATGTGAATCTAGCCAGGCGCAGTGGCTTACGCCTGTAATCCCAGCACTTTGGGAGGTCGATGCGGGTGGATCATTTGAGGTCAGGAGTTCGAAACCAGCCTGGCCAACATGGTGAAACCCTGTCTCTACTAAAAATACAAAAATTAGCTGGGCGTGGTGGTACATGCCTGTAATCCCAGCTGCTTGGGAGGCTGAGGCAGGAGAATCGCTTGAACCTGGGAGGTAGAGTTGCAGTGAGTTGAGATCGCGCCACTGCACTCCAGCCTAGGTGACAGAGCGAGACTCTTTCTCAAAAAAAAAAAAAAAAAAAAAATCTGAATCTAAATGGAATAATTTGTCTTTTCCCCACACTGATTTAGCTGTGATGTCCTCTTTTATTATTCCAGAATCCTGATCATGACTTGGTTACAACTAAGACTAAAGAGATAGAAAAGGCCAAAACAAACTACAAAAACAAAAACAAAAAAAAACAATGGCCGGGAGCAGTGGCTCAAGTCTGTAATTCCAGCACTTTGGGAGGCCAAGGTGGAAGGATTGCTTGATCCCAGGGCAACATGGCAAAACCAAGTCTCTACAAAAAATTTAAAAAAAAATTAGCGGGGCATGATGGCATGTGCCTGTCATCCCAGCTACTCAGGAGGCTGAGGTGGGAGGATTGTTGAGCCCAGGAGGTCAAGGCTGCAGTGAGCTGCCTGGGCAACAGAGTGAGACTCTTTCTTTAAAAAAAAAAAAAAAAATGCTTTTCAGATGGGAATTTATGGGGAGTAGTTGAGAATACCATTTCTGGATGAGGACACTTGGACTATTCCAGCGGACATCCAGCTCCATTACCAACACCACCACTGAAGAGAGTGTTGGGGGCTGGGGAGCGGAAGAGAGGAGGGTAGGGTCGGCAGAGATGCAGACATAGGGAGACAGACAGGGAGAAGGTGAGATAAGGGAGAAATAGAAGAAATAATCCAAAACATAGGACTTTTTTTTAGAAGAAAATGTAAAAATGCATTCTCTGGCATAAGGAACAGTTTAGGATCATAGGGTAAGATTTTGATTTTAAATGTTTTGAGGCCATTTTCTTTAGGCCTAAGCCACTGGGTAGATTTAGATGGTGGGAGAGATTATTACAGCTTTCTCATGGGAAGCATTTCCTTTGCGATACCCTCTTCTTGAAAGCTTCACTCACTTCGGTTTTATTATAGGGAATGACTGATAATATGCCAATCCCACACATCTGTCTCAGTGGGTAAATAAATCACAGGAAAGAAGAATTTTGGTTTAAAGGGTAGAAATTCCAGCCCGACTTTGATTTCTGCAACCATCAGCACATCATAGGAATCCCACAATTGCTACCCCAGTAGAATGGGTAGTGCCAGCTATATATGGAGCCTGCCTTATTGCCATGGTGGCCTGTGCCACAGGGGGAGGCAGGCAGCTCACACCTCCTCAGCCCCGCAGGAGCTCAGCAATTCCTTTCCAGGAAGGAATGAAGGAAGGAAGGATCCTTCACTCCTTACCTGGGAATTGTGTCCTTGCAGGTTGCTATTTTTCATGGGCTTGGCTGCTTGAGCACCCTGGGGGCCCATATAATACATGAACCACTTTTCAGCACCATGTCTCTTAAATTATTCTCTGTGTCCATCTATATTTACTGTACAGAGATGGTTTCAACAAACAAGGTGGTCTCATTTGATATGGAGTTAAAGCCAGCAGTTGCTTTGCACAGAAGATCCACAGATTTGGTGGTGCTGTTATTTTTTAATGTTTATCTAAAACATAAAAAGGATTTTACTCATGGGATCCTCACCCACACCCCCCAGTTCTCAGTTAGAATCTGTTTTTAACAGGAGCTCTTACTAAACCTTAGTAAGAAAGGAAAAAAAGAAAGAGGAGTTACAAATTATGACTCCAGGGGCTGGCTGAATTAGCTTATATTAGAGAGTGAGCTGGCGGCAGGTATCAGTCTTTACTGTGTTTCTGCCTCTAGGGAGTTTGTTGAATGTGCTTTTGCGATGTAATTTATAAGGAAATTGGTTTTACCCAAAAGGACGTTTTTGCTTTATGTCTTGCAGCACCGTTGAGTGCTTAGAAAAAAGGAGAAGGTAATTCCATTAAGCTTTCAATTTTCACTGGCAAAAGAAATGAACTAGATGTGATTGGAAAGATAAGGCACTGGCCTTCACTTGAATGACCTTGCTACAGGGGTTGGGGAATAAGAAGCATGGCCTTTGTTCCAGAGATGTCATTTCATGTTTAATTAGAGGGCCAGAGTGCCATTTTTCTTCTTTATAAACCCCAATCTCACCCTGCTGAGAAAATATCCATTAAGTTCACAGTAGGCAGATCATCGGATCATCATCCTAACAATTTTGGGAGTCATGTGCTCATGCTGGTGACGCTTCGTGAACTAAAGAGCATGGGCAGGCCGGGTGTGGTGGCTCACGCCTGTAATCTCAGCTCTTGGGAAGCCAAGGTGGGAGGATCATCTGAGGTCTGGAGTTCAAGACCCCCCAGCTTGGGCAACATGGCAAAACCCCGTTTCTACTAAAAATACAAAAATTAGTCGGGCGTGGTGGCAGACGTCAGTAGTCCCAGCTACTCGGGAGGCTGAGGCAGGAGAATCGCTTGAACCTGGGAGGTGGAGGTTGCAGTGAGCCGAGATTATGCAGTGGCACTCCAGCCTGGGCGACAGAGCAAGCTCCCATTTCAAAAAAAAAAAAAAAAAAAAAAAGCGCGGTCAATGTTAAAATCGAGACATGCATGGAAGAGACAGGCCTGATGTTTGGGAAAGTGCAGATCGCCCTTGCATGGAAGTCAGCAGTCCATTCAGCCAAACCAAAAGGTTTCAGTAGAATTCCCCAATTCTCTTACTGAATCCACTCTCTTCATCTATTTTTTGAAGGACATAAGGCAAAAGTAACTTCAAAATTAAATAAATTGGCTGGGCGCAATGCTCACACCTGTAATCCCGGCACTTTGGGAGGCCAAGGCAGGAGAATTGCTTGAGCCCAGGAGTTTGAGACCAGCCTTGGCAACATGGCAAGACCCAGTCTCTACAAAAAGTTACCTGGGGCGTAGTGACATATGCCTGTAGTTCCAGCTACTCAGGTGGCTGAAGCAGGAAGATCGCTTGAGCCCAGGAGTTCGAGGCTGCAGTGAGCCGTGATGGTGCCACCGCACGCTAGCCTAGGCAACACAGAGAAATCCTATATCAAAAATAAGTAGGCCAGGCATGGTGGCTCACGCCCGTAATCCCAGCACTTTGGGAGGCTGAGGCGGGCAGATCACGAGGTCAGGAAATCAAGAGCATCCTGGCCAATATGGTGAAACCCCATCTCTACTAAAAGTACAAAAATTAGCTGGGTATTGTGGTGTGCGCCTGTAGTCCCAGGTACTCGGGAAGCTGAGGCAGGAGAACTACTTGAACCCGGGAGGCGGAGGTTGCAGTGAGCCAAGATTGTGCCACAGCACTCCAGCCTGGCGACAGAGCGAGACTCTGTCTTAAAGAGAAAAAATAAATAAATAAATAAAATTAAGGAAATAATCTCTGTTGCTCAAAGTTAAGATGTTTTCATGTATCTGGTAGGGTTTCTAACACAATCAAGTTCTAAACTGGTGCCTCCAAATGAGAAGCTGGATACAGTACTGCAATGCTGTGTTTTTGTTTTTCCCTTTTTGTGGGTGATCACTTAAAAATAGAGTTTCGGGAAGGCACGGTGGCTCATGCCTGTAATTCCAGCACTTTAGGAGGCCAAGGCTGGAGGATTACTTGAGGCCGGGAGTTCAAAACCAGCCTTGGTAACATAGCAAGACCCTGTCTCTATACACACACACACACATACAGTATTTTATTCTCTAAAATGGAACTGTCCAAAATGGTAGCCATTAGCTACATGGCTATTTAAATTTAAACTGGGCCAGGTGCACTGGGGCATGCCTGGGGGTCCCAGCCACTTGAGAAGCTGAGTTGGGAGGATCGCTTGAGCCTGGGAGGTCAAGGCTGCAGTGAGCTGTGATTGTGCCACTGCACTCCAGCCTGGGTCCTCATTACCATCCCCCCACCCAAAAAAATAAAAATACAAATAAAGAATAATTTAAACTGATTACAATTAAATCCAATAAAAATTCACTTCCTGGCTTCTTTGGTTTCCTGGTAAAAAAAAAATTCACTTCCTCAGTTACCGCAGCCACATTTCCAGGGTTCAGTAGCCACATGTGGCTAGTTGCTACCATATCGGGCAGCACAGATCTAAAACATCCCCATCACTGTTCCAAGGAGTTCTGTTGGATAGTACTGCTCTAGGAAAGATGGATAAAGTAGTTCTCCTATGCTGACATTTATGTATTCAGAATGCCCATTTATGTAGCAATTCAAATTCAATTTTTAAAATGTCATCAGATTTTTTTTTTTTTTTTTTTTTTTTTGAGACAGAGTCTTGCTCTGTTGCCCAGGCTGGAGTGCAGTGGTGCGATCTCGGCTCACTGCAACCTCCACCTCCTGGGTTCAGGTGATTCTCCTGCCTCAGCCTCCTGAGTAGCTGGGACTACAGGCCCGCACCACCATGCCCGGCTAATTGTTGTTATTTTTAGTAGAGACAGGTTTCATCATGTTAGCCAGGATGGTCTCGATCTCCTGACCTCGTGATCCGCCCACCTCGGCCACCTAAAGTGCTGGGATTACAGGCATGAGCCACGGCACCCAGCCATCAGACTGTTCTAGCTATCAATTAGGCCTTGCGATTTCATGGCCACCTGAATGCAACAGATTGGTCTCCTTCAATGGTGCATCTTCATTGACTCTACCTTCAAATATAATTGAATTCTCTTAAACTTGAGAATCTGCAGAAAGAGCTATAGAAAGCTTATAGTCATAGTGCCAGCAAGGACCCTCTGAATTTCACATCTTACTTGCTTTCTGCTTTGTTGAGAGAAGTCTTGTTTTTCGTTGTTTCTATTCACCCTTCTGCCTGAAGAAGCTCTATTGAGGGGGTGTGGCATTAAGGCTGGAAGGCTGCTTTGTTCCACACGAACCAACAGGAGTGGGCAAGGTCTATGAGCTGATATTTGCCAAGCAGACAACCCTTGCACTTACTCTCTCATCTTCCAATACCTGGATGCCAAGCTACGTGTTGAAGATCTGAGTCTGTTTCCATGGACGTGTAAGTAACGTGCTTAACTAGAACTGCTGACAACCCCTCTGGCAGCTTCTGTACCAGGAGACACAGGAGTGACAGCCACCTGTGGAAGTCCTGCCTTGTTTCAGGTTTGTCCTCAGATGAGATCCCAGTTTGGATGCGTGTACCATAGGTTCACCTTTGGTTGATACTTTTCCTGAACTTCACACCATTGGAAGGAGCCTCTCAGGGGTTCTGCATCTTGGGAATACATGCAGAGGCCCCAGTAGCATCTTACTACTGATTTAGATACATGTCCAATTTATATTGTAAGGCCTTTTTCATGGGTTCCATTGCACCATAAAATATGTCAGTTGGTTCTCAATTTCCCAAATGGCAAAGAAGTAGAAGTTAATCCTTTGTGGAAAGGCAACCTCAGGGCTATCTTGAATCCTTAAAGGTAGTGTGTTCTGAATACTTATTAAAGGAGGAGAAATTCGGTATGACTGTCTAAATGATGTCATTTTTCTGTCTGCTTTTGAACTCAGTCATTAAATAATTAATAATTCTCACCAAAGTGGGTATCCCTTGTTTTCTAAGTTAATTTCAAATATCTCATTTTCCTAAAGCAATTTTAATATTTGTCTCCTCCCTTCTTCACTCTCCCTTCAAATATACAGCTTCCATAGGTCAAGGGCTTTATTTTTGATACAGGAGTTAAGAAGAAATTACTTAGATAGACAGTGAGGGTAGGTAAGTCCTTGGGTGAGGCTTTTATTTTTAATGAAAAACAGCCCCAAATCATTTTTTAACAAAGAGCAGCCTGTAAAATCTAGTTGCAGGCATAGATGCCGGCAGTTGTGCCAATCATGTTCAAGATGGCAGCTCCATCTTCCCTTCTCTTTGTCAGCCACATGTAAAGTAAAGAGGAGACAAGATGGCCCCGGGCCAAGGGAAAAGTTCATTTGCATAATAAGATTAGGGTGGGGTGGCCAGCCTTCCATGCACACTATGCAAACCAATCTGTGAGCCTTATGTAAATCAGACACCGCCACTTCAAACCTGACTATAAAATCCAGCACATCCCCTGCTGGCCGGTCTTTTTCCTCTTGGAAGTCCCCTCTCTCTCACTAGAGAGCTGCTTTCCTTTCTCTTGTCTATTAAACCTCCACTCCTAAACTCCTCGTGAGTGTCTGTGTCCTAATTTTCCTGGGGCGAGAAGACAAACTCCAGGTATTTACCCCAGACAATGTAGCCACTTCACTTTGATGTGTCTGTTTTCTGATGAGACTTTAATGTACTTTAAGTTAGCACAAGGTCCCATCTTCAATGGTAATGCAACCATCATTCCAGTTTCTTTCGAGTGTATCTTTCCAGATATTGTATTCATATAGAAGTTTATTGGTATATATATTCTCTCCCCTCCTTTTACTAAATGGTAGCACACTCTACCTTATCTTTTTTGTTTAGCTATCTCAGAGATGTTTCCATACCCATGCATAAAGAATTTCCTCATTCTTTTTTATGGTTATGCAGTATACTGCTGTATAGATTTACCATAATCCATTTAACCATTTCCATATTGGTAAACATTTAGGTTGTTTCCAATATTTTGCTATTATAAACAACACTGCAAAGAATATGGTACTGTCATTTTACACTTGATGAATAAGTATATTGGAACAAATTCTTAAAAGTAGAATGGGTAAACAACACTTGTAATTTTGGTATTTTCTATCTATATTGCCTTCCCTATACATTGTCATCAGCAAAATACTGAATGTCCCTCATTTAGCCAACATTTCAAATTTTTAGAAATTTCCCATTTTATAGGTAAAAAGTATTTCATTGTTGTTAATTGCATTTACATTACGAATTAGGTGGAACATCTTTTAGTGTATATATATATAAATAATATAGAAATAATATTTACATAAAAAATATATTTTTAATGAACTGTCAGTTTATATTGATACCAGTCAGGTTGGTGGTGGCTAAGACTACAGTAGCTTGGACTCAAGAGGTTTATTCTCAAATAAATCATATTTAAAGATGAGTAGTTCAGGCTGGCATGAAGGCTCAAGTTTACTAGGGTATCATGTTCCTTCCTTCTTTCTCCAACAAATTAGTACATCTCTTGCATCTTAAAAGTCACTGTTATATGTAAAACGTTTATTTAGAAACAGAATGCTTGTTCCTTGGTACTGCAAGGAAAAATCAGCATTCAGACAAAAAGTTCTCTCAGTGAGACAATTTTACTTTCTGCAGAAAGGGTGCTCTTCGCAGATGGAACAATGGCGAGAGCACACCTGAACAAAGGAGGGAAGCAATTTTTATCCCTTACGCAGCTTGTCCCTGCTACTGTGTCCTGTGTCCACTGGCTGGAGCCAGACCGCACAATCTAAACTAAAACCTGACTGGCTAATAATTTAAAACTGTCCTAAATAGGTAAAGGCAAGGGAGAACGAAGGAAAAGAGGAAGTTGCTTATGCCAAATAGGGAAGGGGCATAAGCTGCAAGCTGGAACGTGCCTGTGAGCATGTCTAGCACAAATATCTTGGTTAAGGTACAAAGACATAGAATGTCTTATGTGCCTTGTGAGCATGTCTAACAGCTACATAGGCTAGGGCTTAACAAAGAGTTATTAGCACAAAGCAAGGAGGCTTGGAGGAAGTTAGTCTTTAAATTATTTCTAACATTTATGATTTATTATTATCCTTTAACAAGAAGGGAAACTTTGAAGAGGAAACTATATTTACTTTCTACAATTCTACAATAAATTGCTTTTATTTAGAAAGGGTGCTCTTGCCATTGTTCCATCTGCTAAGAGCACCCTTTCTGCAGAAAGTAAAATTGCCTTGCTGAGAGAACTTTTTGTCTGAATGCTGATTTTTCCTTGTAGTACCTGGGAACAAGCATTCTGTTTCCAACAGTCACCTATGTTCTCACAATAACTATTAAAAAAAAAACTAAAAAAAAATTTTTTTTTAAGTTTTTTTTTTTTTGAGACAGAGTCTTGCTCTTCTTGCCCAGGCTGGAGCGTAGTGGTGCAATCTTGGCTCACTACAACCTTTGCCTCCCGGGTTCAAGTGATTCTCCTGCCTCAGCTTCCCGAGTAGCGGGGATTACAGGCGTGTGCCACCATGCTTGGCTAATTTTTGTATTTTTAGTAGAGACAGGGTTTCATCACGTTGGCCAGGCTGGTCTTGAACTCCTGACCTCAGGCAATCCACCCGCCTCGGCCTCCCAAAATGCTGAGATTACAGGCGTGAGCCACTGCGCCTGGCCTCCTCTCCCTTTTAAGAAGCCTTACCAGAAGTTCCCTGTGATATTTTCATTTGTGTCTCAGCAAGAACTTAGTAACAAGGCTGCACCTAACCTTAAGGGAGACTGGAAAATGAGTTTTTTTGTTTTGTTTTTCCGAGACTGAGTCTGCCTCTGCGGCCCAGGCTGGAGTGCAGTGGGGCGATCTCTACTCACTGTAACCTCCACCTCCGGGTTCAAATGATTCTTGAGCCTCAGCCTCCCAAGTAGCTGGGACTACAGGCATGCACCACCACAGGTGGCTAATTTTTGTATTTTAGTAGAGACGGGGTTTCACAATGTTGGTTGGCCAGGCTGGTCTCAAAACTCCCGACCTCAGGTGATCTGCTTGCCTTGGCCTCCCAAAGTGCTGGGATTACAGGCATGAGCCACCACACCCTGACAAAAATGAGCTTTTTAACTAAGCACAAAGCCCAGATATCAGTTAATAAGAAAAAAGAAAATGAAAATATTCAGAGACAATTGGCAATTTCTTTTTTTTTTTTTTTTTTTTTGAGACGGAGTCTTGCTCTGTCTCCCAGGCTGGAGTGCAGTGGCGCGATCTCGGCTCACTGCAAGCTCCACCTCCCAGGTTCACACCATTCTCCTTCCTCAGCCTCCCGAGCAGCTGGGACTACAGGCACCTGCCACCACGCCCGGCTAATTTTTTGTATTTTTAGTAGAGACGGGGTTTCACCGTGTTAGCCAGGATGGTCTCGATCTCCTGACCTTGTGATCCACCCGCCTCGGCCTCCCAAAGTGCTGGGAATACAGGCTTGAGCCACCGCGCTCGGCCACGACAATTGGCAATTTCTGTCACAAATCCTTGGTTAGTGTTACTTTGGGTTTTTTTTCTTATTTGTAGAAGTTTTTTTTTATATGTAAAGGAAATTATCTCTTTGCCTGCTACAGGACTTACAAATGATTTATTTCATTGTTTATTCTTTTGACTTTGATTATGGTGTTTTGTCATGTAACTATTTTGATATTTTGTACAATTTATCAAGGTTTTCTTTTTTTTACAGTTTCTAAATTTTGAATCATATTTAGGAATGCCCTCTCATGCCAAAGTCTATCATGGCTTCTTCTAGTACTTTCACAAGGATTCAGAGCTTGAAAGATTCAACCCCAAGGTCAGAGACCTCTTGGAACCAAATTTCGTATCTAAGGTGTAGGCAATAGAAGTGGCAGCTGGCTCACTGGTTACTGGCTGGGATAATTCCATTATCTTTGGAGACTTATTAGAATAGTCTGACTCTATAATAGTATTGAATGGGACTCAAAGATTAATGCCACTCGCAGGTGCCTGCAGCATGGTTACAGAGCCTGGATGGCCATAGTACAGTAAGAATTTGCACTGAGTGAGATGCAGGTGGTGTTTCTGAAATGGAAAAGTAGCCAAATCAGAAATTTATTAGTAGGAAACACAAAAGGAATCCAAGGGATGTTCATCTGTAAACCTGAGAGAAGGTATTTTAAAACTGTCGCTGTTCACATTGGCAGGTGACTACTCACTCTAATAGCTCCTTCCTGCCTCTGGTGATACTAATGGACAGGGCAAAGTTCCCCAGCATACCCCATTACAGCCTGCAGCCACAGGGAGTTAGCGAGGGCTACACCCCTTTGCCTGGACATGACTAATCTCTTATAAATATCTTATTGATTTTGGTAGGCTGCTAATTATTTTTCCTGGAAAAAAAGTAATTTAAATAGGATGTGACATTGATAATGACATAGTTTGATTCAAAACACATTTTTAAAAATTTGATGAATACACACAAAGAGTTGTTAGTCAAACATCTATTAAACTTAGTCAAACATCTATTAAACTTAGTCAAACATCTATTAAACACAATTTCCAAAGCCGAATTCTAATGTTGTTTATAGCTCTGGATTGAAATATTCAGAGAATTGAATGTTCTTCTGGAGGTATGCAAATATGTTCTATTATAGGAACAGAAAGTTAAATGCATAGCAGTTGGAAACATCACCTTAATTTGTTCCTTCTAAAACCAATCAGACCCTGAAAAGCATTATATCATATACTCCAAGAGAGTGAGATGAATATTTGAAACCAGAGATAAACTTAATGCCACACATTAAAATAGCACTTTTCAAAAACAGTGAGATTATCTCCTTTGCTCCTCATCCTCACCCAGTGGGGTAGATGGGACACCAAAAGGAGGAAACTAAGTAATAATCAACTTGCCCAGGTGGCTACAGAGATAGTTTTTGGAAAAGCTACAATACAACCTAGAATTCCTGATTTTCAATTCTGATAAGTCATTTGACAGTAGCCAAAAGTTAATAAGAAAATAGTTTTTAACATGACTTACATGGGCCTTTCATTTCATGGGAAATTAAAACCATGGTGAATCTAAAGATTTTGTCCCCAAGCCATGCTGAGACTTACGGGTTATCATACTATTGGTTGATAGGTCTGCTTTTCCTTCTATGGCTAAGACAACTAGCACTCACCAGATTATTTTAGTAACTGGAAGAGGAAGAGGGGAACACAAGTGCCATACATGACCTCGTGCGACTCCACAAACTCTTTTTAAGCTTCTTGGAGAAATAAACAAGGTTTGTTAGTTGCAGAGGTAAAATGTGTCATAATCACCAAATTGATTCCTGTAGACATCTTCCGCTTGAGATGTATGCAAAGAATTTTTGTGAGGTACAAATTAGGTCAAATGTGTCCCGTGTTTTTTGTTTTGTTTTGTTTTTTTAAAAAGCAAAATTTTAAGGACTGACACAAGGGACATACAAAGGTTTGAACATCAAATTTTAATCTTGAAACCTTTTATCCAGTCCTCAAATTATTAACATGAAAAGGAGTGATAAATCGCAATTTTATCATTACCATATCACTGTGTAACAAGCCCTTGTTACAAAATCTCCCTCTACTGTCTGCAAAAAACCAATAGAAAACCCATACATTATATTACCTAATGATCTATTAACAGATGAAATTTTAACCAACTTTATACCAGGAAACTATGAACAGAGGTACTTCAATCACATAGCTTAAAATATGGAGAAAAGACAGGTAAAAAAATTATCTTAACCTGTAGTAGTCTTTTTTCTTTTTAAAATTTTTATAAAATACACTAATTTCCCAAAATAAAGAATATTATGACACATTGGTGTCAACTTACACAGATGAAAGCTGATGCCAGCTTTTTCCTAACTAAAGTTCATTTCACCAAACCTTTATATATTACATGAATATCCAAGTAAAGTATTTTTTTTTTAAATTCAACACACAGGAACATAATATACATTGTTTTTTTTTAAAAAAAAGGTTAATTTAGGAATGATTTCATCTTCAACCACATAAAGTATCTTTTTAAGACCATGAAACCTCTTGTCATTGCAAGACTTTTCAGTTCATGTTTCTATTTCCCAGTTTTAATTCTTAAAGGAAAAAAAAAAAGATGAAAGGGTTTATTATGTATTTCCCATGAGAAAACTGTGGTAAGGATCTTATTCATTACCAGGCTGTCTTCCCTCCTTTTGTTTTCCGGACTACCCAGATCCATGACTGCGTGGCACCGTAATGAAATCGGTGGGAGAGGCCAATGACATCAAGGAATGGATATAAAAAGACAGGCTCTTCTGGATCCTGCCACAATTGTAAGGTGTGGGCAAATTCACTCCCACCAAGCCTTCCAGAGCTCCACAGTCACAGGAGTAGTCTCCTGGTTAACTCATCCTTGATGTCTGTCTGCTGGGAGGACATAAAAGACCACTTTCACTAATGACTTGTGTAGTGGCTAATGCATGCCTTAGCCAGAGAGGGAGCGAGTGCACTGAAGAGACCTTGGTCAGTAGTGGCTTTGGGGTAGAGAAGAGAACACTGTTTATTTTTACACCTCCTGAATTGGTCAATTCTGAGTACAAACTCATCTTAACAGGAAATCGCAATGAAATATACACACCATGCACAGTCTATATTACTGTGGGAATCCAGTAATACATGCAAGACGTGGGGAAAGAATCACAATGGATGAATATGAACTTTTCACAGTGTTTCTTATAGCCTTTGACTTAACACGAGTGCATCACTTACCACCACTATCTCACAAATGTTTTACTTGTGTCCTGGGCATGCAGGTCAGTTGGGGTAAAATGTGAAATGACGCTTCATAGCCATTCTCAGACAGTGACTACAACTTCAATTTCCCCTACTTTCCAACCAAACAATTGAGCTGCTTCTGCTATAAAACTAAATATATTTCTAAATACATTTTGTTCAAGGGTTGTGCTGTATTCTTTCTCATTGTTTCAGTCACTTCATTCTAGGAAAATTAAAAACCCACACAATTAAATTGAGGACTAGGTCTTCAGGGTGATTCCTACCAAACTAGAAAGAGAGGGAATCACTAACTTCTCTTCTCTCAAGTTTCTGTCTCTCTACCCCAGGCCCTAATTGATACTGATTCATTTGTATGTTTGGTTTCCCAAAGAAGAAAACCAAATTAGAGAACTGGGATTTCTATCTTAAAGAAGCAAAACATAACCCCAAAATATAATGGTAGCAGGGAGGAGGAGAGGGGAAAATGCATTCACTCTATGTCAAAACGAATCTCTTGCTCTCAACAGGAGATAATCCAGCTTCTCCTTACCTATCATTTCATAAATTAATAATTTCTTAAAATCATAATCCAAAGAACGTATCTATTATACGAAAAGTTCAAGTTTAAAAAAGCAAATAAATTAGTTAAGCCTTGTAAACAATTGTCCATTTTAGTCATATATCTTAAAAAAAAAAAAAAGTTTCTCTGTGTAGTAAATCAGACAGTACAAGGCACACCTTATACATCCGAATCCAGACTAACAAAACCCACACAAACATCTTCTTCATTCTGCTCGCTGGGGTAACTGTGCTGGGGCATCAGAGTCACATACCAATCCTTTGCTCATCTCCTGACCATCTGGAAGTCCACAAATGTGCTCTTTCTGTTAAACTGCTTTGTGCTACTTTGTTGTGTGAAGTGATTTTAAGCTTCTTCAGTGTCAGTCTCCTCATATGTTTTCCACAAAGCTTCCTGGGAAAAGGCCAGTTTTCCCATTACGTTGTAATGTGCCTTTGAACCAGCCATCCTCTCGTTTTTTATGAACAAACACAATATCTCCTTCTTTAAGTTCAAGTTCTGCCTCACTCTGAGGAGGATAGGAAACCACCACCCTGTGCCTAGAAAAGAAAGAGATTTTGGTTAAGGCGATTCAAAGCAGTGATTTTAAAAAATGGTGTACTGTTAGTCTGCACGAACCTTCAACATAAATAGGAAATAACATTAATTCATTTATGATTGTAAAACAACTCAAAATACTGCTATTTTCTGTTTAGTAGAGACTTAGTACTAACAAAGACTGGATTTGGATATGTGTGTCAACCCACTACTGATGGCCCAGACTGGTTCATCTGAGTGACCTTAACAAGGACAGCCATCCTTGTTCCCTACCAGTGTTTGTATCTTGGCCATAAAGGAGAGTTTCATTTCATTTCCCGAGAGGGGTATCATTTCTATCCCTCCCTCTTCTCCAAGGAAACAGGAGTGAATTTATTTGATTGGTGAGACTGGGAGAAGTAGCTGAGCAGGGGGGGTTCAGTCCTCTCTGAACCGCCTGCCCACAGGCTAAGGAGGCTCTGCTCCACCTCTATGTTGTAAGCACACAGAGGTCAGGAAGGTGAGTCTGGAAGTCTGTCTCTGTGTCCCTACGTCCCTTACACTGGTGTTTGACATGGGCGAGGCAGCAATTCTGAGGAAGGTAATCTGCCCCACATACCCAGATTATCCCTTGGGAAGGTAGTCCCAAGGTCCAGACATGGAGGGGAGGGCTATGGCCACAAGTTCAATCCAACATTACCAGTAACGAGGTTGACATTCTCATCTCTATTATTCTGACATTTGGGTCTGTTTCTCCTTGGCTCAGAATTTGGAGTTAGTGGGAAAGGTGTCATTATCGCTTAAAAATGGCAGAAGCTTAGTTGGTTTAATATTATCTGTGCCCCTGCCTCCATGCTCCTTAGCCTTCCTGTGCAGAATTACAGCTTGTAGGAAACGAGAGGGAGGTGACTTGTTTTACACTCTATATCCTTTTATCTTTCTCTATTTTTCCAGCATTATTTGCATTACTCCTCTTCTCAACAAAAGGGGGGAAAAGAATGGTGGTGTATGGTAGCCAACCTCCAAGATGGCCCTAGTGATCCTTGCTTCCTGGTATTCACACTCTTGTGTAGTCTCCTCCTATGATGCACAGGATGACCTGTGTGGCCAATAAAATGTTGCAGAAATGACAGTGGGTGATTTCTGAGGCTAGATCATAAAAGGCATTATGGCTTCCACTTTACTTTCTCTTGGATCGGTCACTCAGGAAAACTGGCTGCCATGTTGTGAGGACACTCAACATCTCTATGGAGAGGAAACACATGGTAAGGCACTGAGGCCTCTTTCCAAAAGCCTAAACTAACCAGAAAAAGTGATGTGAATAAGCCATCTTAGAAGGGGATCCTCCAGCCCCAGTTGAGCATCAGCTCAGGCTGATGTCTTGACTACAATCTCAAGAAATACTCTAAGCCAGAACCAACCAGATGAGCTGTTCCATAATTATGTGACCCACAGAAAGTGTGAAATAATACATGCTTATTATTGTTTTAAGCCACTGACTTTTGGGCGTAACTGGTTACATGGCAACAGATATCTAATAAATACATCTTTCACTGTTTGATGCTAAGTAATGAGTAGTCAGTCATAAAGTTGATTTTGGGTTTCTACTTTCATTTGGTTCTCAAAGTCAGAAAATGAGTGTATAGCCTCGTGGGACCCACTCCTGACTGAAAGTGAAAAATATTATGGCTTCAAAATGATAGGCAGAACAAATTCTATACAACTGTCCCCAAACTTCTGAAACCTATTACAGCCTGCCCCTTTCACCAATTCCCATTCCATATAAACCAAAATCCATTTAAGAAAGACCACAGCAAGAGTCCCAGACTATTACACTAAAAAAACACATCTCTGCAAAAGGTAAGTGGCTGCTTGAACAACCTGAGCTCCTTTGGCACAGGGACCAAATTACTACCCAAGATCTGAAGCAAAAGCACAGCACAGAAGTTGGCTTATCATATCTGAGAAAGGTTCAGCTAATTCAAACATGAATATTCATAGACCACAAGGCTGGGGTTTGATCAAGCATGGAATGAGGAAGGAAGCATGACACAGCGGGAGAAACACTGGCCTAAGGATTGACACAGTCTTTAAGGTCAGTTAGAGCAGCTTAACTTTGGGCCAGTTATCTCAGCTCTCAGTCTGTTTCCTCATCTGTAGAATAGGACTGTAATGAGTTAAACAAGTATGATGCTCTTCGTATGGTGTCTGACAAAGAGTTCAACCTGAAAATATTAGCTCCCATTATGATCATATGGCTTAGACAAGAGTAGGCAGAGGCCTGGCACTTCAAGGAGGTGAAGAATGGGCCAGTCAGTGGCTGGACATCTCTAACTAGGAAACGAACTCAGGCCACAACTCAGGCCTCATTTCCTGAAAATGAGATTTGACAAACTTTAGATCAACACAGTTAGGGTTTTGGAATCCCTTCTTTGATATCTTTATTTTGAGACGGTCTTACTTTGTTGCCCAGGCTGGTGTGCAGTGATGCAATCACAGCTCACTGTAGCCTTGACCTCCCAGGCTTAACTGATCTTCCTACCTCAGCCTTCCGGCTGGGACTACAGGTGTGTGCCACCAAACCTGGTTAATCTTTTTACTTTTTGTAGGGATGGCATCTCACTATATTGCCCAGGCTGGTCTTGAACTCCTTGGCTCAAGCAATCTTCCAGCCTCAGCCCCAGAAAGTGCTGGGATTATAGACATAAGCCGCTATGCCCAGCTCTCTGACACCTTTAAAAGCAAGACAAATAATTTCATCATGAATTTATCTGAAAGAAGGATCCAGATGACATTTCTCAAGTCTAATGTCAACATGCTAAAAATCCATGAAAAAGCAATGATGTAGTTGCCATGTGGGGCAAGTTAAACATTTAAGGCAAAGCTTTATAATTCTGGGAAAAAATGTACAAGTGACTCAAAACATATTCAGAGTAGACTTCTCATGAGATATATTCCCTACTTGTTCTCTGTGAGCTGCCTTAAAGGTGAAATGGAATAAAAATGGTTATTGAAAAACTTGAAGTGAATTAGATTAATATATGCATTTTATAAAATGCACTAAACCAATTTTGTCAAAAAAAAATTTTGAACTAGAACTGCTGCTGGGCTAAGAACATACTCTTCCTGCCAAGTTCCCAGTGGGAGCAAATTTTCATTGCTAAGTTTTATAAACCTCTGGGGGGGCGGGTGGAATGAGAAACTATGTGCATAATGGAAACTGTGACACAGTCTTGATCGTATGAAGACTACCAGGTGCAGGAGTAATAGACTCTACTTAGAAATCTTCCAGCTCAGGTCCTGATCTTGAGCCTTGTGAGGTGGTTTGCAGTTTTCTAATACAGATTTGTAAGGCCAAATACTGGGCATAACTGGCCAACTATTTCAGGCATTGAAAGGCTTTGCCAAGTAGAACATTTACAGACCAACAAACAGATGTAAGGCACAGCTGCAGAGGCCCTTTACATCTGCTGCTCCACCCTCTGCCTCACTCGGATTATGCTTTTCTTTATATGAACAGGGGTTTGGGGAAGTTCTGAACCTCAGGGGTCAATGAATACTCTCCCATGACCTACATGGGACCTGCTGATCTACCTTCAAAATCTGCATCCCATCCACTCCTCTTCATTGTCACTGTCACTATCCTGGTTGATGACTTCATTACCTTCCACCTCGTCAAATATCTTTTTTTTTTAAGACTGAGTTTCGCTCTTGTCACCCAGGCTAGAGTGCAATGGCACGATCTCAGCTCACCACAAACTCCGCCTCCTGGGTTCAAGCAATTTTCCTGCCTCAGCCTCCTGAGTAGCTGGGATTACAGGTGTGTGCCATCATGCCCGACTAATTTTTGTATTTTCAATAGAGACAGGGTTTCAATATATTGGCCAGGCTGGTCTCTAACTCCTGACCTGGTGATCCACCCACCTTGGCCTCCTTCAAGTCTCTTCCTGTCCCCAACCCAGTCTATGCAGAGCTCACATACTAATATTCTTAAGTGGCAACTCTATTTGCAGCTACCCACTGCCAAAAAATCATTAACAGCTTTACAATGCCTGTGAGCAAGGTTAATCCTCAGCCTGGTATGCGAAGCCCTTGGTGATCAGGCCCTAATCTCTTTTTACACAGCTGTAGCTACTACTATCACCACAAAAGTCCCAAACACTCCCCTAAGCCTGAACATGTCCCCTATTCAGGGCCTTTACTTCCCCCACGCCACACCTTGGCTCATGCAGTTCCTTCTAGTGGGAGTCTCCTTTGACGCTATCTCTCCCACCCATACCCTATCACTCTCTCAAAGCCTGGCTCCAGTTCTCCCCTGTGAAATCTCCAGCCCCATGGCTGGAGGCAATTTCATGCTTGACTAAATCGCAGAGGCCTCCATGTATATGTCTTACAGCACTTAGCACAGTCTACAATGTATTATTACCATCTGTGTCCGTCTCGTTTATTCTACCAAACCATAAGCTGCTTGAAGGATGAGATGATGCTAAATTCACTTTATATGCCTCATAGGACTTAGCATAGTACCTTTAATTCTTAATAAGCATGTCAAGTGGCAAAAAGAAAAAGCCTAGTTGTATAGAAAAACTGTTTTTTAAAATGTACAAAGCTCCTTAAAAAGGAATGAAATTCTGACACGTGCTACAACAGGGATGAACCTTGCAAACGTTATGCTAAGTGAAATAAGCTGCATGCACACAGAAGGAAGACTATTGCATGATTCCACTTATGAGATGCCCAGAAGTCACTTACGGGGAGAGAAAGTAGAAGGGTGGTTGCAGGGCCTGGAGGAGGGGGAATGAAGAGTTAGTGCTTAATGAGTACAGATTCAGTTTAGGATGAGAAAAAGTTCTAGAAACGGATAGCAGTGAATGGTTGTATGACAACATGAATGTACTCAATGCCACTGAATTGTACACTTGAAAAAATAGTAAATTTTCATGTATACTTTACCACAATTTAAAAAATAAGATATATGAATGAATAAAATTTTTTGTTTAAAAAAAAGGCAAAAAAAAAAAAAAAAGAAAGGAAAAATGTATAAAGCTGACTGGCACCTTGGTTGGAAAGCACCCCTTGTTCCCTTTGAACAAAGCGCTGTGGAGGCATTATGGGGTGACCAGAGTGGCTCACAGACCGGTCCCTGAATGGCCTCTGCCTCTTGGTGGCTGTGTGACCTTAACTCAACTTTTGGTGATAACTGCCAAGGTACAATTCAAGAAACAGAGTCTTGCAATATAAAGAAGCTCCACAGACTTCCAATGCTATGGTATTTTAACTTCCATCTGAATGGGCATTTACAATCTTTTATTAGTATACATTTCCTGTTTCCTTTATTTTTCTAGCCTCTCTGGTGTTCTCTGTAGTTCATACATTTTCATTTCTAATCGCCCCTGGTATAGCCCAAATTGGCTCCCATGTTGCTCTGGGAGGCACTCAGTTCATCACTCTGACCTGGGTGAGTAACCACTTACTGCTTTCTACCAGTTGCCACAGCAATCTAATATTCAATTAAGTATTTCACTGGCATAACCATACTAGTTCCCTTTGTAGCTTGCTCCAAGTCCAAGTAAATTACGTCCATTGCTTCACCCAGTGGGTTCCTTGTCACTGATTCAAAGAAATTAATCATGCTGGTTAAGCCCAGCTGCCTTTCTGTAAATCTATCTCTATCCAATTTGTATGTTTCCAAGTGTTCTAGCTTAATCCCTGATCAAAGATCATACATAGATTTTTTTTTTTCCCCCAATTTAGGAGATGAGCTTATAGGTATGTGGTTCTCAGTTTAATTCCTACATTTAAAAATACACACAGATAAAGATGACTTGCTGTGTCTCCCTGAACTCTTTATATATATATTTTTTTTCTTTGGAAGAAAAACCTGTCATATACTTTCTTTTATTTGCCATCCCTTCTGAAATATTTTCTTTCCACTTTCTCTTTGCAATTTCCTAATTATTTTTTTCTCAATCCCTCTAAAATAGAGCCTAATATATTTGTTCTATTGTTTCTGCTGTCATCAATTATACATTTTCTGCCTCCAGGATATAGCACTATTTCTTGCTTGTTTTCTTCAGTCTCTCTAACAAACACAGAAGAATCCTTTTGTTCCTAAGAGAATTCTCTCTGCTGACACCAAGACCTGTCAACACACTTCAAGGTTCATCCTTTCTTACTATGAGATTGCTTAAGTCTTTATACCACGTGGTTGCTTCTTTCCATTGACAGCACCGGCTGCCCCAGTCACATTCTTTTTTTTTTTTTTTTTTTTTTTTGAGATGGAGTCTCGCTCTGTCAGGCTGGATGGAGTGCAGTGATGCGACTGTGGCTCACTGCAACCTCCACCTCCCGGGTTCAAGCATTTCTCTGCCTCAGCCTCCCGAGTAGCTGGGATTACAGGTGCCCGCCACCGCGCCTGGCTATTTTTTTTTTTTTTTTTTTTTTTGTATTTTTAGTAGAGATGGGGTTTCACCATCTTGGTCAGGCTGGTCTTGAACTCCTGACCTCGTGATCCACCCACCTTGGCCTCCCAAAGTGCTGGGATTACAGGCATGAGCCACCATGCCTGGCACATTCTTTTACTTTAGATGTATGAGATAGGGTCATGGTTTGAGAGGAAATTTTATGCTTGTTCTCATTATAATCTGTAGATGAATCCTACCTCATAGTGTCCCAATAATATAAATTGAAAAATACTTCTGTGAAATTCTACCAGTCAGTAGAATTTTTACCAAAGGAACCCTGGGCTCCTTCTGCATTTTGCCAGGGCAAGAGTTGTTGATGCTTGTATTGTAAATCAAGGATTATTCTTAGATTCTGAAATGTTTTCTCAATCATACTGATATAAAAGTTAATCTTTCCTTCATTTTCAGCATTGAGCACTTTTTATTGTGTTGAAATGTTTAAAATATGAACACAAGTAATCCCTAAATTCTATACTTGGTGGCTTTTAATTAATCAAAAACTTTCATTCCCAGTGAATAATATAACATTTTCCTATATGTTACCGCACATTTTTCCTGTTATTTTTACTGTGAGACAGATCTAAGAATCCAAGGTAAATAAATACTATCACCATCACTGTATGAAAGCAAAGGCTGTGGAAAGTTGGTCAGATTGGCTATTATATTTAATATTCCATTGAACATATGGATTATAAAAATATAAACTTGGGTAGAAATCTTCTCCAAAGACCCCTTTCCCACTTGTAAAAATTTAAATGGTTATACAAAAAAACCTATCAAAGAATTCCAGCATGCCCAGGCCCATCTGTCCTGTCATTACATTCTCCATGTTCCCTATCTGATGTGCATCCCCCGCTCCCTGAAATGCCATCACCTGTCTGAGCTAGCAATTCCTTCTTTTCAGATGAACTGAACAGCAGGAGCCTGCTGTTAGAAAGGAGCCCCTCTAAGAGGAAGGGACCGGAATGCAGAAGCCGTAGAGACTGAGGACATCTGGCAACTGAAAAGGAATGCACTGGGGGAGGGAGGCTGCAGTGCCCATGCCAGTGCCTAGGGAGAGTCTGGGCAAAGTGAACCATCACTCAAAAGAGTCACACAAATACCACAAATGAGAGGGAACACAGGAGAGATGCCCTCAGGGCTTGAAGGAAAACTGCAGATCAATGCCTGGAGGGAGGGAGGGAGGCTTTGTGACCAAGAGAAAGCAAACAAGTAACTGGACCAACTCCAGGGACAGAAGGTGCTATCCCTGGAAAGCAGACCAATACAGCAGGAAAAAGGTTGACTCTTAGAGTAAGAGATTCAGTGAATTCTGGACAAAATTTCAAAGCTTTACTAAGAGCACAACAGATGAGAGGAAAGATAAAATGATTTCATTTGTAGGGAGAGAACACTTTTTTAGGGTAATGGCTCATTTTAAAACTGGTTTTAGGGGGTTAGAACTATAGAAAATTATTGTACAGCACTATAAAAATAAATATCATAAATTGTGGCTGGGCTCCATGGCTCATGCCTGTAATCCCAGCACTTTGAGAGGCCGAGGCAGGTGAATTGCCTGAGCTCAGGAGTTCGAGACCACCCTGGCCAAGATGGCAAAACCCCATCTCTACTGAAAATACAAAAAAATTAGCCGGGCGTGGTGTGTGCCTGCAATCCCAGCTACTCAGAAAGCAGAGGCAGGAGAATCACTTGAACCCGGGAAATGGAGGTTGCAGTGAGCCAAGATTGCACCACTGCACTCCAGCCTGGGCAACAGAGTGAGACTCCCATCTCAAAAAAAAAAAAAAAAAATCATAAATTGTGAGCTTTGCACTTAATGTAAGTAGGTTTGAAATTTATTCTTTTCCATTTTTCCCAGTTTATTTTTAAGTTAAAAAGTGTGCCAAAAATATGAATGCAGGCCTCAGGTTTTGGTGGATACAAATATACATATGGCTTCATCTGAAATACAGAGGTAAGGTGAATTTAAGGCATTTAAAAACATAACACTTTATAGTAAGATTTCAAGTCGGCAACATAGAAAATGCTACCAAAAAAGCAATACCTCCACAAAGCAGAAATTTGCTTTATTTATGAAATGCAGGCACAGAGGAAATGAAGCTTACAGAAACAATAAAACAGATGACACTTAAGACAAATACTATATATTTATATAAGATATAAAAAGAGTCCACTATTTTGAGTATACTTCATGATGCTTTCCTATGTAATGAATAGTGCCTCATTGTTGAGTTTAAATAATCCTGGTAGCTATTTGTCTCATTAAATAATATATTTTCTTTCCTAACACATTCCTAGAACCCCAGTGGGGTATCAAACAGAACTGCTCCCTTTTGTAATAATTATTCAAGGCTGGAATCACTAAAACAGGGCTTATTACTCTGAGTGTAACTGAATCAAGTCACTTGGTCAGGAGGAGAGTCAGAACTGAGACTGAGAACTTAGCCATACCCTTCTGGCTCAGGAAGAAGAAGAGAGTTCTTCGCTAGACATCGTGGCTCACGCCTGTAATCGCAGCATTTTGGGAGGCTGGGGCAGGAGAATGGCTTGAGTTCAGGAGTTCAAGACTAGCCTGGGCAACATGGGAGACCCCGTCTTTACAAAAAAATTAGCTGGGAATGGTGGCACATGCTTGTGGTCCCAGCCACTCAGGAAGCTGAGGTGGGAGGATCACTTGAGCCCAGGATGTTGAGGCTTCAGTGAGCTGTGATTGCACCACTGCACTGAAGCCTGCGCAACAGAGCAAGACCCTGTCTCAAAAAAAGAAGAGAGTTCTCTTAGCTGACAGAATTCTCTAATTCAAGCTTGTCCAACCCGTGGGCATGCAGTGCAACACAAAATTCATAAACTTTCTTAAAATATTGTGAATTTTTTTTGCAATTTTTTTTTAGCTCATCAGCTATAATTAATGTTAGTGTGTATATATATGTAATGTAAAATATTTTTTAACAGTATATATGTGTGTGTGTATATATATTTATTATTATTATTATTATTATTTTGAGATGGAGTCCTGCTCTGTCACCCAGGCTGGAGTGCAGCGGCATGATCTCCACTCACTGCAACCTCTGCCTCCTGGGTTCAAGCGATTCTCCTGCCTCAGCTTCCCAAGTAGCTGGGATTACAGGGACTCGCCACCACGTCTATTTCTTTGTATTTTAGTAGAGACAGGGTTTTACCATGTTGCTGGGATTACAGGCATGAGCCACCGTGCCTGGCCATATGAGTATATTTTCAGTGTGGCCCAAGACAATTCTTCCTTCAGTGTGGCCCAGGGAAGCCAAAAGATTGGACATACCTGCTCTAGTTGCTTCACAACTAGCAGGAAACGATGTAAATTTTTAATAAAAAAGGCAAAAAATTAAAAAAAAAAAAGACAGCAATTAGTGGCAACGGAATAGAAATAAGAAAGAAGTAAATCCATGAACAGTTTCCCAGTGATTGACAGTTTTTACCTGGACACAATTCAGGCGTGGCAGAGTAGAGAAAATAAAGGAAAAGGAAGGCTGGGGACCAACCCATTAAGAAACACGGAAGGAAAAAGGAAAACAGAGTATGTCATGTCAAGTGGGAAAAGAAATTCAGTGCTTATTTTCATAAGCTCAGTTTCAAAACATTTAGGAAGATGTGGCAAAACATCTTAAATATCACAATAATGTTCCAGCCTAAAGCCTATTGTTCATTTTTTAGTTTTTTCCTGGAACGAAGTTGAACTTACCTTTCACAAACGACAGGTCTAGACTCATTCAAGACAGGACCCAGGGAGGAACAGGCCTGGCGAGGAGGTGGAGCGATGGGAACTGCGGAGTCCAGGGAACTTGCCTTCCTATGAAAAGCATCCTGGGCCAGGGCTGCTCCTGCCACTGCAGTCGTGACCGGTCCGTCCCCGTCCACAGGGCAGGAGCCTGCCCTGCCATGGCCACCTCCTGGTGGCAGTTCGGGCCCCACCGCTCCCTGGAGAGGAAGCTCTGCACTGCCCAGCTCCACTTCTAGGGTGGGCGATGCTGGAGGAGACACGCGGGGCTTCCGTTTAGTGGAGGCGCCAGAAAGCAACTTCAACAAACCCTTTTTTTCTTTCTGGAAAAAAAAAATAATGAGCCTTAGTTGGAGAATGACAGTACTATTGCTGGTGTAATCTAAAGGGCCCTATAGTTCATTACTACTTTTTAATTTTTAATTTTAATTTTTGTGGGTCCATAGTAGGTATATGGGGCCTTATGGTTTCAATGTTCGGTTTGATCTTTTTACATTATTTCTGTTGATAACTGGTTATTCATAATCTGGCCACCAAGTTTTGTGTGGTGCTAACCTGACCTTTTGCTTCTCCTCCTTCTCCCTTTCTGCTATATATTTTTTTGTTTGGTTTTGGACATTCCGTTGAAGTAGGATAAACCGATAAAAAAGATGTAAGACAATAAAACTCACCCAACTCACATCCCAGGTTTGGTAAAAGCATTAGTAGATATTTTAGGATAAAATGGAAATTTCAGATTATGGATTTAATTTCCTGAACTTCTGCCTATCCTATCTCTAATTACTGTAAGAGAGCTGACTATGCAGAATTAAATGTAAACCTGACAGCACTCTATTCCACAGGCATGGACGTGAGCCTTATCATTTACAGGCAGTGATCAGAGTTAAGAGCTAAACCACTTCTCACATGTCGCCACCTTGATTAAATGTAACAAGCCAATAAAACAGAAGTCAAACCACATCTCCCTTGCAAGTACCTCCTTGATTAGACATCCATTTTAAGGAAAGCTTCAGTATATTTATAAACAAGTTGATTTCTCTTTTTGCAAGCAAATATACAAATAAGCGTGTTTTTGTTTGTTTGTTTGTTTGTTTTTTCAACTATTTCAATTCCACAGAAGCCATCTCTTGAATTTTTGTCTCTTGATACTTTCTCTCTTTGGTCTGCTAGGAAAATCAGATGTCAAGAGAGTGCTCCTTCATTCTGAAACCTTAAGCGTGAATGTTCTTTCTGATGACCAAGCTTAACATGATCCTTTTAAATTGTTTTACCAAGATGTCAACTACATCATTAAGTTCTCTGAATGGAAGCACTGCTTGAAAATGAAACACTTCATAGAGAACTATTTCTTTAGAAAATTCTGTAGGCAAATTGGAATTATTAAGGCCCACTAACAGGGAAACAGAAATTATAAGGGACCTGCTGAGGAATTTTTCTTGGGAATAATAGCTTAGGCTCAGTAAAAACTCCTTGGGAAAATGAATCTAAATCCCTAACAACATTGTTCCATTAGAGACAGTATGGCAGAAAAAAGGAGACAAAAGCAACATTTATCAGACTATGAGGAAGCATCCCAGGGACAGTGCACCATAGTCCCCAGTTACCTAACGCTGCTCAAGGACATGTGAACCTATGGGCTAGAAATGGGAAGAGAGGGTGGGAGTGGGTGCTAAGGTCATTTCTGTACTTGCTTGACCTGGGCTATAGATGAGCAGAGCCAGCTGATCCCCACCACCCTGCAACTCTCCCGGGTAGAGGAAGATCCTTTTGCATTTCTCTTTATAGCCTGTCCTCAGCTGATCTTATGCGCTTTCGCTTCACTCATTCAATGCCACATTTTCCGTGGGGCTACTGTGTGCATTCTAATGAATGTCCTCACAAACTTGGACTGCCTGCATAAGTGCAGTGGCAGTGCTGTATATACCTCTCTATCTCACCCAGTGCCTAGTGCAGGGCCCTACACCTACTAAAGCTTAGAGGCTGAGAAAATACTGGAAGAGGATGAAACCAGTGGAAGGAAGGAAAAATATAGCTAGTGCCAGGCCTAAGGAAATAAAGGATATGTTGGATTCCCCAGATCCAGAGGCAATAAAGCCTTTCAATGAGCCTTTCAATAAAGCCTATAGTCAATGAAGTGGTCTGACTAAACACCTGCCACTGCTGCTCTGTACTTATTGTAGACAGCCTGAGGTCTGGAAGGCCAAGAGATGACATGCAAAAGAATAATGTCCAGTAGCTTCCACTTCTAAGGTAGCAGTCAGCTGCAACTTCCAGCTATTCTTGCCATGATGTAAGAAAGCACACACTAGTCCACGGACCCCCAAAGGTCCAGTGAGAACATCAAGTCCATTGATAAATTACAATCTCAGCAAGCCACAGCTAAAGCTGTTTCTTAAAAGCTCAGTTCTGAGCACTCAGTAAAATATCAGATAACTCAACGGCACTCAGGGAACAGCCTCTAAAGTGATTAAGAAGAAAGATGACTTAATTCATCTAAAATGATTAAACACATTAAATACAGCTTGCTTTAATGACTTCTAAGGGATGTCTTATCATCATCAACTGATGCTGACTACCCACAGAACAGAAGGCAGAGGATTAGGAATCATGGCAGGGCACAAGGGGTAAGGGGTGGGAGGTGGTAATACAGAAAAGATGCTGTCCTAGTTCCAAGGAACCATGCTTTCAATGGCATATTCTGATTTTTTCTATGTTAGCAGAAGAATGTTCCACTTGAGAGAGATCATTTTGCAAACTCAGACACTTAGCATCTATGAGCACCATTATTTTTTCAAAAACCAACAGCAGAAATGAAAACTAAATGAATTAATAAAGACTACATTCAGGCTGGGCACAGTGGCTCACACCTGTAATTCTAGCACTTTGGGAGGCTGAGGCAGGAGGATCACTTGAGCCCAGGAGTTCAAGACCAGCCTGGGCAACATAGGGAAACCCTGTCTCTACAAAAATAAAAAAATTAGCCAGGTGTGGTGGTGCATGCCTGTGGTCCCATCTACTCCGGAGCCTGAGGTGGGAGGGAGGGTTGCTTGAGCCTGGAGGTTGAAGTTGCAGTGAGCTATGACCATGCCACTGCACTCCAGCCTGGGTGATAGAGGGATACCCTGTAGCAAAACAAAACAATACAAAAAAAAAAAAAACCACCTGGGAGGAGGAAGAAAAATCATTTGAACAAAGAAAATGAACGTTAGAGGCCGGGCACAGTGGCTTACACCTGTAATCCCAGCACTTTGGGAGGCCAAGGCGGCAGGATTGCTTGAGCCCAGGAGTTGAGAGCAGCCTGGGCAACATAGCAAGACCCCATCTCTACCAAAAAAAAATTACCTAGGTATGGTGGCTCATGCCTTTAGTCCCAGCTGGGAGGATCACTTAAGACCAGGAGTTCAGGCTGCAGTGAGGTATGATTGCACCACTGCACTCCAGCCTGGGTGACAGAGTGAGACCTCGTTTAAAAAAATAATAATAAAATAAAAGAAGAAAGAAAGAAAATGATCAGTAGAGACTTCAAGAAAAATGTTCAGAAAATAAAATGAATATTTAAAAACCAGATAGGACCTCTGCTTAAGAAAATCAAGAATAATAAGCCAGGTGCCGTGGTGTGAACCTGTAGTCCCAGGTGCTTGGGAGGCTGAGGTGGAAGGATTGCTTGAGTCCAGGAGTTCAAGGCTAGCTTGGGCAACATGATAAGACCCTATCTCTTAAAATAAGCAAATAAATAAATGAATAAAAGAACAATAGGAAAGGTCCTAAAACACTGAAGAAAATCTGTGGTTGACTCCTTAAGGGAGAGTCATTGGGAATTTGGGGGCGGGGGATTTGAGACACTAAATGTTGACCTTATGTGGCCCACCTGTAGGAATGCTGGCTTTTAGGAATGGATCTAGGATATGGCAGAGTGCATGTTGACCAACACCCACTTCTGCTGACTCATATGGAATTAATGTCAATGTCAGGCGAGACTTACAAAGCACCTCTAGAGATTCTGAAGTTATGCGTAGAAAATGGAAGCACTTGGGTCGATACCAGCATCAGAGGTGGTTCCTCCTCTTTTTCTAAAGCAAGGGTTAGAACTTAGAGAACTTAAGAACAATTACACAATTGTACTAATCAAAAATTTTTTTTTCAGACCAGGCGCAGTGGCTCATGCCTATAATCCCAGCACTTTGGGAGGCCGAGGCAGGGGGATCACTTGAGGCCAGGAGTTCAGGACCACCAACATGGTGAAACCCTGTCTCTACTAAAAACACAAAAGTTAGCTGGGTATGGTGGTGCATGCCTGTAGTCCCACTACTTGGGAGGCTGAGGTGGGAGGATTACTTGAACCCAGGAGGTAGAGGCTGCAGTGAGTCGAGATCACACCACTGCACTCCAACCTGGGTGATCTAGTTCTGTCACCCAGGCTGGAGTGCAGTGGCATTAACATAGCTCACTGTAGCCTTGACCTCCTGGGCTCAAGCCATCCTCCCACCTCAGCCTCCCAAGTAGCTAGGACTACAGGCACATACCACCATGCCCAGCTAATTAAAAATAATTTTTTTTTTTTTGGTAGAGATAGGGTTTTGCTAAGTTGCTGAGGGTGATCTTGTACTTCTGGCCTCAAGTGATCTGCCCACCCTGGTCTCCCAAACTTTTGGGATTATAGGTGTGAGCCACTGTGCCCAGCCTTAATCTTTTTATAACAACAAAACACAATAAAACATATATACATATACATAAGTATCTCCCAAAGATTTGGAGACACATTTTCCTGGAGATTAGTTGATCAAATAATGAAGACTTTGAACTGAATATGAAGTTAGCAGTATGTCCAGATAAAGTTGTTATACTGATGACGGTGGAAAACATTAGGGATCTCATAGAAGGAAGAATAACAATGGTAGAAAAGGTCTAGGATTTCAAACAGGAAAGAATTGAGATGAAACATAGAGTTTCAGATGCCTGTTTATCAAACCACGGAGTGCAGACACCAAAGTTAGCTAGAGATTTTAACACAAGGACAAAAATGCAATGTCTAGAGATCCCTGAGACTTTGCACAACAGGACTTCCAAATAAAATACTGTTCAAAGGAGTAGCCGGTTAGAAGAGAAGCTGCGACAGTCCCATCTGTACATTACAAAATTATATTTCTCTGTGGAACAGCAGCAGTAACCCACTGCAGAGCAGCTGGGTACAGAGAAAAGGAGGGGGCAATAGACACGCTATCATGTGGGAGATGTACCATGGACTGCTGGTAGGTTTAAGTAAATGGATGATGATGCTCACAAAATGACGAGGAAAGATAGAAATAATGAGGGCGTTATCAAATACCTAGATATCTGCTGTAAGTCTCAACTGAAACTAGGATCTCTAATACACTTTTTCCTTGCTGATAGTTTAATCTCACAGAAAGTTGAGCAAACTGCAACTTTGGATCCAATTCTGATCAACTAGAGGGAGGGCAGAAACCAGACGGGTGGAGATGCTCTGCTGATGAAGCAGAAATATTGAGAACTTGGAATAAAGCATGGAAAAAGAGGCTGATGATAGTCAGGTTTGAACTTCATAGTTTAAAAGAACTGATTTTTAAATGTTCAAAGAAAATATATGCATGACCTGAAACCCAAAAGGGAAGATGCTTCAAGAGGAATAGGAAGGCTCTCAAAAATGAAATTCTAACCATACAATTGCAAATCATCCCTGCAGATGAAAACATAGAGGCATCTAAAGGTACTGATGTGATCTCCCAGGGAGCAGCCTAATGGCTCAAATTTTTAAAGGGCACGTACAAAAAGATCAAGAGAAGAGCCCATAACAAAGAACATAACGTGGCCCATAGCAATTCAAGAAGGCTTAAAGATCAGAATGAGCTTAAACTTGCAAAAATGCTAAAGACAAAAAAAAATTTTGTAAGAGCTCTTTTAAAGTTATGTTTGAAACAAGAAGAACAAGAAAGACACAGACCCGCTGTGGAGGATGGTGGTTCTTGGATGGCAAGAAGAAAGGGAAGGATAATCTTCAGACTGGAGGGGAAGAACAAACTTTGACGAGAGGGAAATGAGTGAAGAGTTGGGATTTAGAGATCAAATGATTACTCTTAACAGGCTGAATTCACTCCAGGGTACAGAGAAAAATAGCAGAAGAAATGCAACCAATAACCTTTGATAATCTGGTGAATCTGGGATGAGGGTCAACTGAACAGGCAAGGAAAGGCATGTGCAAGTCCCAGTTTTCTTTTTTTTTTCCCCCCTGAGACAGAGTCTCACTCTGTTGCCCAGGCTGGAGTGCAGTGGTGTGATCTCGGCTCACTGCAACCTCCGACTCCCTGGTTCAAGTGATTCTCCAGCTTCAGCCTCCTGAGTAGCTGGGATTACAGGCATGTGCCACCACACCCAGCTAATTTTTGTATTTTTAGTAGAGACAGGGTTTCACTATGTTGGCCAGGCTGGTCTCAACTCCTGACCTCAGGTGATACACCAGCTTTGGCCTCCCAAAGTGCTGGGATTACAGGTGTAAGCCACCGCGCCCGGCCCCAATTTTCAAACACATGACACCAAAGCACTTTGCAGACCATCTGGGAAATTCTAAAACAGTATTAAACAAAAGATTTATGAACATTTAGAAAGGGAAATAAAACTCTTCCAGGAGACACTCGCTAACAATAAGTCACAGCAGAAATGATGGAGCAATGGGGAGAACTCTGTGGATGGGAGGATGATGTAAAAGGCAGGTGAATCTCAATGTGGCATCTGGTGAGTTCTCCCAGGACATCCTTGTAGATGTGATGGAGAAATGTATACTAAAGACACTCTAGTCATGAAGATTCATGATTAAGTGACAACAATCATGGAATTACTAAATTTATATCAACCAGAAGTCTCTTTAGTGGACTTGGAACACTAAATGAGGTAGGAGATTTAATAAGGGAAAATTTGAAATCTGTGATATGAGGAATAGGAAAAGAAAACTTCAAGGGTATAGCATTAGAGAAAAGACACAAGGGGACACACCTGCAAATACCTCAGGGCACCATGTAGAAAGGAGATCTGCATTTTCTATGTGGGCCCTCAAAATAAAGAACAACGGTTGGAAGGTTGAGTTGAGTTACAGCTGTCTGAAGATGGCACAGGGCAGTCTTGGGCTAGGGCACTGCTTGGTCAATGGGGCACGCACCTAGGCAGAAGCCATGGTCATTTGTCAGGGATGGGTGCTCCACAGGATGACCAGTAAGGACCTGTACTAGATGGTGCCGTAACAGGTTAACTCAAACTTTGTGGTAAAAATCGGGTCCTAAAATCAAGGTGTGGCAGGGCTGGTTCCTTCTGGAGGCCACTGGGGAAGAATCTGTTCCCTTGTCTTTTCCAGATTCTAGAGGCTTCCTGTATTCCTTGACCTGTGGTCTCATTTCCCTATCATTCCTACCTCTGCTTCACCATCACGTCTCCTTCTCTGGCCCTAAGCTTCCTGCCTCCCTTTTAAGAACATCCTTGAGTTTACACTGGGCCCACCTGGATAATTCAGGCTAACCACCTTGTCAAAAGGCTATTAATTTAATAAAACCTGCAAGGTCCTTTTGGCCATGTAATGAAACATCTTTAAAAGTTCCAGGGATCAGGAGGTGGACATCCTTGGGGAGTCACTATTCTGTCTATCACAAGTACCTTTCAAGCCTTAGAGATTTAGTGAATTCTACATTGGAAGGGCCCAGCTGAAGAGTCCCTGTTCTTATCAGTGGCAAGGGCTCTGAGACACATTGTCATCAAGCCTTAAAATCTAAACCATAAAAATAATTATTTATAAATATATTAACAAAGTTGAACATGTTGGCTTGAGTGCAAGTTTAATGTAGTTAATTATAAACACTGAACAAATATCAATCTTTTTCAAAAACTCTCATGTTAACCGAACAATTAAATATTAACTTTTTAGTAGGCCATAAAGTTTATTTCCTTATAAACTGCTGTTTACAGGCTCCCTTAACCATTTAAATAGAACGACATACATTACCACTTAACCAGGTGGCTAAAAGTCTATGATCGCCCTCAAACTTCCCAGAACTGGTATAGAACTTCAGGGGAAATGTGTAAAATATTGAGGAAAAAGTAATAATGACAATAAAATTATCCAGATCCGTTACCATCTCTTCTTTTTCTTTTTACATTTAACAACTCTCAATTTCTCTTGCCTCCAATCACCTGTCTCTAAACCCAACCATCGGTTATTCTTTCCAATATAACTTTCCATTTATATTTTCTTTAAAATTCAGCCCCAAATGAGACATTAAAAAAAACCCCAAAAACTATGGATTTAGAAAATAATGTTTCCTTATATTTCAAGTCTTACCTCTCAAGGAACCATGCTGCTTAAGGTCAGATGTACTGGGCCATGGACCAGTACTAGCCTGTGGCCTGTGAGGAACCAGGCCGCACAGCAGGAGGTGAGCTGCAGGTGAGTGAGTGAGGCTTCATCTGTATTTACAGCCGCTCCCCATCACTTGCATTACTGCCTGAGCTCCGCCTCCTGTCAGATCAGCAGGGGCATTAGATTCTCATAGGAGCATGAACCCTATTGTGAACTGCACATGCGAGGGATGTAGGTTGCACACTCCTTATGAGAATCTAATGCCTGAGGATCTGTCACTGTCTGCCATCATGCCCAGGTGGGACCATCTAGTTGCAAGAAAACAAACTCAGGGCTCCCACTAATTCTACATTATGGTGAGTTCTATAATGATTTCATTATATAGTACACTGTAATAATAATAGAAATAAAGTGCACAGTTAATGTAATGAGCTTGAATCATTCTGAAACCATTTCCCCGCCACCACCCCTGGGTCCATGGAAAATCTGTCTTCAACGAAACTGGTCCATGGTGCCCAGGTGCCCAGAAGGTTGGGGACCACTGTTGTAGATAAAATAAATCCATAAGTAACACTTTTGATCAACAGTTTCATCCCCCTCACACATATATATTTTTAACAGAACTCTTATCAAGCAAGACTCACTGAGCAGGAAGACTTGAGGACAGCAAAATGATGAAAGAATGAGTAACTAAAGGGAAAAGGAAATTCCTCCACGAGACTGTAAGCTGCACAAGGAGGAGTGACTAAGTCTCATTCACTGTGGTCCCTCTAACATGCAGCACTGAGTCTGGCAAGTAGTGGGCGTTTAAACACAGAGAAACATGAGCTCTAGATAAGAGGATGGGGTGGTGCCTGCGTTTCTTCCCCACTCTACTCCTAGCACCTGGCATAGTGACTCACACGTAGGGAGCACCTGAGGGTTTGTTGAACAGTGAGTCCTCTCATTAGCTAAAAATGACAGACACAACATAAGAAGAAAAACAGGGAAGTAAGTAAAGCAGAGAAACAGTAAGTAAGTATGGTCTTACTTTGCTATCCTTGTCTGGTTTGGTTGCTGAACTGTTCCCACAAGCTGATGAAGCACTGTCAGGAGATGTGGGGAGTCCAGGGAGAACGGTCACTATCCGGCCACTGGGCTCAGCCTCCAGAGAAGCACTGGTGATGCTTGGGGAAGTCAGTGGAGCAGCTGCTGCACAGGCCAGAGGGGCACTGGCTCGACTGATACTGATGGCAGCAGTGTGCGTGGCTGAGCCTGGCATCAGAGGCGCAGGTTGTGGGGAGGCCAGCGAGTGATGGGACAGGCCCACAGATGCAGGGCTGAGGCCGGCGGCATTCTGTACCTGGATGGGTGTCACTGCTGCCGTGGGGCGTTCCTGGTTGTGCGCTGCAACTAGTAGATGGGAAGAGGGAACACAGCAAAATTCAACTATCTAATAGATGCTGCTCACCAAAACATGAGTCATTTCACTGCATCAGACCATGATGAAAGGCTGCTATTGTATTTATTACAATAAAGATGGGATGGACGGTGGCCTAAAAGCACTTAATCTTAGCTGGATCCCCAGACACTATCTATTGTCCTTCCAGGTCAGCCCTTGAGTCTACTGAGTGCCTGGAAGCTCAGTTTTGACCCAAGTCCCTTTACTTAGGAGACAGCCTCTCCACAGTGTTAGAGACACTGAGCCAGTTCTTGATGGTATTCTACAGTGTCAAGCGATGTCTCCCTCTAGTCCTTTTCCTATTATTCATTCCCTTTTCTTATGAATCATTTTCCTTTTTTCTGTTTTTCTGATAGAGTTCACAAGCCTTTAGTTTACCCCTCATCCCATTAGTTACCCAAGACTCTTGGGAAGGTTTTCAGTGCTACAGAACTAAGAAAGCTGTTTAAGATCCCATAGGGTCCAAGGTAGACTTGTGCTTAAGTTAATCAGAAATGATCAGCACACCCGTTAGTAGAGTATCACGCAATGTCACATGGATGGTAGTAGTGAGATTTGAGATCATATGATCTCAACTATAGAAGTCAAAATTTCAAGTACTATTGACATTCTTAGGATCAGCCTAATTTCTTTCAGACTTTAGATCTATCCATCAGGCTTGAAGTAATACGCAGGGCACGCTTAGCCCAAATAAGCAGATACAAGGTGCCACTGAGTAGACTTTGCCTAATGTTGTTCATTATTAAAATTACATCTACATTTCTCAACATCTGTCATAAAAGATCTACTATTAGGCAGGTAAGCCCTTTATCCTGATATGTTCTGGCCTGGGTTCCTCCTTACCTGTCCTCACAGCATTGCGGGCCTGGTTGACTGTCATTTGCCCCGTCATGTGCAACAAGACCTTAGCCTGAGGACTTGTCTGGATGTGAGCTGCTGATACCACAGCTGCGGGGACAACACTGGGACTCCCAGCCACGCCATTTCCCTGGAGCTTCTGGGCAGGCCCTCCTGCCGTGGAAGGACTGACCATGGTCACTCCCCGACTTGTCTGGCCAGCTGTAGACATAGGGACTTTAGCTTGGGAAGCATTTGTCACCGCCCTGCCAAGACACAAACATAGATGGAAAGCCCAGTCCATCAGCAAAATGACAGAAAGAACAATTAAATGCAAGAAAAATGACTCAGAGCTTTAAACATAGAACATTTTAAAAAATGAATGGAATTATTTTTATAAAGTTTAAGAATAGAAAATTCAACGTAATGATGGCTGAGACAGAGAAAGGTCTTGAAATATATTCTGAGTCACCAGAAACCACACGTCATACTCTGCTCAAGAATATACAGTTATTGCATTCAGCTTTCCATAACAAGACCAAATATCTCCACTGACTTTCAAGGCCCTGGATTCTCCCCCTTCATCTACAGAACAAGCTAGGATCATTCCCTGACAATATCCCCATTTCCATATCTTTGCTCCTGTTTCCTGGCTTCCTACTTGCCTCCAGCTCCACATCACACATGTGCCCATGTACATGCATGCACACACATACACGCACTAGTGGAAAGTCCTCTCCGTCTTCTCTTGACATATTGTAATCTCATTTATGTTTCAAGATCCAGCATGAACACTGTCAGTTCAAGAAGCCTTGCCTCAGATTCAGGTTTAAGATCTTATGATTCTATTGTTTCATGTGGATTTCTTCTTTCATTCTGTTTCTAAACTCCACAATTGTTTATGCTTTGGCCCTTGATTACAAAATGTGGTATATTATTATTAGTAGTAGTAGTATTTTTTTTGAGACAGAGTCTCACTGTTGCCCAGGCTGGAGTGGAGTGGTGCGATCTCAGCTCACCCCTCTGCCTCTCAGGTTCAAGTGATTCTCCTGTCTAAGCCTCCCGAGTAGCTGGGAGTACAGGCACGCGCCACCATGCCCGGCTACTTTTTTGTATTTTTAGTAGAGGTGGGGTTTCACCATGTTGGCCAGGCTGGTCTCGAACTCCTGACCTCAGGTGATCCACCCGCCTCAGCCTCCCAAAGTGCTGGGATTACAGGTTTGAGCCAACGCGCCTAGCTGGTGTATTATTTTTTAAATAAATTCTTTATCAAATACTGCTGACTTGGTAAGTTCCTTGAAAGCAGGGCCAGTGTGAAATAACTCTCCTGTATTCATCCTGTATTTGCACATGCTCAGGGTTACAGCCAACTCTAAACATCTATTTACTCACTGAATGTAATTAAGTTCAGTATAGTTTTGTGTAATGTGTTTTTTTCCATATTCCAAATTCATTTAAATGATAACAATTCTGTATATAGTAACTTTCTACTAAGAAAACACTTCATTAGCTTGAACATCCTTATTATTTACCATGAATGACAGAATTTACTGTAAGCACATATTCCTCTAGAGTTAAACAAACAGATAGATTTTTTTTTTCCTTAGGATGGAGTCTTGCTCTGCCGCCCAGGCTGGAGTGCAGTGGCATGATCTCGGCTCACTGCAGCCTCCGCCTCCCAGGTTCAAGTGATTATCCTGCCTCAACCTCCAAAGTAGCTGGGTCTACAGGCACGTGCCACCATGCCTGGCTAATTTTTGTATTTTTTTTTTTTTTTTTTTTTTTTTTAGTAGAGATGGGGTTTCACCATGTTGGTCAGGCCTCAAGTGATCAACTCCTGACCTCAAGTGATCTGCCCACCTTGGCCTCCTGAAGTGCTGGGATTACAGGCGTGAGCCACTGCACCCGGCTATACAAGCAGAGAGACTTCTAATAATTGGTTTTTGATAAAGATGTTTGACAAAAAAATTTTTATAAAAATGTTTTCCTTCATTAACTTTATTTTTTTGTTCTTTGTTGCATTTCTCTTATCCATTATTATCATTATTTTGCACCAGGGAGGTTCTATCTGTCATTTTCTGGATGGGATGGATTCTGAATGTAGATTTTAACATACATAGAAAAGAATGTTTATATTGATTAAAAATTTGCAAGTCAAATTAAAGTTAACATTCTGTCACCATCTGCAACAACAGTGATTTTCATTTGATTAGGCTGCTGGCCAACCTATAAATCAAGGCCAACAGCTGACAAACATGTCAGTTCATTAAGCTATTTGTTTAAAATCAGGCGGTTTGAGGAAAGATTTAATGCAGTTAGACCTGGACTGTATATTAAACGGCCGGTGGTCAAAAACTAGGGCTCCCTCAGTGTTGATTTCATTACAGGTCATTTAACTGTTTCCAAGGCTTCTTTCCTCAGTGACCAAAAGCTGAACTATCTTTACATAAAATATATAAAATTTTGCATATCTAAAGCTCCTGTCACTCTATAACAGGGTTTCTCAACCTCAGTGACATTTTAGGCCAGATTATGATTATTTTTTGTGGGAGGCTGTCCTATGCATAGGATGTTTCACTCTTAGCCTCTATCCACTAAAGCCAGTAGCACCCCTAACCTCTAGTCGTGACAATCAAAAATATTTCTGGATATTGTCAAATGTTCCCTGGGGAGCAAAACTGCCCTCAGTTGAGAAGGATCTATGCTATACTTAAAATTTTTATTTCTGACTATATTATAGAATTCATTGTCAGAATTCAGAGGTAATTACCAAGTTAATGAAATAAATATAAATCTAGATCACCAGGGTTTGAGTTTGAGCACTTCTTCACTATGTGATCTCAGACAAGCTGTATGATATCTCTGTGCCTCAATGTAACAGCAACTAAGAAGTAAGGTTAATCAGTGTAATGCATTTATAAATCTGCCTGCCTGGCATATAGTACGCATTATATAAACACATAAGTATTAATAATATAGCTTTTCTTTGTATCAACACTATGCCTTTTCTAGTAGAAAAATACTGAAAATGGTGTTGTTGAACCTTCTCCCATTAAAGCAAATAACTTAAAACCCAGTACATTTACTGGTAGAAACCTATAATTTCACATATATCCATGTGAAAATAAGCTAAAAATTTTAGAGTTAGAAGGGATTTTAGCAGATGTAGACATGGATTTTTAAAACCTTGGCTATGTAACAGGCAATTATAATGTGAAAGGAATCTGGATAGGCTGAAAACCATGGAAAAGAACAAAGCTTCTCTGTTTAGAACATAGTAAACAATGTATTCAAAACCATACCTTGTGACTGGTGCCACATAATTGCCAGGGAAAACCCCTATCTTGCTGGTATGCATGGATGTCCCTTTGAACCAGCCATCCTGGCAGCGCTCAAACACTAAAAACATCTCCCCTTTTCTCAGCTCTAGTTCATCCTCTTTCCGAGGAGTGTATGGATATATAGCAACATACCTAGAATAGAAAATAATATTTGATTTCAGGTTGAGTAACAGACAAATCCCAAGATGCTCAAAATTCTTCCTTGGTACAAAGTGTTGAACATTTTGTACAAATGTAAACTGAAAGTATAATCCTTTAATCTATAAGTAGCACTGACAATTCTCCATTGAAAGAGGTTTTGCTGTCTACATTTTAAAAGTAGGCAGAGGCCCTCCTGATTAAGAACCTGTTCCTCCCAGTATGGAAGTTACTATCCCACCAAATAGTATTTGCATAGTGTGAAAGAATTAATGCAGTTTCCAAGAGTGCCTAACTTGCTACCAGAGATTATGTACCCACTGGGAAAACTGAGTTCTTCAAATGGCACTTGTTAGGCTTGAGAAGTAGCCCCAAATGAGAACATATGGTATGAAATCCCACTGGGAAGCACAACACGCTGGCTTCTACACACAAGCTGAACCTAGAGGCTTGAGCTACACCTGCTTTTTATGCTCAGTTCTAGGGAAAAAGACTGAATTTGAAAAAATCAAGGGAGAACAAAGTCCAGATCACAAAACGTACAAGACAACCCCAAGATGCAAGGTGACTGTGCCCACGAACACATGGTAACCAGGCAGGCAACATTAACCTATAGTTCTTACCAGTGCTCTAAACAGTTGGTGTATAAAATTACACAATGCAGGATCCACGAAGACCTGGCTGTATTCTGCCATAAATAAACTCTCAACAGGATAAACTTTTCTGGATACTCATTGCTGAGGACTTAAGCTTTTTACATTCACACTGCAACTAGACCTAGATATGATTTGTGAAGAATACCTTTCTGTCACTAGTATTCTTATGCAAGAAATGAAAATAAAGATAAAAAGTTCAAACAGGAGTTGTACAAAAGAGGCAGTTTCATACCCATATAATATTCTGGCAAGCTCATGTATCAGACTGATTTTCTTTCAGCAGTTCCCTAGTTACATGCATGACCAGGTAGAAGTTTGCAGGACACAGACCGCTTGGTGAGCCATAACGCTGTCATCAGCTCATGTCAGAAAGGTGTTTCTTGACCTCTGAGGTTTGGACTTCGTTTAAATGAACACATAAGCAGTAACAGACGACACGCTCACTTACACACTGGGGCGAGTCTGCGGCCGTAAATGTGCAATCTGGTCAGTGGATCCTGCCATGGGCCTCGGTCCCATTCCAGCAGCAGCAGCAGCGGCGGTGGCGCCTGGTGGTGTGGAGGCAAGGACAGTGGCAGCCAGGAGAGGGGGTGGTGGAAGAGGAGGATTCAAAGTCTAGTATAGGAAAAACATAAAGAGAAAGGGAAAAAAGGGAACAAAATACTGATTTACATCTTCCTATGGAAGGTGGGAGAGAAAAAGAATTATAAATCCATAGAACAAGACTTTAATGGAATCCACACAGGGCAGAATCAGCAGGCTAACTGATATGAAAGCCTGCTTCTACAAATTCATCTCTTGTTCTCCTTTAAAATATTAAAGCCAAAGCAACCTTTTCAGCAAGCAGGTAAGTAATCACCCTTGGGAGGAGGGAAAGAAAAAAAATGAAACAATTGCATGTAATCTTAAGATTAATAGCATTTTAAAGTATGGACTTGGACAAGGATCCAAATGCCTTTCGAGGCGGGTAGCCATGTCATGCTGCTTGCTAGGAATTAATTTGTGATTGTTTCTGTAATCTGAAACTTAAACACAACACACAATGTAGCTGTACTATATCTCAAATCATTCCTTCAGAAGAAAATTTCCTTTGATGCCTGGTCTACAAAAAGCCCAAACAATAGTAAGCCACAGTCACTGGACCATTGTTGCTACTTTTGCTTATTCTTTTCTTAACTTTGCCAGCTTTTGAAATTTGGTACTATCGAGGCTGGTAATCTTTAACAAGTACACCAGTGAAAAGCTGCTGGTTCCTTTATGGGCACAGCCTAATGGGGTTCTGCCTACAGGATTCCATGCCTTTTGAAAATCAATGGAGCAATTGTTACCTTCTGATCTATAAACCCAGATAATTCTTTAGGGTCTGTATACTGAAACTCTTGGGAAAACAGGCACACAAAGACTGCCTGAACCGCTACCTCGTCCTCTCCAGATCTTTGAACAACTAGATGTAAAAACTAAGTCAAAGGAGAAATAAGAAGACTAAAGAATTTACCTAGTTAAGTGTAAATGGCTTCTATATGTCAGCATATTAACAAAATAAAGATCCAATGATTTCTAAACAGAGCTTATACCAGTCATCTTATTTCTGTTTTTTGGAATAAAAATTTGAATTTCATCACCATTCACTATAATACATCTGGCTGTTAATATAGACATACATAGTTCCAGAAACATAACGAACTGAGTGGAAAAAAATTTCAAATTTCTAGACGCACGCTGTAACTATTCGATGCATTATGTTTAATTTTTTGCTAAAGCGACTTTCAATAAAGATTTTTCCCACACTGTAGCTAAAGTGGTTGCAGAACATTTAGTGCAGAAACAAATGAGGTGCAGAGCCACTTACAAAGTGCAAACCAGGAGAAGGCAGAGGTTAGCTCAAAAAGTTGGAACGTCAGGAAAATGTGGCTCACATTCTCAATTCAAAATATGGCACCATTAAGATTTGTTATAGCTCGCAGGCGCAGTGGCTCACGCCTGTAATCCCAGCACTTTGGGAGGCTGAGGCGGGCGGATCACGAGGTCAGGAGATCGAGACCATTTTGGCTAACACGGTGAAACCCCATCTCTACTAAAAATACAAAAAAATTAGCCGGGTGTGATGGCGGGTGCCAGTAGTCCCAGCTACTCGGGAGGCTGAGGCAGGAGAATGGCGTGAACCCGGGAGGCGGAGCTTGCAGTGAGCCAAGATTGCGCCACTGCACTCCAACCTGGGTGACAGAGCAAGACTCCGTCTCAAAAAAAAAAAAAATTGTTATAGCTCTGGAATTTGCATGTACTGAGGCTTAGAGCCTCCAAAACCTTTAACCAGGAGAAGGGCAAGCATTTATCCTGTTAGGCTTCTTTCCAGTGACAAAGCAGAGATAAAGATAATCCTGGTCACAGCAAATGTGACCTGGACAGTTCATGGATAATAATGCATCAGCAGTTTGACAGGTGAGATAATCGGTCTACACTGTATATAGAGTAATATATGGAGAAACTGTAAAATTACCACTTCACTGATTTCCATTTAAATCTTTCTAAGCTCAATCTCAAAACAGTGTGGCTGTGGAAAGGCAGAAAACTAATGGCATGTGCTCAAACAGAAATTAAAATCATCTATTATAGCTTAACTTTATTAAAACAGAGGCTGTACTAATTTGACCTAAAAAGAAAAGGACAAAAATCATCTATGCACCTGATAAAAACATGTCATCTTTTGTAATATAAATAAAATTTTGTAATAAAATATAAAATCACTTCTTGTCACAAAATACACTAAGTTAAATGTTTCATGTACATTACTTTTGCAAACAGTGAGAGTTAGACATTAAGATATGGCATCAAAGAGGATATTCTGAAAGATCCCAAAGGTTCTTCCTGACAGAAAAGAGTTCTCTCTCACTTTCTGTGGCTGAAACATAAATGGTTTAATACAATTGGGCAGATCTTTTCCCAGTGCATGCATGTTTGCATGTGTAAATTTGTGTGTATGTGAGCAAACAGATGAAGATCAAGAAACTCTGATTAAAATCAGATTCCTAGATGTTGCTTGCCCCTGTGGGGTTGGTGAAATGATAGGGTTCTGGTGACTCCAGAGCTGTGACAGACTAGGAAATTTTGTGGGTTGCTTTATAAACAACCTAAACCAAAATAATCTGGTGATGTGGAAGTTCAAAAGGTAATCCACTGTGTATTGTGCTTCAGGCAGTTTGCTGTCCTGCAAGACCTGAAATTTCCACAGAGTAAAACCACACGTAGCCTTTCATTCACCCGGAGGTGACCTGGAGTCCTGCTTATTATTTCATAGTCCAGGCCAGCCCAGGCACCAGAGGCCAAGTATACACTCTCTACTACAGGCAAAAAACAGCTATGGACCTTCTAGAAAATGACACAAAATTCACATTTTGTTAACAATATTCTGCTCACCAAAACTAGGACTTAAGAATGGTGTGCTAATGGGAAATGGTCATATTTTGCCATGTCCAGGTTCTCTTCTCCTGACCCAGTGATCTTGAAAGAAGAGACAGTGTTACATCACTGAAGGAGCATGGCCTTTGGGGTCAAAAAAAAACATAGATTCCAACCCTGGCTCAGCCTCTTGGGGCAGTCCTCGACTTCCTTCCCTTGCTAGAGTGAGCACCCAGGGAAGAAGTGTCTTCTCTCTGAGTGGGCAGCATTTCAGAACACTGGCAGGTGACAATGCTAGTGACACTGTGAGTGAAAAGTTCAAGTATATGGGTGTGAAACTTCTCCCTTCTGGCACTCTCCCCTCTGCTTGCCCTTTCATGCAACCCGCCCAGGTAGTGATTGGATCTTAGGATCTGGCTAAAGAGAGGGGAAGTAGTCCAGTACGTCTCAAACTTGGGCCAAGGGCTACAGGCCAGCTTGCCAGTAAAGTGCTTTGCATTGGAGCTTTGGACACAAGTTCAACTGAAAATAAAGGGTTCATTTCCTTTCTAATTGTCTCTTACGTGTGTATCTCCCTCACACACTCCCAGGGTAGAAAAGTGACTGGCAAGATAGACTAAGCCTTTCTGGGTCCCTTGGGCAAATATTATTAATATTCTCTAATCTACCACTATTTCTTTCTAAATGTCTGATTTCCATTCAGCCCACTTTCAACCCTACATATCAACATGTCTGAACAGTCCTTGTGTGTACTGAACTCAGATGCATGAATACTGGTTGATGAGGGAATGGTTCAAGCTACTACATGGAGATGCCTGTTGAAATTGGTCAACAGTGTTACCAAGTTCAGCAGCATTACCATCTACATGCATAAATTATAAATTTTTTGTTCCACATTTGATCTACAAGAAACAAGAGAGATATGTATATCAGTTAAGTGACTCTGTAAATTCCATAAGGTCTCTATGTTTCACTATACCAACCTGAGAGATGGAGTTAATAATTAGAAATAGTTTATGTAAATTGTCTTTCCCAGTGCCCTGGAACACAGCAGAAGCTCAATAAATAGAAGCTATTGTTATGATTAATGAGATTGTGAAGTCAGGGACTGTCTCACCCGTCTTTGTATTGGTGGCACCTAGCTTTGCAGCTAGAAGATAACAGATCCTCAATGAGCATTTCATGAATGAAAATACACTATGTGCTTCTATCCCCTTCTTAGAACAATATGGTATGGAATAAGAGGTCTCAGTTCCCGAGATGCTAGAATCCTTTCCTGTTGCTGCTATGAAAGTTCTGACCATATCCTACTCTTCACCCTGATTTTTAGATCTCCTGCCAATTCCAAAGGCTCTACTTCTAACTTTCAAACTAGCAAGGTTGGCAGCCTCATCCTCTACTTCCAATTCCCTGAACCCACCAACAACAGTAAGTTCTGCTTAGCCTCCACCATGGCTACATATTGGCTATTCTGAGAATCTGACATTCAACTTTGTTTAAATACACACATACAAACATGTATGTGTATAAAATTTTTATTATTTTTATTTTTGTTTTTTTTAGGAACAGCATCTAGTCCTGGCTGGAGTGCAGTGGCACAATCATGGTTTACTGCAGTCTCAACCTCCTGGGCTCAAGTGATCCTCCTGCCTCAGCCTCCCGAGTAGCTGGGACTACAGGCATGCACCACCATGCCCAGCTAATTAAAAAAAAATTTTTTTTTTGTAGAGACAGGGTCTTTCTATGTTGCCCATGCTGGTCTCGAACTCCTGGCCTCAAGTGATCCTCCTACCTCAGGCTCCCAAAGTGCTGGGATTATAGGCATGGGCCATCACACCCAGACTAAAATTTTAAAATTTGGAATGCAATCTGTTTATAAATTGGCCATGAGTGGTATTTACCTTTATTGACCTGACTACCTTATAATACCTTGCAGTTAACCACCTCTTGGCTGGTCCAGAGGATCGGGGATTATTCATCACTTGTTTTAAAAGGCCTTCTGCCATTATGCAGAAGATACGAGACTAAGATCTTCAACCTCCTCCCCTACAAAGAGATTTTTAAAAAATCACTACTATTAATAGTTTGATGTCTGAATTAGATACATGTAATACCAGTATTGCTCATAATGTTGGATATTTAAAATTTTAACTGTTACATGTGAAATGTATGGGACAATGTTTATAACTTCGTTCTGCATAAAAGATTTAAAAATCTCAATTCATGAAAAAAAGCATTGGAAATAATTTTCATTTTTTATTCTACTGGTGGCATTTATTGCCTATAAATCTATACCATGAAAAGCCTGCCTTCTTTTCTACCAAGCTGTGTGCCATTGCTGTTAATAGTACTCACAGTCTTCGGAACCAATTCAAATTTTAAATAGAATGCTTGACACAATTAATATAAGATGCAGAGGGCTCCTGCTACTGAGATTTTCCACTTAAACCTGACATATTAAATCTAAAACATTTCTGCCAACCTACCAGGCACTCTGAGATCTAGACATCTCCTGGGATGACAGACAGGTTTGTTTATAATTAGTTTTTCATTAAATGAAATTGGCACAGTAGACATACTGTTTAATCAACCTTCCTCTTGCTTAACATGCAGGTTTTCTTATATAATCCTAAAATAAAATGGCTGAATGTAAATTAATTTTTGTATATCCATGTTCTCTTGTGACCTGTCCCATTGATTTGCCTCAGAGTGAGCCTCCAGGTAAGAGTAACTGGCCATTTACTACATTGTATAATTTTCAGCCCACAAGAGCTAAAATTAAGCCAGCCTTATGTCTTTTCCCACTACAGGTTGAATATCCCTTATCCAAATGCTTGTGACCAGAAGTGTTTCGGATTTTGAATTTTTTTAGATTTTAAAATATTTACTTCACCAGTTAAGCATCCCAAATCCAAAAATCTGAAATCCGAAATGCTCCAATGAGCACTTCCTTTGAGCTTCATGTTTGCACTCAAAATGTTTCAGATTTGGGAGCATTTTGGATTTCAGATTTGAGATGCTTAACCTATAATTAAATTTTCTATTATCTGAAAAGTTAAGTCCTTTTCTTTCCCTTAAGAAATCAAGTTAGAATTTTATCATGCAAGGCACTCATCTGGAAATGAAAATATCAACTCATTGTGTATGTGTACTGTGAGTGGGAAGGAAAGGAGAGAGTCTCCCCTGGAGATGAGAGGTCATGATGGTTAAGGAAGTTGGCTCTGGTCAAATATCCAGGGCTAATAGAATCTCAGGGAAACCAAATTTCACTAAAAGTTAACTGAAATTCATCTTCTCCCCAGATGAATCCAGGCATCTTCTCCTTCGCCAAGCAGCTGTACTATCAAGAAAGTTGTAACTGTTCAGGAAACATTAAAAACGAAAATAAAACAAACAAACAAAAAACACCTTTAACCTCTAGCTACAACATTATTAGCTTCCATTTAAATACAAGAACATGCTTAACTCTAAAATGTTTTCAAAAGCCTAAGTCAAGCTAGGTAATAACTCTACATTTATTTATATCCCACCTTGTTTCTAAATCAGTTTTCAATTATTTATAGATGTATCAAGACAAAATAAATAACAAATAGGAAAAACAAGGCAAATGGAAAATAAGAACAATAAAACTAGCCGGAGCCAACATTTTGACTAATTATGTTGTGGAGTCTTTGCTGGAGGGGCTACAAATCTGGTCCTAAGCACTCTAGCAGAGGGAAATAAAATCTTTACAACATGTATAAAACCCACAACCTAAAAACAAACCAGCTGCTTAGAAGCCTCCCTATTCCTGGTACAGACAGCAAAGAAAACTGTAACAAAGTAAACCAGGCCCAACTTGCAACAGCCCTCAACCGAGCCCAAAAAGGAGATCAATAATGTTCATCCCTTTCTATGATCTAACTCTGTGAAGTAGATACTTATTTTATGGCTAGGGTTACTGAGGCTTAAAGAGGCAGAGTACCTTTTCCATGGTCATATAACAAATAAATGGCAGAGCTGGGCTTCAAACCCTGACTGTTTCACCACAGGCCTGCACCCCCATCATCAGGACACACCAATGGCATTCTCTGCAAACAGCACAACTTACGACTGTGGGCAGGCAGGGTGATGCAATTGGTGTAGGTACTAGGGCAATCTAATTTAATGATCTTTTCTATCGTAATTCAACTCAGCACTGGAGCAAATAGAAAATATAAGCCAAAGCTTTGGCCTGGATGAGAGATGTCTCACAACTGCTAGTTCCTTGCTTATAATTTTATGAAACAAGGTCTTAAACAACAGTCTTTCTCTACTACCGAAGGTTGCATTTGCTTGTTGCTTCCCTTTTAATTTTCTTTCCAGAATGGCCCTCTTCTTTGTATCTGTATCTCCTGGCTACCCTAATTCTCCCTATTATTTTCCCATTTGGATGTTTTTAAGCAATTAGCCGTTTAGACTCTATCTGTAGGATGTCATGTTTTCAGAAGGGAAATCAACATAATCTAAGGGGGCCTTCCAAGACTGAAGGTGCCTTTAAACAGCCACAGCTACAGACCATATGGACACAAGACAAGAAATTAAATAATGAATCTTTAATGTAGAGATTTGGTATCGGATCTGTCATGTGACTCAAAGTAAACCATTCACCTTCAGGACCTGCTTCCTTAGTATTTTCATAAATGTGTCCTTATAAGAAATAAGCAGGATCTAGAAACTCAAAAGAAATAAAGGTTAAGCTTCAGAAAATCAGGTTGAACTTTAATGAAAATTAAATGTATTTTTGAGTTCTTCTAATAGCTTCAGGCCACTGATCCTCACTGTTAAAAATTTTGCAGGATGCAGGCAAGGGACTTTCTAATGTTTTGTTAAGATTAACAGAGATAATAGATGAAAGATAGATACCCACCTCACCTAACAAGTATGAACATACGCTGCAGGTGTTAGGAGGTGGAGTGTGCCAGATTAACATGACTAAAGACCTAAAAGAGAAATAAAAATGGGAGAAACTATACTCACTCCAAGGGCAGCTTGGTAGGGAACATCTGATGGGAAAGTAAACGAGGGGCCAGTTGTCACTGGGCTGCTTGGGGGCGGGGTCACAATTAACCCGGTGGTACTTATATGAACCTGCCGAGAAAAGAAAAGTTATTAAAAAGAAGACTATGTTTAATACAACAGAATATACTGGCTAAACCTTAGAAAGGCAAGTCACATTAAAAAAAAAAATCTGTACTTTCTGTTATTTGGGGAAGGTAGAATCCCTTTTAGTCTGCTCAACCCAAATTTACCAGTGACCTAATTTGAACCAGGCATTTTACTAGATGCTGGGGAGTGATGTGATAAATACTGGTCACAACAGTGTCTTACCTACAGAATTCAACTGCCATTGGCTTTCACGGTAACACATTGCCTCATTTGGTACGCCACCATGAATCAAACTGGCCTTCCAATGGACAGCCTGGTGCTCAACTAGCCTCCTAACAATTTCCCTGAAGATCCTGTTAAGGTGGGTAGTGGCTGAACACTCACCTGTCTATCAATACGTTAAATCTATGTGAAATTCTTCAGGTATTTTGCTATTTTCAGGATCATTTTTCATGACTTCTACCTTTCGGTGGGGATGCATAATTAAAATGCAGCTGCCTAGACATGCTTAGAGCGGGCAATTACTTATAAAATCTTTAAAGGAACAATGTCAAGCCAAATTAGTTGTTTTCAAAGGTGTCTTATCCATGATACAACCCAAGATTAATTTACTAGAAAGAAATTGAGTTATTCAGGTCATTTCATTGCCTGTGTTAAGTTACTCGATCAATTTCACTCAGGTTGCATAGCAGGTCCAACTGCAGAATGCAGTGGTGTTACTAGAAGCTACAGAAGTAGGGGGATGGGTTCCTGCACAAATGGAAGTGTTTCTTCCCCTCCAGTGTGAATAGAAGCAATGTGGTTGGCTGGTACCTGCCTCCCTAAGAAAACAATAACCCACCCAAAATGCTAGGTTTTATAATAAAAATGTAATCCCAAACATAGTTTTCTCAGTTCCCACACATTGAAAGAAAGATTGTCAGGACAAAGAAAAGCTCAGAGGTTAGTTCCCAGAGGACCTAATGGAAACTTTCAGTTTCCCACTGGGGTAGGCCCGACCAAAGCCAGGCATAATCAGCATCATGGCATGTAATTTATTTTCACAAATAAATCTATGCTATACATGGAATCTGCAATCTTTTAAAATTCATCTGTATCTATTAGTCTATATATTGATTGAACTAAAGTTTGAAACTAAGTAGATCCAGGGGGTGGCACTAAAAAGAGTTTCTCCCCAAACCCAGTTTCTTCCTTTTCTTCTTCTCCTCATTATTTTTTATTAGACAGGGACTCACTATGTCACACTTCTTATTAGACAGAGTCTCACTATGTTGAGCAGGCTGGTCTTGAACTCCAAACCCTCATTTTCTATTTTTCCTGTGAACCAAAGTCTATTTCCAACCTATTTCTAACGGGAAGCACACTGGTTTCAAAGTGGACATGAGGCAGGAGAATAGGGTCTGAAGGCAGGGAACCTAAGGCTGTTTCACGCTGACTTCCCAGAACTAAACTGAAAAGAAAACCTTAACTTTCCACGCCTAAGTAACAAATGGACCAAAGGCAACTTTGCAAACCCCCACCTTTTCTGAACCGCAGGTGGGAAACTGAAAGTACCTCTGACTGGTTGCTTTCTGTAACCAATCAGCCATTTGCATAGGAGTATAACTTTGTAACTTCACTTCAGCCTCTGATTGGTTGCTGTCCTCAACCATTGATTGTGGGCCAAGTCTTTGTTTGCATAGAAGTGCAACTCTGTTAACTTCACTTTAGCCTCTGATTGGTTGCTTTCCCCAACTACTGATTGTGGGCCAGCACTTCATTTACAGGTGGTGAATACCAAGTGTCCAATGGGAAACCTCTAGAGGGTATTTGGGCCTGAGAAGACTCGGTATCCAGGGCCCTTGAGCCGCTGCTCGGGCTGCTCCCACACTGGCGTGTACTTTCATTTTTAACAAATCTCTGCTTTTGTTGCTTCATTCTTTCCTTGCTTTGTGTGTTTTGTCCAATTCTTTGTTCAAAACGCGAAGTACATGGACACCCTCCACTGGTAACAGACATTATTATCAAGGAACCCTTGGGGCAGAAAAAAACTTACCAAAATACAACTTCCTGGGCCTGACCCTATACATATCTGAGAAAGATATCATTATTGATTGACATTTCTCTAAAAGCCCAGAGTGGGAGACAGAATAATTAGCTGTTAATGACCTCATGGTTTTGGGATAAGTCCCTTCATGTCTCTAGGCCCCTGTGAGCAGGTGGACCAGAGGCTACCTAAGGTGTCTGCCATCACAGGCACTTCAGGGAAGCACTGACATGGAGAATCCTGCAAGTACCCCTTCAATACAGGGCTTTCCTAGCACTGCAGCAAAGGAAGAGACAAAGTCACCAAAGAATGACTAAACGCAGAAGGACAAAAAGTAGAAGTAAACCAGTCTGAAGGGTGAGTATGTCTAGAATAAATGCCCTGAATAGGGACAACCTGAGTTTCTGCTGGGCTTACCCTTTTCTCATGGAACTGCAAAAATTAGTTGTCTCCTCTGCAAGAAAGGCTAAGTAAGGTGGGGAAGAGTTGGGGTAAGCAAAAAGGAGGTGGGGGTGGGGGTTTATTGCTTTCCCTGAGGCCACTGAATACAAAGATGCCATAGAAACACTGAATATTATGAATCACTCCTCTGGAGGCCAAAAAATATCCTAAGTGTGGTCAGAGGAGGAGACAAAACATCTTGGCTGCTTGTACCACCATGTGCTTTTACAGACACTCATGTCACAGTCACAGACACTCATGAACATCTATCTGATCTGGCGACCCACCTGGAAAGCACTGCCTATAAGTAATCTTTCAATTTATGTATTTGAAAGTTCAGCCATCACTCAATAGTCACTAAATATAATAGCAAGCAAGCCCTTTGGCTTCCAACTTGTCCCTTTCACCTTCCAGCTGCCAGCAATTTGGACGTGACAGTGACATCTCTAATTGCCATATAGAAACCAGGGCATAAGGACCCACTTATATGGTGTAGACATGAGCTGGAAGGTGCCGAGGTCCCTAATAACTTTGTGGTGCTATTATGCCAGCATCCAACTGCCTATATCTAGATTTCATTGGGATGAGATAAAAATGAATACTAACATTTTTAAGCCCCTTACTTTCAATTTTCTAATCAATTCAGCCAAACTTAATCCTAACTATACTAAAAAACTACAAAAATTAGACGGGTGTGGTGGCACACACCTGTAATCCCAGCTACTCAGGAGGCTGAGGCAGGAGAATTGCTTGAACCTGGGAGGCGAAGGTTGCAGTGAGCCAAGATTGTGCCACTGCACTCCAGCCTGGGAGACAACAGCAAAACTCCATCTCAAAAAAAGAAAAAAAAAAGAGGCTGTGCGTGGTGGCTCACACCTGTAATCCCAGCACTTGGGGAGGCTGAAGTAGGTGGATCACCTGAGGTCAGGAGTTCGAGACCAGCCTGGCCAACATGGTGAAACCCCATCTCTACTAAAAATATAAAAACTAGCCGGGTGTGGTGGTGGCGCCTGTAATCCCAGCTACTTGGGAGGCTGAGGCAGGAGAATTGCTTGAACCCAGGAGACGGAGGTTGCAGTGAGCAGACAGTGCCACTGCACTCTAGCCTTGGTGACAGAGTGAGACTCCATCTCAAAAAAAAAGAAAAGAAAAGGAAAGGAAATTGTAGGCAAAGGTTAACATGTGTAAGGAAAAGGAAGACAGCAATCAGGTCAATAGCAGGGAACAGATTTAGCAATGGGTCTCAGTTAAATCTACAGCCAGGCTCTTTGCTGGGCAGGGGAAAAGGAGAGTCCTGTTTTAAATGGTCTTACATGAGCCATTTCCCCATACGCACTGATCTCCATGGTTGGAAGAGTTTTTGCACGTCACAAATGCTACACATGCTCAATGCTCTATTGTGGCCTGGGGTGCCCTCCAATGTACACAGTGCCCTAGATAAGTAGTGTTTTCTGTAAACCTCGGCTGGAGAAACCAGGCAGCACTTCAAACACCTCCCAGCCTCTTCTAGAAATAACTTCTCCCTGAGGCAACACTCTGCCACTGAAAACAGAACAAACTGGAATATGGAAGGAGGGGTGGAATGGTTGAAGGGGAAACTTTTAATGGAACACAGAAAGAGCCTTGTTTCCTAAGCTACTTGAACCAAAACAAAAATAGCTCTACTTTTATAGTCTTCATTCCCAGCTCTGGTGTGGTAACGTCAGGCATGCTCACACCTGAATGCTGAGCTCTCTGCAAAAGATGAAAATGCTCAGTATATCTTCTTTTCTCTTTTCATTTTCTCTAATGCCAAAAGATTATTGTCCACTCTCTTAAAGCTATTCCCATTCTGAGCTGTCACTATTCTTGGCAGAAGCTTGTCTTTTATTTCAAGACAACATCATTGTGCAAATGTTGCTAGGTCCCAAGATAAAAAGCACAGAATCAAAATGATTCCATTTTCTGTTAGTGAGTGGCCATCTTCACTAGCTCCCTCCTTCAGAACCTTACTCAAAAATCTTTAGTTCTGAACCTTTCTGGATTAACCTCACTTTGCCCTTCCTACTCTGATCTATGATCCATGTCTTTTTCTCACACGGATATGATTAGTTAAATGTAAAATGACATGGTTCCCCTCTCTACCCATTTTTCAAGTGACTCATTCATCCAACAAATACATGTTGAGTGCTTTCTGCATGTCTTATGTCTGCCACTTAGAATATAATCAGTGTACAAAACAAAGACCCTTGCCTTCACTGCACTCATGTTCTAGTTGTGCGTTGTGCGTGTCTTTATTTCTCAATAAGAGTTTCATGGCCCTACCACCTAAAAATGCCACAAAACAACAATCCCACAATCCCATTCAGAAAGTGAATGCATTTAACTTGAAACACGCAGTATAAATCTAAAGGAGCAGGGTCAAATAAATGAGGCTGAGGCTGTGGCTCATACTTGTAATCCCACCACTTTGGGAGGCCCAGGTAGGATGTTCACTTGAGGCCAAGAGCTTGTTACCAGCCTGGGCAACAAGGTGAGACCCCATCTCTATTAAAAACAAACAAACAAACAAACATGAGGCTGAGAAAAAAATGGCAAGGGATATCAAAAACTGTATTTTACATTTTCATTCTGTGGTCCAAAATAGGCACTTACTAGAATGTAAACTTTTTGAGGACCAGGACTGGTATTTCTTTCTTTTTCTTTAAGGGGACATAATTTCATTTTAATGTTTAAAGAAAAAAAAACCACCATAGCTATATGGTGGAGCAGAATGTAAAATCTGCATGAATTTTCAAGATGAAACATGAGACTTGAAAGAAATTCCTTCTGCTTGTGACAGGCAGCTTTGAACTAGATTCTTTGACCTTTAAGTTGAACAAAATACAGCCATCACCTAAGTGGATAATGATAGCAGCCCCGTGGCTTGGGCAGGGTTATAATTAGGTTCTTTTTGTAGTGCAGAATTAAAGCCTAACACAGCAAATTGCTATATTTTAGATATCATGGTATACACAGTGCCTAGAAGGGTCTAATAGTAAAGTGCTCAATAAATGTCTGCCAAATGAATGAATGAATGATTGAATGAATGCCCCAGTCATCCCATGTATTTTTATAAACCTAAGAATAACGCGTGGCTATTTTTTACATACCAGTCCAAAGTTGTAATGAACTAATGAACTTAGAAAGTGTGAGGTCAATTTCTAATTTAAATTAAATGCTTCTTTCTGTCCTTGCTCTTTTTCTCTTCTCTATAATTCTGGGAAGCCTACATATTAAGGTAAGTTACATAGATACAAGCAACTACAAACGTCACGAGTTTGGACCATGGCATCTTAAATCTGGGTGGAGATAAAGTTTTAGTTGGCAAGATCTCCCAAAGCAGTACTGTGAGAAAGTTCTGTAAGGCTGAGTGATTGCTTGGTGAAACTGGTAAGTATTATATAACTCATCTTGTAAGTTCTGATCTTTCCTTTGAAAATGACAGAGTAGTTAGTTCTGGGTTGATACACTCAAGTTAGCTTTCCCTTCTCCATTTTTCCACTTACAAAATGAAGACAGGTTTTGCTTCCCAGAAAAGTTACTATCTTCAGAAGTTCAAAATAAGCAATGTTTGTCAGCCAGTGAGCAAACATGTTTGTAAGTTGATCCTTTTGTGGGTGAGCTCTTTTTATATAACACTTGTTTGAGGATTTACCTGAGAAGGGGCACTGCAGGAGAGCCCAGACAGCTCGCTGATCCGTGCAGCAGCAGTGGGGTTGCTGGAGCTGATGAGGACAGGGGGGCTGATCTCCATGGAGTGGCGGTTCTGGGATGCCTGGGAGGACTTGTTGGCCATAGTGAGGGAAGTGAAGGAGTGCCGCTTTTTGGTGTTCTTCTTGGTGTCGGAGTGCTTTGGGGCAGTGCTGCTCTGGGCTGCTGCCGAGGAACATTCTCCAGCATCAACTCCTGGCACAGGAGGCTTATCCCATTCTATCAGCTGCTTAGCAGCCGAGTTAAACTGCAAAAGCAACCAACAAACCAACACAAGAAGGTTAAACAATTCCTAAGAATTCCCTGAGGTTTATTTCCAACATGATTTCATCCAAAATTTAAAGTCACTACTTTAAAGTTTGCCTATGCAGTGTCTGTTTTTCCCATGTGAGATATCTCTTCTCTCAATATTGGGACTTCATTGTATCTATATCACAGGTAGATATTAAATCAAGAATAAACAATTCCATTGCAAGACTGAAAGAGTAAAAGACAATTTTCTTAAGAATTTCCATAATGTCTGATTTTAAAACTTGCCAATAACAAATGAAAATTTATTTCAGCTCACTGTGAAATTTCGAGAAGAGCAATCAAAATGGTGTATTTATCACCCTTTTCGTGACACCCTGTTGCACAATAATGGTTGGGTATTTGCTCAAAGCACAACTGAACAATGAAGGGGCAACTTCTGGGTTTGGTAAAAATGAGCAAGAAGACAAAGAATAAAACCATTCAAAATGAACTCATGTGCTTCCATGTATATTTACCTCCTGCCTTTCTTTCTGTATTCTGGGAGAACCTCACAAAAAGCTGGCAGAAACTCTTAATATGTTTTTTGTCATGTCATTGTATCAGCTATCATCCTATGTGCACGTACTTTAAATCATAACAGGGTAAGACATGAAATTCAAGTCCTATTGGCAAGTTAACTTCATCTATCTGAAAAGCCCCAGTGTAAATTAAGAGTACCAGGGGTCAAAATCTGTGCACTCCACTGATATTATCAGCAAGAAAGGAAAGAACACAAGCCTTTTGTTTTCCCTAGGGTAAAATAAAACATTTCTGGAAAGCTTCAGTGACAATAAGCTGCATATAACTTTCCCAGATATTACAGTAATGGAAACATAGCTCAACCTCTCAAAAAAAATTGAGATGCAAAATAATAAACTTTTAAAAGGTAACTTAAATATAATATTAAGGAAAACAGTGATTTTTCCATCTCGGCATTACACATTGGGCACTTCACAAATGTCTTTATATAAAATAATATCATGTACTATTTTTCCCACTTAAATTGTTCAGGCTATGTCTTCTCATCCTGTTGATAAGATCACTCTACTAGAAGAATGGAAACTCTCTCAGTCAATATTTTATGAAATGAACTTGCTTTGGAACAACCGCTTCCTCACAAAGCCATGTTAACTGGAGCTCAGCAGTCACTGCTTCTACAGATGATTGCAAATTGACTGACAATTTGTTCCTAAGGCTCCTTGGGGACTCAAATTCAGGTGGCTTGTCTCATCTATAATTAGTAAGATAAATCTTTATCAAACATGACCATATCTCTTCTTCAGACTTTAAGAAGTTTCTCCACATGATAATCATTCAGAAATAATAGGCAGTAACGCCAGAATAACACCTGTCAATGCCTGAAGTACCAATGGCGGGAGAAAGATCATAAAGACTTCTTCCGATATGTGTTTAGGGATGAAAATGAGGTTCTAGTTGAGGGTGGCCCTATTACAAGCATTTTCAAGGCAATTGGCCAGGAGATCCAGAATTTACAAATCCTTTCTTGGTCTAGCTATCCCACCTTGAGAATAAAAAGCCCAAATGAAGCAAAGTAATGCTTTATATTATAGTGGGAGTGGCCTGAACCTCACTGTAGAGCTCTAATAAACTGCAGTGAACCATGGAGGGGTAGGGTCCTCTTTCCTGCACAGGTTGGGTGTAAGGAGCCTGGAAACAAAGCAGATTGAAAAGCTACTTCATCTCCTCCATCCCAAACACAACATCCTCATGAAATGAAGGGCCAGCACACCTGGCAATGCTGGAGAAAAAGGAGCCAGAGAATGTCTTCTTCCACCATAAGCTTATTTAGACACCTAGAAACAAATCTTTGAAAGTGCAAACCTAATCAGTGTGCTGGAAACTGACTGATCAACTCAGCACTCCTGTCCCAGTGAGTAAGAAGTAGAGGAGGGAGTTGAGAAGACTTTCTTCTCATTGAGGCAAAAAATATGAATAGAGGAAACTATCAAATCTAGTTGATATCATGTTTAGATTAATTCTGGGGTCAAACAATAGACTCCATTAGTGGTGCTTGTTTTGAAAGGTTCTGAAAAATTACTATAGTCTCATCATGATCATACCTGGCTGGCCAAGTGTCAGTTATATATTCAACATTGTGTTAGTATTTCAGGTTTCCATATGCTGTGCTCTGGTATAAACATCTGAGGATTAAAATATTGTTCCCAATATTTCCTGCTGCTTTCTCAACAGAACAATACTGGGTGCTTCCTTTGTGTCTTTCTTCATATCATATATTCTCCATTAAAATAAATACACATTGAGCATCTATTTTTGGGGGGACTGGGGGGAAAGGTCTCACTCTGTTGCCCTGGCTGAAGTGCAGTGGCACATTCATTGCTCAGTGCAGCCTCGAACTCCTGGGCTCAAGCAATCCTCTTGCCTCAACCTCCTGAGTAGTTGGGACTATAGGTATGCAACACCACACCCAGCTAATTTTAGTAGCAATGAGGTCTCATTATGATATCTAGCTGGTGTCGAACTTCTGAGCTCAAGCGATCCTCCTGTCTCAGCCTTTCAAAGTGCTGGGATTACAGGCGTGAGCCACTGTGCCTGGACTCTGAGCACCAATTATGTGCTGAATAATGTGCTTGGTGTTAAAGATCTACAAATGCAGAGAAATGATCTCTGCCCTTAAGGACCTTACAAACAGGCATAAAAATAACACAGTGCTTTCCATAATTTCTTATGTCTAGCTACTTTTGCTCAACAATATGCTTTTTGAGATTTATCCATATTGCTCCATGAGTCAGTAGTTCTTTCTTTTAAATTGCTGTGTAATATTCTATTGTGTAAATACACTATAATTTATCTATCCATTCTACTGCTGATTAACATGTGGGTTTTCTTTCCTCCTTTCCTGTCTTCCTTCCTTCCAATAGACAGTGGCTATTAAGAACAATGCTGCTGTGAATAATCTAGTTATGTGTCTTTTGGTGGACATAAGCTCCCATCTGGATATTGGGTACATGTCCAGGAGTAGAACTGCTGGACCATAGGGTTGGATGCTTGGAAAAATTTATGCAGAATCATGTGTATGCAGGTAGACACATCCTGGAGTGGTGTAACAAGCCAACTGGCAAGTAGAAGACCACAGTTCTAGTCCTAGCACAGCCATTACCTAACTTTGGGGCCTTAAGGGAGCCATCTTACCTCTATTGTTCACAGCTTCCTAATCTATAAAGTAAGTTGGAGCCAATGATTTTTAGGTCTCTTTTAGCTCTCCACATGTATAATGCATAATCTCACTTTAAATGGACAAGTTTCATTTTTCTATTTGATTTCTATTCCTCTAAATAGCCTAGCATATTTTTTCTGCATTTGATTTTTATGCATGGACAGTAATATTTGTTAGCAAGATGCTGTCATACTTTAAAATTACTTGAGATTTCTTCTGAAGCAGCACATATTAGTATTAAAAAACACTGCTCCTTGCTTCCTGTATCAGTTCCAGAGAAAATCATAAAGTTAAGACTATTTGGTAGAGGCATTAAGTAAATCAGGCAGAAACATAAAGCAGCTTTTGCTGTAAGTATAGCAACCTTTGGTAACAATAGGAAACCAAGAATCTGATAGCTTTTAGTAGAATTTTGATAAAATTCATGTATGAATGTTTGAGCTCAGTAGTGTGAGCTTTCTGTGACATTTATCTAACTATGACCTTTAATGTTAGGAGTACACTCATCACCTGCAAAATAAATTTGTATCCTAAAATACCTTCTTCCAAGCATTTGGTAAGGAGCTTTGATAAGACTTAGGTTGGATATAAGGTAAAATTCAGTATACTGGAGATAAAAGCAGGGATTCTATTCATTACTCTTAAAATTCTTATGCCCCTTTTTGGAAAAAAGTCTAAAATGTAGAAAGAATGTGTTTTTGAGAGTTATCAGAAGTATAAATAAATATGAGATGAAATACTGACAAAAATAATATTAATAAAAACAACAAGGCAGCTTAAGAAATATTAAAATAAACTTTTTTGTGTGTATGGTTGCCCTCTTTGCTAGAGAGAATATAGCCTTTTTTAAAAGGCGGGACTTACAATATTTTAAAGAGAAAAAATTTTTTAATAAGAACTAAGTTGAATAGTTACTATTTTATAGGAAGCTTTACAGATGAATCAGTCTGTAGCTTCTGAGCACTACAGGATACAAACAGTAGATCTGAGAAGTAATTATTTTAATTCACAACCCACTAGAGCAAGCTTGTCCAACCCACGGTCCTCTACATGTAGCCCAACACAAATTTGTAAACTTTCTTAAAACATTATGAGATTTTTTTTGAGGTTTTGTTTTTTCTTTTCTTTTTTTTTTTTTTTTAAGCTCATCAGCTATTGATAGTGTTAGTGTATTTTATGTGTGGCCCAGGACAATTCTTCTTCCAATGTGATCCAGGGAAGCCAAAAGATTGGACACCCTTGGTATAGAACATTATGAAGTAAAAAGTAAAAGGCCTCAGCCAGTTCCCCACATCTGTCTCTTCCCAACCCACTTCCCAGATGGATTTCCATTTAACAATTTAAAACATATCCTTCATTTTCTATGTAGATGTTGTTATACATGTATCTACTTTATTGATTTTTAATACAAATAAAACCAAGCAATCCATTCTATTCTCTCATGAAATAATATTTCATGAACATCTTTGCATATCAATAGGGATAGGCTGATAGCATGGTATTCCATTTTATAGAGACGTTGCCATTTACTATGTCTTGGCAGGCTCGTACAAGCATATCCATAGGGTAAACTCCTAAAAGTAGAATTTGCTAGATCAAAGTGTAAGTTTAAAAATCGTTTTTTGAAGTAACAAGGTGTATTATATTGTTTTAACTTGTATTTCTATTTATTAATGAGATTAAGCATCTATTTTCTTTTTTTAGGATTTGCTTATTTCCATACTCTATCCATATTTCTATTGGATTGTTAGTATTTTTCTTATAGACTGATATAAATACTTTTTTTTTTTTTTTGGAGACAGGGTCTCCCTCTGTCATTGAGGCTAGAGTGCAGTGGCACAATCTCAGCTCAGTGCAACCTCTGCCTCCCCGATTCAAGTGATTCTCCTGCCTCAGCCTCCTGAGTAGCAGAGATTATAGGCAAGTGCCACCATGGCCCGCCTAATTTTTGCTTTTTTTTTTTTTTTTTTGAGATGGAGTCTCGCTCTGTTGCCCAGGCTGGAGTGCAGTGGCGTGATGTCGGCTCACTGCAAGTTCTGCCTCCCAGGTTCACGTCATTCTCCGGCCTCAGCCTCCTGAATAGCTGGGACTACAGGTGCCTGCCACTACACCTGGCTAATTTTGTTTTTGTATTTTTTTAGTATAGACAGGGTTTCACCGTGTTAGCCAGGATGATCTCAATCTCCTGAGCTTGTGATCCACCTGCCTCGGCCTCCCAAAGTGCTGGGATTACAGGTGTGAGCCACTGCACCTGGCCTTAATTTGCAATTTTTTTAGTAGAGATGGGGTTTCACCATACTGGTCAGGCTGGCCTCAAACTCCTGACCTCAGATGATCTGCCTGCCTCGGCCTCCCACAGTGCTGGCATTACAGGCGTGAGCGATTGCGCCTGGCCATAAATACTCTTTTTATATTATGTAAAGTGCTCTTTAACTTATATGTATATATGTGTGTATATATTTATGTCTATTAAATTAAAAATAATGTTCTAATTTGTTATTTATCAGTTTTTTTCCACTATTGCATCTTGATTTAACATCATGCTTTAAAAACCTTTTCATTCCACAATTGTTTTAAATAAGAAACCTACATTTTTTCCTACTTTTTAAAATGTTTCCTTCTTTTCATTCTTTCTTTTTACATCTCCGTCTGTGAACCATATGCCCATCTGGTTTTGCATAAAGAATAAGGTCGGGAAAGCATTTAGCACTTTGTTTTTCCACATGACTCAGCAGTTGTCCTATCATCATTTAAATAACAGTCCATCTTTTCCTCACTGGTTTGAAATGCCATGTTTTAAATGTAGCACTTCAACATTCTACTGCATCACTAAGTCCAATGTTCCTTCCCCAGATAAGTCAGTCACTTTGAAGAATATCAGGGAATGAATGAAATGCTATGGAATGGAAATTCATGCCCATTTACATCCTCTCAGCAGACATGAAAATATTTTGCCTCACATTATAGTCCTTTGCAAAATGGTCCATAATGGCAATGAGAAACTGGTATTCCCATTTGTCTCCTATTCTTCCCTACAATTTAGGTAATAAGGTTTTTGTTTTTGGATGACCTAAATATAAAAGCAAGCTCAAACTTCATTTATAATGCAAGACTTACCCACAGAAGAGGAATAACTAAGAGACTGAAGGGATTACTCAAGAGTCTTTTAAAATTGATATGAAAGCCTCCCTCAGGTAACAGCTCCATTAAGGTCTCTGTAAATATTTGTTGAATGAATAAAAATGTTTGTCTCTTAGAACTATCAAGGGAAGGAAGTGCTGCCTCTAGCCCAACACTATGCAACTGAAATATAATATGAGCCACACTTGGAATTTAGATTTTTTGGTAGCCACATTTTAAAAGACAGAAAGAAATAGGTAAAACTCATTTTAATAATACATTTTATTTAGCCCAATGTATCTACACTATGATCACTTCAACATGTAATCCATGTAAAAAAGTACTGAGATGGGTACATTCTTTTTTTGTACTATGTCTTTGAAACCCGGTGCGAACGGAGTGCTTCCATCCCACTCAGTTTGGACGAGTCTCGCTGCAAGTTGCTCAACAGCGACATGTGCATTGGATGGCACAGCTCTAGACTCTCCATAGCTCCTGTAGGGAAAGAAGCTGCAACACAGGGTGGCTGTGCTCCCGAGGCTCATTAAGCACAAAGAATTTGCTGAACAGAGAAAAGAAGACTGAAATGACTCCCCTGACTCCCTATGGCCCACATTTCTGACGCCTCCTGGGTCCTGAAGCAGTGCACTGGCAGCAACTACAAGGGTTACTCATTTAAGCAGTAGGACAGGGAGGAACACGGACTCCTAATACAAGCCTCACTACATCCTGCCAAGGGAAAAGGATTTTCAAAGTTAACTACCTGGCTGCACTAGGTTAGGAAGGTGAAACATCAGTTACGTAGCTCTTCACTTATTTTCATTATCTTCACTTCTGTTGGCCCTAGCTGTTAAAAACAAAATAAACTAGAATTTTCTTGTTCAGGTTTCTGACTTTGAAATGTAAGGTATAAAAAGAGGGTACATGTCATTAAAAGCCTAAAAAGAATTTTAGCTGAGGTAGCTGAAAAAGGGACTGTCAGAGAAAACCACAGGAAAAGCCCTGAACTTCACACCGAAAGGTTTAGGTTAGAGTTAGGTCTTTGTCCTCACTGGTTCAGTAATCTTGGGTGGACCACATAAATTCCATGGTTTTGGTTTCCCTAGCTGTACAAAATGGGAAGGTAACATCAATTTTACACACCCCAGGTAGAAATGGGCATGGGTTAAAGTGCTCTGTAACATGTAAAGTGCTATATGAACATGAGTTATTCTTACTATTCAGAGTCCCAGCTTGCCATTAACTTGCTTTGTTGACTTGGGCAAGTCATTTGACCTTGGGTATGCCTCCCATTTCTCATTTGTAACATGAAGCAAGACTTAATGATCTGTAAAATTTTATGCCTAGGTAAAGTACAATACCTATTCTCAACCCAAACAAAAATATCCCATTCAAAATATTCAATAGGCAAAGACTTCTGTGTTGGGAATAGGGTCCTCAGGTATTCAGTGACCAGAATCAAACCTAATGGAGCCTTTTACTCACCCAAATGTTTTTTGAGTGACTGTTAAAAGCCAGGCACAGTACTAAATGAGGGAAATAGGGAAACAGAGACACATCTTTTCTGACTCATGATAAAAGAAAACCTAAGAAACAGCATGATGGATTAAGGATAGGAGGCACAAATTCACGTGTCTGCATAGCTTGGGCAGTTGAGGTCAATGAATGAAGAAGGCCAGATAGAGACCAACAGAGAATGGCAGGCACACTATAGTGAACTATGGTCAACTGGGGACTGTCTGCTTTCTTTCAATGGGCAACTACTTGGCAGGGTCAACTGATTTTTTTTTTTAAGGAAAGCTTATGTAAAACCTCCTGAGTTTACATCTTAACAACTAATTTTTAAAAACCACTCTAAGTCAAGCATAAAAGTCATGGGGATCGTACTAGTTGGTGATCTCTGATTTAGGGAAGAAATAATAGAGAAGAAAATAGTAGGGGTAAGAGGAAAAGCAAAAGGCCCTCAGAATCTCAGAATCCACAAGAAGACCTTGCAAAGTTTCCCAGGCCAACCATCCAACCAACGACCCAGAAATGAAAAAGGCAAAGAGTTTCAGAGAGATTAAGAATAGTGTACTTAACCCAGCAATTCCACTACTGGGTATATACCCAAAGGAAAAGAAATCATTTTACTAAAAAGAAACCTGTACTTGTACGTTTATTGCAGCACTATTCACAATAGCAAAGTCACGAAATCAACCTGAGTGTCCATCAACGGTCTACTGGATAAAGAAAATGTGATATAAATGCAACAAAGGATATTATGCAGCCATAAAAAAGAGAGAAATAATGTCTTTTGCAGCAACATGGATGGAGCTGGAGGTCATTATCCTAAGTGAAATCACTCAGAAACAGAAAATCAAATACTGCATTTTCCCACTTATAAGTGGACTTAAAGATGGAAATAACAGACACTGAGGATGCCAAAAGTGGGAAGATGAGAGGCAGGTGAAGGTTGAAAATTTACCTATTGGGTACGATGTTCACCATGTGAGTGATAGGTACATTAAAAGCCCAAACCTCACCAATATGCATGTAATACCAATGTAATAAACCAGCACATGTACCCCCCGAATCTGTAAAAATATATATATATTATATATCATATATAATAATGGTCATATTATATATATTATATATAATAATTATATATACATACATATATAATAATGTTGGTCAGGCTGGTCTCGAACTCCTGACCTCGTGATCCACCTGCCTCAGCCTCCCAAAGTGCTGGGATTACAGGTGTGAGCCACCGCCTGGTCTAAAAACTATATAAAATATATAAAATATTATATATTCTATATATTATTCTATATAAAATATATATTCTATATATTATTCTATATAAAATATGTATTCTATATATTATTCTATATAAAATATGTATTCTATATATTATTCTATATAAAATATTACATATTCTATATATTATTCTATATAAAATATTACATATTCTATATATTATTCTATATAAAATATTACATATTCTATATATTATTCTATATAAAATATTACATATTCTATATATTCTATATAAAATATTACATATTCTATATATTCTATATAAAATATTATATATTCTATATAAAATATTATATATTCTATATATTCTATATAAAATGTTATATATTCTATATATTCTATATATTATATATCTATATATTCTATATAAAATATTATATATCTATATATTATATATTCTATATAAAATATTATAAAATCTATATATTATATGTTTTATATATATACTTTTTTTTTTTTTTTGAGACCAAGTCTCGCTCTGTAGCCCAGGCTGCAGTGCAGTGGCGCTATCTCAGCTTGCTGCAACCTCTGCCTCCTGGGTTCAAGCAATTCTCCTGCCTCAGCCTCCTGAGTAGCTGGTATTACAGGCGCATGCCACCACGCCCAGCTTATTTTTGTATTTTTAGTAGAGACAGGGTTTCACCATGTTGGTCAGGCTGGTCTCGAACTCCTGAACTTGTGATCCACCTGCCTCAGCCTCCCAAAGTGCTGGGATTACAGGTGTGAGCCACCACCCGGCCTAAAAAATATATTTTTAAAAAAGAATAGTGGTAGATGTTATTGAGAGGACAAAATGACAAAAACAAGAGCTAAGAAAAGTCAGTTCGTAGCAAACAGGAGGAAAATTTCAGAGACTGGAGTGACCAGAGGCTAACACTAACTGCAGGGAGTAAGAAAGCAGAGGCAGAGAGCAGGGGTAAGCGATTCTCTTGAGAAGTTTAGCAGAAGTAAGAAAAAAGGTAGAATCATAATTTGAGGGGAGTGTAGTCAAGGAATAGGCTTTTGGGGAGCGTAAAAAGCTGATCATTTTCCTATATTAAAGGATAGCCAGGGGAAAGGGAATAACTGACATGCAAAACAGTAAAGATATAATAGATGTGACCAAGTTCCTGGAGGATGAAAGGCCTAGGCAGAGAAGACAGCAACCGCAAAGGAAGAAAAACCCTTCCCAACTGTGAACAGTGAATGTGCATACAAATTTAAAAGTTCAACCCTGAAAATTAAGTATAAAGAGGTACAAATACCTATTACTTTTGGAGCAACAGATGTACAGTCTATTCATGGTGCTGGGGAGAGAGACCAATGGATAATTTTTAAATTGGTCTCAGTTCACTTCACTGTGTTTACTGGTTCTGACAATACATGAAGTTTTATATATATGTTTCCATTACATATTTGTTCACTGAATGCACACCATAAATCAGAAATGTCTGTTAGCCAAAAGTATCATTCCAATGACAAATTTTATTTTCTACAACCTGATTACCAGATGTAGGGATACTATAAAAGAAATATACATGTATCTCAGGAGGTTATGAACATGGAATTGTCATTAATTCTAAGTGAAAATTTGTCAATGTGAAATGACACACTGACAGAAATTCCACAGTGATGTGTAATCAGCTAATAAATCAGTGAACAAGTATTTCCCCTACCCTGGATACTTAAAGCACGTGTGGATGTGCATGGGGGCAGGGTGGGGGAATGGTGATCGCCAAGAAAGAATCTGGCACAGAAAGAGAATACTGTACCAAGGATATTGACCATCAGGACTTTGCACGTTTGTTTGAGATCTTCCTTCCTCTCAACATATGGAGGAATTTTCGCCCCACAAATATGTGAAGCCTAATAGGTACATTATCACTAAACTTTATTTTAAAAAGCAATGTTGTTTTATAACACTTAGGAAAAATACTTTCCTAAAACATTCCATTTCATTCTAGAGAAGCCTGTTCCCCATTGATGTAATAAAGATGCTCCTGTTCAAGTCATTTATATGCCACACATGCACACACATGCTGGACCAGTATAGAATATTCATTCAGTCTTTTTTACACGATATAAGACATGACTTAACATTTGATTAATTAAAATGAATCTATTCTGCTTATTAAAGCTTTAGTTACTGGAAAAATTTAGTGTGTATATAGCAATAATAAAATATTTAAATAATAAAAATAAAAAGTTGAAAAGACATTAAAATATCATGGTTTTAATTAGTTTGTGATTTTTCTCATAAAAAGGCAACCTCAGATATTTAAAATTGTTGAGTAGTGACTCATTTCTGAAAATTAACCTTTTAGGTGTGAGAAAATGAAATGTTTCATAATTTGTTATGAAACATTAAAATGCCCTATACACTTTTTAAGCAAAGTTGGATAATAATAGTGATTCTGCCCAACCATTAGGAATGCTAGTTATTGAATGTGCTCTGAGACTAGGGCAGGGCAGAAGTCTAGGGAAGCGATGAACTGCAGAGTGGAGGCCACGATTCCTTTCTCGATTCCTGGCTCTGTGTCCCCCTGAGCAAGACATTTGTCTACAAAATGGTAAAAATAATTAAATTATAGGTTAGCTACTAGAGTGTTTATTAGACAGTCATAAAAACTGATGTTTAGTAGTACTACAATTATATGGCGAGAGGCAAAATCATGTGTGTAATATCATTAAAGCATAAGGAAAAAGAATGGAAGGATATTTACCAAAATTATACACGATGAGACTTAGGATTATTCATTTCCTTTCCAAACGTTCTGGAACATGATTATATTGTAGAAATAAAATCATTAAAAATATCCTTTACATAAGATATGGCTCTAAGAAACACAGGAAAATAATAAATCATCAACAAACCTAATTATACACTTAGCATGTTCCAGGCAAGTAAGAATGGTACAAACGGGGTACTGTAGAAGTTCAAAGCAAGGAGAGGGGGTTTTTTTTGGTTCTGTTTCATAGAATTTGTTTTGTTGCATACGAAAATTAGGGAAGAAAGGCTTCATGAGGAATGATAGTATTTATTTGGACCCTGAAGGTGAGCTTTCTATACAGACAAAGAAATATCCCTGATGAGCTGTAAAGAGAGCAGTTCCAGGGTATGTTTTCCAGGAATTATCAGTAAACTTAACTAGGGCCCTGGGTACATGTAGCAAAATATGGCCAGGTTAAAGAACTTGGCGATTCTTTAGGGAGTCATTGTGGACCTTAGATACCATTTGGTGATTAGCCTAGGCCTCTGATTATGGCTATGCAGGAAATCTGCGTTTTTATGTTCTATGAAACTACCTAGAGTACTGGAAACTGTCCATTCGTGAAGTGGGAACTCCATAAACATTAACCGATCTTTACAATCTCAGCTCTCTCAATGTTTTCCTGATGGAAAGCAAAAAGAAACTCTTAAATTAGAAAGAAGCCTCTGAATAATAGATGGAGCATAAACTACCCTAAATCCTTACCTAAACAACTCCTTTTTAGATTGAGTCTTTAGCCATATTTATTAAACAGCCGTTCCTGGAGCTCAGAGGAGACCTGCTTTTGCCTTTAGAACTTCAGGAGCCAGTGCTCATTTTTCCTTTTCCTTCTATTGTTCTGGCAGAAGGAAAAGCAATAATTACTTGTATCAAGTGGATAGCATTCAGAAGATATGAAAACCTACACCATGGGACATAGTCTACAGTGCTTAAAGAAAAAAAAGCTACTCAAAGGCAGATCCAATGTATTCAGTCAGAATTACAGATGAAAGTATGGTGCTAAGCAACGAGTAATTCTCCCTTACTGACTTCTCAACAATGTCTTTAAATTTCACTTACAAAAATTTATTTACTTCAGGTTTGAAAGGGAAATTTGGATGCTAAGCAACACAGTAATTCCCTCTTCCCAACTTACCCACAATCTCCCTAAATTTCTTTTATAAACATTGATTTAACTTTTTAATTTTTAAAGGAAAATAATACATCTAAAGGAAAAAATATATCCAAAAGTATAAATGATGCTATCTTTTTATATAGTTCAATCAACTCTTTGATTATTAGATCAAAGGTTATTATTGTGCCCTTCTGCTATCATTATTCTCAAGAGGAAAGGCTTTTAGTTAAAAAATAAAGTTAGCATTGTTATTCTTAGCTCCTCCAGGGGTCACCTTGGCAACTTCAAACTATGTACCTACACTTCTACTTCTTATTCTTTGGAACACAGACATTACCTTCCAATTCTCTCATTCCCTAGAAGAGGAAGCTAGCACCCCCACCTTTAAGGCCACTTGTGCTCCCTGAGCCCTTTGATTTCCCATTGTTAAGGCTGATAACACACTCTATCCATAGCCAGAGAAATGTCTCCCATGATTTGTCTATGGTTGATTCTAGAAAGTGAATACAACTAATTACTCCAAATTGTACACTTTAAATATGTGTAGTTTATTGTATGTAACTTACGTCAATAAACTTATTTTAAAAGTGAGGATCCTTGACAATAAGTCTGTCCTACCTCAGCTCAAAGTAAGTCAAAGGAGAAATTGCAAATAGGTGAAAATTCATCTCAGAAAGAATCAGTGAGTCTTTTCTTCTTAACATTTTATTTTTTAAATTGACAAAATTGTATATCTTTATCATGTATAAGATGATGTTTTAAAATATGTATACACTGTGGAATGGCTAAATTGAGCTAATTAACATACGTATTACCTCAGATAGGTATCATTTTTTGTGGTGAGAACACTTAAAAATCCACTCTCAGCATTTTTCAAGAATACAATAATATACTGTTATTAACTATAGTCACCCTATAGAACTCTTGAACTTACTCCTCCTACATAACTAAAATTTTATATCCTTTGACCTACGCTACCCCCAGGGGGGTCTTCTCTACAAAGCTGGCCCTCTACATGCATCTTAGGGCCCCATGTCCGAGGAATGGAGGACTGACTGCAGTACGCCATTTTATGTGAGGGACTTGAGCATCCGCAGATTTGGAAACTGTGAGGAATCCTGAAACCAACGCCCTGTGGATACTGAGGGACAACTGTATTTAAGAAATAAATAACCAGTAGAGATTACAAGATCTAAGCCATAGAGTATTGCTACCATTAATTTGGGAAAATTCTAAACTAGGTACAATCAAATAGCCTAGTTTTTAAAAAAACAGGAAAAAAGCTTGCATTAAGGTCACATAGACCAGCTGGTCTGAAGAATGTAACATCCTGACGTAACACCAAGATAAACCAATGATAAGATATACACATAGGCAGTGAATGATGGGAGAATTAGCTGAAAAATGTAGAAGTTGGCAAAATCTACAAACATGTTTGTTTTGAGTTTAGAACCTTTCATTATAAAAGTTCATAGGTTGCTCATTCATTCAACCAATATTTATTGAAAGCGTACTACAGGCGCTGTGCAAAGACCCTGCGGAACCGGCCCTTGGGAGTTTGAATTCTAATGGGGAAATGGAGGGTGAGGGGTCAGCTAGTAACTACATCAACAAATAACTGGAAATACTCACAGAGAGAAAAAAGGGTTAATAATTTCTAGGGATAATAATAACAATGGTGATAATAATCACAGCCATCACTGACATTGCTCTTGCTGGTACCAGGCACTATTCTTAAGTATCACTGGAACTTATTATTTTACAAATGAAGAGCCAGGCCCATAGTCACTTAGATAATTAGTAGTAGAGTCAAGATTGGAATCCTGGCCATCTGGCTCCAGAGTCCAAGCTTTCTCCCACTATGGCACCAGTATGTGTTTGGGGTACAGCAAGTGAAGAGGAGGCACTCCCTTAGATGAGGTGAGAGAAAGTCTGTCAGAGGAAGTGACAGCTGACACGAGATCTAAACAAATGAGAAATGTAGCCCTTGTTTCTAGCAGTAACTACTGAGTAAGAATAGTTGTCTATGAGGCCACTCCAACTTCAGGCCTTCTGCACATTACCTTTTATCATCTATAGCAGAGGAGCAAGTTGCTAAATAACTTTTTTGGTGTTGAAAAACTGAGTGGGCGATATTTCAAACAAATGACTAGGAATCAAAATAAAATGAGAAACTTAATAAAAATTTATAGTTCACCGTAAGCCTACAATACACAATTATGTTTGGGAAGCATCCAAAATTCCATATTCAGCACTTATTTCATTCATATTTTTTGCTTGCTTAAGAATCATGTCATCCAAACTTGAATGAATGAGTCAGCTCCAAATTAATAGGGTTAAAAATCTTTCCTTCTATTTTACAGAAAACTAGTGTTTTTGAACAAAGAAGCAGATTAAAAATCTGTTTTTTTAAAACTGTATTCAGTCCTTAAAAAATATACCCTTTTATACATATCATGGCATGGTGTCTTCAAGAACTGCTTTTAACCTTTACTATTTTCCAGCTTACACAAGTGAAGAAAGGGCCTGTCTAAATTGAATAGAACCCATAACCTCTAAGGCTCAACCAAAGAGAGGTCTGAAAGAATCTCCGGAGGGGAAGGGTGAATGTGATCAAAGCAAGAGAACCCTTACCCTTATCTTAAGAGCTCAACAAGGACTCCAAGGCAAAGAATCCAGGGCCATTTATATAGCCATTCTTTCCCCTACTCACTTCTCCCAACCAGACTCTCCTCCATTCAAGCCTTGAAAAATTTTGTGTTCTACTTTAATAAGCAAAGTGTTTTGCATTATTAAAAGGAGATGTGGCTGGGTGCGGTGGCTCACGCTTGTAATCCCAGCACTTTGGGAGGCAGAGGCAGGCGGATCACCTAAGGTCAGGAGTTCGAGACCAGCCTGACCAACATGGTGAAACCCCGTCTCTACTAAAAACACAAAATTAGCCGGACGTGGTGGTGCATGTCTGTAATCCCAGCTACTTGGGAGGCTGACGCAAGAGAATTGCTTGAACCCGGAAGGCAGAGGTTGTAGTGAGCCAAGATTGTGCCATTGCACTCCAGCCTGCGCAACAAGAGCGAAACTCTATCTCAAAAAATAAAAAAGGAGATTTGTTTGCAAGTCACTGTACCACCATCGCTATTTTATCACCTTACTCCAGTGCACGTGGAGATCACAGTCCACAGTCACATGATGTTGAGGAAGAAAAGGATAGTTGAGGACAGGAAGAGAGGGCAAACTATTCCGGTAGCATTTCTCACCACCTCAATCCTCTCTTTACCCACCTCCAGTGCTCAGCTCCTTACAGTTTACCTTCCCTCCTAATTCCACAGCTCCACATCTGAACCTCTGACCCAGAGATTCTACTACAGGTCCACAATCCTACCCCAAGGCCCATCCCGTGCAGACTTTCTGCCCTAGGAGAGTTCCTTGGGCATATCCATTACCTAAGTCGGCCAGCAGGAGTCGAGGGGGAGTTTCAGCTTCTCTCATTACACATGGTAGTTAGGTTCTTTTATTTGATTATTACCATGCTCTGGTACCCTCTGCGTGATAGTCTAATCTGAGCTCCAAACCACTATGCATAAGACATAGTGGTGTCAGACCCTTGGAGATACATCATCTCATTCAATCTTCTCCAAACTTCTAGGAGATAACAGTTTTTGGCAGGACTGTACAAAAAAAGCAAAATACCTAACACTGATGGAGACTTAAATGTCTATTTATAAGATATAAGAGAATTATTTACCAATTTTTGTGATGCAGCCTGTTTTTATACTGGGATTGTCTGGCCCCTGAAGTGGGGCAAATATGAATAGGTTTACAGAGCTAGAGAAAGACCATTACTTAAGAAAAAGCCCCAGTTTTTATTCCTATAGTTTGCTTTACCACAGCTAAGAATGCCCTGTAAGACAATCGACATTACTGAAATAGTTGAATTTCAGTAGGTTGCAATTGAAGTCTGCCTCCACTTTATTCCCCTAAGGGCTAAACTAGGTGTCACTAATCCCTAGATGCTCTGCTCCCTACCAGGAAGTTCAATCTGATGGCTTGACATCAAAGAAATGTTCATAGGCTCCTAAAGATAGACAGCTTGTTTACCACATCTCAAATGGCAAGATTCTGGTTCAAGTGAGGAAAATGCTCATTTGAAAGAAAAGAAGCAGAATGAAAATACTTTCTACTTGGGCAGAAGTTTATCTTTCCAACTTAAGTCAGAGTAAATAATCCTGATGAGTCAAGTGACTTGAAGTGACTCTGGATTTGCCATGGGTGGATCTTTTATGCCTATCTGCACAATTCTATACTCGCCCAATAACAAAAATATAGTAAACCCTTTTCATGCATCACAAACCAAGTATCAGCATGTAATATTGATAATACCTAAAAAGTAAAGACAGGCTTTCATTACTAATCCTGTGCTTACCCATGCTCTTCAGTGTAACTATTCAAATGCTTGGAAGTGCTTGTAGTTTCCCATTACCCACAGTTAGAATATATACATAATGTACAGGAAGGACTGCCTGTGAGTTAAGGGTTGTTTGGTTTTTTTCTGTTGTTTGCTTTCAAAGGAGGAAAAAAATATTTCAATAAACAGGAACATCTGAAGAGTATGGATAAAATTCAAGACTCATACATGGTTTGAATTACTTTCCCATGGATATACAGTAGTCAAATTGATTTTTTATGAAAACGTTGGCAATCTCACTCTCTATGGAGGAAATTGAGTGCTGGCTACAATGATACAGTTTGTCATTTTAGTTTTCAAGATCATGCCAAAACAAATGCCTCAGATAAAAAGACTGCAAAATAAGTGACAGTGGTTTTTCAGTTTTACATGCTTAAGATCCGTGCTTTGATATTTTAAACAACCAGATTACTTTCAATTCCCCAAATAATCTTGTGCTCTCTCTTACTTTTTGGCTTTTGAACACGCTGGTCTCCCTGTCTGGATGTCCTGCCATAAAATATACCTTTTCCATGTCTCTTAGTTAACCCTTATTTATCCATCACACAGATATCTACTAAGACCTCACTTCTTACCAGAAGCCTTCCATGGCCTCAACTAACCTTGAATGGTTGTCTGGGCCACGCTTCCTTCTTTGAAAATGCCTTCGATTTTATTTTCAGCAAGAAATTCTTATTCCCAAAGGACATTTAGTTTATGATATATGATGTAATGAAAATCTACTATGAATTGTAACTCCTTTATGTTCAGCTTGTATTATTCTTTAAAGTAATACAACTATGTGACTACACATACTCTCTAAAAAGACTTTACTATGTCAAGCTTGGCCACAAGCTTTCCAAGCAAAGCTGATTTAAAAAGGGAAAGGGGGCTAAGTAGTTGCTGGGATGGGATGGAGGAAGATTCATTGACTTATTTAACAAATATTTATTGAAGCCCTACTTTGCATATCACTATTCTGGTTCTGCTGATGCAGCAAGTAACCAAAGAAGTAAGTAAAAAATAAACAAATAAACTTTTCTCCATCTTACTTAAGAACTTTATCAACTTTCTACTCCCACCAAAGCCAGCAAATGGAATAAACAGGAAATAGTGTAGGTGACTGACAATAAGCATACAGTGACATTTAACAAGACACAGGAATGCTTTTAGCAGGGAGAAAAAGTAAAGAGTTTCAAGTATCTCACTGTCTTCAATAATTGTTGGATAGGATGGAGGAATTCTTCCTGATCTGTCCAGTGATCTGTAACAGGGCATTCCTGGTGCTTTTTGTTGTGAGGACTTCTTAATACTCAAATTGCATAATTAAGATTTATTTAGTAAGCTGAATATTAACACAGTTCAAGTTTCTACAGATTAATTTACCTCAACATATGAAATTGGAAATATTCCTATTTTGTCTGCCAGCATTCCTTCAGCCCAGTTTTCATCCACTCTTCGGATCACAGTCAGAACATCATCCTGAAGAAACAGCAAATCATTAATCTACCTGATCATTAAGCTGTACCATTAAGCTTGTCATTTAATTTTCCTTTTCAATAAAGAGACTCATGTTTTAAAGAGTACATGAATAAAAATGCTATGACATATCTTTAGTACATGGATTAAATGTTTTCATGAATTAAACGGTAGCTACCAGCCCACCTGGTGTCCTTTCCAACTGTTACAAAGCTATGAACTCCTATGCAAGGGAGCTGGCTGCTAACTCTTAAGATCTACAAATTGCAACCTCAAATGATACCTACCCTAGCCTCCTGAGTTTGTTTTAGATTGATTCTCAGATGCTCCTCATTTTCTGAAAATAAACCAAATGCCTACTCAAATGTACATCCTACCGCTTTTCTCCACAAAAATCACAAAATTCTGCTTAAAACTCCAAACCATTTTATCAATTCGGCAGATATATTCCTGTATGCTTTTAGGCAAAGAATTTTACATATAAAATATGAAAGTAATGACATTTCATTTTGTTATTCATAATTCAGTACTTTAAAATCCCTGAGTGGTGCATACACCCTTTAAAGTGGCTTAGAAATAAATTCAGACTCTAAATATGAAAATGATACCACATAGAGCATCAACCAAGATAATCTTTCATATAAGAAGTCTGTGCATAAAATTACCTTCCTTGTGACTTAAAGACTGCTTCTAGGCATTTTCAGAAGCATAGTGAGTAGTTCACACAAAACTTGTATTTTTTTTTGCAAAAGGCAACACGAGCTATATTTCTATGTATCTGGGTACAGAGGTAGAGCTGGCAAACAGAAAACAAGCACATTCTACCTTTACCTTTGCAAATGGAAGGCAATCTTTGTCTGCTTCCTTGTCTTTCACTTCAAAGTCATAAAGTGCTTTGCACTGAGGTGGGGGCTGAGGTAACGGTTTAATAATCTGCACAAAGTTGGTGGGGAAAAAGCCATGGATTCCATTGACTTCCCCATGGTACCAATTTTCATCCACTTGTCTTCGCAAAATGATGATGTCACCTTTGCTGAATTTAAGGTCTCCAGGCTCTTTTCCTTCATAGTTGTATAATGCTTTGGCACATGGTAACTGAGGTATACCCTTTAAAAAAAAAAGAGGGATGAATTTTAATAAAATAATGGTCTTAAAATGTCTCTGAAAATACAACTGCGTTGTCATTGTTTTAAAGTCAAAGTCAAAACCACACTGTAACCCTTGAAGAAAATCTCACACAAAAACAATATATATGTGTTACCAATAAATAGAAAACACAAAACAATTGTCCATAGTGACATAAGAACAGTACGACACCCATGCACCAGCCATGATTTAGGCTTCTATTCTTAAGTTTAACTTGGTGGGTGTTTTGCCTTCTTTCTTTGAGGTTATCAGTATATGAAAGCATGACTGCCAGGTCTGCCTCTCAAGAACTCATAAAAAACAAGCTTAACTTCCTACATTAACTACTTTATTCATCAGGATAAATGATAAACACTGAGGAGAAATGATAGATACTGAGGGGAAAAATTTAAACCAAATTTATTAATTTACTAAACTGCTTTTAAGCTTGGTTGATAAAAATCAGAGTTCGGCTTTTAGGCAAATCTCTTCCTGATATTGCTTTTAATGTGGGCAGTAGGTCTTACTCTTTCATGAGCTCAATGAGTATTTAATGAGGGTCTACTCCTGGATACAGCAGTGAGTGAACAGTCACAGTACCTGCCATCCCCAAGTTTATAATCTGTAAGTGTATAGACACGTGGTCTTTTACAGCCTAAGATCATTCAACTTTGCTCTTTCCTGGAAGAGAGCACATTGTTAGGCTGATAAGCTAAGAGATGAGGAATTTAATGTTCCTGCATTGCATTACTGTTTTAAATGACAAGTTTAAAATTGTGTACATAAACCCCAGTGCAATTTAATCATCAACTGATTAATATGATACTTTTCAACGGCATTGGGGGTGCCCAATCTTGAGCATCAGTTGTCACTTTAAGATCTTTGGCCTCTCTGAGCGCTGTTGCATATCGTTGATTCAGGAGATAAGTGGCAAATCCAACATGTCTATAATAATTCCCTGAACAAGATTACAGGGCTCCTGCTTTTGGAGTCTTTATTTATTTATTCACTCTTCCAGAAAACATTTATCAAGCTTTTACTTTTTTTTTCTTTTTTTTTTTTAAGACGGAGTCTTGCTCTGTTGCCCAGGCTGGAGTGCAGTGGTGCAATCTCGGCTCACTGCAACCTCTGCCTCCTGGGTTGAGTGATTTTAACGCTTCAGCCTCCCAAGTAGCTGGGATTGCAGGCAAGCACCACTATGTCTGGCTCATTTTTGTATTTTTACAAAATGGGGTCTCGCCATGTTGGCCAGGCTGGTCTCAAACTCCTGACCTCAAATGATCCACCCACCTTGGCCTCCCAAAGTGCTGGGATTATAGGCATGAGCCATCGCACCCAGTGCAAGCTTTTACTTTTTACCACGCAATGTGCAAGTGCTGATGACTTAAAGAAGAATAAGACAGTTCTTTTCTTAAAGGATATTAGTAATAACTACAATACAGTGTAATAAATGTAATGATAAAGATATGCACACCATTTATGGGGACAAAAAACATAGGTCTCTCGTGTTTGGTGAGTAGGAAAATGAAACACTTCCTGGAGGAAGTGACACATGAGCCAAGTCTTAAAGGATGCACAGGAATTAGTTGTCAAGGTTGGAGTGAATGAATGAAAGAGAACAGTAAGGGCATTCCAGGCAGAGGGGTCAGCACCAGCAAAGACCTGGAGGTAAGAAGTCACATGTGCAGCGGGACTGGGGAGCATAAAGAATGCAGTATTCCTGGATAAGAATTACGGAACATAAAGGAGAGGTAGGCAGAGGCCAGTTTATTGAGGGTCTTGTATAACATATGAAAGAGTTTTTATTGCTGCGTTCTTCTGGTAATGGTAAGTCATTTCCATGTTTAATGCACAAACAGACTTAGGTCCTATGTGCCGGACAGATCAGTCTGGCAGTAGTGTGGAAAATGGACGTGAAGTGGGCAGGCAGGCAGAGAGCTATGTGCAAAGCACAGGCCTCAACTAGTTGAATATTTTTTAAGTTTAATATTTCCAATGAAGTAGAGCAATATAGTTAGCATTACTTATATCATTGTCTGCCCCCCGACCTGTAAAAAGTGGATCAAAGTTTTATACCCTTGATGGCAACAGAACTTCATAACACAATTTTCAAAAATTAGTTTGGTTTCTACTTAGAGACTTAGAGTCTGGACTACCTATAAGCCAAATTTGTTTTGCTAAACATTTGTTTAGGAATATTAATTATTGCTCTCAAAATGCTATTGGCAATCATCTTGCCTTGGCTTAGTCCATGTGATGTTGTAGTTGGTTAATTAGAACTTCCCTGAGAGGCCAATGTCCTGGGAAGACAGGGGTTGAGCCTTCCAGAGTAATGACACCCTCCTGTGACCTCTGACTTTCAGACTCTGTCTTAAGATCTGGCCTCCAATGGCGTCACTTCTGCTACTCTGCCTTGACCTAATCTTGTAAGCAATTCTGCTGTGCCCAGAAAGGAAATGCCCACCAAGAACTCTGGTCATTCACAACGCTGTGTACTCTGGTCACATTACATTAGTGTCCAACTCTGGGGAAAGAAGAATTCTAATTTTTCTCTACCCTCACAGATGCCTCATTATATTCTCCACTATATTATGTATTTCTTCAAGGCTAGTTATCACAGCTTAACAACATTTCCAAAAATAGGTTTGAGGAAATAATAGTAAAACACAGCAATCGACAGAGAGAGAGAGATAGAGAGAGAGAAAGAGAGAGAACTGGCAAGTACTATACTAAATCTCTTGTACAATAGCTAAAGAGACTCTGATCAGGCAGTATAGGGTACTGGCTGGAAGCACAAACTCCAGAGCCAGATTGCAGGGTGTGAATCCCATTTACTAGCTCTGTGATTTGGGGCAGGTTAACTCGCTGTGCCTCTTTCTTCATTTGGGCTGTTGTGAGGATTTAGTGAATTCATATATATAAGCCACACCTTAAATGACCCAGCAGGCAGTACATGCTACATGTGTGAACCATCATCATTGTCATCATCGTCATCATTACCCAGTGTAAAAAGCCTCTTTACCAGTGAAATGGGGCACCTGACAATGCATTTGTCTCTCCACAGCTGGATGCTTTCCCTTTTAGATGAATTCACATAGCAATTACATTTTTAATACATATTCACTGTATAACAATGCAAAGAATGTTCCTCCTAGGAAGTGTTCAGGATTTTGAAATGTGCATTTCTGAAGCACACATTTGTTTTCTGAGTAGAATCCATTCATCTTCTGGTTGAACAGAAGAAATTACAAATTCACTGACATGTACCGTTTAATAGGGGATGGCATTTTAGATGTGGCTGTAGTTCATCTTGACAGGGCTAATGTAAGGCATTGGAAGCCTGCATGAATTAATTGAAAATCCCATTACAAACTCGGTGACAAATAACTCTATTCACCATTATGGCCTGTTTTTTTCCCTACCTCAATTAGCTCTGTTTGGCCCACTCTGTCCAAATCCATGCCAGCCAAACCCATGCACCAAGATACAGATTTAGCACTCTTAGAAACCATTCTGAACTGCTCCTTGAAGAGATCTGTAAAATTCCAAATGACCCACAATATGGTTTTTTGTGATATGCTGATGTGGGAACTGAAGGAATTTATTTCTTTACAGATCACTTCCACACACCAGTGGCCTAATGGACTTATTAACTTTTCCACAAAACAAATCTATTACATGTTCCTAAAATCATCAAGGATTCTAAATAGACCAGTGGCAAGGAGAAAGCTTACTATGATAACAGTGATATACATTATGGTTAGCCTAGGGTTACATTTCCGTGATGCAACTGAAAATTCATTAATTCACCCCAACTTGCTAAGTCTTGACTGCTAAAATTGTTTCAATGATCAATAACCACAAAGAATCATAAAGCTTATGACAATCTAACCCATGAACAAACATTTGTGCATCTGGCTGTGTTTTTCTATGGTATTCTTTTTCAATTAAATTCTATGAGGCTAGAAAGCCAGTTTGGGTCAAGTTTCTAAAAAGAAGGCTTCCCACATTAAATAAAATGAATTCTACTCTGATTTTAAATCAAGCAAAGTTCAGTGATCTTTGAAAGACTTATTCCCACACAGACTGCAGATGATTAAGGATAAACGGTTAAACGACTTGGAAAAGCAATAAAAGAACACATTTTCCTTTTGCAACATCTGAAAGATAAAGCCAAAACAATTGGTTTGATAGCCTAGGACTACTCTGTGGATAAAATATGTCTGGAGCCCATGGAGGCACTGCCCTCTCATTCATCTCCTTCGAAAGGTCTGAGAGTCATGTCATCACTGGGCCCTCTGCCCTCCAAGCCTTCTGCAGGCTTTCCAAACTGCTGCTTTTCTTCTGTATCCTCTCATCAGGCCAAGGCCCCCAAGGATCCACAGAGCTTACATTTCACTTGGAGACTTTCACTTGGCTACACATGAAAGGGATGCTTAAAAGGAGAGAAAGCCAAAGAGAAACCGACTCTGCAGTCTAACCTTGGGTTTGCGGCTTGTCATTCACACTGCCAGCTTTATCAAAAAGCTTGGCAATTTAGACAGGCAAACTGTTACAGTAATTCTGCATCTAAAAACATTTTGATAAACATCTACTATATTGTTCATTTAAAAAAATAAGTATGATAGTGGGCCAGCTTTACATTTCAAATAATTTTTGTTTCCAAATCATACATACAGGTTGTCTTTTAAGATATTAAAATCCTCATGTGATCTGCCTATAAATATTTTTGATTAAATGCTTTCGACTTCCATTTCCATACCATCAGCGGTATTCCAATACATCTGGCAAAATGCTACTTGATGAACTAGCTGAGATTCTAACAGGTAAATAAAACATTCACTGCCAATTTATTTTATAGACTCTAAATGCCAATGCCCAGATGTACGTGCAAGACAGCCTCTCTAAATTCAAATTCCTTCATGCATTTCTTACTGCTCCATAAAGTAAAAAAGATTCAGTGACCTCCTAAAAAGAAAATCTAGAAGACACTCTTGTAGTGGGAACAGCTATAAAATGTGTATAATTTAATAACTCAGTTATATCTAAATTGGCATCAATGCTGGCTGATTTTAACTTGACTTTCAGAAACTTTCCAGAAAGAACTGAGGCACAAAGAAATCATAGTAATAGAAAGTACCACACAGAGTAAGAAGTAGAAAAATGGGTGGAAGAAACAATTTTTTAAAAATATCTTTTGGGTCAGGCACGGTAGCTCACACCTGTAATCCCAGCACTTTGGGAGGCTGAGACAGGCGGATCACTTAAGTCTAGGGAGTTCAAGACCAGCCTGGATGACATGGCAAAACTCATCTCTATAAAAAGTACAAAAATTAGCACGGTGGTGGTGCGCCTACAGTCCCAACTACTTGCGAGGCTGAGGCAGTAGGCAGAGGTTGCAGTGAGCCAAGATGGCGCCACTGCACTCCAGCCTGGGCAATAGAGTGAGACTCCGTCTCAGAAAAAAAAGTAAAAAAAAATAGAATGTCTTTTGTACAACAAAAAACATGTTGGCTTTTCCCTACAAAGTAAAATATCTGTCAAGATATAATAACAGTATTTCATGAAAATATTGATTCTTTAACAGTTAATAACTCCTAAGTATTGTTCTCAAGATATCTACATCAGATAATCACTCAAATATGATTTGGCCATCACTACTAATGTTTCAACTTCAATGACGGCCAAGACGAATATTAAAGGTTTTATTTTTCCAAAGTAACATCAGAAGGGACTGAGAATCCCATAATTCCACAATAGTCCATCTTTCATTTGTTCTTTCCTTTAACATTTATTTCTGGAAAGCACTGTGCTGGGGAATTTTTATCTGACAATCATTTTCTTAATCTTCTACCTCCCACCTACCCCAAATTCACTACATAAAATTTTCTAATCATACTAACTTTAATCAAAACTACCAGCACTTTGAGGATGGCAGCTGCAAATAAACAGAAATTAAGACAAAACGTTGTTTCTTCATTCACATGTCTTCTTTTTGCCTTTATTCTACTATCCCAGTGTCCCCTTTTCTTGCATGCTCATTTTCTCCAGCTTTCTCCAGAAGTAGACTCTGCAGCCAGCCAGCCCCCCTCCTTATTCCAGACCTGGTTCCAGTTCCATACCAGCTCAAGAATGTGGGCTGACCAAGGCCAGCCTTTGGGCTTTTTTAGCGCTTGGTGGCTCCTCAGCACACACTCTGTGCTGTCTGCTGCCCTGCTCACGCTCATCTGTGGGCTCCACACCCTCCATCCTCTCCTTACCCAGCTCCTGCAATCCAATCCACCATCGCTAATGGAGTGTCTAACTCAGCTCTTGACCAAACAGCAATCAGTCAATTATAGTCTCCAGCAGCCTTGCTGTTTTGCGGGGGGCATTAATGGTTTCGGGGGCAAGGTAGAGGGAGAGAAAAAAAAAAACAAACTAGAGATAAAGGAAAGTAGATAAAGTAGCTTTCTTACCAATTTCCCTGGGCTGTACTCTCATCATTAATCATTTGCATAATGAATTTAGCTGAAGTCAAGAGTATATTCAAACACCCAGAAAAAAAAAAAAATGAACAACAGTTTTCCAAATTTCAAAACGAAAAAATGCTATTAGACTCTTCATTAAATGTTTTTTTCTAGAAACTAAAATACAGAAAACAAACTGAAATACATTTGTCCCACCTCCTGGATTTTCCTCTCCTACAAGTACAGGAGAACCTGAGGCAGCACTCAGGAGCATGTTTAAAAGGCAATGTTGCAGGAAAAGTGGGCTAAGGGGCATTGCTTAGTAAATACCTATATTTAGGAGGCAGAAAAAAGAGAGATACAGGAAACTAGAGAGGTAGGACGAAAACCAGCAAACTATAACCACAGTAACAAGGATAATTCCTGAAACACGGTTTTGTCCACATCACCTATGTCTTTACAATCTGGAGACAGTTCCCAATTACCTCTTAAATCACATTAATGGTCTAAATCATGAGTTTTATGGCCCTCCATTTGGATTGTCTGTTCCACCTCATATTTTCCACCCTCAGCAAGCAAACCAGTCTGCTGTCATCACCTCCAACTTCATACATGCCATCTCTCCTCCACCAAAATTCATCGAGAACAGTCCATTTCTCCCTCCACCTCCCCACCTTGTATATGTATCACGTGCCTGATAATTATGCTGCATTTCTTTCACTTGGATTTTTATGTCTGTCTAGGATGACTGCTTTTGTTGTTTGGAATCAGGTGTAAATAAGGCCAAGATCAATGATCTGATTCTTGTGTGGGTCAATAGGACAGTCTCTATTTCCCAGATGTGACAGCCACTACTTGTCCATCAGGACCCAGCCCAGGCATTGCCTCCTTGGGGAAGCTTCTCCCAACCTTCCTCTACCCAAGTCTAGAGAAGGTGCTGCTCTTTTTATGTACACCTAGAGTGCCTTATGAATACTGTTATCATGGCCCTTATCTTACTCAGTTTATAACCTATTTCTTCCTGCTAGACTGTAACCTCCTGGAGACCTGGGACTATGTGTTATGCATCTTTGTATCATGAGTACCTACCTCAGTGTCTGTGAAAAACTTCTTGCTGAATAAATTAATGAAAGAACAAAAGTTATCTCTAGTGGACTGAGTGGTAAGGTGTGGATAGGTTAAGTGGAAAAAGAACACATCTAAAGGAAAAGCAACTAAAAAGATGATTCTACTGACAGGCTCAACAGTTTTACACAAATTGCAAAATATATACAAACACATATTTATGTGTCTCTGGGAACTCCTCATGAATGGTAGACTGCTAATCCATCTTTTTGAAACTGTCCTCCCAAGTACACAGCAGGTGGTGGGCACTTGATTCTGAGACATGGGAGGTACAGAAATACTGAAGGAGACATTTTTATTACCATTTCCTAGGCTGCTGGGAAACCTGGGGCATGCTAAGGTGCTACAGAAAAACCTGGGGAAACATGAGCAGGCACTGCAAATTGGTATCAACTTCACTGTGTTCTAGACACTGGAACTAAAACATAGTCCGTTCTGGAAGTGGGCAGTTGAGTGTCTTATACTAAGCAAATGGCTGGCATTTGAAAAATGTGAAACAAATTATGCAGCAAACTACAGCAAATAAATATTTTCCTTATAAACTCATTTGGTGGTTAGGAGGAAACAGTCATGCAGTTGATATGGCATTTCTCTTGGATGGCCTTAGTACCCAACTGACAGATAAATCATTAAAGAAAACAAATTTTATGAATTTCTCCAAGTGAAGATAGCTATTGAGAATGCAGTCACTCAAGTAAAATGCAAGAAGTTTGTGTCACTCATTGCCTTGAATATTAGTTTTCTGTTTCATCACATGTTTAATAATTACAATAGTATTTTGCAGAGAGCAGGAATATTTACTGGGAAGATTCTCTGCAGTAACTTGAGTTACCATCTTGAAGACTCATCACAGGATGGGGACTATTTCCTGGGAAAAGGTCAAGTTTCTACCTATTTGAAAAACAGATTCCTGGCAAAGAATCTGCCCTTCTCTTGCCACTGCCCTGCCCTAGGCCTCCAACCTGACCCTGGGGTGTAGAGCTAAATAGGGAGGAATGATCATGTACCAGGAATTCTGCTTGCATCTTATCTAATCCTACAGAAATCCAGGAAAGTAGGGAGATTCAGAAACACAAAGGGAGAGGGGTGTGTTGAGAACATGTTTTAGTATTAAAGAGGTTGGGTAACAGCCACATGCAGTGGCTCATGCCTGCAAACCCAGCACTTTGGGAGGCTAAGGCAGGCAGATCAATTGAAGCCAGGGGTTCACAACTAGTCTGGGTGATCTGGTGAAACCCCATCTCTTAAAAAACTAAAAAAACAAAAAACTAGCAAGGTATGGTGGCACGTGCCTGTAGTCCAATATTGTGCCACTGCACTCCAGCCTAGGTGACAGAGCAAGACTCTGTCTCAGAGAAAAAAAGGCGGGGGGGGGAGTCAGGTAAGGCCTCAGTGAAATTCAATTGCCTATTTTTAGTTTTGTCCAGTGTTTACATTAACACCTTGGAGAGAGGATGCTCATATAATTTAAACATAAGGTTAAATGTAAAAGATAGTTCATAGTTTCAGAATTAAAGCAATATTGAAATAAACCTACACACATATAAACAACTAGACAAAAGCGTCAAGGCAATTCAACTGAGAAAAATAAAGTCTTTTCAAAAGATGATTTCAGAACAATTAGAAGCCCATGGGGAATAGATGGGGATGAATCTTGAGCCCCTACCTCACACTATACACAAAAATTAATTTAAGATGAATCCCAGACTCAAATGTAAAAGCTAAAACTGTAAGTTTTATAGGGGAAACAAGAAATTACCTTAGTGATGTGTAGGGAGGGGAAAAAAGCCTAAATTAACCATAAGTTGACAAATTTGACTGTATTGAAATTGAAAAATTAGGTTCAACAACAAAAGACACATGAAGAAAATAAAAATGTAAACCACAGATTGGGAAATATATATATATATAATAAAGGACTCAAATCCAGAATTAAAATGACTCCTACTAACCAACAATTTGATTTAAAAACAGGCAAAAGTTCTTTCCCATCTTGCCAGATGGTGGTGAAAAAATTGAGAAGCTGGATACTAAAGAGAAGGAACCCGAAGCCACGAAGGCTGATGCTGGTGGTAAGGTGAAAACGGGTAACTTCAAGGCTAAAAGCCCCAAGAAGGGGAAGCTCCACTGTGGCCAAAATCCTATCCTTATTAGAGGAATTGGCAGATATTCCTCATCTGCTATATATTCCAGAAGTGCCATGTACAAGAGGAAGTACTCAGCCAATAAATCCAAGGTTGAAAAGAAAAAGGAGAAAGTTCTTGCAACTGTTACAAAACCAGTTGGTGGTGAGAAGAATGGTGGTAACCTAGGTGGTTAAACTTCACAAAATGCCTAGATATTATCCTACTGAAGATGTGTCTCAAAAGCTGCTGAGCCACAGCAAAAACCTTCAGTCAGCATGTGACAAACTGCGAGCCAGCATCACCCCAGGGACCATTCTGATCATCCTCTCTAGGTGTCACAGAGGCAAGAGAATGGTTTTCCCGAAGCAGCTGGCTACCGGCTCGTTACTTTGACTGGACCTCTGGTCCTCAATTGAGTTCCTCTAGAAGAACACACCAGAAATTTGTCATTGCCACCTCAACCAAAATTGGTATCTGCAATGTAAAAATCTCAAAACATCTTACTGTTGCTTACTTCAAGAAGAGGCAGCTGCAGAAGCCCAGATATCAAGAAGGTGATATCTTCGACACGGAAAAAGAGAAATGACCAGTGCAAGGTTGATCAGAAAGCTGTGGACTCAAATTTTAACAAAAATCAAAGCCATTCCTCAGCTCCAGGGCTACCTATAATCTGTGTTTGCCCTGACAAATAAAATTTAACCTCACAAAGTGGTGCTCTAAATTTCTTAAGAACCTAATTAAGTAACTGATAACATTAAAAAATAAAAACAAGCAAAAGATGTGAATACACATCTTGAAAAGAAGATGTTTGTATAGCCATGGAAGGGCACTCAACACCATCAGGCAACTGCAAAATAAAACCAAAATGATATATTATAATGCGTTCATTAGAATGATTAAAATTTAAAGACTGACAACAGAAAATTTTCTAAAAAATGTGGAGCAACTAGAATTTACATAGATTGCTAGTGGGGGTCTAATACTGATTGAAAAATTCTTATAAAGTTATATGTACATTTACTCTTCAATCTACCCCTCTTAGGTATTAACCCAAGATAAACGAAAACATACATCCACACCCAGATTTGTACAAAAATGCACATCACAGCACTATTTATAATACCAAACACTGAAAACAATCCAGATGTCCATCAACATGGGAATAAATGGAATCCTGTTTAACTATTTCAAAAAATGAATTACTGACACATGTGAGTAAAAAAAAATACTATATGATTACATTTATAAAATATTCAAAAACAGGTGAAACGAATCTCTTGTGGTAAAAATCACAGTAGTTGCCCATAGGAGGTGGGCAAATGAGTGAAAGAGGGTGTGAGGGAAATTTCTGAGACTATAAATATATTCTGTATCTTGACGGAGGTGTTAGTTATCCTGGTGTAGAAAGGTATCAAAACCTACTAGATCGTACACTTAAGAACTGTAATTCACACATACAAATTTTACCTCAATACCAAAGGATATTAAGGTAACACTGGAAGGCCAAGGTGGTAGGATATCTTGAGGCTGGGAGTTCAAGATCAGCCTAGACAAAATAGTGAGTCCCTGTCTCTAAATAAAATTAAAAATAAATTAGCTGGGCATGGTGGGACAGGCCTATAGTCCCAGCTACTCAGGAGGCTAAGGTAGAAGGATCACTTGAGCCCAGGAACTCCAGGTTGCAATGAGCTATGATTGTGTCACTGCAGTCCAGCCTGGGCAACAGAGTGAGACCTCACCTCTAAAAACAAAAACAAAAGCAAAAGTATCACAATGAGTAACAAGCCACACTGGCTTTCAAGAGAATGGCAAAATGAGAAAAGAAATCTGAAATTCAGAGGTATGGAGATTAATGCACATAAAGATGTCTACTTTTCCAAAAGGAAATTACAGAACAGAAATGATTGTACATAATGTACTGTCACTCCTAGAATCTGACCTTATTAGCACCAGTCAGTCTCTCACTAGATGTCCAGGATACATTCTGAATCCCATAAACAAAAGGAACAGAGAAGTTTGGCATATTCAGTAGAGAGAGATAAAGATGATAAAAGTGTTGGAAAATATTGACAGAAAAGCTGTAGAAACTGAGATGTATTAGTACAGCAGTATTATTCTAGAATAAGTCTTCAAATACCATGAAAAGGTCTTACACAAAGAGAGTAAGTCTGATTGGAACTCGCTGAATAAAAAAATACAGGCTTAAACTCATGCATGCATTATTTAAGTTGGATAAAGGAATTTCCTGACAGAGAGGGTTGTTAAATATTGCAGTGGATTATGATATCTTTCACTGGAGACTTTGAAAAAATGAACAGTCTCACGTTTGGTTCTGCCCAAAGGCAAAGGGACAGACTATGACTGATGATCTCTAGTAATCTATGATTTCTTTGGCAATCAAATCATCTGAGAGAAAAAGTTTATTCTTGATGATTTTGTCCTTTGTTTCTTAGGGGTGGAATCTCAATAATAATGATAGTGATGAGGTATGAGAGAGTGAGCAGGGAGGAGACATTTGGAAAGAAAATGAAATGAGAATATGAATTCGCCTACAGAAATCAAATCAAGCCAGCTTCAATACTCCAAAGTCTGTCATGACCTTCTACAATGTCATTAGGAAAAGCAGAAACAAGCTCAGCTGTGGTCAAACCAAGCTGCCTTTTATCTTCTTATTTTTGCTGTTGAGAGTAATACATAATATGTGCATATTACTGTTACTGTTCTTCAAAGGAGCATTCTTCTAGTCAATTAAATGTGAAGTTTATATAGTAAGGATTAAACAATTACTTCAGGAAAATATCTTCTTACTTTGAAATAAACTTATTACAAGGATATAGAACCAATCCTGTGAACCCTATAGGGTAGGCTCAAAGTCTTTAAAACATAATTAAGTCTTTTCATTAAAAAAATAACAAGAGACTGGGTGCAGCAGCTCACACCTGTAATCCCAGCACTTTGGGAGGCTGAGGCAGGCGGATCATATGAGGTCAGGAGTTCAAGACCAGCCTGGCCAACATGGCAAAACCCTGTCTCTACTAAAAATTAAAAAGTTAGCCAGGTGTGGTGGTGCATACCTGTAGTCCCAGCTACTTGGGAGGCTGAGGCAGGACAATCACTTGAACCCAGGAGGCGGAGGTTGCAGTGAGCTGAGACTGCACCACTGCACTCCAGCCTGGGCAACACAGCAAGACACTGTTTCAAAAAATAAAAAAAAATAAAAAAATAAAAACTCAGACATCCATGGAAAACTGGTTTTGTTTAAAGGTGAGAGAAGGAAGGAAGATCTTTGGACCACTTAAAAATTTTTTATTTAATCAAAATTTACTGTTATTTTTCACTTTTTCTTTTGAGACAGGGTCTTACTCTGTCAACCAGGCTGGAATGCAGTGGTGTGATCAGGGCTCACTGAAGCCTCGACCTCCTGGGCTCAAGCAATCCTCCTGTCGTAGCCTCCTGAATAGCTCGGTCCATTGGAAATGAGGCTTTAAAAATACTTTGTAAATATTCTGTGGTACTAAAATGAGTGTTACTAGAAGATCCTAATTGCCTTTATGCTCTAATTTCTCCATTATTCGACTGTGCAAGAAATGCTACTGGAAAAAGTAATATCCATTTGCAATGAACAATTTTATCAATAGATAGATTAATGGGCAGTTTTATTGAGGCTTCCTTAAAAAAAAAAAAAGTCTTCCAATTCAAATATACTGATCACCAAAAATAAGAAATGAGAGCAACTTAAAGGGAAATGGTTTACTAAGCCAGTTGCAGCAAGCCCAGACCCAAATGTTATTTTGTTCTAAATAAATAAATAGTAGAATATGAATTACAGGTGTTTTCAACCAAAATGAACCATTTATATTAAAATGACACATTTTTTTCTGTTTCTAGGTGATTAAATAAATAGCAAAGAAAATCAAGCAAGAGCCCATGCGTGCACCTGAGACTACTTTTGTTAAGCATTTCGTGTATACTGCATAAGAAGGTAACAGATCATGCTAGCTGTATTCCTACTAACGAAAAATTTAAGATGAGAAAATTAATAATCGGAATACTTTTGGTCATGGCAACAGACTAAATTACTATTTTTAAACATCTTGCCAATATATTAAAACATATGCTTTTTGAAAATTGTTTAACTAAATTTTTTTTAGGCAAAGCAACTAATTTTACATGTTCACCAGGCTGTGAGCTATGTGAGGGCAGGGCTGGAGCTCATTCATCTTCATATCCTGGGGGCGCAACACACAGCAAAGAATCAGCTCATTAGATGACTACTTTTCTGCTACTTCTTCCTTCATTCCATCCTATATAGATCTGCCAGATTCATCTTCCTGAAATACAACTTTTATCATCAGATCACCTGTCTGATCTAATCTGTCTGATCTGTCTGAAATACAACTTTTACCATCAGAGCATGTGTCTCATCTGGAAAAGAAGAGCTGAAAAATGACACAAGGGTTCAGAGATACGGAAAACAGCTCTAAAAAGATCTAATATTTATCTAAAGTGAGTGTTACAAAGAAGAAAGTGACAATAAGGAGAACTGTAAAATAAATACAGTAATTGAAGGAAATTTTCCTGAACTAAAAACACTTGTCTTTAAACTTAATTTTAGGCTAAAGCTACTTCCTTATATTTAAGTTTGACCTAAAGGTTTCTCCACACATAGTGAAGTATAACCTAACCAGATTTGTAAACAAACTGTAACCTACTCTTGCAGGAATCAGAGTTCTGGCCAATCGCAGGCAGCCAATTGTTCAAACTGGGTTCAAATGAGGCAAACACCACGGTGTAACCAATCAGGTTGTTTCTGTACCTCACTTCTGTTTTCTGTGAATCAGAGAGGATTTCGGTCCATGAATCCTCTCTGACCACACAGCAGCACCAGAGTTGCTCTGAACCTATTATGGTTGGGGGAACTGAATTGTTCTTTGCTCAATTAAATTATGTTGAGTTTGTTTCTCTTTTAACACACCCAAGATCTCAGAACAGTCTCATTAAGTGCTAAGCAGATTAATGAGGGGGAAACAGACCGTATTCAGGCACATCTCATTACAATTCAAAACTCCAAAGATAAGTGAAAAATTCTAAAAGATTTGGGTCAGAGGTGGAATGTAAGTAGAATATGACTTATTGATAGTAATATAGGAGAAAAGTAGACAGCAGAAAAAAGGCTTTACATTTCTAAGGGAGCATGATTTAGAAGAACTTGGCCAGCTAAACTGTTAAATATGTGTCTGAACAAAATACTGATTATTTTTGAACACCCCAAATCTCAGAAACTTTATTACCTGTGCCTTTCAAGTGAAAACTATAACAATTATGCAAGGAAGTATCTCCCAGCCTACAATATTCCCCTCACAAAAAACCACAGAAGACTCCTAGAGAAATGAAATGTGATACAAGAAATGTGGATGGCTCAATATGATCTAGAAGAGATGAAGAAAATGAAATTTTAAAAAGATCCACTGGATCTAGAGGTGGGGCAGGGTCTGGTGAAAGGTTATATCTGCTTCTTCTCCATCCGCACTGCAGTGAATCATGTTTATATAATCATAATACTGCAAATGCTATTTTTATGGGACTTGGGGAATTAATTACAGCTACAGAATAGAATGTTATAAACTCTGACAATATCAAAATAACAATACACTGAACTAAAACCAAGAGTTAGGCTTAAAGGAAGGTGGGAGGTAGAAGTACTCTAAATTTTCCACTCTGAAATTGATACTGTATGAGCCTAAGAAAGCAAGAGCTGAAAACATATTATTGAAGGCTTGGGTCACCCCACCAGGTAAAAAGCCACGACCAGCTCAGTTGCTTGCTGAAGGCAAAGGGAATACAGAATGAGTAGTAGAAGAAGGCAGTTATCAATACTGGCTAAAACCATGTGTCCAGTTACAGAAAGGAGGACTGTACTATCATGAGTAATTCCTCCTTATTTTAAGAATATGCCCGTACATGGATATACCTGTACTCAGAAAATATCTTCGTTTTACTTCCTTTCTTCTTCCTTTATCATGTAACATGAGATTTATTGACTTCATATCAGCATTTAAATGTCATTAACTTTATATAATAGCATTTAGGTTAAGGATTAGGGCATTTTCAGTTGTACAAAATATAGTTGTATTATGTTAGGTGTAATTATGACCTTATTGTTTTTATTTGGAGATTAAGTATGATTTAAGGAGATGTGTATGGGGCTAAGTTGACAAGGGGTCAACTATTATGGTTCACATTAGGTGTCAACTTGATCAGATTGAGGGATGCCTAGATGGTTGCTAAGGTATTGTTGGCTGGCAGGGGTGAGGGTGTTGCCAGAGGAGACTGACATTTGACTGACATTTGGGCTGGGAGAGAAAGACCCACCAATTGGCTGCCAGCGCGGCTAGAACAAAGCAAGCGAAGAAGGTGGGATGTAATGGTAACCAGTAGAACTAAAGAATAGAAAACAGTAATAGCACTTACCCCTGGAAAGCAGGACTAGGGTAGGAGAGAAGAGAGAGGGACACTCTTGCTCTCTATTTTAGAATCTTCTTTGAGGTTATGTATTTTCTATCATGAACAGATATTACTCTAAAACTAAAATGTGTAAGAAAAAGTGTGTGAAATTCTAATACACTTGCTATAAATAGAGTATCTTGTTTACTAAATAATTAAGATATACAAAGAGGAGTAATAATAAAAAAGATAATCCACTGTATCCACAAACTGACTTGAGAAATAAAGCATTATAAATGCAATTGAAGCCTTCTGTATTTTTCTTCGCCAACCACATAGTAGATCAACTTTTAAAAGAAAAGAAGCAAATCTAGATGGACCCTTACTATTGTCCCTGCTCATCCACCTAATCCCACTCCTACTTGCTCCTGACCATTCCTGATTAAGATATTCAGTTGCACCAAATAATTGACTCAGGCACCTTAACAAAATATTAATATGACATTAGTAAAACTCCCACCGTGCCCCCTTGTTATTCAGACTGTATGTCTTATAATAAATACAAGCTTGCTGTGCTAAGTTTTTTCTGGGATTAAAAAAAAAAAAGTAGCAAAAGAACACAGTAAGTCCAGTGATTGAGGAAATGAAAAACAAGATATAAATTGTCACTACAATCATGCTCCCTGCTTCTGCAAGACCTTGTGATTCAATTAGTATGATTTCACCTTAAGTGTTTGTGTCTGAGGAGCTGGTGATCCTGAGGCGCTGTAGATCCTGGGGTCTGGAGGGTTACACATGTTAGCTCTGGAGAAAACAATAAAAGCCTAAATACCTTCCCTTAATTTGAGAGGGGTTAGCTTACTGAGCTTGTGAAATATGTGGAAACCACTATCTAACCATTTACAAGCTACCTTTTTTTTTAATAAGCTACTTTTAAAGAGGAGGGGTAGCAAGTTGGCCATGTCTTAGAACCTTGGTTATGAAAACTTCATTAATCAGAGACAAGATTTTTAAATGTTTAAAAGAATATGGCTATTACCCTCTTTCTCACCAAGTCTTTTAGAAAAATAAGATCACCCTACCCACACACCACCACTACCAAATACCTGACTTTAAGGATACGGCTAATGCTAGTTCTTCAATTGTAATTTCCTGAGTTATATATATATATATATGGTGACTGAATTCATACCTGAAGCAGCCCCATCCTGATAACACAATAAAAACCAATGCTTTTCTTGAGACAGGGTCTCACTCTGTCACCCAGGCTAGAGTGCAGTGGCGCAATCATGGCTCACTGCAGCCCCGACCTCCGGGCTGAAGTGATCCTCTCTCTTCAGCCCCTCGAAAGCTGTGACTACAGGCACGTACCAGCATACCTGGCTAATTTTTGTATGTTTTGTAGGGGTAGGGTCTCTCTATGTTGCCTAGGCTGCTCTCAAATTCTTAAGACTCAAGCAATCCTCCCGCCTCAGCCTCCCAAAGTGCAGGGATTATTGGCGTGAGCCATCATGCCAGGCCAAAACTGGTGCTTTTCAAGCTTTAATGAGGGCACGAATCACCTGGACTTCCTGTTAAATGCATACATAGTCTGATTCAGTACCTCTGGGTGGGGCAAGAGAGACTGCATTTCTAACAGTCTCAGGTGATACTGATGCTGCCCAGGGAGCCACACTTTGAGTAAAAGGGGAATCCAGTATCAATCTCCTTCCCAATCTCCTTTGGGTGTTTTTCTTTCTCAATTGCTCCATCTTCTGACATTTGCTCTTTTCTAACTAAATTTACTCCCAAGATGATCTCATCTATTTCCTTCTTTTAAAACCATTTACACAAGCCATTCTCAACCCTGACTGCATATTAGGATCAACTAGGGAGTCATTTTTTCTTCTTCTTTTAAAGTTTTCTAAAGCCCCACCCCAAACCAATTAAATAAAAATCTCTGGGGCTGGGTCAGAAGCATACGGATTTTGAAAAGCTCCTTAGTGACTCTCATATGAAGCGCTAAGAACTGTGGATCTACACAACGATGTCTCCCAGATCTAACCTCAGCTATAACCTCTCCCCTGCGCACCAAGGGCCTACTTCACATCTCCTGTTGAATATCTAATAGGCATCCACAAATCAACGTGTCCAAAACAGACCTCTTGGTTTCCACCTACCCCCATGAAAATCTGATCCTCTACCAGTTTTCCCCAATGTTGGTAAATAGCCCACTGTTCACCTCGTTGCTTGGGCCAAAAGACTGGGCTTCACCATGATGCCTCCGTTCCCATTCTTTCACATTGCACATCCACTTAATGCATCAGCAAGTCTGCCAGCTTTGACTTCAGAACAACCCCCAGTCAGTCCACTTCTGACAATTTCTACTGCTACCAGCCCAAGCCAGATCAACACCATCTGTATTGCCACTATTAACACCCTAGCACCTATTATCCACAGTCTTGCCTGTTAACCTCAGAACGGCTTTCCCTCCCACTTGAAATACAAACTCCTTCCTGTGGCTCCCAAGGCTTTCTATCATCTGGTCCCGGCTAACCTCTCTGGCTCCCTCTCCAATTCTTCTCCCATCCCTACATCCTACTCCTGCTACACTGGCCTTGTTGTTGCTTCTTGACCACTCCAGGCTCTTCCCTGCCTCAGGATCCTTCTCTTACTTTTCCTTCTGCTTAGAATATTCTTTACAGGCTTATTCCTAATCATCATTCAGGTCTCTGCTCTAATGTCATCTCAGAAGGCTTCCCTGATTATCCCACAATAGCCTCAACCCAACCAGCACCCAACACAACTTCCTCACCCTGAACTTTCTACCCTGCTCGTTTTCTTCATGACATTTATCATGACTAGGCACCGACCCACCCAAAACCACTAGACCATAAGCTCTAAAAAAACTGTCTTGTTCAACAGAGAATCACAGGCCTATATCCATACCTGAGGCAAGTTGTACACACTTAATGCATTTTGCACTATTTGTATCTTCCCTCTCCCCCCATCCCCCAATTCATAAATTGAAACCCTAACCAGTGCGAGAGTATTTGGAGGTGGGACCTTTGGAAGGTAATTAGGTTTGGTTAGTATGAGAGTGGAACCACAGGGGATGAGGTCATGGGGTGGAGGTCCCATGATGGGATTGCTGCCTTTGTAAGAAAAGACACAAGAGAGATTCCTTTCTCTTCCTTTCTGTCCACATGCACATACCAAGGAAAGGCCATGGAGCACACAGTAAGAAGGTGGCAAGCCAGGATGAGAACCTTCACCAAGAACAGATTCTGCCAGCTCCTTGAGCTTGGACTTTCCAGCGTCCAGAACTGTGAGAAATAAATCTCTGTTGTTTATACTCCCCAGTCAGGTATTTTGTCCTAGCAGCCCAAGATCCCTAAGACATTGGTGAAAGGAATAAACAAGTCAATGGGGAGCAGCCTGGATGGATCTGTCATGTGCCCCCCAAGCTCTGGGACTGTCCATCCTTTGGAATATCTAGCATTTTCATCAATAATTTGAATGACGGTACATTAGGGCATATTTAATTTGCCAGTGACACAAACCTGTAAGTCATGCTAGCTACCTTACATGTTCAATAACAGAAATATGATTTTAGAATATTTTCATGGGTGATCAATTTTAACCGAACAAAACAAATATTAATTTTAACTGAACAAAACCAATATTAATATTTACTAAGATGAACATAAATGTTGAGGGTTTTGTTTGGTTTTTTTTGAGACAGAGTCTCACTCTGTCACCCAGGTTGGAGTGCACTGGCCTAATCTTGGCTCACTGCAACCTCAGTTTCCCACGTTCAAGCGATTCTCCTGCCTCAGCCTCCCAAGTAGCTGAGATTACAGGCATGCACCACCATGCCTGGCTAATTTTTCATATTTTTAGTAGAGACAGGGTTTTACATGTTGGCTAGGCTGGTCTCGAACTCCCTGCCTCAGGCAATCCACCCGCCTCAGCCTCCCAAAGTGCTGGGATACAGGCATGAGCCACTGTACCTGGCCAATTTATATAGTTCCTTGATTAAAACCACTTGTGCTGGGCATGGTAGCTAGGATTAAAGGTGCATGTTACCGTGCCTGGTTAATTTCTGTTGTTGTTGTTGTTGTTGTTGTAAAGACAGGGTTTCGCTATGTTGCCCGGGTTGGTCTTGAACTCCTGGCCTCCAGTGATCCTCCTACCTTGGCATTCTTTAGGAGGCTGGGATTTTGGTGCTGGGATTACAGATGTAAGCCACCTCCCCCAGCCTACAACTCTTCAAAGCACTGTTGGTTACTTATATTTGATGGATAATAAGCCATCTTTAAGTACAGCACTTATATGTAATTCAATTATTACAAAGCAAATAAGGGATGGTATGGCATCCTGTGTCAACCCTGCACACACAGCTGCCTGGTAAACAGAAGAATACCTGTCATTATGGTTTTGCTTATCTTTCTGCCCTTCAATTTCAAATTTTTCAGAAAACATAGATCATTTTTCTAAAGACTTCCTCAGCTTGTACACTAGAGAATCTTTATAATCACCCACTTGTACCAAAGGGGACATTTTTCATTCTCTAATTAAATAAGAAGACAAATAAGCAAAGGCCAATACTTGCAAGAACAGAAACAAAGAGCTATTATAAAAGTAAGCATTGAAATTATCCCCACACTGACTTTAATGAGCACACAATAAATTTGTAAATGCAATAAAAATATATTAAATACACATGAAAGAACATTCGTAATCAATTCTGTATGTCCACATCACTGAAAGAATTAGTCTAAAAGAACTATGTTAGATGTTAGTTTTATAATTAGGCACATTTCAACTATGTGTTAACTGTCTGATCTACTAATTTAAAATAAACCATTCAAATGTGTTTAAATATCTATAATGCTTTCAAGTTGCTTACATATATGTAAACAAGTTTCCATAAAGTTTAGAGGTTAAAAGATAGAGGAAAGATCTTATATGTAGGTAACAGATATAGTTTCCTTATATTTGAATGAAAACCTTACATATGTGTATGTATATAATATATATATATATGCTCACGTTATACATACACATATATATGCATCTCATATATGTGATAGTTAAAGGCCTTGGTTCTCTCAGGCAAGATCCTTGAGAGTAAAAAAGAACTTTTTTTGGTTGGGCACGGTGGCTCATGCCTTTGGAAGTCTGAGGTGAGTGGATCGTTTGGGGTGAGGAGTTTGAGACGAGCCTGGCCAACATGGTGAAACCCTGTCTCTACTAAAAATACAAAAATTAGCTGGGCATGGTGGTGGGCACCTGTAACCCCAACTACTCAAGAGGCTGAGGCAGAAGAATCGCTTGAACCCAGGAGGTGGAGTTTGCAGTGAGCCGAGATTGCGCCAGCATGCTCCAGCCTGGGAGACAGAGTGAGACTCTGTCTCAAAAAAGTAAACAAATAAACAAAAAAAAAAAATTTTTTTTTAAATAAGCAACTATGCTTATTTAAAAAAATAAGCAACTATGCTTATTTAAAAAAATAAGCAACTATGCTTATTTAAAAAAATAAGCATTGTTATGTTTTGAGGCACAGAATCACAGGGATTTGGGGCTAAAAAACCTTAAGAATTATTTAGCCCAGCTTCCTCACATCAGGACGAGGAAGTACATTCAATGCCCAAAAGTCACACAGCTGGTTAGCAGCAAAGCCAAGACTTGGGCCCAGACCTGGGTGGACAGGGCTCTGGAACACAGGTACTTTGGTTCTGACATACTGTGGGGGCAAGAGGAGTCTGAAGGTGATGAAAATGCAAATGCACTGCCCCAAAACAGGTTAGATGAGGTATAAACTGGGATCTGAGGTGCCAAAATTTATGGGATTTAGGCCTTTCTCTCCTGAATGTAAAACCAGTCCAATCAGGCCTAGACCATGTATGCAATAAATTTGTGTTTCTTTGCTATTCCCTAATGTCTCAGTCTTTTCCCATTCTTAGATGCACAATCCATTAGATCCAGATCAACACAAACTGCTCTCCCCCAAAATGGGTTGTACTCTTGAAAATTACTTTGTAGTATGGAAGAGTTTTAGGTAATATCAAGTTACTTATTTTTCACTGATAGCTTAATACAAATGTAAAACTCCTGCCAAATGCTGGAAGTCCAGGGAAAAATACATTGCATAGTAGACCCTACCCATGTGTGCTAGGCATAATAATGGCCCCCAAAGTAGACCACACCCCAATCCCTGAACCCCATGAATCTGTTGCCTTACATGGCAAAAGGGATTTTACAGATGGAAAGATTATCCTGGCTTATCCAGGTGGGCTTACTGTAATCACAAGGGCAATTAAATCAGGGAACTATCCCAGATGGGTTGAGAGTCAGAGGGTAACATGACTAAGGGAGAATGGTCACAGAGATGCAACTTTGCTGGCTTTGAAGACAAAAGGAGAGGACCACAAGCCAAAGGATATTTCTTCTACATAAAAATGTAAATAAGGAAACATTTTGTCCTTAGAGCCACCAAAAAGTAACATAGCCCTGCCTACACCTTGATTTTGGCCCAGGGAGACCTGTGTTAGACTTCTGACCTACAAAAGTATAAGTTAATAAAATTACTTTGTAGTTTTAAGCCATTGAATTTGTTGTAATCTGTTACAGCAGCAAGAGAAAACTAATACAACCATATGAACCAATATCCAAAATTCTCATCCTTTGGCCAGTCTGAGGTTCAATACCAGACATAGTAACCAATACCAGCAACAGACATAGCCTTGTATCATACCTCTCTGAAGAACTTCCCACTCTCTTCAGGTTATATACGGATAACTTCAGTAGAATGGTGCACAGCTTGAAAACAGAAAAGAAGGCTCCTGAGAGCCCCACGCAAAGACAACACTGCGCAAACTTTGAGTAAGTTCAATTTCACTGTTTATTTTAGCTCATTCTTTGAACTACATTTGCTTCCAAGTGAAACAAAATTTACTTTGAATAAATTTTGCAGTGCTCTACTTGAAACAGCTGGTTGGACTTTTCAAAAAGCATCTTGTCAGAATTATGTATTTTTTTTCCTAAGACATATTCCACCCACTAAGTCATACCAGAAGCCTTGGTAATCATGGTGGATGGTGTGAACGCAAATCCCTTAGATTTCCATTCTGCAACAAGCTTTCTTGGAGGAAGGTGTGAATATATCAAACATCTTAGATGTAATGCTAAAGAAACCTGCATAAACTTTGGCCACATCCACTGCATGGGGACGTAAGCAGAAACAAAAGAAAAAACTTGTAGTTCCAGTGCTGAACAGCCAAAGCCAGACCATCTGCGTGACAGCAAAGGCTAAAGAAACAAATGCAGCAAAACGCAACCCAGGCTTTAACTGATTCTTTCCTTTCCAATTTCTAATACAGTATGTCCCAACTTGAAAAGGGATTACCCACGAAGAATAAAGAGGTATAGAAAAGAAAAGAAGAGTTAAACTGAAAACCTGTACAGAAAAATGCACCCAAACCGGAGAGTCTGAGGACTCGTGTTCCAAGTCCCGCTTGTATAAATACTGATCCTCCACCTCATTGAATTGTTGACATTACATAATTAGCCAGTTACAATAATAACACTGTAGCTTAACACACTGCCACAACCGGAGGAATTTTAACTACTCTAGTGAATTGCCCCTCACCAGCTACATCTGTGCTGGTCTTCAAAGCAAAAGTGCGGAAAGAAAAGAGATGGCCGTTTAGTATGCAGACTAACGCAGAGTAAACAAGGGGAGTATGGCCTATCCAGCATTTGGGTTCTTGGGGTTCCCCTACCCGCTTGTTTTTTGTTTTTATTTAATTGGTTTGGTCTTTGGTTGTTGCCTACTTAAGTAAATAATATTCAGTAAAAGCACTTCATAGACACTGTGAAATCGTTAAAAAAAATTATATTTATATCAGATTACTGTGTACTTGAAACAAACTCACTTATTCTTCAACTTCATAAACTTCAATATAAACAACAAAAAAAGTAAACCCACCACTTTTAGACACTTATTCTTTAGGCTTTTTAACTCTAACATAAACAAATAAGAAAATATTGTTAAATATCCTTAGAAATCTTGAGCACCTATTAGCATTCTCAGCACTAGCCGGACGAAGGGTTTGAAGGGTTTCACCTGCCAGCAACCCTTTCTTTTCTCTTTACTCACAAATTCGCTCTAGGGACCAGAGGATGCTGTATTCTTTTCTTAGTAAAATAGATGAAATCTGAAATGTAGCCTAACCCAGACACAGAAAAACCACATATAAAATTCGAATGTTCTTAGACATACTATACAGTGAGCCGTGCTGAAAATAATAGCCTTTCTGTGTAATTTATCCTGTTTTTCTCCTCCCTTATTTGGTACCTCAGCTTCTCATTCCTCCTAATCTGATGTCTCATACCCAAAATTCTTTTAGCCAACACTCACCTTGGGAAAGCCTTTTTTTTTTTTTTTTTTTTTTTGAGACAGAGTCTTGCTCTGTTGCCCAGGCTGGAGTGCAGTGGTGCCACCTCAATTCACTGCAACCTCCGCCTTCCAGGTTCAAGCGATTCTCCTGCCTCAGCCTCCTGACTAGCTGGGACTACAGGCTCATGCCACCATACCCAGCTAATTTTTGTATTTTTTGTAGAGACGGGGTTTCACCATGTTGGCCAGGATGGTCTCGATCTCCTGACCTCATGATCCACCCGCCTCAGCCTCCCAAAGTGCTAGGATTACAGGCGTGAGCCACCGCGCCAGCCCTGGGAAAGCCTTTTAAGTCCTCACTCCTGAAGGTTAATAAAATCTTTCAGGTCCCCAAAATCTGAGGCATCATGATGATGATACCTGAGTGTGTAAAAATCCTCCCAACACTCCTTCATCTACTTTATGTGGATAATTAATACATTCATGTCAATTTAATTCCTTATCTTGCCCAATTGTTAAAATCCATTATCTCCTTTACTCCTTTGGAACTCTTCTAAGATTATGATGCCAGAGAAGAGTGGATACTGGCCTGACAAAAATGTTCTGTTATTTATGTGCCCACCACTATGTAAATCCCCTTATCCTGCTTTATTTCTCTTCATAGTCCTTACAGTCCATCACATATCCATCTAACATATGATATTCTATTAGACACCTCTTTGAGTTTTTATTTGTCTCTCCCACCGAAATGAAGAGAGAAACCATATTTGTTTTATTTACTGCTGTATCTTCAGGGTCTGGAGCTATGCCCAGCACATAGTAGGCACTCAATTTTTGTTGCAGAAATAAATGGAGATTTTGTGACTTAAGTGGAAGAATGGAATAGAATATTTGAAATGGGGACTATTCCAGAAAATCCAAATATGCAGTTGCCATACTTAGACCACATATCCTTGATTCAATGCAATCAAATTAATAATTTTAAAGTTATTTGTGTTTTACTCTATAAATGAAAAGATAATACATTACTGCAACTGATTTGCTAAAAATAGCTGACTTTTATATGCGAATCAGGTAAAATACACTCACAAAGGAGGGTGACCCAAAAATCACTGAGCAGTTGCTTGTGCATGATAACAGAGTGTAATACAATTCATGTGTTTCAGCACATATATAATTAAGAATGCCAATATATTTTTTCTTTTCAAAGCATTCTTAATTTCTTAATTGCCTAGAAAATTTAAAACTTCTTACAAATATTATGATGAAGGTTTTGAGGGTATAGAAACTAAGGTAACATAAACCAACTTCTACAGACTAAAGTAAAAGAGACATTTTATTAGTCTCTATCACAGACTAATTTGGGGATTTCAGATCCAACCTTGCTCTAATATGACTTATAAAAGGCTTACGGGAAATATGGCTGGTTTCACTGTTAATGATTCCCCTCTCCTTTCTTCCCTCTCTTCATAGCAGGCTTTATTGCAAGAAAACTTACAGGAGGCAAAGTGTTCAAGTGTAAAGAACGATACACTGACTATCCAGATATGAGAATAATTTACTCTGTTTCCTTGAAGAGATTACACCACAAAATAGATAAGTTAGTAGGTAAAGAACTGCTTTCTTCCAACCAAAAAAAAAAGGAGAAAGGTGGTTTTTAGTAGTTTTAGTTTTGCCAAAACTACTGAAGTTGAAGACTTCCCAAAACTACTAAAGGAAGACTGAAGTGGAAGGACTGCTTGAGGCTAGGGGTTTGAGACCCGGCTGAGCAACATAGCAGGGCAGGGAGTTGGGGCGGGGTGCGGGCATGGTGGTTCATGCCTGTAATCCCAGCAGTTTGGGAGTCTAAGGTGGGAGGATCACCTGAGGTCAGGAGTTCGAGACCAGCCTCGCCAACATGGCGAAACTCCATCTCTACTACAAAAATTAGCCAGGCATGGTGGAAGGCACCTGTAATCTCAACTACTAGGGAGGCTGAGGCTGGGAGATTGCTTGAACCCAGGAGGCAGAGGTTGCAAAGAGCCGAGATTGCATCACTGCCCTCTAGCCTGGGCAACAGAGCAAGACTTCGTCTCAGACAAAGTCTCGCTCTTGTCCCCAGGCTGGAGTTCAATGGCGTGATCCTGGCTCACTGCAACCTCCGCCTCCCGGGTTCAAGTGATTCTCCTGGCTCAGCCTCCCGAGTAGCTGGGATTACAAGCACTTGCCACCATGCCCAGCTAATTTTTGTATTTTTAGTAGAGACAGGGTTTCACCATGTTGGCCAGGCTGGTCTCGAACTCCTAACCTCAGGTGATCCACCTGCCTCAGCTTCCCAAAGTGCTGGGATTACAGACGTGAGCCACCATGCCCAGCCAAAACAATTTTTTTTTAATTAGCTGGGTGTGGTGGTGTACAACTGTAGTCTCAGCTACTTGAGGGACTGTGGTGGGAGGACTGCTTGAGCCTAGGAGTTCCATGCTACAGTGAGCTATGGCTGTGCCACCGCACTGCAGCCTGAGCAACAGAGTGAGATGCTGTCTCTTTAAAAAAAAAAAAACAAAACAAAACAGAACAAAAAAAACTGGAAAAAAAAAGTCAACAAGAAGCAAATGTGTTAGGACACGACTGCTTGTTGGAAGCCTTTGCTAAAATACTAGAAATGTAGGAAAGAGACTTTTTATTTCTATAAAATCATGAAGTTTATGAGACTACAAAGATAAAGCTGACAGACTGTCTCCATGAGCAGGGCTAACAGGAAGTTTTGTTTGTTTTTTAAAGCAGTAATAGCTTATGTCATTCTTTTGCCTAAATCTGTTACCTGGGATGTAGCAGTAAGGAGGCTGGAAGGTGTTCACAAACAATCTTTGAGGACTAATGCAAATTCACTCACATGAATGCATGGACTGCTCTGAAGGTACCAGACCTCAGGGCACTCCCACCGGCAGGCTTACTGTGAACCGACATCCCCTACTTCTGAAATCCATTTGGTACGGCAGGAGATCTCTTGCGGGATGTCTGCATTTTCAGAAGAAATTATCTACTGACTGCTTTGGCCAATGTGCTTTTTCACCTCTAAATTTTAAGGTGTTTTTAGCTTTATCAGCAATACCAGAGCACATCACACGTGCACACATCCAAATAGATCTCAGCTTCCACACTTGAAGATTCTAGAAAGCCAGATGGCAGGGCCATGAAGCACATGTAACCAACATGGGCTGTGAAGTCAGTCAGACCCGGGCTTGCATCCAGGTGGCTTCACTTCATTGCAAGCTCCTTCACTTCCCTGAGTCTCACAGGAGGATAGCTATTCCTTTCCTTTTGAGCCAAATTTAACAATGTAATAGTATTCTGAAGAGAGCTAAACCTAAGGACCTTTAAATTCAATCCACGGAGACCACTAATTAACTATGAGCCACTAAAAAGGAGATGCCAATCACAGGATGAGGAAGGCTGGTAGAGAAAAGATTCCTGACTTCCTAATTATCTGAGGTAAGAAAGTTTTGTTTTGGGGTATTTATTTATTTATTTTTTGCACACTGGCTAAGAATAGAATATGCCAAAACAAAGTCTGCACTCTAGGGTGTACAATCTAAATCATATCTTGATTAGCATCACCTAAACCTAAACTGGACTAAGCAGTAGAAAACAGACAGCAGTGGGCAAGATTACACTTGCAAGGGATTGTCTGTGAGATAAACGGTTTTATTTCCTGATTCCAACTCTAGGTCCCTCACCTTAGTTTTCAAATAGTGAAGTTACAGGACCACGAGGATAAAAGCCTCCTCATTCCAGACGTCCTGCAAGTGTGATCAGGGGTTATCTGCTTCCTAGAATGGAGTTTCCAGTGGAAAAGGACAAGGTTTAATAGGAGTGTCAAGATTTCCTTCCCTATATATTAAGATAGTTACCTAAAAACTGTTGTTCTTTCATTTTGTTCAATCATCCCACAAATATTTATTAGGTCCCTACCACATGCCAAGCACTGTGCTAAACATTGAGGATAAAATGAATGAACAAGGCAGATACGGCCTCTGCAATCTGGGATCCCACACCTGAATGCAGGGAGAACAGCCAAGAGAGAAACAGCGGTGGGAGGCAGTGATAGCCTGCCGCTACAAGCCTCACACAATTGATGAATACTAGACATAGCAAGGAAAAGGGAAGAATTCTAAAATTTTGCAAGTGAGCTGCAGTCTGAGCTGATCTCTTTAGCTGCCCAGAAAAAACAAAACAAACAAACAAACAAAAAACCCACAAAACATTACTCACAGGGAGCATTATTCTTTTCTTTTAAGGAAGTATTTTAGTTGTTGAAAAGGGATAACTAACTGCTACACCCACAAAGCTGGCATGGATAGGAAAGTGAGATAAAGAAAGGTGAAGGCCTAGGGTACCGAGAAAGTGGGTGTAGTTTCAGGTTGGGAGTGGAGGGAGATAAGCTGACTACAGTCACAGCCACAAGCCTGAGGAGGTTTTCAGACCCATAGGAACTTGAACTATGTTCTAATTCCACCTCCTTTACTCCCCAGTCTTCAGAAGAGTCTGTGCTAATAACAGCTTTGGGTAAATAAAGCTTTGAGAAATGAAGGAGAGGGAAATTTTCTCTGCTTGAGGCAATGAGATCCGAGAGGGGGCAGCAATCATGGGTGGAGAGAACTACACAGCGTAATCAAGAATCAAATGGGGAGGCAGGATTCCAAGACTAGAGACCAGAAAAGTGCCTGTCATAAGCTTATTCGCACATACCTTCACCCATACACTCTCCACCGCCTGCTTCCTCCCCAGGAATCCTCAGAAACACTTAGGACAGTAGACCTCCCAAAATACATGTGATGGGGACTGGAGTCATTTTATTTGACTAGTAAGGAAAGAGTGTCACCTAGATGAAAGATTTAAAGATCTGCAGGTTATATAGAAAAATTAGTGCAAGTAAAGGAATGATAACTTCTCCAGCAAGAGCGATGACTGCCCTATTTTCTAAATAGAGAGTATGGTAGCTTTAAGGAGAGTGGTAGCTGGAAAATGCCTGGACTTATTGTTAACAAATTTTGGGGGCAATGAAATAATCTGTATAACAAACCCCATGACACATGTTTACCTATGTAACCCGCACATACTGCACATGTACCCATGAACTTAAAAGTTAAAAAAAAAACGAATTTATTTGGGCAGTATAGGTATCCCACTTTATAAAACTGGTATTATTTCTCAGAGACTAACTATAAAACACTTATTTCTATCAAATCCCCTATTTTCTTTCTGATTCCATTATAAAACATCCTGTTCCTTCAGGTGCAAAAAATAGAATTACACTATTATAAAAGGACCCTTTAAGTTGACTTATGTTGTTTTAGAAAATACCAATGTTAGCAATAAAATTTCTACAGATACAAACATTTTGACTATTAAAAGTCAAGAAAATAAACTGAACTTAAAGGAGAGATTCCCATCATATCAATAAGGAATCTCTCCTTTAAGTTCAGTTTATAGCACCATCCCCATTACAAGTCATATTAAGATCCGGGCGTGGTGGCTCATGCCTGTAATCCCAGCACTTTGGGAGGCTGAGGCAGGCGGATCACGAGGTCAGGAGATCGAGACCATCCTGGCTAACACGGTGAAACCCCATCTCTACTAAAAATACAAAAAAAAAAAAAATTAGCGGGGCGTGGTGGCGGGTGACTGTGGTCCCAGCTACTTGGGAGGCTGAGGCAGGAGAATGGTGCGAAGCCAGGAGGCGGGGCTTGCAGTGAGCGAAGATGGCACCACTGCACTCCAGCCTGGGGACAGAGCGAGGCTCCATCGCAAAAAAAAAAAAATGAAAAAGAAAAAAAGAAAAGATTCTCTTTAAAACCTCAAGGCTTCTATTTTACACAAAAATACTCTTTTTGCTAACTCTTAAATTATTAGAGCAACCTGCAACTCTTTTCCTAGTTTCTGGTTAAAAGATTTAAATTAGCTTGCTTATATAGTGTACACACGTATATATGTATGTATGTGCTGACTGATTGAAACAGGGTCTCACCGTGTCACCCAGGCTAGAGCGCAGTGGTGTAATCTTGGCTCATTGCAGCCTCCCAGGCTCAAGTGATCCTCCCATCTCAAGCCTTCTGAGTAGCTGAGACTAAGATGCACGTCACCATGCTTGGCTAATTTTTTAACTTTTTGTGGAGATGGGGTCTCTATATTACCCAAGCTAGTCTCAAACTCTTGGGCTCAAGCAATCCTGACTCAGTCTCCCAAAGTGCTGGGATTACAGGCATGAGCCATCACACCCAGACTACAGTATATTTTCTTTACAACGAATTTCTGTGTGTGTGTGTGTGTGTGTGTGTGTGTGTGTGTGTGTGTGTGTGTGTGTAGTTGACAAGCAACTTTTTAAGCTTATTCCCTTTTTCACTAGAATAATCTCCAATAACAACAAAGTAATAAAAGTCTGATTAAAGACAAATTATCTGACCAGGCAACTGCAATCTATAAATTAGTTCAGCAAGCTAATGTCAGATGTAAAAAGTTACCAGTAAAAGGAAGTAAGTGTGCTTTGGAACAAACAGGGAGGATATTGTTTGTGTTGGGTTGAACAACACGTTGTCCATCCCCCTGCAAATTCATATCTAGCTGGTACCTCAGAATGCAGCCTTATTAGAAATAGGGTCTAGGGTCTTCGCAGATGGAATCCGCAAAGTTAAAATGAGGTCATGCTGGATTTGTGTGGACCCTAAATCCAATGCCTGATGAAGGCCATGTGAAAACACAGAGACATCAGAGTGAAGAAGGCTGGGTGGTGAGAGGCAGACGAAATGATGCAGGCACAAGCCTAGGAATGCCAAGGACTGCTGGCAACCACCGAAAACTAGGAAGAAAGAAGAAGGGATTCTTCCTAGAGCCTTCAGAGAGTGCATGGCCCTGCTAACACCTTGATTTCAGACTTCCAGCCTCCAGAACTGAGAGAGAATAAATTTCTGTTGTTTTAATCTACAAAGTTTTTGGTAATTTGTTACAGCACCCCTAGGAAACTCATACAGAATCTTTGACCAAAAGGCATGATTGGTGAAAAACAACTTTCCCGTGGCCCATTCATTCTTAAAGTGAAATACTAATGCAGCAAAGATACATAGTACTAGTGCAAATTCCTACTTCATACTAACAACCACACAATCTTTACATTTCCTTCATCACTCTCACTGTAAACAATAGTGTCCACAAATCCAGGCAGCTCTGTGCACCCTGGACTGCTGGAAGGTTGAAGCAAAACCTAACTGTAAAACCGAAAGGCCCTGTATACAGCTTGTTACTCTAATACTATAACCATTAAGAAACGATACACTGCTTTTCTCTAATTATTTCTGAAACCCTCCCCTTATTTACAGTATAAAAGCTAATGAAAATGTACTTGTGATCGTTGTAATTCACTGAAAATCTGACAGGAAAAAAGCCCACATGTAAAAACATCGACACACTCAAAATCTTTAAAGCTTTCTGGCTTATGTAACAATTTCAACCTGTATACGGCAGTTCAATAAATTCTAAATGAAAAGCTTTATGCAGAAGTGGCCAAAATTGGCAAAATAATTTCTTCCATACTCCCTCTATCAATTTGGTGCGTGTGCTTCAAGCTTTCAGCAAGGAGTGTTAAACACATGCTCTTCTCTTCTATAATATTTTGGTGGTTGCGTCACTAAGAAAATAGTTTATCAATGTACCACTTGTAACTGACTTTTTCAATGGAATTATGTAGTTACCTCAACCTCTTCAAAAAGATAAATATAGTGCAAAAGCAAAAAACAACAAGAAGAAAAAAAGAAAATGAAAACTTCCAGGGATACAATTTAACTGTCTCATTCTTGTAGAAAAAAGATAGTTTGGGCTTAAATAGTTATTCTGAAGAGATTCTTGTCAGTTCAAGTAGAAGCTTTTGTAAATGTCTAAAATGAAGCACATTGTGGTTCTCACAATTCTATTTCCGTTGATGCAAAAGTGAATATTTACCACAATAAGCAAACACAATACCATTTCCCAAAACACTTAAATTCAGAAAAAACTATCTGCAATTAGTCAACTATGTCATAAAGCAGGCAGCACCTCGTGCTGACATTTTGCTGTTATTTTAGTCCCATTAAAACACTTTTTAAAAAATATCTGGTATTCTATTTTGACCAGTCCCACATGGGGCCAAGACTGGCAGAAGTCATGGTAGGTTAGCATGAGTTTTCTTACTCCTCATCACAGCTCTGGAGGTGAAAAGCCAGAACAAGATCCATGCCAGGGCAGGAAAGAACTACATGTGAAAAGAAAGCAGGTACACTGTTGCTTTCCTCTCCCCAGGACTCCTCTACAGATCTTTCAAATCATAAAGTTTCTGTTGCCACGGCTATCAGTGCAATACCACAGGTTAAAAATAAAACCAGTGGTGGCCTATGCTGTTAGAGAAAGTTGGGTGCATAGGAAAAGACAAGCTTTGGGACCAGGCAGGCGTGGGCTCCTATTTCTGACCCACTGCTGGTTAGCTGCGTGCTCTTGGGCAAGTTGCTCGAATCCCCAAAGTTTAATTTCTTCATTCAAGGGTTGTAAGGCTGAAGGGAGATCAAGTATGAAAAGCACCTAATGCTACTCAAGTCTACTACACTCAATAAATGTTACCTCCTTTTCAAATGAAATTATATCAAGCACTCTCTCAGACCACAGTGGAATAAAACTGGAAATCAACTCCAAAAGGAACCTTCAAAACCATGCAAATACATGGAAATTAAATAACCTGCTCCTGAATCATTGGGTCAAAAATGAAATCAAGATGAAAATTTAAAAATTATTCTAACTGAGTGACAATAGTGACACAAACTATCAAAACCTATGGGACACAGCAAAAGGCAGTGCCAAGAGGAAAGTTCATAGCCCTAAACGCCTACATCAAAAAGTCTGAAACAGCACAGACATTCTAAGGTCACACCTCAAGGAACCGGAGAAACAAGAACAAACCAAACCTGAACCCAGCAAAAGAAAGGAAATAACCAAGATCAGAGCAGAAGCAAATGAAATTGAAACAAACAAAAAATACAAAAGATAAATGAAACAAAAAGCTGGTTCTTTGAAAAGATAAATCAAATTGATAGACCATTAGCAAGATTAACAAAGAAAAGAAGAGAGAAAATCCAAATAAGCTCAATAAGAAACAAAACGAGAGACATTACAACTGACAACACAGAAATACAAAAGATCATTCGAGGTTACTATGAACACCTTTACATGCATAAACTAGAAAACCTAGAGGAGATGGATAAATTTCTAGAGAGATACAACCCTCCTAGCTTAATCAGGAAGAATTAGATACCCTGAACAGACAAATAACAAGCAGAGAGACTGAAATGGTCATTTTAAAATTACCAAAAAAAAAAAAGTCCAGTACCAGATGGATTCACAGCAGAATTCTACCAGACATTCAAAGAAGAATTGATCCCAGTCCTATTGACACTATTCCGCAAGACAGAGAAAGAGGGAACCCTCCCTAAATCATTCTATGAAGCCAGCATCACCCTAATACCAAAACCAGGAAAGGATATAACCAAAAAAGAAAACTACAGACCAATATCCCTGATGAACACAGATGCTAAAATCCTTAACAAAGGACTAGCTAACCAAATCCAACAACATATCAAGAAGATAATCCACCATGATCAAGTGGGTTTCATAAAAGGGATGCAGGTATGGTTTAACACACACAAGTCAATAAATGTGATACACCACATAAACAGAATTAAAAACAAAAATCACATCATCATCTCAATAGATGCAGAAAAAGCATTCGACAAAATCCAGCATCCCTTTACGATTAAAACTCTGGGCAAAATTGCCTTACAAGGGACATACCTCAATGTAATAAAAGCCATCTATGACAAACCCACAGCCAACATAATACTAAATGGGGAAAAGTTGAAATAATTCCCTCTGAGAACTGGAACAAGACAAGGATGCCCACCGTCACCACTCCTCTTCAACATACAAAATTAATGTACGCAGATCAGTAGCTCTTCTATATACCAACAGCGACCCAGCTGATAATCAAATCAAGAACTCAATCCCTTTTACAATAGCTGCAAAAAAAAAAAAAAAAACCTTAGGAATATACCTAACCAAGGAAGTGAAAGACCTCTACCAGGGAAACTACAAAACGCTGCTAAAAGAAATCATAGATGACACAAACAAATGGAAACACATCCCATGCTCATGACTGAGTAGAATCAATATTGTGAAAATGACCATACAGCCAAAAGCAATCTACAAATTCAATGCAATCCCCATCAAAATACCATCATTATTCTTTGAGGAATTAGAAAAAACAATTCTATAATTCATGTGGAACCAAAAAAGAACCAATAAAGCCAAAGCAAGACTAAGCAAAAAGAACAAATCTGGAGGCATCACATTACCTGACTTCAAACTATACTAAAGCCATAGTCACCACAATAGCATGGTACTGGTATAAAAATAGCCACATAGACCAATGGAACAGAATAGAGAACCCAGAAATAAACCCAAATCCTTATAGCCAACTGATCTTCGACAAGGCAAACAAAAACAAAGTGGGGGAGAAAAGCCTTTTTCAACAAATGGTGCTGTGATAATTGGCTGGCCACAGGTAGGAGAATGAAAATGGATCCTCACCTCTCACCTTATACACAAATCAACTCAAGATGGATTAAGGACTTAAATCTAAGATGTGAAACTATAAAAATTCTTGAAGATAACACTGGAAAAAAAACCCTTCTAGACATTGGCTTAGGCAAGGATTTCATGACCAAGAACCCAAAAGCAAATACCATAAAAACAAAGATTAAATAGCTGGGACTTAATTATACTAAAGAGCTTTTGCACAGCAAAAGAAACAGTCAGCAGAGTAAACAGACAACCCACAGAGTGGGAGAAAATCTTCACAGTCTATACATCTGACAAAGGACTAATATCCAGAATCTACAATGAACTCAAACAAATCAACAAGAAAAAAACAATCTCATCAAAAAGTGGGCTCAGGACATGAATAGACAGTTCGCAAAAGAAGATATACAAATGGCCAACAAACATATGAAAAAAATGCTGAACATCACTAATGATCAGGGAAATGCAAACATGAATAGACAGTTCGCAAAAGAAGATATACAAATGGCCAACAAACATATGAAAAAAATGCTGAACATCACTAATGATCAGGGAAATGCAAATGAAAACCATAATGCGATACCACCTTATTCCTGCAAGAATGGCCACAATCAAAAAATCAAAAAATAGTAGATGCTGGCATGGCTGCAGTGAACAAGGAACACTTCTACACTGCTGATGGGAATGTAAACTAGTACAACCACTATGGAAAACAGCGTGGAGATTCCTTAAAGAACTAAAAGTAGAATTACCATTTGATCCAGCAATCCCACTACTGGGTATCTACCCAAAGGAAAAGAAGTCATTATATGAAAAAGATACTTGAACACACGTTTACAGCAGCACAATTCGCAATTGCAAAAACGTGAAACCAACCCAAATAGCCATCAACAAATGGATAAAGAAGCTGTTTCATATATATATACATATATGTTTCTTTTATATATATATGATATATATGTGATATATATATCATATAGATGTGATATATATATCATATAGATGTGATATATATATCATATATATGTGATATGTTTCTTTTATATATATATCATATATATGTGATATATATATATATGATGGAATACTACTCAGCCATAAAAAGGAATAAATTAATGGCATTTGCAGCAACCTGGATGAGACTGGATACTATTATTCTAAGTGAAGTAACTCAGGAATGAAAAACCAAACATTGTATGTTCTCACTTATAAGTGGGAGCTAAGCTATGAGGATTCAAAGGCATAAGAATGACACAATGGACTTTGGGGACTCAGGGGGAAAGAGTGGGAAGGGAGTGAGGGATAATAGACCACAAATAGAGCTCAGTGCATACTGCCCAAGTGATGGGTGTCCAAAATCTCACAAATCACCACTAAAGAACTCACTTATGTAACCAAACACCATCCATTCCCCAATAACCTATGGAAATAGTGAATGAATGAATGAATGTTAGCTCCTTTTCCTTTTCTCCTCCTTCCCCCAGGTAAGTTTAGGTTTAAATTTTAACTTTCAGCAGAAAAGCTGCAGATGTGTTAGCTTCCAACAGACAATGCACAAGGACTCCACCCCCAGAGAGTTATTTGGGGGATATTTATTCTTTTAAACATAAATAAGTGCCTGCAGCTATTCCAGGGCTGTTATGTTTTACTTCAGTATATACAGATATTAAGTCTGCAAGTTAAAACTGTCATTCCAAAATTGTTCCCTCTAGGACAAATAAATAGACATTTACCCCGTTACTAAGGATGCTACGGCTTATTGTAATGGCTGAGTAATTATTACAGTGCAGGTCCTGTCAGGGAACACATCACTCACTATGTATAATAAGGAGGTAAGGTCTCACCACATAGCTCTGCCAGTCACCTGAAGGAAAGGTCCCTCAGCCTGGGAACTGCAACTGAATATGAGTTTTCTATTTAGAAGTTAACACTCAGTGATGAAAACAGATAGAGTCTACGAGCCTTGGGAATAAATTAGCTGTTAACTTCAAAATCTGAACAAAAGGGACTGTTTCAGGTTTATGTTTCTTTGTTACTGTTACTGGTATTCTTTTCCTGCTTTTTCCCTCCTTAGATATTTGGTAAAGTCTTTTCTCAGCTGTACTAAGACAATCTCAAGGATAGAGTCTTTTTTTCATGTTTGTGCCAGACTTGTAAAAAGGGGCTAGCCTACTACCTTCGTAGTCAGCATGAAATATGCTGGAAAACTACCAAGAGAACATCCCAACATTTTTTTTAGAAAACAGAGACAGAGACACATACTCAGAGTGTATGAAGTTCAGGTAGTCGTCATCTAAAAATTTTTCTAGACAGTACTAAAATTGCATGAGTGTCTGTTTTAGGCTTTTTGTACTATAAAATAAAGCATATAAAACTGCACAAAACCAAGATGTGCAGTTCAAGTATTTGTCACAAAGGGAAACACTCATGGAACAACCACCAGGACAAGACACAGAGTTTGCCAGAACCTAGAAGTGTGCCTTATGACCTTACTAGTAACTACCCTCTCCCTTTCCCAAAATGCAACCACAATCATGGCTTTTGCCTAAGTATGCATCCTTAGACACTCTGGTTTTGTTTTGCCTTTTAAAATGTTATTTAAATGGATCATGCAGGCTGTATTCTTTTGTGTCTGGCTTCTTTTGATCTATATTATATTTGTGAAATTTATCCATATGATTACGTGTGTCAGTTTATTACTTTTCATTGAAGCATACTATTCCACTATACAAATATAAAACATTTTATCCATCTAATCTTGGTGAACACTTGAGCTCTTTCCAGGTGTTAGTTATTATGAATGATGCTATTATGAATGTTCTTGAATGTGTCTGTTGTTTGCATTTCTGTTAAGTGTATTCTAAGGAGTGAAACTGCTAGATCATAGGGTATGCATTTCATAAACTGTTGTACCAGTCTCCCAAAGTGATTGTATCAATGCATGTTCCCTACCAGCTGCATGATCCTGCTGCCTCACATCTCTGCCACACTTTGTGGGTATAGTGGTTTTGTCTCTCATCTGTAACAAATGACATTGAGCACCTTTTCAAAAGACTATTTATCATATGTTTTAACTCTCATACATATATTTTAAAACCCAAGAAGACATTGATGTTGTTTTGTATGGTCATTAGGTATTTAGATTTTTCCACACAGTCACATTTATAGTTGCATTTTTGATCTTTCATCTGAGATAATTTTTATCCTGCCTAAATAACATACTTTAACATTTCCTTTAGCTAAAGTCTGTTTGTTGGTATCAAAATTTTCCAGTTTGGCTGAAAATGTCTTTATTTCACTCTCATACTTGAAGAATATGGTTGTTGGGTATAGAACTCCAGGTTGACAACTATTTACTTTCTAGATATTAAAGATGTTGTTCCATTGCCTTCTGCTGGCTACTGTTTCTTCTAAGAAGTCAGCTACTACTACTGGTTATAATTATACCTCCTAGGAAAATTTGTCTTTTTCCCCCCACTCTGGTTGCTTTCAAGATTTTATCTTTGTTTCTGCTTTTATTAGCATTACAGTGATATGTCTAGGTATGAGTTTCTTTTTTATTTATCATTCTTGGAGTTCACAGGATTTCTTGAGTTTGTAAATAGAAGTTATTTATCAGTGTTACAAAGTTCCCAGCCATTTTCTATTCAAATACTGCGGTGCTCCACTTTAGTGCTCATCTACTTCTGAGATTCCATTTACAAGTATTTAGAAATCTCGTACCATATCCTTTAGGTCTCTTAACCTTTCTTCTATATTTTCCAGTCCTTTTCTTCTCCATATTTTCTTTTACATATTTTCTTTCAGCTCTTTTTCAGTGTGTTAATCTTTTCTTTAGTTGTATCTGATTTGTTATAAACCTATGTAGTGAGTTGTTTATTTTGGTTATAATAATGTGCAGTTCTAGAATTTGCACTGTTGTCTTTTATACTCACAAGTTCTCTTGAATTTTTGTCTTTGCTTGAAAACAGTAAGCACAATTATTTTATTTTTATTCTTTTAATTTTTTTTAGACAGAGTCTCACTTTGTTGCCCAGGCTGGAGTGCAGTGGTGCAATCTCGGCTCACTGCAACCTCCACCTCCCCAGTTCAGTTTACAGGTGTGCACCATTATGACCAGGTAATTTTTATATTTTTAGTAGAGACAGGTTTTTGCCATGTTGGCCAGGCTGGTCTAGAACTCCTGACCTCAGGTGACCCACTCACCTTTGGCCTCCCAAAGTGTTGAGATTACAGGAGTGAGCCACCACGCCCAGCGAACACAATAATTATAAAGTCTATTTCTATAATGCCAATCTATGAAGCTTTAATGTATTTTTTTCTATTGCTATTGTTTCCCTAGTTTTTGCTGATATTTTCTTCCTACTTCAAGTGTGTGTTTACAGTAAGTCCTCACTTAACATCATCAACAGGTTCTTGGAAACTGTGGCTTTAAGTAAAACACCATAAAATTAAGCCAATTTTTTCTTATCAACATTACAATGAAACACATTGAACAAAACAATGTTATTCAAGGACCTGCTATATGTGTCATTTCACTTAAAATCAGTTTCTGAGAACCTATAGACAATGTTAGGTAACGATGTACTATATTTTTTATGGTGTGCTACTGCTTTTGCAAAACTGTTAGTAGAAGTAATTTGAGAACTAGGATATTATTAACATATTCTTCCAGGGAATTTAAACTTGTTCCCGCCAGATCTTGTGGGACTAGTACTGTAGAATCACCTTAATCTAATTTCAGGGCATGAGAAAATTAGAAGCTGGACTTCCTTTCTTCCCAATTTTGGACCCATAATTCTTTACTATGTTATAACCTCTCCAATGCCTCCAAGCAGACTTTTTTATACTTTATCTTGCTTTTCTAGTCTCCTTCATCAGGAATGTTAATCCAAATTACTTGCTCTACCATTACAGAAAGCTCCTGGCCCTATGTTTCATTTTAATAAGCTGTTCCTTTACTATATCACCTTAAACCCTATAACTTAATCTATGAAGTAGGTCTATTATTGCTTTAGTTTTATCCAATAAGACATGTTAATCTCTATTTTTAAGTCTGTTAATTAGTTTTGCCTATTTAAAAAATAATGAATAAAAAAGCACTCAAAAAAGTAACAGAAAAGGTCATCCTTAATTCTATTACTTTAATTTATTATTATTATTTTTTGAGACATTGTCTCACTCTTTCATCCAGGCTGGAGAGCAGTGGCACTATCTCAGCTCACTACAACTTCCACCTCCTGGGTTCAAGCAATTATCCTGCCTCAGCCTCCCGAGTAGCTGGGATTACAGGTGCCTGCTACCATGTCTAATTTTTGTATTTTTAGTAAAGATGGGGTTTCACCATGTTGGCTAGTCCGCTCTTGAGCTCCTGACCTCAGGTGATCCACGTGCCTCAGCCACCCAAAGTGCTAGGATTATAGACATGAGGCACCACGCCCAGCCAATTCTATAACTTTTATTTTTACTTATAAAAAAGCCCACCCAGCAGGGCGCAGAGGCTTACGACTGTAATCCCAGCACTTTGGAAGGCCAGGGCAGGTGGATCACCTGAGGTCAGGAGTTCAAAAACCAGCCTGGCCAACATTGTGAAACCCCGTCTCTACTAAAAACACAAAAATTAGCCAGTCGTGGTGGTGCCCCTGTAATCCCAGCTACTCAGGAGGCTGAGGCAGGAGAATCGCTTGAACCCAGGAGGCAGACGTTACAGTGAGCCAAGATTGCGCCACTGTACTCCAGCCTGGGCGACAAAAGCAAGACTCTGTCTCAAAAAAAAAAAAAAAGCCCACCTTAGAATAATTGTGTTTGTTGTTATATGTCTTATAAAACAAATTGTGTACAGAATGATGTAATAACCCTTTCATAAGTATAAACTTACTGACACTTTTTTTTATAAAATCACAAATTCAAAGACCTGATACTACTACAACTAATAAATGATGAAATTTCTTCAGCGCTTTTTGGTTAGAATAATATTATATTATATCCCTTTAAAATACTACTAAAAGTGGACTCCAGATTATAATAAGACTCTGATCAAGATAAAATACACAAAGTTTCAACTGTTTTCTTTGCTGTATAAGAAAACTGTGGTTCATACACTTGCTCAGACTGCCAAATACAAAGTGACCCCTCAAAATTAGAATGTTCTCCTTTAAATGTAGAAATGTAAAGGCTTCATAATACTATTGTGCTTTAAGAAAAATCAATTGGTCCAAATTATTGCATCTAATGAGATTTTCCAGGCTTTCTGGCAATATTTGTGAGTTGGAGAAAAAGGCAAATTGCCTTATGGAAACATCTGAAACAAGGTCCTCTGTCTCCATCTTCATTTGCTTTCCATAATCACAAATTGGTTTTCAGGTTACTGTGGCTTTCAACACTTTAAACCACAAATGAAGGCCTAATTCTTAGCATACTGGCACAATGAATACTTTTAACATCCCCAGTTATATTAATATTAGTGTTCTCCTTCTGTACTGCAAACAGTCTACAAATAGAGTGTTAAATCAGCAGATTCTTCATGCTTAATATGCTGTAATTTTCCATAGGACTAGTCAATATAAATGTATACTTTAAAATATACACATTTGTGAATGTCCACAAAATACATATACTTGTTTTTGCTTTTTATATTATGCTAAATATAGTATATATGTATTAATACATGCATCCTGATTTGTATATTTTGAAACATATTTACATTATTAGAAATAATGCATTCTCTATGGAAATACATCAAATGAACTTTTTTAGAGCATCTAATTTGTATAAATCTTTACACATGTATACATAAGTATATTAAGCAAAACGATTACTAAAGAGAATAAATAAAAAGAAATTACACCTAGACATATTATCATAAAATTGCAGAACATCAAAGACAAAGAGAAGACTTTACAAGAGAAAAAAGAGAATCTAACAAAGAAATAACAATTAGGCTGAAAACAGACTTCAACGGAAACAATAGAGGCCAATGGTTTGTGGAAATATCTTTAAAGTGCTGAGAGAAAATACATCAGTCTAGACTTAAAACAAGAACAAGAGAAAAATAATGACCTGTGTAGAAAGATAAAAACTGAGAGGATTTATTACCAGCAGGATTTTGCCCACTGGAGCTTCTAAAGGAATACTTTAAGGACAATACTTCTAGAAAGCAGGTCTGAGTTGTAAGAAGGAAAAGGAAGCAAATAAATTGGTAAAATAGTGGCAAACCTAAACAATCAATAATACAATAATAAAGTCTAGGGTTTTAAAAGGGCAGCATGTAAAGTAGGAGAGAAGCAACTGGAGTTGTATTTGAAGATCCTCATGGTATTTGGGAGGCATTTAATATCAGGTTTAGACTGCTGGGTATGCATGGACAATTTCAAAGGTACCCATAAACTAATAAAAACAGTGTACAATTTCTACGTTTAGAAAAACATTAGCTGCTGTTACAAACCCCCAGATTTCAGTGGCTTAACACATCATTCTCATAACAGTCTAATGTTTGGTTGGCAGGTGGTTTTCCTCTACACAGACGTTCAAAGACTCGGGTTCTTACCATCTTGTGGCTTCACCAACCATTAGGGTCTTATAATCTTGTGCATCCAGAGAGCAGAAGTGAAAAGGGGCATGGATGAGGTCCAAGCACTCCCTAAAAGCCTTGGCCCCAACATGGTAAAAGTCACTTCTGTTCACATCCCACTGGTTAGATCTCAGTCACACAGTATGTATAACAGCAAATGGTCCTGGAAAATGTGGCTTAGTGAATGCGCAAAAAAAAAAAAATAAATAAATAACAGAGGAGACTAATACATTTTTGAGAGCAGCTAGGAGGTTCTGTCACAGCTTCCAATCCACTGGGAATAAGAAAACAAACAAAATTCAAACAATTTAAAAAGAAAGACAATAAAAGAGAAAGCGAAATGGATAAAAAGGTGTGACAAATATAAATAAAATATTAAGGTAAGGTGACAGTAACAACATCAAACATTCAGCAAGCACGACACATGTAAATTAATCTACCAGTTAAAAATTAGATATTATAATGTATTTTAAAACAATAACAAAATGAAGCAGTATGCTCTTTATAAGAGGCACACCTAAAACATAAAGACATAAAAGATCGACATCATGAGAAAATATTCCAGGCAAATATGAACCTAAATAAAGTTATGTACTACATCAGTATCATTTTAAAATGGACTCCATCCAAAAAAAAGGAATAAAGAGAGTACCTACACAACGGTAAATTTAACAGGAAAGTATACTAATTCCATATATTTAAATATCTATTAAAATAGCCTCAAATATGTATAGAGCAATATTTAATAAAAACACAGAAGAAATTAATGAACCCATCATATAGTCAGAGATTCTAAAATATGTTTGATGCAGAGGACATGTGTAGTAATGCCAAATAAAAGTACACACTGTTTTCACATACATATTTCCAAAACCTGTTTATATGTTAAGCCACAAAACCAGTCTCAATGGAGTTCCAACAATAGGTATTATATAGACCATGCCCGTTAATCACAATGCAATTAAGTTAAAAATCAATTATATAAAAATAAAATCTCCACAGTTAGAAAATTTTAAAGCATTTCTAAATAACCCATGAGTCAAAGTAAACACTAGAAAATAAATATTTACTTCAGAAAAAAGAAGTATTTACTTCAGTAAGAATGAACCACAGCTCACAACAGGGATGAATCAGAAACATAATGTGAGGAAAAAAACAAGTTTCATAACTTACATATACCTTACATAATCTTTCATATGTATCATATGTATTACTATGTGATACACTGGCACATATATTTGTGAACAGTTCAACTACGTGCTCCCTTTACCATTTAAAAATCTTTCTACTTAACAGAAAGTTCCACGGCTATTCACTCTTCTCTTCCCAATCACAGATTAGGAAGATACTTTAGATACCAGAGTAGTCTGGTGAGACAGGTATATCAGATTCCAGAATAATTAGTCCATCCCAACTGAGATGAGTAAACTGGTAAGTTTCTAGAGCTTAATGGGTCAGAACAGCTATGAGGTCCCTGTCTAGAATACTTGGCCCTTTCAAAGTAAAATGACAGCAGTAAGAGAACAGAAGTCTTCAGTGTGCTCTCGAGCCAGTCAGACACAATGTCAGTTAAATAAATTTTAAAAACACAACAGGATTCCAAATATAAAGAAATTAAGATGGCAAACAATAATACAGTATTGTCACCATTTCTGATTACTGGCAATTTGAAAAAAACCTTTTCTATGATAAAATTTAAAATATACGATCAATATTTTTAAAATTAACATCTTTAAAAGGATTAAATTTAGTGAAAAGTAGCAGGAACAATGAAATTTGGAATTAAAGTTTCTATCAGAAAAACACCACGGCCTCTCCATCTACTGCCAGAGCTGGCTTTAACAATTGACGAATACTTATTCTGCAGGGAATTTGTTGATGCAAAACCAGGAAACAATTTATCTCCACTGGGAATACTTTGAAGAAGGGATTAGAGCGGGGCTAGGGCAGGGAGGATCTGTAAAAAACAATATTTGCCAAACTAAAAACACATAGGCACACATGGGAATTATTTTACTTTCAACAAGTTCTGAAAGTAGTAACAAAACCAGGGAGAGTTAAAAGAATAATTTAACACTGATGTTTCAGGAATGCTAAAGGAGACCAGGCATTTAGACTTCATGTTGCTAAGTGTGTTCATCTCAAATCTAAAAGCCACTTTCATAACAACAACTTTGCTATTCCTTAGCATTTTGTCTCTTTAGGCAGCTTATTTCCCAGTCAAAGTTATAATTTTGTATTCATAATACCATAATCATTTCCATGGTAACTTCCTGTGAAGTCACAGAGAAAACACTATTGACTTCTCCTGAGGCTCTGATTTCCCAGTTGAAATCATATGTTGATTTTATTTTTTCCAATGTAAGTCAAAGATTTACTATTAAAAATCCTGGGGATGAGGTCTTAACACAGAAAACCCATCTGTCGTCGCTACAGAGGCAAGTAGAGAAACCTAGTAGCACAGGATACTTGGTCCAAACTGCAAGGACCTGTACCAGGAGTCAGTGAACTTGGGTTCACACCCCAGCTCTGACAGCTATGAGAGAGGAGTCTTTGGACACAGTATCTAATGTTCTCAAGTTTCCCTTTACCCATCTGCAAAATGAAAAAGTATCTCATAATGTTGTGAGAATTAAATGAGAGACAATGCTGTCAGCTTAAAAAAAAAAAATCTCACTCCCCCAAATTTACAGTTATCTCTGACCTCAGGATATAGATACTGAGTTGCAATGGAAGTACTTATTCAGCAAATATTTATTAAGGGCCTACTTCGTGTTCTTGGTGCCGGGAAGACAAGGAATAGTGTTAGTGCTTTGGCCCTAACATAAACTGTTTCTTTATCCTGATGCTTCAGTTTAATGTTTACCTCCCTCCGTAGGAGGCTAGTTCTTGGTATGAGGTCAACCTTGACTCTCAGCCCTCTCTATTTTTCTCTTGTGCCCACATATCAAGGCAAATAGAGTACAAATTTTAAAGCCTCAAACAGTGAGCCTCTGTGGATGAGAAATGAAGTCCAGGCTGGGCAGCACTGTTTCAATTTACCATCTCATCTGAAGGAGGGGATGTGGTTCCTTTTAAAGGACAATGTATAATGAATAAAAACCTTCAGCTTACAGCTAGCTTATAATTAGTATTTGGGTTAATAACACAGTGACAATTGTCTGAACCTCTGAAAACACAAGGGTAGTAAATACCTACCTTCAGAAACCAAAGCATCAGTTAATTCCAAGCCTGCCTCCCTATTTCTACAGAAATAACACAATAATTTTACCTAGCAACTTCAAGAAAAGTGGAGAAATAGCTTATGACAAAAAGAAAACCTAACCCCTTTGAATCCCTTAGATATGTTGTTGTCATCAGATACTTAAACTTTGTACCTAAAGTAAAGCTTAATAAATTTACCATTATAAATGTTGAGGTGGTCTTCAATAAAAGAAACTTTAAAAAACTGGCAATTGTGTGCTTTCTGAGCAGGAAAACAATTTAAAATGTATATATCTAAAGGAAGAAGACATAGCATTCTGTATCTAGATAGCAATGTATATCCTCCTGAACACTATTTGGGATAGACAGCTCTTGGAGAAAAAAAGGTCTATGGTAAGCATGGAAGGGCTCTGAGAAGTTCTGCAGCAAAGAAACCTGTTTATTGTTAAGAAAATGCTAAACAAGCATTTTCCAAAATTATTTGACCAAACGTCTCACAGAAAACACTTAAGAACATGCTGTTATTTAGTAAGCCACACATTCACATAGCTGCTAAAGTGTATCACAGAGTATCAACTCATAACTCAAAGCATCTTGCTCTTTGTAGTTGAAAGAGCAAATAAAAATATCCCAGAACTGGCCAAGCACGGTGGCTTATGCCTGTAATCCCAGCACTTTGGGAGGCTGAGATTGGTGGATCGCTTGAATCCAGGAGTTCCAGACCAGCCTGGGCAACATGGTGAAACCCCACCTCTACCAAAAATACAAAAATTAGCCAGGCACGGTGGTGTGCGCCTGTAATCCCAGCTACTTGGAAGGCTGAAGTGGGAGGATGGTTTGAGCCTGGGAGGCAGAGGTTGCAGTGAGCTGAGATGGCACCATTGCACTCCAGCCTGGGCAACAGAGCCAGACCCTGTCTCAAGAAAAAAAAAAAAAAATCCTGGAATTCTGTTCTAATTGCTCTGCAATCCCTACCAGAAACAAGAATTTCCTTCTGTAAGTGTATGGAATATTTAAATGATAGAAAAGAATGTAAGCTGTTTTGCTTGTTTGGTTGAAGATACACTTATACCTAGAACAGTATCTGGTACACAAAAATAACTGTGAAACGAATGACTGAATAATCTCCGTAGTTTTCTTATCTTCTCTTCCATACTCCCTACAAGATACTAGAGATCTGTGATTCTACAAAATTATGTATTTAGAAGCACATTACAGAAAATAACGCAGACACTGGTACTAAACAGATAGGGTTTTAAAGTCTGGTTGCACTACTAATTAGCTATGTGACCTTCAGCAATTACTTTTTACAAAACGGGAATAAACTTTTTATCCCACAGGACTACTATGAAGAAAGCGCCTGGCATAATCTTGGCACATCGAAGGCATTCAAAAAATACCAGTCGTCTCTCTTCACTCCCTCTAACTCTAACTCATTTTAACCTCATTTAAACTTTGAGGAAAAAGAACTCAAGGGTAAGTAAAACTTCCTGGTGGATTATCAAATGAGATGAGGTAAACCAAAACAAACAAATCCCACAGAGAATATGATGAAAACAGAGTTACTTTCTAAAGACTGCAGCACTGTTCCTCAGGTGCTTCCCAAAGGTTCCGAGTACTGTAGTTTACGTTTCAGGTGTGCATCTTCTTTTAATCAAACTAATTCAATGAATTTCCAGCACCTCATTTCATTCAATCATCCTATTCTCTGTCAAAGGTTTTATCTCCCTCAAAATCAAAACAACATATTTTTATAATAATGTCTCTTTCTCCCAACACTCAAACAAAAAACTTAAACCAAGTTTAACACTCCACATATATTAGAAACAGCATGAAGTAATGAAGTAGAGTATTCAATACACAATTAGTTTACAGAAATTACACTAACTCTTACCTGGTTATCACATATATTACCTTCTCTTTTTTTTTTTTTTTTTTTGAGACGGAGTCTCATTTTGTCGCCAGGCTGGAGTGCAGTGGCGTGATCTTGGCTCACTGCAATCTCTGCCTCCTGGGTTTGAGTGATTCACCTACCTCAGCCCCCTGAGTAGCTGGGACTACAGGCATGCACTACCACGCCCGGCTAATTTTTTGTATTTTAGTAGAGACGGGGTTTCACCACTTTGGCCAAGATGGTCTCGATCTCCTGACCTCGTGATCCACCCGCCTCGGCCTCCCAAAGCATTGGGATTACAGGCGTGAGCCACTGAGCCCCGGCCACCTTCTCCTTTTGAAGAGTCTGAGCTCATATTTTATCTTGTTTCTGACATTTGAAAAAAAAAATTCTAATATTAAGAAGCTGCTTGCTGATTTTTAAAAAGGCTTCACGAGAGGACTGAAGTTTCTTTTTCTGGGTCAATCAGTCATTAGTAAACTAAGGAAAAGGAGGAATCATACATTAAAAGGGAAATTTACTAGCAACATGCAGTGGAGTTACCTGATGTGCTGACAGAGTAACAAGGGAGTGAAGGGAAATAGCTTCATTAAATGAACTATTTATGTTCCAGTAAATCCAGTGTTTTAAAATTCTGACATTTGTTTTGAAACCAGATTCAGATTTTGTACATAGTATTTCTTTGTTGGCAAGAGCTGGAAGAAAGTTAATGCCAATAAGTCTAGCTTTTTTGCATATGCTTTTTGTGTGTTAGGGTATCAGAGGACCTATGAATCAGGTCAAAATTAACACCACATGTGTATGTCTTTGGAGAAACAGAAATGACTTGTCAGATTTCTATCATAAAAACTAATTTATATTTTTGTAATCCCACTGATAAGGTAGTAATAAGCATGGCAACTCTCCCAAGTGCTATCTCTTTTATATTAATAACTGATTTTGTAAAAATAAGATCAAATCACCAAAAACTGCAGGCCAATTTCCAGGCATGTCAACATACTGCCTGCCCTGAACTCCAGAGCACAGTGCAGCACTGAGCATATCCTTCTTGGGTTCTTTTTTCCCATTTGCTCTCATTAAAGTGTTGACAAATACGCACCTGTCAGAAAATCTTCAGCATATTTTTTCACTCTGGAAGGAGCCCAATGAATGACGTTAGCAGGACTAATAAATTTCTCTTTCCCTTTCTTGAAATTTACCAACGTACCATACCAACACAATGAAATTTTTCTGACTCAAGGAAAGCAAAAGAGACCCCAGGAATATTTAAAGAATTTCTCAACCACAGATATAGACATGTACAAAACCCATATCCTGACTTGAGAAAACAAACATGTATCCAAAGGAGATTTCAAATCCTTGGCAAAAATAGCCTATGAAAAAAGCAATTTTTGGCTCATTGGGGACATTTACATTTTGGGCCTTTTACAACTGGTTCTCTCCTTCACTGCTAACATCACAAAAACAATATATTCATATTTTTAACTGATAGTTTTAAATGGAATACATAGTGATAAAACTGGGGAACACAGCAAATGCAAACATTAGTGACAAAGAAAAGTCTCTTTCAAGATCAATAATTTCAAGGATTTTAGAACAGTGGTGCTAAAGAGCATCTCTTGCATATCACAACTCTCAAGAGAACATTAGGAAAATATGATAAAACCTATGGAATCTTCACTGCTATAAATGACAGCACTTCTAAATATTTGAAAATGATATCTTAGCATGCCACACATGATTCAATCTAAAATGGATATTTGAAGTCCCACTGGATTCATCCCCCTTTGCAATCATTTAGTGACCCACGCCCACCTAGGAGTTTGCCAGCACTGCCCTAGAGTCTAATATCCATTCAAGGGGCTGGGGGAAGGGGGGTGGTTCACACCCATAATTCCAGTACTTTGGGAAGCCAAGGTGGGAGGATGGCTTGAAGCCAGGAGTTTGAAACCAGCCTATGCAACATGGTGAGACTCCGTCTCCATAAAAAATTTTTAAAAATTATATAAAAACAAAAAAAGTCCATCAAGGGATTCACTTTAAATAAGTGAAGTCAAGAAACATTTGGGACAAGTGCTTATTATGTGCAGTGTTCATCACTGCTGCTACAAAGATAAATTATACAGAGAATCCCTGCCCCAAGCTAACAGGATACCTTGGGTGCATCAAAGGTCTAACCTTTATAGGGTGCACAGAGGAAAACACACAAGCCATGGGAGACATAAGAAAATGACATGTAGCGTTGCATTCATTTTACCAGTGGGAAATAAAGAACCAATAAGGTCAATGACAAAATGAATAGAGAATTATCTATTATAAAAAGAAAGAGGCCAGGTTCAGTGGCTCATGCCTGTAATTCTAGCACTTTGGGAGGCAGAACTGGGATCACTTGAAGCCAAGAGTTCAATACTGGCATGAACAACATAGTAAGACCCCATTTCTCTTTTTTTTTTGAGACAGGGTTTCACTCGTCACCCAGGCTGGAGTGCAATAGCATGATTGTAGCTCACTGCAGCCTTGATCTCCCAGGCTCAAGCTATCCTCCCACCTCAGCCTCCCAAATAGCGGGGCTACAAGTGGGTGCTACCATGCCTGGCTAACTTTTTTCTCTAAAGCAGAGACAAGGTTTTGCTAGGTTGCGCAGGCTGGTCTCAAACTCCTAAGCTCAAGCAATCCTCCTGCCTCAGCCTCCCAACAGGCTGGGATAATAAGAGCCTGGCCAAAAGACGCCACCTCTACAAAAAATAAAAGAATTAGTCAGGCATGGTGGCATGCTCCTGTACTCCTAGTTACTTGGGAAGCTAAGGCAAGAGGGTCACTTGAGCCCAAGAGTTTAAGGTTACAGTGAGCCATGATCGTGCCACTGTGCTCCAGTCTAGGTGACTGAGTGAGACCCTGTCTCAAATAAATAAGTAATTTTAAAGAGAAATGAGATCTAATTTCTGGATATTATACCATTTGCTAAACCAAAATTCCTACATTTTAAAACAAGTCATATACCAAAACCTTTTAGGATTACACTCTGGCCTCTGAATCAACAATACCCTAAGAAGAACTGCCAAGACTAGAATTCTGTCCATAGTATGTGGTCAGCTCTGCAGTGGTCTTTCTCATTCTTGAGGCAGTCCAGGTTCTGGATGCTTCGAGCTTTGCTATGAAGATAAACCCAACTCTAGAATGTGATGGCTGGGCCAGTCCCAGTCAATCTACATCTACGTAAGACACTTGTTTAGAAAGCTCCCTTTTTCTTAACTCCTTGTCTACTATGTCAAAAGCCAAGACTCAGCAGAGGACAAGAGACAGTTGTTTATACAGGTGCCACTTTCTAAAGGGTCCTCACAGAAGCAAACCTCTCCCCACAGAGCTGGACTCAGATCACAGGCCTAATGACACCATGGGGGGTGTCAGTAGGGGTGGGGGGATCCTGCACCAAAGAGAGAAGCAGGGTCCTGGGATGAGGGGGATGGGAACCAAAACAAAATTGAATGAGCATAGACTCTACTTTGCCAGGCTTCCACATCTGGGGGTAGGATGCTATGCACTAGGTAACATGAAACATACTAAAATAAAAGCATACGTGGAAACGTAAAGATTGAACCCAGAATTGCTTATTTAAGTCCTCAAGTTTTTTTTTTTTTTCCTAAAAGGAAACCACATTCCTTCACTAACCCTCCTTCATCCCCACCCCCACTGCCTGACCCCAAGTAATAGCCGTTTCTGTCCAGAGTTTAAATGACCTCTGCCCTTCCACCCACTTTATCTTCTATAGGAATTTCATTCATCCTTTTGTTGCCCACTGGAACACATTGTGCCCTCATTTTCCCTCTCACTTTTAATCATATGCCTAAAGAAAGTCTTGTAATAGGCAAAGGAAGCAGCAATGGGTAGGGGAGAAAAGATGAAAATTAAGTCCTACTGTGATAAAATTATACTTCTTTTTAGTAGGACAGACACAAATGTTTCTTAAAAATATGAGTGTATGTGTATGATATAATAATAAATAATTGTTTTCATTCCTAATTACTAAATTAAGAACATATAATCTAAAAGGCAATTAGTCATCTTAGTTATACCAATTTCACTCTGTCTTAGTGCCCCAAGGAGAAGAGGAGATGACACACACTGAGTTTTGAATCAGGCATCAAACATCTAGTCTGAAGCTGCATCAGGCTTGGCATCAAACATCTAGTCTGAAGCTGCATCAGGCTTGCCTTATCTCTCTGCCTCCTTCATTCAGGTCCAGCTCCTGGAAAGCTACCCAACATTCATTTCAAGTCCTTTGTAATTCAAGGGAAAGCCAAGAAGTAGGAGTGGGCCTACGCAGAAACCCCTGGGCATGAATAAAGATTTGAGAACTTTTCTCAAGATAGTTACTGTGACTAAAAAAATAAGCAAGGGACTGAAAAAAAGAAAAAAAAGAAAAGAAAGAAAATGAGACAAAAGATGAAAAACACACCAAACAAAATAAAAAATGAGGCAGTAGGACAGGGCGTGGTGGCTCACGCCTGTAATCCCAGCACTTTGGGAGGCTGAGGAAGGTGATCACTTGAGGTCAGAAGTTCGAGACCAGCCTGGCCAACATGGTGAAACCCCATCTCTACTAAAAATACAAAAATCAGCCAGACACGGTGGCACGCACCTGTGATCCCAGCTACTCAGGAGGATGAGGCAGGAGAATCGCTTGAACCCAGGAGGCGGAGGTTGCAGTGAGCTGAGATCATGCCACTGCACTCCAGCCTGAGTGACAGAACAAGACCCTGTCCGAAAAAAAAAAAAAAATGAGGCAGCAAGTTATAGAAAAAGAGTGTCCTTTCAGCCAACTTGTCCTTCAGTTCTCAGATAAGGATCCACTTCATCCGGGATGCTTTCCCTGATGCCAAGTCAGTTTAAGGTATCGTCCCCCGGGAACTCTCCTACTACATTCCTCATCCTACAGCACCTATCCTCGTGGGCTGTAATTAAATAGTTAACAGTCCACCTTCCCTACTGGAATAACAGAGTGAGGACAGGGACCATATCTTGCTTGTAATTGCAGTATTTTCAGTATCAACATTAGCTCATGGTGAGAGTCAGTAAGCACTATTAGAAAAGTAAACAATATAAGTTCAAACCCTGGTCCCACCATTAACTCACACTGTGACATAAATATACTCAAGTTTGCTTATCTGTAAAATGAAGATAAGAAGATAGATAACACTGTAATGTACCGGAAAGTGTTGGTGCAATTCATGCCATGCAATAAATGTTAACTGCTTTTTCTTCATGCCCTTTCTTTTATTTTTGGAGACAGGGTCTCACTCTGTTGCCCAGGCTGGAGTGCAATGACACAATCACGGCTCACTGCAGCCTTGACCTCTCAGGCTCAAGCGATCCTCTCTCCCTAGTCACCCAAGTAGCTGGGACTACAGGCACGCATCACCACACCCAGTTAATTTTTGTATTTGTGTTTTTTTGTAGAGATGGGGTTCGCCATGTTGCCCAGGCTGGTCTCAAACTCCTGAGCTCAAGCAATATGCCTGTCTTGGCCTCCCAAAATGGTGGCACCACAGGCATGAGGCACCATGCCTGGACTCTACACGCCATTTTATTAGTTCTCAAACCTCTATTCTGATAGGTCCTTTCCTGCCTTCCTCTCTCACTAATGCATCTCCTCCTCAACTCCATCTGGAGTCTTTCTGCTATTTTACCCTTCTCTCCTCTTGCCCTTCCCTCCTACTCTCCTTTCAATATTCATTTCCCTTACATATTTGCATCATCTTATAATGAAGAATTATTTGCATTTGAAAACTGAACTTTACCTTCTAATTCACATGAAGACAAAACACCTTATATGACTACTTGGCTCATACTCCAGATATGCTTTAACCTATGATTATTTGTAGAATGATTGAAAAATCTGAGTAAATGCTAATTCTATAAATTACAGTGAAACATTATGCAGATTTTAATCTATCACTTCCAAAAGTGGTGTAAGCCTCTTTTAAAATTAAATAAAACCCTACTAAAATAGAATTACATTTATGTAAATTATGTATGCAAAATATTTTCTTTTCATAATAACATGTTAAATTAAGTTTAGCCTAAAGTGGCCTCCTTACATATTTTAGGTTCTGCCTAAAAGTGTCTCCATGCATAGTCGACTGTGACCTGACTGGATGTGTAAAAAGACTGTAAACTACCCTTGTGTCAATCACTGAGTTTCAGCCAATTAAAGGCTGTTCCAATATCATATTCAAATAAGGTTCAAAACATCAAGCTATAATGAAGACAGTTGTTTCTGTACCTCAGTTCCATTTTCTGTACATCACTTTCCTCTCTCTGTCCACAAACCTTCAACCATGCACAGAGCCGGAGTCTCTCTCAACCTATTCTGGCTCAGGGACTTCCCGATTTGCAAATTGTTCTTTACACAATTTAGCTTGTCTAAGGTTTCACTTTTAACACATGCATAATTTAGCATAATTATTACTTAATTTTTGTGATGCAGCTTTAATGCTCTCAAAAAACCTCACTTCCTCAAAACATATTTATTTTTATAGAACAATGCAAATAAGGACAAAAGACAAAACACTTATATCCTTAAACCCAAAATCCCATAAAATATCTCTACTGACCTTTGGTGAGCAGGATTTAGTATTATGACCCATTCTCCAAAGAAGAAACTAGCCGGGCACGGTGTTGAGCACGGTGGCTCATGCCTGTAATCCCAGCACTTTGGGAGGCCAAGGCGGGCAGATCATGAGTTCAGGAGATCGAGACCATCCTGGCTAACACAGTGAAACCCTGTCTCTACTAAAAATATAAAGAATTAGCTGGGCGTGGTGGCAGACGCCTGTAGCCCCAGCTACTTGGGAGGCTGAGGCAGGAGAATGGCATGAACCCGGGAGGCGGAGCTTGTAGTGAGCTGAGATTGGGCCACTGTACTCCAGCCTGGGCAACAGAGCGAGACTCCGTCTCAAAAAAAAAAAAAAAAAAAGAAGAAGAAACTAAATCAAAGAACGCCAAGCTACCACCTCTCCCTGGAGAACTGAGAATAAGCAGGTTATCGCAATAGCACTTGTCTACTATGAATAAGGGACGAGTCTAAACTGTACTTAGTACAATTCAAATGAAGGCCTGCGTGCTTCTAGAGCATTTTTCATAATTAAAAGGGGGGAAGTGTTATGAACAATTAAAGCCTAGATACAGATGTGTGAATGTATGTGTGTGGTTTATGGATGAAAATATTCTCAAGTTTTATTTCAGTATATGTCAGAGAATCTGTCAGATGCCAATCAAACTGGCACATCACACTGACTCCATCCCAAGTCACCATCTGGATAACTGCACTCCTGACACCATCTCTTGGAGAGGGGGCTTTTCAATGTAATGAAAATATCAGAAAAATTGCAAAAGTCACTGTTACATGTTTTTTCCCAAATGTAACTAATCATTTCACCTGCCATTCCATTACTTAGTTTTTTGTTAATAATGTTGGAAGTAATAAAGGTTTCTATAAGATCTTGTTTTCTAATTTTTTTTTCTTTTCTTTTCTTTTTTTTTTTTTTTTTTTTTTTTGAGACAGAGTTTTGCTCTTATTGCCCAGGCTGGAGTGCAATGGCACGATATCAGCTCACTGCAACCCCCGCCTCCCGGGTTCAAGCGATTCTCCTGCCTCAGCCTCCCAAGTAGCTGGGATTACAAGCATGTGCCACCATGCCCAGCTGATTTTGTATTTTTAGTAGAGACAGGGTTTCTCCATGTTGGTCAGGCTGGTCTTAATCTCCCGACCTCAGGTGATCTGCCTGCCTCAGCCTCCCAAAATGCCAGGATTACAGGCGTGAGCCACCGCGCCTGGACTATTTTCTAATTTCTAAAAGATTCTCTGAAATATTTAATCAATTACAAAGAAAAAGTAAAACTTTCTGGCTTGATACAAGAGAATGACACAATAATCCCAGGACTTTTTAATATTTAAGCAAGTATCTATATGTTTTTTCCCTTTTCATAATTTCCTTCCATTTTTTTCCCTTTTAAAAAGACTCTTTTACAGCAGTTTTAGGTTCACAGCAAAACTGAGCAGGAAGTACAGAGAGTTCCCATATACTCCTAAACACAGACAAGCACAGCCTCTCCTACAATCAATATCCCTAACCAAAGGGGTACATTTCTTACAATCAGTGAACCTACATTGACAAGCATCATCAACCTAAGTCCACAGTTTATATCAGGGTTCCCTCTTGGTGTTCTATGCCATGGTTTTGGAAAAATGTTTAATCACATGTATCCACCATTACAGAACCATACAGCATAATTTCAGTGTTCAAAAAAATCCTGCGTGCTCAACTTACTCATTCTCCCTGCCCCTTAACTTCTGGCAACCACTGATCTTTTTACTGTCTCATAGTTTTGCTTTTTCCAGAATGTAATATAGTTCAAAGGACATTTTGGTTGCTTCCAAGTTTTGGCAGTTATGAGTAAAGCTGTTATAAATATCCATGTGCAGGTTTTTGTAAAGACATAAGTTTTCGACTAACTTAGGCAAACACCAAGCAATGCACTAGATCATATAGTAAGAGTATGTTTCGTTTTGTAAGAGACTGCCAAATTGTCTTCCAAAGTGACTGTACCATTCTGCATTTCCACCTGCAATGAATGAGAATTCCTGTTGATCCACATTCTCACCAGCATTTAGTGTTGTCAGTGTTCTGGATTTCTGTCATTCTAATAGGTACCTGGTGGTAGCTCACTTTAATCTGCATTCCCTAATGACATGTGTGTGAAGCATCTTTTCATATGCCATATGTATATCTACTTTGGTGAAGTGTCTGTTCAGGTCTTTTGCCCATTTTTCAATCCAATGGTTCATTTTCTTACTATTGAGTTTTAACAGTTCTTTGTACATTGTACATTTTAGCTAACAGTCTTTTATCAGATATATCTTTCACAAATATTTTCTCCTAGTCTGTAACTTGCCTCATATTCTCTTGACAGTGTCTTTTGCAGAGCAGAGTTTTTAACTTTAATGAATTTCAGCTTATCGAATGTTTCTTTCATATACTGTGCCTTTAGAATGCATCTAAAATGTCACCACCAAATCTAAGTTCATCCAGATTTTCTCTTCTTGGAGTTTCATAGTTTTGTGTTTTACATTTAGATCTGTGGTCCATTTTGAATTAATTTTTGTGAAGAGTATAACGTCTGTTTCTAGATTCATTGTTTGCATTTGAATGTCCAGTTACTCCAGCAGCCATTTGTTGAAAACACTGTCTTTTCTCCATTCTATTATTTTTGCTCCTTTGACAAAAGGTCACTTGACTATATTTATGTGAGTCTATTTCTGGGCTCTCTAATCTAGTTCATTAATCTGGTTTGTCTTTCTTTCACCAACACCACACTGGCTTGATTGCTGTAGCTTTACAGTAAGTCTTGAAGTTGGATGGTGTGAGTCCTCTTTGTTTTTCTCCTTCAATATTGTGTAGGCTATTATGGGGCTTTTGCCTCTTCATATAAACTTCAGAATCAGTTTGTCAATATACACTGATATAGTTTGGATGTCTGTCCCCTCCAAATCTCATGTTGAAATGTAATCCTCAATGTTGGAGGTGGGGCCTCGAGGGAAGTGTTTGGGTCATGGGGGCGCACCTCTTATGAGTAGCTTGGTACTGTCCTTGCAATAATGAGTGAGCTCTCACGAGATCTGGCTGTTTAAAAGTGTGTGGCACCTCCTCCCTCACTCTCTTGCTTCTGCTCTTGCCATGTGAGGTACCTGCTCCCACTTCATTGTCTGCCATGAGTAAAAGCTCCCTGAGGCCTCACCAGAAGCCAGGCAGATGCCGGCACCATGCTTCCAGTACAGCCTGCAGGACTGTGAGCCAATTAAACCTTTTTTTCTTTATAAATTACCCAGCCTCAGATATTCCTTTATAGTGATGCAAAAATGGACTAAAACATCCACAAAACAACTTGTTTGGATTTTGATTGGGATTGTGTTGAATCTATAGATCAAGTTGGGAAAAAAACTGACATCTTGACAATATTGAGCCTTCCTATCCATGAATGTGGATTATCTCTCATTTGTTTTTTATTTCTTTCATCGGATTTTTGTAGTTTTCCTTGCACAGATATTGCATGTTTTGTTAGCTTTATAGCTATAAGTATATAGGTCCATATATATGTGTATATATATATAAGTATTCATTCTTTTAGGTGCTAATGTAAATGGCAATGTGTTTTTAACTTCTAGTTTCATTTGTTGATGCCATATAGAAAAGTGATTGGCTTTTGTGTATTAACCTTGTATCCTTCAACCTTGCTAATTGACTAATAAGGACTAAAAAAACTTTCAGGAGTTTTGTTGTCAATTCTTTTGGATTTTCTACGTATATTATCATGTCCTCTGTAAACAGACATTTTTATTTCTTCCTTCCCAATCTTTATACCTTTTCTTTTCTTTGTCTTATAACATTAGCTAGGACTTCCTGTATAATGTTGAAAAAAAGTGGTGAGAGGGGACATCCTTGTCTTGTTCCTTACCTTAATGAGAAAGCTTCTCTTTTCTCCATTAAGTATGTTGTTATCTGTAGGATTTGGGGTAAATTTTTTTTCTTATCAAGTTGAGGTAGTCCCCTCTATTGCTAGTTTACTGCCAGTTTTTATCAAGAATGGGTGTTGAATTTGGTCAAATTCTGCATCTACTGGTATGACCATATAGTTTTTCTTCTTTAGTTTGTTGCTGTGATGGATTACATTAATTGATTTTTCAATACTGAACCAGCCTTGCATACTTAGGATAAATTCCATTTGGTCATTGTGTATAATTCTTTTATACATTGTTGCATTTGATTTGACAATATTTTGGTAAGACTTATACACCTATGTTCATGACAGATATTGCAGTTCCTTTTCTTGTAATGTCTTTATCTGGTTTTGGTATTAGGTTAATGCTGGCCTCATACAGTAAGTTACAAAGTATTCCCTCTGCATCTATCTTCTGAAAGAGACTGTAGAGAGTTGGTATAATTTCTTCCTTCAGTGTTTGGTAGAATTCATCACATCTGGGCCTGGGGATTTGTTTTGGAAGGCTATTAATTACTGATTAAATCTCTTTAATAAATATAGACCTATACAGATTGTCTCTTCACTTCCCTTAGTTTTGTTTATTATTGAAGTTTCATTATATTTCTCTCAGAAACATCAAATTCACAGATTTATTATCTATAAATATGTGGGATACTAATTTGTTTTCTAATAGTCAAGTAATGTATTTTTTGTTTTTTTTTTCGTTTGCTTGTTTGTAACTTCCTGTGTGTGTGAAGCGTGAAGGGTCTCACTTCATCGCACAGGCTGGGGTGCAGTGGTGCAATCATGGCTCACTGCAGCCTCAACCTCCTGAGCTCAAACAATCCTGCTGCCTCAACCCCCCAAGCGGCTGGGACCACTGGCACACACCACCATGCCTGGTTAATTTTTGTATTTTTTGTAGAGACAAGGTTTTGTCCTGTTGCCCAGGCTGGTCTTGAACTCCTGAGCTCAAGAGATCTGCCCACCTTGGCCTCCCAAAGTGGTGGGATTATAGGCATGAGCCACCATGCCCAGCCTAATAGTCAGGTAATGTAGTATCTGTGATATATGTTAGCTATATTTGTATCAGTAGTTTAAGGCAGGCAAAATATTACTATTGAATCTTTAGAAGTCCATATTCTTAGTTTGTTATAACACATTTGGAAAAAAAGAAATAAAGAAATAAAAATAAAAGTCTATATTCTGAAAAAGCTTCGAAAAAATTGGAAATTATAATGTTTTAGAAATTATAATTGTAAATTATGAAGTTTAAGCATTTAAAAATTTTCATTATTTGTCTTCATGAGACCTAAATTAAAGATATTCAGCTATTTTTAATTTTTTTCTAGAAGATTTTGAGATATATTTTCTGGCTAAAATTTTCCATAACTGTTCTTGCTCCTTTTATTGTTGTTGTGAGGATAAATAAAATCTATGCATTTACTACCATGGAGCACATAAATGTCTGTTCAGAAATAAGAAATGCTTTCTCCGCCAGGAATGGTTGCTCACCTCTATAGTCCGAGAACTATGGGAAGCTGAGGTGGAAAAATCAGTTGAGCCCAGTGGTTTGAGACCAGCCTAGGTGATGAAGTGAGACCCCCATCTCACTCAAAAATCACTAATTCAAAAATAATTTTTAGAAAGCTAGTTAATTGTCTTCAGTATTTTTCCTTCTATTTATATTTTTGACAATTTGATATTTCATTTTTCAACATTATAACTTATAATAAAGCAAAATACTATCTAGTACCTCATGCAGTACACTTCCCATGGTCTTCCATTTTTAAAAAGTGAGTTTGGGCTAGGCGCAGTGGCTCATGCCTTTAATCCTAGCACTTTGGGAGGCCGAGGCAGGCGGATCACTTGAGCTCAGGAGTTTGAGACCAGCCTGAGCAACATGGCGAAACCCCATCTCTACAAAAATTACAAAAAAAAAAAAAAAAACCAGCCAGGTGTGGTGGTACATGTCTGTAGTCCCAGCTACTTGGGGAGCTGAGGTGAGAAGATCGCTTGAGCCCAGGAGGTTGAGGCTTCAGTGAGCCAAGACCATGCTATTGCACTCCAGCTGGGTGACAAAGTGAGACCCTGTCTCAAAAAAAAAAAAAAAAAAGTGAGTTTGAAATTTAAAATTTTCTTGCTATTTCTTATATAGTCAGACAAGGCTTGGTTCAACACCCTGAGCTGGGTTGGCTTGACAGGACTAGCACTAGACCTGACCCAGAGGTAAAGGCAATTGTGGGAAGAGCGGACGGACCTGGGAAGAAATCTAGAAGCCAACGAGCAGAACACCAAAGCTTGTCACTGGGCAACAGAGAACTGGTCCAACAAAGCTGTCACCATCAGAAATGTGTGTCACCAGGTCAGAGAAACAGGAAATCAAGGCAGGTAACGGGAGACAAAATCAAGGAAAGTCAGTTGGCAAAAGGGCCCAGGACACGAGTCTGGAACTCGGGTAACTGAAAGAATAGGAAGTACTAGAGACAGAAAGAAAAGCCTAAACCTGAAAGGTGTACAAGACAAGTTACTAAACCAGGGGTTCTGGACAAAGGAATAAGGCAAAGGACTACAAGGTCCTGGCTAGCTGAGCATCAGATATGAGGAATAAAACATTGGCCTGGGAGAAGGGAATAGGGAGTTACTGTTTAATGGATACAGAGTTTTAGCTGGGGAAGCTAAAAAAACTCTATAGATGGATTCTGGCTAGTGATGGTCGCTCAACAATGTGAATGTACTTAATGCCACAGAACCGTATACTTTAAAATGTTAAGTCTTATGCACATTTTACCAAAAAACAAAAAAAAGTTTAATGAGGGAAAAAATGTTTTCCAGCTTCATTGATCTAAGCCACTGGGTCTCTTCAATTTCCCTGAGAACATTCCTATGGTTTTCCAAATCATCACAACACAAATAATATTCTTTTAGATTGAACTTCCAGCAAGAAATTAATTTAAATGTGAATGCTATTATCCCTATGGGGAATAAGCAGTAGCCAGGGTTTGCATCAGAACTGAGTTTGATATAGTCATTTTTATCTTAAATGTATATGTATGCAAGTGTGTAATATATATTATTATATATTGATTATACATATATCAATATATGTTAATGATATGTGTAATATATGTAAATATAATATAATATATAATATAATATAAACATATTCTGTCTATAATATAGAATATGTTTATATATAATATAGAATATAAATATATAATATATAATATATAATATAAATATAGAATATAGAATATAGAATACAGATTATAGAATATAGAATATAAATATATATTATATAATATATAGAATATAGAATATATATATTATAGAATATAGAATATAGAATATAAATATATATTATAGAATATAGAATATAATACATGTTATATAATATATATAATATAAATATATTATATATTTTATATATAGTATATATATATTTGCCCCCAAAACAAAAGCAAAACACTGGCCTGGTGCAAAAACTCCTTTTACCCTTTCCCTGGAGCCAGGAGAGCCTGGGGATAAGATTCAGTCACTCACAGGGAAGGGCAGCTGCAGACCAGGGACCAAAAGTGAACACCACCATCTCAATCTAAAATGCAGATACAGCCAAAGACTAATTTAAGAATTAGAGCAGCATTACTGCCTTTTTATAGCTGGTGAAAGCTAGTGCTGAAATACATATACAGGTATGCAAACTAGGTAGCATCATACTCAATAAATACATGAATTAACTGATTCATTAATGGAAAGAAGCATTTAAGAATAAAAAATGTTAAGTAAAAGTAATCCAGGAGTAAAATTTTGCTTTAAGTAATTAGGAGTCAATGATTCATTCAAGGTACCTTCAATATATTCAATAAATAATTTACAGTATTTAGCAGTCAGACTTCTTAACAGACTTTGCTCTCTAAAATATGCAAAGAATCATGATTCCTCCCTCCAAATACAACTTCCCAAAAAGTTACCAGACTCAAACTCCTTAATAACCCTTTCTTACATAACAGAGAATTCACAGTAAGCTTAACTATCTGATTTCCCAACTCACAAAAAAATTACAATGAGGAGCTGATAGACGCAAGCATAAGAACAGTGGAAGAAGGAACAACTGACCTTTACAGAAGACAGAGAAAACCCCAGAGTCTGTATTAAGACAAGGTGCAATAATGAGTATACATACTGGCAACCCTAAATCATCAGGAGAGGGTTAATTTATGCCAAATCGTTTCTGTTCAATCAATATAAGGAATACTTGATGTATTCAAGAAAGTATTTAATAAAAATTACAGAAATTTAAAAAGGGCTCTGGTATTTGGCGTAACAAACTCCAGTTAGGTATATATTCACCCATGACAACACCTTACTTCCAATAAAGGAGTCATTACTTTATTTTCAGGTTTTTCCTCCTAAAAGAAACTATTTCAAAGCTATCAGAGATTATTCGCTTACAAAAAAAACCAAAAACCCCCAAAACTAATGTACTCTCCTCTGAGATCTCTAACCAAATATTTGAGGGATGGTGTATAAGGAGCAGCTTGTGTTTGTTCTTCCTTGTCTACTGTTTTGTATTTCCTTCAGGCCTATTTGCAGGCAGAGGGCCAGTAGACAGCTGCTCTAATTACTCAAAGAACTCAAACTCAAGAACTGTATTCATGCATTCTTGCTGTTCAAACCAGGGGTTTATAAATTTTGTAGGTGAGAATACTTCTTCATTTTTATCCCTCTACTACTTTCTCTCATTAATTATTAGAAAATCAATTATTTACATGTCGCCCTGTATGCAATCGTTATTCACTTAAATGTCATGCTTTTTATTCCTAGATTTTTATTTTGTCTCAAATGACTAAAATGATACTTGGATAGACAGTTTGTTATTAGCAATCAACTTCCAGGCGATCAGTACAAACTAGCGTGTGGTACTCTAAATTACAGGAAAGACAGAAGAGAGAAAAAAAGAAAAGAGAAAGCAGAAATGTGGGTTTTGCTGCAAAGAAATACCAAAATTGTTTCCAATCAGTCAAAGTGAATCATCTGTCTACCAACATGCCTCATTTTTCATTGTCTATAGGTAACTTAGAAAAGAGTAACTAATGCAAGGAATAGTTTTGTTATAAAATGTGCATAATTTTGACTGCTTTAATAATGAAATTTAAATTCACATGTATTTCCTTCTTTTCTATGAACTTCTTTTAATCATAACTGGAAAAAAAATGTCAAGTGGTGTCCACAGCTAGCTGACACTTCACATGAAGATTGAAGAAGAATAAATTTCATTTTAAATACATGTTCCTTCGCAAGTTCTGTGATTAAACATTCACGCTAGCTTTCCTCGGTCAAAAATGAAAGAACCGAATGAACTTCTGTTTGATCCTCTCCTCCACAGGATAAATTTTCCTTTTTCTAGTACATTTAGAGTGCATATTTTGGCAAGTGTGGACTAGGGAGTGGGGAAGGTGTTGTGGGTGGGGAACACTTGCTTTCTTCCATGAGAGCAACCCCTGCCTGGCCTTCGGAGAGATTTTAGCAATTCCCAATCCTGCCCCACTTCCAGCAGTCTGGGCACCTGGGCACCCAGCTCCAATGGGATTAGCTTTCACTGTACTGGATTCCTCTGTCAAACAACTGACCCGCAAACTCTATAGTTACCACCATGCAACACAAAGCTTGAACATACTAACAATCTGTTACTATTCACTGGTGTGTAATGTACACAGGAATGTGAAATTACATGGAAATGCAATCCGGAGTAAAAATCTAAAAATTCATACATTGTATTAGGTTAGTATTTATAATTTCCAAAAACAAAGTCATTGAAGAGGTCATGATTTTTGTTAAAATTAATGAGATTAAAGATCAGGCACAGGTTAAATTTGCCTTCAAGGCAGAAGTTTAGCAGACAAACAATTCTGGTTTAGTTAAAAGTACATGGTCTTTGAACTCTCGTGTCGAAAGAGTTGAACACAACTAAACTTTAATGTGAAAAGGTCTCAAGTAGTTAATCAGAAATGAGAGGCGCACATAGCATTTTATACTGTTTTCGATTTGCTGACACAACATCATTCTGTGCTCTCTAGTGAGCAAGAGTAATCCTCAATAGCATTAAGACGAAAGGCTGAACACAAAACCGCAGGCAAGTCAAGTAGTGATTTTATTCTTTTTGTCATTTTTCTTTCAAGTGGAAGATCCCTAACACTCTCTGCTCCTGACAATGTTTATAAACAGAACTCTGAGAAGCATCTGAATGTAAAAAAAAAATAGGTCTCTCCAACAAACTGTGATAGACGATCAACCAGCTGAGTCCTCTTCCAGATGACATGGGGTTGGAAGTACTTTTAAGACCTAGTTTCCACAAAAATAAAACTCTTAAAATTACTCAACTTGCTGGGTCTGATCCCTATGAAAGAAAAATAGTGTATAACATAAGATATACCATAATCAGTTACACCAACAACTCAGTTCCGAGAAAAGTTTGAAAACATTAACATTGGAAAAGAAAGTTCAATCAAAGACATGCATTAGGCTAAAACGTTCTTTATGATAGCACTTCATTTTAACATATAAACACTATGCTCCTTATAACATACCTTGTAATCTATAAAATAAAGGCAACATATTTTATGTCTGATAATAAAAAAAAGTTAACTGCTAAATCCTAGATGACAAAACACTTCATCTTTTACCCCATAAAATTTGCCCTGAATTTTAAAATTCATCACTTACGTAATATCTGAATTCTACAACTCTGATAGCCTTTTATTAGCAGGCTATGTAAAGATCCAAAATCGTTACACAGTACAAACAGTGAACTGCTAAGCTAAAGTATAACCTTTTTGCTTAACTGGATAGACTAAAGTAATAATAGACTATGTAATACAAACTTCTCAAAGTAAGTCTTCGTTCCCCTCATCCATCCCAAAAAAACACTACTAATAGTTTTTCCTTGAACATCTATACATTATCAAGTGTAGGTGTCTACTATGTAATAATAATATACATTCAAACCACCTTTTTGGGTTTTCTTAAATGTAGGCTTATCTTCTGCTCAAAGCAAAGATACTGCAATAGAAAATCAGCAATGTGACAATTATAATATGCTCTTAAATTATAAATCAATAGGCTGGTCATGGTGGCTTACGCCTGTAATCCTAGCACTTTGGGAGGCCGAGGCAGGTAGATCACTTGAGATCGGGAGTTGGAGATCAGCCTGGCCAACATGGTGAAACCCCGTCTCTACTAAAAATACAAAAAATTAGCCAGGCATGGTAGCAGACACCTGTAGTCACAGCTACTTGGGAGGCTGACGCAGGAGAACTGCTTGAACCTGGGAGGTGGAGGTTGCAGTGAACTGAGATTGCACCACTACACTCCAGCCTGGGTGACAGAGCTGAGACTCGGTCTAAAAAATACATATATATGTATTTTATATATATATTTTTATACATATTTATATATATATATAAATCATTAACTGTTCTGTATATTTTGACAACTTCCTAAGAGGAATTTAAGATAATAGAATTTCATTCCAAATTAATAACATTGTTAAGATAAATACTGTAACAAAATAATAACAAAGTCTCCTTCAATAAAAGTGGAATAGTAATCTGAGGACAAATTTCAGTCAGTTTATTGCTTCCCTTGTTAATCTTTCACCTTCTAAAATGCATTTTACAACTAAAACTGAGAAAGAACTTATGTTAACAACTCTCTATTTTGTGACACTTTAACTTTAATGGAACATGTTTATTCCTTCCTGCTCCCAACGACACTTCCAATACATGAGTTCAGCTAAGAAAACTCAGTTCTAAAATGGCAAGTTCTCAGCTGTCTATGAAGCCAAATGGGCGGCTATAAATGCCTGTGTGGACAGCACCCCTGTCCTCGCATGGATTTTTATGAGGCACCATGTGGCACCCCTCGTGGTTTGCCCAGCTGCAGCTCTTCACAAGGCGGGAAACACATGTGACATTGCCTCCAACTTCCTCTGCCTTCCCAAGTGGCATCAGTCCTCCAACACGCAGACTCACTTTAAGGCACTGACCCTGGACCTTCCTGGGGCCTTTCTGCCAGGAAGATATAAAAGAACATCTATTCATTCCATTGACAGGTAACAGACCCTCATCAAGTGCAAGGTGCTGCACTCAACATGTAGGGATAGTAACATGCAATGGCCACTAAGCATGGATCAGAAGGGAAGATAGAAATATAAGCCACCACACCTCTCCACAAAATGCAGCACATATAATAAGAAATACACATCACATTCTATGAGAGTTCTGAGGCACTGGCAAGATCAGAGAAGGCAATGTGAAAGGGGTGGTGGCTAAAATGGCCCTAAAAGGATGGGTAGGAATTAGAGATGCAAATAAAGTACACTATGGATAGTTAAGAAAAGAGAGGGAAACCAGAGCATGAGGCAGGCAGGGAAGAGACATCCGCTCACTCATTCAGACAACGAATGTTTACTGAACATATGGTCCCAGATGTGGGGGATACACCACGACACACCATGAATAAGACAGACAGTCACTGATTGCTTGGAGCTTACTTTCTTTTTTAAAAATTATGTCCTTCTTTCCATGTTCAAATATCTAAAGGAGCTTACTTTCTAATGGGGTGATGGGCAAGCATATCAACAAATAATTATAGAAGTTAATTTCAGGTTGTGATAAGCGCAAATAAAAATAAACCAGGGTAAGAGCACAGTGGGTGGAGATAGGTAATCAATAAGAATGTGATATGTGAGCAGAGACTGGATTCAAGTGTGGAAGAGGTGATCCTAAGGAAGGGAGCCAAAAAAGCACAGGCAAAAACCCTGGGGCAGAACAGTTGGGCATATTTAAGAACAGCTAGAAGGCCAGTGTAGCTGGAAGAAAATACGTGAATCAAAGAGGTAAGAGATGTTGCTGGAAAGATAAGTACAGGTAAGAATGAATGTTTCTCCTTAAAGGCACCATTGACATTTGGGGCAGAATACTGTGGTCTTGTTGTATTTAGCATCATGGCCCTTGTGGCACTAAATGCCAACAGTACTGTCCTTGTAACAATTTAGAAGCTCCACTAATTTCTAAACACTCCTATGAGGGACAGGAAGCAGGCAGTACATCCCACTGAGAACCACTGAGACAGATCCTGTATGGCCTTGTGGTCATAAATATGATTTTGTTCTAAGTGTAAGGAAGAAGCCAGTAGAGAGCTATAAACAGAGGAAATGGCATATTGCCTATTTCTAGAAGGCCATGATCTAATTTCCTATTTTTTTTTTTTTTGAAATGGAGTCTTGCTCTGTGGTCCAGGCTGGAGTGCAATGGTGCGATCTTGGCTCACTGCAACCTCCACCTCCTGGGTTCAAGTGATTCTCCTGCCTTAGCCTCCCAAGTAGCTGGGATTACAGGCTCGCGCCACCATGCCTGGCTAATTTTTGTATTTTTAGTAGAGACGGGGTTTTGCCATGTTGGCCAGGCTGGTCTCGAACTCCTGACCTCAGGTGATCTGCCTGCCTCGGCCTCCCAAAGTGCTGGGATTACAGGCGTGAACCACCACCACCGACCTCTAATTTCTATCTTTAAAAAATGTCTCTGTCTACTATATGGAAAACTGGCTCCAGGGGATAACAGTAGCTGCAGGGGTAACCAGGAACAAGACTACTGCAGTAATGCAGGAGATTATGACAGCTTGGCTTGGGTAGGTGCTCAGATGTAATAAGATGAGGGAGATCTTGAAGACTGAGCCATCAGGATTTGCCTAATGTGGCTTCACCTAGCTAGAGCAGAGTATTGAAGAGGGGAAGTCAAACATGAGGCTGGAATGGAAAATTGGGGCCAGATTCCCTGGGGGCCTAGAAAGCCAGCCTAAGGGACATCGAGTCTCATTCTGTAACAGGGTGCCCAAGGGTTTTATACTTTAAGCAGAGTAATCCAACAGCAGTTGGGAAAGAAGAGAGACTAAAAAGAGGGAGACCAGCTCAGACAGAGAGAGACCAATTACCACATGCCTGGGAGTAAAGAGAGCAAAGCTCTGCATTGATGAATTCAAAAGGTATTACCAAGACAAGGTTAGTGCCAGTTAATGACCAGCTGACCCTGAGATTTAACCCTGGGCAACAGAGGGATGACAGGGACATGACCAAAGCAAAGCATCATGAAAGGAGAAGAGGATTTGAAAAGGAAGGTAGTATGACCTGCTTCGGCTTCAGACATATTAGGTTTGAATGCTGGCCAACTTCACAGGTAGGAAAAGTCAGCTGGATTTGTGGAACCAGAGCTCCAGCACAAGTGAGGGCTGGAGGCAATTGTTTGGGAGTTATCAGCAAGATGGTGACCCCTAAAGTCACGAGACGGAAAGAGGATCACCACCAGAGAAAAGGCAGACCTCACAAAACACCTTAGATAGAACGCTAGGGACATGAGGAAGGGAAGTCATTTCAAGAATCATGCTGTGTGCAAGAGGGTTAAAAGCACAGATGTAAAGGAGGGTAAACTGGGTAAAAGGCCAATGGATTTAGTGACTAAGAGAGTCTGGAGACTGTCAAGACTGCAGTTTCATCAAGACAGAAAGGTGACTGCAATGTTAAAGGAAGTGAGTCAGTCTGAGGAAATGTGGATGAGCCTACACTATTTTTCAAGGATTGGTTATAAAAGGAAAGTGATAAAAGTGATGGTAGCTTGAAGGAGTAGCAGAGTTGAGGGTAGGTTGGGTGAGTGTGTGTGTCTTAAAAGTAAAAATAGTTAACTTGCAGAGCTTAAAGAGCAGAATCCAGTGGAGAGATTGAAGTTGCAGGATGATATGACCCACCAACGACAAGAAAACAGAAGAGATGAGCAGAGACATGTTACCCTTAGAAAGAGGAAGAGACACCTGTTCCTCTGGCAGATAAGGGAAGATGATCAAGCAGTGGCTGCCATGTTGCTGACAGCCCCCTTAAACACAACAGAAGAGACAATGAATAAAGCTATTATATATATAGCAACACACTTCTGATAACCACTTCTAGGAGAAACAATATTCTGACTAATGCCATTATTCTACTTAATGTCGTGACATCAGAACAACCAAATGTTGTGACTCATAGTTTGTCTCTTTTGTTTAGTGCACTTAATATGAATGAAAGAGGTAGGTGGATAAGTACCTTTGGTAAGTGAATGAAGAACCCCCCAGACAATGCAAATCACGCTATAGATAAAAGAGTATATTTTGTTTCTGAAATTAATTTAAACTCCCACTTGGTTTGTCTTTCACAGTCACTTGACATTTATAATTCAGTTGCAAATTCATAAATCAAAAGCATTCTGCTTTTCATCACAGTTGTCGTGTCTACATATCAAGGTTTTCCTGGTCACCATAACACTACCATTCCACAGCAGTGAAAAGCAAAATACATGGAATGTTATAATGAAGAAAAATTTGAGGGAGCCTGATTTAAAGAAAAAAAAAAAAGAGCAAGAAAGATCAGAATACATAAACTAAGTAATTAATGAGATCATCAAAGCCCATGCTAATCTCATTTAACCATTCCTTACCCCCCTAGAAAGGGAGATACAGAAAGGCACACAACAGCAGCAAATGACTTTAGGTCAGTAGCTTTTTTAAAAATTGGCCACAGTGCACCATCAATTTTATAGGAAACTATTGTAGATAATAAAACCTATCTTTGTAAATCTATTTTACACAGTATGCCAAAACTGTCAGTGAAGCTAAAGTCTTATAATAACTGTGATTGGGATGATGAATTGAATGTGTTAGCCTAGCATTAGTCACCTAATTCTAAATCTAAATTGTACTACCTCAGTCACCTAACTGCTTTTAAAAATACATAAGAGGCCAGGCATAGTGGCTTATGCCTGTAATCCCAGCACTTTGGTAGGCTGAGGTGGGAGGATCACTTGGGGCCAAGAGTTTGAGACCACCCTGGTCAACATAACAAGACCCCATCTCTATAAAAAGTGAAAAACTAGCCAGGCGTCGGGGCACAAATCTCTAGTCCTAAATACTCGGGAGGCTGAGGCAGGAGGATTGCTTGAGCCCAGGAGGTTGAGGCTTCAGTAAGCTGTGATCATGCCACTGTACTCCAGCCCGGGTGACAGAGCAACACCCTGCCTTGAAAAAAAAACACATAAGAAAGAACCAAGAGTTTAATTAATTCCAATTAGAAAATGATAAGAATGGGAAATAACAAAAATCATTAGACTATAACATCAATCAATAACCTATTTCCAAAAAACTCTGAATTAAACACTAAAAATTTTGAAATGGCAAATGAAAAACAACTATTCTCTCTTATGTGCATTTGAAAAATGTTCCTCTTGAATAAGCTGTATTTATCACCAAATATTTCATCTTTCACTGATAGGTACATGACAAAGTGATTCATGTACTATCCATGGACTACAAAAATATGTAGTTGTCTTAACAGGTATCAGGCATAGAGTTGGAATTTATGCTTTAGAACTTGTAATGGAGCCCACAGCAATAGAATGTTTAAAATCTGAATTAGCATTTGATATTCTGAAACAACATTTGGCAGGGGTAGCTGGGATCCCTGGGGTGTTCCATAACATCTATGCATTATTTATTTTACTATACTACCATACTGATCTACAATTACTCTCTCTGTGTGCCTTTCTCTACCAGTGGCCTGGAAACAACTTACAGGTAGAAAGACCACATTATCTACAACCATAGAACAGTGCCCATCGAAGCCAGACCCAGTTACTTTTAAGAGGAATGTCAAAGGGCTACGGGATAGACAGTGGAATTTCCCACAGGAAGATGTACCATCCCTGGACACGAGAACAGAGTTTATTGCATTTTTCAATTCAGGAAGAGAAATTTTTCAAAATAATGTCACAAGAGCGAATGAAGGGAACTCTACAAATCACAGTCATGAAGTGATTCAGAATCCCAAATGCCTGAACTGAATTTTATTAAGGATTTCATTTCCTATAAAAGCAACATAACGCATTTTTAACTACTATTTTTGTTCACGTAGTTACCTCCCTATTCTACTTTTTCAGCTGTTTCCAGGAACAGTGAGCAGACCATCATTGAATAGAATATATATTAAGTACATATTCTAAATGTATACCTTCTGCAAGAATTAAAAATCTGCACTAGAAAATATTGCCTACACAGGCAGATAGTCTTCAAACACAAGTAGACCATCTAAACACATTTCAGTAGACATGTGTTTCCCACAGCTGCTGTAACAAATTAGCACAAACTTCATGGCTTAAGATAACACAAATTTGTTATCTTGCAGTTCTGGAGGTCAGAGTACAAAATGGGTCTCTCTGAGCTAAAATCAAGGTGTTGGCAGCGCTGTGTTTTTTTTCTGGAGGTTCTAGGGGAAAAATCTGTTTTCTTGCCTTTTCCAGCTTCCAGAGGCTGCCTGCATCACTTGCCTTGGGGCCCCTTCCTCCATCTTCAACAGGAGGTTGAGTTCCTCATCACATAACATCACTCGGACCTTGTCTTCTGCCTCGCTATTCCACTTCTAAAAGCCCCAGTGATTACACTGGACTCATCCAAATAACCCAGGATCATCATCTCCTCTCCAGGTCAGCTGATTAGCAACCTTAACTCTTTGCCATGTAATAACACACGGCTCTGGGGATTAGGATGTAAACATCTTGAGGGGAGGGAAAGGGAATGACACATTAGTCTGCCTACTGCAGCATGGAATCATCCATCAGTACACTTTCTATTTTATTTTTCATACAGACTCACAGACATATACCACACCCATACCCAAAAGTTTTTTAGATTTCCCTGCCCTAATTTGATAATTCTAGACTAATTCTAATGAATACTTCCACAAGTGTCTCCTATAATTTTGTAATGTTAGAATTTTACTTTAAAAAAACAAAAAAAATTCTGTTCTTCGAAAAACAAACAAACAAACAAACAAATTCCAGATGGTTCCAAGAGTGCAAACCTGAAAACAGCTTAACCTGATTTATTTTTTTAAAAAAAGGCATGACAGTCTCACCAGGAAAGAGCTCTTTTAGTTTACAGGGTTTGATACGTAATATAATCATACTTAAGAGTTTTGTTTTGCTTTTTGTTTTCTGTTTTGAGACAGGATCTTGTTCTGCGGCCCAGGCTGGAGTGCAGTGGCTTGTGGAAAACTGAACTCATCTTTATAATTCCTTTTTTATTGAGACTTACCTAGAATAATTAACATTTGAATTTAATTAAAAACAGTTCTTTTGTCAAACTTAACCCAATTCTCCAATACTTTTGTAGGTCACCTTCTTTAATAACAATCAGAGGAAGAATTTTCTGACTCTTCAAAACAGCAATCTAAATATAATACTTTATTGTACAACACATGATGTCTTTTTTTTTGTGTCCCAAATTGTGTTCCTTAGAACACCTGGAAACATAAATTGGTATACCACCCCCCCACCCAAAAAAAAAACCTATTCGGTGGCCACATACATTTGGAAAAGGACGTATACCATGCCTCTCTTTTAGAGGGTCACAATGCATACTAAGTGTTAAAAGTCCTCTAACTTTGTTTAACATCACTGTTTTCAGAACGTTTTCCTAACATCCCTATAAATAACCTGGGCTGAGGCAAGAAAGTGAGAAGTGAATACTAATGTAGAGCATATCTCCACAGAGTATTACTCATGAGTAAGCCCCACAGCTTACTCATCACAACTGGGAACAAAACCAGCCCCACTTTATGCTCCTGAGAGTATACGACGGATGAAAGGCATTTCAAATATCAAATGTCAAATCAATGCCAAATTGCAACTACAATTAAAATCTACTTGAAACAACACAAATATGAAAAGGCTCCTGCTGTCTCTAATTGTATTTACATGAGTGGGTCCTTTAAAAAACAATGCTTGGCCAGGCGAGGTGGCTCATGCCTGTAATCCCAACACTTTAGGAGGTGGAGACGGGTGGATCACTTGAGGTCAGGAGTTCGAGACTAGCCTGGTCAACATGGTGAAACCCAGTCTCTACTATAAATACAAAAATTAGCCAGGCGTGGTGGTGCATGCCTGTAATCCCAGCTACTCGGGAGGCCGAGGCAGGAGACTGCTTGAACCCAGGGGCGGAGGCTGCAGTGAGCCAAGATCACGCTGCTCCAGCCTGGGCCACTAAATGAGACTCTGTCTCAAAAATAAAAATAAAATAAAAAACAATGTTTAATTCAATATGACTTTAAATGGTGCACAGCTAAATGAACCTACCCATGTTTATAAAGAATCCAAATGTATCTGATTCAAAATACTGACCCTCAAATAGAGCCGTGGATGCCCCATCCACTACACATAAGCAAGAGACAGATTTATGAAAAGCATTTCAAAATGTTTTTTCCTTCATACAGAGTAATAAATACTCAATTAAAAGGAATTAAGGTTAATTCTAAAGAGATGGGAAATTTCCTTTAGTTTTCATTTGTTTTTCTATAAAAAATAGAAATATTTCAATCTAAAATAAAAAATCTCAAAGCTAAAAATATTAAGTATCAATTATTCAAATATCACTGATTCCACGTGGGCGCAGTGACTCACACCTGTATTCCCATCACTTTGGGAGGCCAAGATGGGCAGATCACCTGAGGTCAGGAGTTCAAGACCAGCCTGGCCAACATGGTGAAACTCCATCTCTACTAAAAATACACAAATTAGCTGGGCGTGGTGGCACACACCTGTAGTCCCAGCTACTCAGGAAGCTGAAGGAGAATCATTTGAACCCAGGAGGCAGAGGTTGCAGTGAGCTGAGATCGTGCCATTGCACTCCAGCGTAGATGACAGAGTGAGAAACCACCTCAAAAAAAAAAAAAAAAAAAAATTACTGAGTCCCCCTCTAAAAAATTCTATTAAAATGACAATTATTTTTTAAGTTTATAGCCCTCAAGTATAAACAATAGGCTCAAAAGGTTGAAAAACAGTGTCTTGGTCCACTCCTGTGAGGTGCTAAAATGTAACGAAAAGGCCACCGGTGCTAGGGCATAGGAAGGCTACTTACCTTCCCAGAGCCCAAGTTTCTTCATCTGTAAATAGAAGGTGGTCGTAATACTTACCTCATGGGGTTGTTGTGAGAATTAACTGGGTTAAAGTATACAAGGCACTTAGAATAGTACTGGTACATAAGCATTCCACAAATGTGGCCCATTATTACATTATTGTTGTTCTTACTATACTTTTTCTGGTCATGTTTGTTATCCCAAATTTGTTACTCATAAATAAAAAGGAAAATAAGTTGGGTGTGGTGGCTCATGCCTGTAATCCCAGCACTTTGGGGGGCCAAGGCAGGCAGATCACGAGGTCAGGAGTTCGAGACCAGCCTGACCAATATGGTGAAACCCAGTCTCTACTAAAAATACAAAAATTAGCCAGACGTCATGGCGCATGGCTGTAATCCCAGCTACTCAGGAGGCTGAGGCTGGAGAATCGCTTGAATCCAGGAGGCAGAGGTTGCAGTGAGCCGAGATTGCACCACTGCTCTCCTGTCTGGGTGACACAGCGAGACTCCGTCTCAAAAAAAAAATTTTTTTTTTTAATAAATAAATAAAAAGGAAAATAAATTTCTCCTACACTCAAGATTCTAAATAACTAAGATTAGTTTTTGCTCAAAGCTGCTATAGAATACTCACTCCTCCATCCAACATAACCACCCACTATGCATTACTGCTCCCTTCCAAATCACCTGGACAACTAACGCCTCTTTCTACTTCTGTGTGAACCATCTGTTTTCAATTACTGACTCATTCACTTAATAGTCATCAAATACCTACTACATGTCAGGTACTGTTTGACATTAGACATTCAAGGATATATAAGTATCAGGTCCTGTCTTTAAAAACCTGTTATTCTAGAAGGAGAAGAAGGGGAAAAGTATTTCAACAGTTTAAAATTTTTTCCTCTAATGGAGACATATTCCAGACATAGTATTAGCAAAAAGGAAGACCTTACGGCCTCCACTGAAGGGAGAGAGCACCAGGCCAGGTTTCTGGTTAGGTAGACAGGTACTGCAGGACAGGAGAGTTTGCAAAGCCAGGCATACAGGAACTGGCTTAGAGCATTTTAAACACTGGATGGCCAGTGTGGCCAGTACGAGCGCTAGTAAGCACCTGTGAGGCAAGAAAGGATATCAGACCCAACAGGCTCTTGGAGACAGTGCCAAAATTTTTGGACTATTGTTAAGGAATTTTAAAAGGGAATGATGTTCAAATCCACATTTGGGAAAGACCGCCATAGCAATGTGAAGAATGAAATGGAGGAAGCAGAAACTAGAAACAGGTAGACCAAGTCAGTGAGCTTTGTGTTTTTCACAGTGTCTTCGAAATTAGTTCACTGTTACCATAACTCTGTGTGGCGTGACAACTGTTATTCATTTGTAATGGATATGAAACGGAACTTCAAAAAGATCACAAGACTTGCCCAAAGTCACATAATAATGAATAAATGGCTAAAATGGCCTCCAGAATCCAAGACTTCTCATCATCCCACTGGTCCTTTCTCTCCAATCCCTAGAGGTTAAAATAAAGTACAAACTTTGGTCACATCCTATCCCAGAGCAGCAGTTTGGCTGCAGCAAATGAATTCAAGTTTACTTGAGTTAATAATCAGATACTTTCTGGCTGTAAGAGCATGGAACATTTATCATAGCTAAATAAAATGGGAGTTGATTGGGTAAATTTTGATAAACTGTACTTTAATCCTGAAAAATGGCTGCTACTAGATATGTTTTTACCCCTCTTCAGTGATACACTTCAAAGCCAGAAATAAGGTTCATGCCCATCAAATAAATAAGCAAGACTTCAGTTTAAACCCTAAACTCTGAACATATAATCTACTAGTCTACTGATCGGTAGTGTGAACTGCCTGGTTGTAAATATCAAGCCTTCGTATGCAGCAGATTATATTAATGGTAAACTGGGCCAAGCGCAGTGGCTCACACCTGTAATCCCAGAACTTTGGGAGGCCGAGGCAGGCAGATCACCTAAGGTTAGGAGTTCAAGACCAGCCTGGCCAACGTGGCAAAACCCCATCTCTACTAAAAATACAAAAATCAGCCAGGCGTGGTGGCAGGCACCTCTAATTCCAGCTACTCAGGGGGCTGAGGGAGGGGAATCACTTGAACCCAGGAGGCAGAGGTTGCAGTGAGCCAAGGTCATGCCACTGCACTCCAGCCTGGGCAACAGAGCAAGACTCCATCTCAAAAAAAAAAAAAAAAAAAAAAAAACCGTGGTTTACTCAGAACAGTTGGTAAATGGGATATTCTGCTTAATTTAACATTCCGGTTATCTGGAAGTCAACATGTACAGTAGCATATATATCATAAAATAATTACCAAATTTCAAAGAATTAGAATAAAATAATTTAAAACTAAAACTATATTGAGTATGATTATTCATAGTCATCATTTCAACAGCTATTGATAACTAATGTTTATTGAAGGCTTATCACAGGACAGGTACTTTTCAAAGTGTTTTATATCTATTAACTCATTGCATTACACTTTACTTCATTTAACTCATTGATAAACACGAATTGTCATTGTAAGTCATAAAAAACAAATGTGGTTGTCTTAGATGGCTTTGGTTGTTTGGCTTCTGAAAAAATGGAAGTTATATTTGACTGCAATAATTCATTGACTGATTTTCTTCATTGCCTCCAGGTAATGAGCAACTTAATCAGCAAACCACCTCCCTCTACCCTATTATTTCACAGAACCATTACTCTTTCATACTTGTCAGCTCTGCCCTTACAAGCTGACATTTCATTAAGAGACGTAATTGAAAATCTAGCTTTCAGGTAAGTCTGAGGGTCTTCCTTCCCCCACGATTTCTCTATTTCCGCCCCTGCCTCAGAGCAGCTATAAACCATTTTCTGTCCCTGTTAGTTACCATCTGCTTCCCCATCCTGTATTCTGAGATACCCTCCAACTGCCATTCTGATTCACAGCTGAAAAGCACTCCTGATTTTTTGTTGTTGTTTTTCCTTTCTGATGTCACTCTGTTAACTCTCAGTCTCTGTTTAGACCACCGGAACACCCCTGAGAAAGCAGTGTCCTCATACAAATTATTCTAGAACAGTGGATCTCCACTGGGGGCAATTTTGCTCATCCCCACCTGCCAGGAACGTGTGACAATGTCAATTTTTTTTTAAATTGTCCCACTTGGGATAATTAATCGGGAGTCCAGAAGGAATGTACCACTGGCATCTAGTGGGTAGATACCAGGTATGCTGTTAAGTATCCTAGAATGCACAAAAGAAACACCCTCCCCACCCCCCAAAAAGAATTATTCAGTCTAAAATGTCAAGAGTGTGAGGTTGGGAAACCCTGATTTAGAATATGATCTCAGACGAAATACCATGGTCTTCCAGTTCTCCCCTGAAGCAAATTAAAACATAACTCCTCAAATATACTGCCATAGCAACTTAAGAACATTTTGGTGAAGTTCGTTTGGGTGAAGAACATTTACATCTAAACAATGATATCCTAATAGCTGCTTTCATGGGTGAGAATTAATTAACAAACTTCTAACACTGGACTTGCCATTTAATAGACTTTGCTATACCTCACAGCACAGCTTTGGTAGAAAGTACTGCCTGGCATTGTTTGGAAACACCCTCATACCATTTCCAATAGATCACTACAATGATATTTACTGCAAGCATCAACCTGTATTTTTTTGTACTCTAAGGGATCTTTTCTACTAAAAACAATTCACGGTAAATTGATTTCTATTTCTAAGTCGGGGTTTCTCAGTCTTGGCACTACTGACATTTGGGCCTGATAGTTGTTTGTTGGGGAGCGTGGCTGTCCTGTGCATGGTAGGACGCACAGCATTTCTGGCTTCTACCCACGAGATGCCAGTAGCAACCCCCTCCCCTGCACCCCATGACAAAATGTCACCAGACATTACCAAATGTCCCTTAAGAGGCAAGATCACTCTCATACCCCCATTGAGAATCACTGTTTTAGAGGGTTTTTTTAAAATCAACTTCTAATTTAAGTTTCCCACATCTAGATTTTGATATATTGGGTTTGCTAGGTACAAATATATTGAATAACTAAACCAACAAATTCCTGTATGTTGATATTCTTAAAATAGAATTCCTATAATCCTACTGTGCAAAACAAGAATGAATACAAATGGAAATTTTAAACACTAAACAGTACCCAAGTATCATCTAGCTTACATAACAACACAGTGATATCCTTACAGACTAAACTCGTCATCAAAGTATTTTGTTTATGGTTAAGTTTTTAGCAATGTCATTTACTCTCTGGCATGACAAAATTCATAATAAAAAATAGCTAATACTCATTCAACATTTACTATATTAGTGTTTTATAGTGACATGCACACAATTTTTAAGTCCCTTCCATGATATGATAACTCTGTAAGATAGGTACTATTATTATTTCCATTTAAATATGAGCCAACTGAAGCACAGAACGGTTAAGTAACTTGCCCAGGGTCACACAGGCAATCTGTGACAGAGCTGGCATTTCAGCCCAAGCAGCCTAACTCAATAACTCAATCCACATTCTTCCGTGTTATGCTACATTGCTTCTCATATAATAATATGCCATATTAATCATTACATCAGCAATGAGCATATATTATAAAGGGATTTTACTTAATTTCCTTCTTTTCTTTTTTTTTTGAGACATAGTTTTGCTCTTGTTGCCCAAGCTGGAGTGCAACGGTGCAATCTTGGCTCACTGCAACCTCCGCCTCCCCAGTTCAAGCCTCAGCCTCCTGAGTAGCTGGGATTACAGGTGTGCACCACCAGGACTGGCTACTTTTTGTGTTTTTAGAAGAGACAGGGTTTCACCATGTTGGCCAGGCTGCTGTCAAACTCCTGACCTCAGGTGATCCACCCACCTCAGCCTCCCAAAGTGCTGGGATTATAGGCGTGAGCCACCGTGCCTGGCCTACTTAATTTCTTTCAGTGACATTTCCTCTGCAACCTAAGTGACAAAACTGTTCTGGACAACATTTGCCTCAGGATCCTTGCCATGTGTTTTCTGACAGTTCTAGCCACTGGCACAGCATCTGTAGCCCAACTGCCCAGATCCCAGTCCTGGCTCTACCATAAACATTACGATTCTTCTCTCCCTCTAGACACATGGCAGGACTGCCCTTTCCGACCTCCTTGAAATGGAATCATGGCCTAGTAACTCACTTTGGACAATGAAATGTGGGAAGTAAAACATGTCACTTCCAGATGGAAGCTTTAAGCCAGAACTCGACTTGCCAATTCCCTTCCTGGAAGCATGTGCTGAGATGGAGCCTTTGTCGGCTGGGTCTCTGAGTGACTCTAATGACTATAATGAGCGGTGTCCCTCTGCCAATCCACACAACGTATACCTTGAGTGAGAAATAAGCCTTTGCTGTATTAAGCATCTCAAATTTCAGGGTTGTTTCTTACTATTCCATAATTTAGACTAAGTAATATCGTTACTTATTAGTTGGTGTGACCTTAAACAAGTTATGTAACCTCTCTATGTCTGCTTCCTCACCTGGAAAATGGAGATAATAGTAGCAACTACTTCGTAGTGTTGCTATGAGAATTAAATAAGTTAATATACATAAAGTACCTAAAACATTGCCTGGCACACAGTAAGAACCCACTACTGTCCCCAGAAATTCTCATGTAAGCTAACTCATGGATATCATTACTCTGGTCACCAGTCTCTAACAATCTGAGACATGGATATGTAAATACATACATTGCTTCTATATTATTATTCCCATAATAAAATGCTACATATGTAGGCTCAAAGGCTAACAAATAATTCACTGACAGACACAAAAGACTGAATAATAAAACCCAGGATATCATCTGTTACAAAATGGCATGGAAAAATATCTCCAAAAACTACAAAGTAGAAGAGAGACGATTGTATTTAACTGACCCAACTTTTGCTTCTGTCTCATCCCCTGCCAGTAATACATACATAAACAAGCACAAATATGCACACGCTCCCTTCTCAATGAACAGATTTAACTTGCCAGCCAACTAGAAAGAGATTCAACAGAAGGAGCCAAAAATGTGGTGCCAACTGGCTGTGTGACATGCACAGCAATGTCTCCTAATAAACCAACACCTGACGTCTAGTAAGTGGGAATACAATAAGCAGAAGAGGAGTGATGTGATGTAGGAAATCAACCTGAAATGTTCCCAGACACACGGTGAAGGTGATTTGAAAGTCATACTTAGACTCATGGATTATTTTCAAAAGCATTAATTTTCCAAAGGTGACTTTCACCAGGTGTTTATTTACCTGGGGGACAATTAAAGCTGATTTCAGGCTGGACACGATGGCTCATGCCTGTAATCACAACACTTCGGGAGGTGGAAGTGGGAGGATGGCTTGAGGCCAGGAGTTCAAGACCAGCTTGGGCAATACAGCCCAACCCCATCTCTATTTTTAATTTTTTAAAAAAGAGAGGCTGATTTCAAGAGGGGAAATGGTTATACATACCCATAAGGTAGCTGCCTACATTGACCACCAGCATGCTAAAAATATGAATTTGGGAATTATATCTCCAGCTGAATCACAGGTACAGTAAACAAATCCAGGAAATTTGGCTGCAGTGAGTTCTGGACAGATTTCAAAACTTATTAAGGAGAGTGCCTTAAGACCAGAAGAATCAGCAAAAAGACACAAGACAGTAAAGATGAATACATATTACTGATAAAGAATTAGTAATAAGACTGAAAAGAGTATACCCTACAGTCTTATAAGAAATAAGAAATAAGCTTATTCAAGACCTGTAGGACCAATTTTAGCAAGAATCCTGCTAAATCAATTTATGATTTCCCCCCCGCTCCACACCCTTGAAATCTGATCACCCTTGATATATAGCTCCTCATCTCCCACCTTTGATCTGTAAGTCCTTGGCCTGCCTTTAGCAAGAGTCCTATTAGGTCGGGTTAGCAAGAATCCCCCTACACTTGATGTCTCCTCTTAATAATTTTCCCCTCTTAGTGAATTTTCCTCTCCCCTCACACTCTGCCCATTGGCTATAAATTTCCAGCTGTCTTTGCTGTATTCAGAATAGAGCCCTATCTCTGCCTCCTACTGTAATACTCTAATGCAATATAGTCTTCAATAAAGCTTTACTTACCATCTCAACCAGCATCAGAATAATTTTTCCTTTAACATATCCAAGCTTGGTCAGAATTAGGGTGTACCTACACCTACCTGCACTATTAATACTCCGCACAGCAGGGAGAAAGGAACTACCTACCAGGTGTCATGGGCATGGAAGGATGTGAGGAACGCTAGCACTGGCCAAATACAGTGGCCTCACAAGCCATCTTCACCTTCAGGAAAATGAATATTGAGCTGCCACAGACACTCTGCTGCCCTCTTAATTTACCATTACCATGAATCTACAGGATGCTCTGTTCCAAACACCCAGTACATTCTTATACATCTTGTCCTGATAGATGCCTGTGAGGTAGGCAGGGCTGAGAATTATGAATTGTTGTCTATCAGGCTGAAGTGACTTTCCAAAAATTGAAGTTGACAGCAATAAGGTCAAGAATCAGCTCTGTGCTGTTTTGACGGAGTGAGTCATTGCCTCCTTGAATCTGGCACATACCAGCCAACTGTCAAGGTTTGTTCTTCCACATGGTCTAACTGCTAAATACAAAGTATACTAGGTTTGTCAGCTTAGGGCATGTTTGCTTCCACTCTGAAAACATTTCAGCTGCCCTAATATATTGCTATAAAGAATTCTCTTATTATTACTGTCTTCCTCCTCATATTTAGCTCTGTCTTCCATCACTTCAAAAGAAGCATTTGTAGCTTCCCCATCCTCTTTCTTTCTAGTTGACTTTGAAGACTATCTATATAAGTATTTCTGGCATAAAACTGACAGGTAAATGACTTCAAAGCTAATTTCCGCCCCCCCCCACCCCTTGCCCTTTTTCAGTCTCAAGATACCATGTCAGTCCTCTATTCACTCTCAAAAATGATGGCTTAACTGCACAGTGCCGTTCTGGGTCAATTCTTAAATATACTAGAATATACTAGACATATCTGGCTCATTTAAGTCATTCTTCACCAATCTTTCTTCTTATTTACCTCCTTCCTCAACTTGGAAATTTTGCCTTTTCACAATATGTGGATAGCCATTTCTGCCAAGATTGTGCCGACAAGACTGGTTATAAATCTACCTACTTTGTAAAAGGGGAATATTTTTGTAACCATTGCATATCTCTATTAAAACATGAAAGAAACACTGAAGGCCAAGTGTTCAAGTGACACGCAGGAAAAAAAAAAGCTGATATTCAGAAAGCCAAGCATACAGAGAAATAATGAGAGGTTAATGAAGTGAGTTCTGAATCACAAGTGCTGTTCAGAAAACAAAAAAAGACATCTGTGAAGGCTGACCTTGGAACTAGTCACTGTTATTCAGTCCATATGTATGTATGTTTTTATTAAAATAACTGTTCAAAGTTAACTTTCATCCAAGTTAACTTCTGAAGAAATAAAAAGGCATCACGTTAAGGTTTCAAAAATTTAACCATTCTACCTTTAGCAATGGTTAGTCCACCTTATTTTCACACATTTCCATCTTAATGAAAGCAAGTACATTAAAGGATACTCAGAATAGCTGCAAGGCATACCACAAGATGTACCACAAGATTAGAAATTTCTTTAAAAGTAATTAAGATCGGCCGAGTGCAGTGGCTGACTCCAGCAATCCCAGCATTTTGGGAGGCTGAGGCTGGTGGATCACCTGAGGTCAGGAGTTCAAGACCAGCTTGGACAACATGGTGAAACCCCGTCTCTAATGAAAAAAATACAAAAATAAGCCGGGCGTGGTGGTGTGCACTTATACTCCCAGCTACTTGGGAGGCTGAGGCAGGAGAATCTCTTGAACTCAGAAGTCAGAGGCTGCAGTGAGCCAAGATCACGCCACTTTACTCCAGCCTGGGCAACAGAGTGAGACTGCCTCAAAAAAAACAAAAGTAATTCACATCTACAGTGAGAATTACAAAGCACAAACACTCCAACTGCACACTGGAACATCTAAGAGTAAAGTCACCAAGGTATTTCTTAAAATAATCAACTTTTCAAAAGTCAATTAAAACTTCTCAAGGGGTATTATAATAAATTCAGTTTTACTTAATTTTTTTTTCTTTTTTTTTGAGACAGGGTCTCACTCTGGCACGCAGGCTGGAGTGCAGTGGTGCAATCTCAGCTCACTGAGCCTCAACCTCCTGGGCTCAAACAGTTCTCCCACCTCAGCCTCCTGAGGTAGCTGGGACCACAGGCACAAACCACCATGCCCGCCTGATTTTTTTAATTTTTTGCAGAGATGGGATTTCACCACATTGCCCAGGCTGGTCTCAAACTCCTGGGCTCAAGCAATCGACCTACCTCAGCCTCCCAAAGCTCTGGGATTACAGAGCGTGAGCCCTTGCATCTGGCCCCCTTCACTTAATTATTTAAGAAAGCAGTTTGAGAAACTGTTCAATTTAAAGATACCAACGTGTATTAAGGAGTTTTTGAGTTTTCTTCTTTAACAAATAAATAAATTGTATCTATTTGCAGTGTACAGCATTTTTAATATGTATACATTGTGAAATTATATCAAGTTCATTAACATATTCATCACCTCACACACCTGTCATTTCTTGTGAGAATATTTGAAATCTACTGGCCTAGCAGTTTTCAAGTCCATAACACATTATTACTAACCACAGTCACCATGCTGCACTTGCCTGTTTTATTCATTACCATACTTATACCGCTTGTACATAAGCCCCTCAGTAAGATGATCCATGTATTCACCAGACCAAACTAATTATCACCCAAGCATCCCCCTCATTGCAAGGAAGCCTTTTAAGTGAAGTGAAGCTTTCCTTTTTAAAACTGCCCAGGCCGGGCGTGGTGGCTCACGTCTGTAATCCCAGCACTTTGGGAGGCTGAGGTGGGCGGATCACGAGGTCAGGAGATCAAGACCATCGTGGCTAACACAGTGAAACCCCTTCTCTACTAAAAATACAAAAAATTAGCCAAGCGTGGTGGCGGGCGCCTGTAGTCCCAGCTACTCAGGAGGCTGAGACAGGAGAATGGCGTGAACCCAGGAGGCGGAGATTGCAGTGAGCCGAGATCGCGCCACTGCACTCCAGCCTGGGCGACAGAGCGAGACTCCGTCTCAAAATAAATAAATAAATAAACAAACAAATAAAATAAAACTGCCCAAGTCCATGTGAAAAGTATCCAAGTTTACACATTGAAATCAATACTGGAAATACATGCTAAATACTATTCAGAAGCGACTTGAATAGATTTTCTTCAGCAAACTCACCCTTCAGCCGAAAGGCAGTGAACTTCACCCCCAATTCTGCATAGGATTACCTGGTCTAATTTTGTAGGAGCTCTGTTTGCATTTTAATCCATCATCCATGGAAGTAAAGGCCTTAGGAAGTAAAGGCCTTAGGGGTTGAGAGCATCTGGATGTGCTTTGGCGCAGTCCATAGCTAACATCAGCACTCCTGAACTCCACCAGAGGAGACAGTGAGAAAGCCAGTGTGCCCTGGAGTAGGGCCCAAGTTCAGCTGCTCCAGAAATGCCTCTACACCAAAAGGACAATGTAGCTATCTTTCTAAAATGAAAAATAAAAAACACAGGCTGAAACAAAATCCTGCTGAAACACTGTGTGGGCAGAACTTGACCTTGCAGCATGGTTACTGAGATACTGCACTTCTTGGGAAATGGGGACTGGTTTCCTCCTGTGAGGCCCTCAGATGCTCGGTAAAGTCAACCTTGAGATTTCCCTCTTCTCTGGCCCTTATGGCTGGAGGCCCTAAGTCTGTTACCAGACTTGCTCGTAGTTAAACAGCAGAAAGCACAGCATTAAACACTAGATTTAAAATGTGAAATAAAATTTCAAGTCACTTGAGAGTTTTATTCAGATTTTAAACAAAATCTGAAAAGATTATATATATGAACAATGAAGATTATATGTCAAAGAATACTATAAATAGGATCCTTTGGTGGGAAAGGAGGGATCTATAAATTCTTAATCAAATATTTTTCTATTTCAATTTAAATTTTTTTTTTTGTAGAGGAGTGAAAATTATAATGCTAAATGATTCTTTCATTCTTCCCCAAAGGAGAAATACTCTGCCTAAACCCATTCCAATCATTGATCTGATGTATAATTTAATCACAAATATAAAACTGCTTTCACTTGAAAACTTTTCTCCCCACAAAAATACCACTTATGCAGCGACCCATGTTCTAACATCTTTGTAATTTTTCCTATCAAGCAATGTTTTTAAAATGAAATATCGCTTCTAAAATTATCCCCAGTGGAAAAAGAGATTTGAAATATTAAATTCATATGTCCTAATAGCTAAGATTTGCACTTACATTTTGGATGTATTTTTCTTCAAACATTAGTGTGCATAAAAATCTCCTGGGAAACTTGTTTGAAATGAAAATTTCTGGGTCCCAGCTCCAGGAAATCAAATTCTGTGGATCTGAGGTGGGGCCCAGATACTATCATTTGAATGTGTCACCCAAAATTCATGTATTGGAAACTTAATCTCCAATGCAACAGTGATGGGAGATGGGCCCAATGGGAGATGTTTAGGTCATGGGGGCTCTGCCCTCATAAATGGACTGTCCTTTATGAAGGGAGTGGGTTTGTTATAAAAGCGCGTTTGGCCCCCATTGCCATCCATCTCCTGCCTGCTCTCTTGCTATATGATGCCTTCTGCCATGTGATGATGCAGCAAGGAAGCCCTTGCCAGATCTGGCCCCTCAATCTTGGACTTCCCAGCCTCCAGAACCATGAGCCAAATACATTTCTATCATTATAAATCACCCAGCCTGTTATAGCAGCACAAATGGACCAAGACACCAGGTATGTGCATTTTTAACAGGCATCTAGGTGTTTCTAATGCAGGTGGTCCTTGGACCAGACTTTGAGAAACAGCATTGCATGAAAAAGAACTCATTTCCAAGACAGCTGTCCAGTCTTCAAACCCCTTCTCCCAAATCCATACTACTTTTATTTCATTAGACAGTTTTTAAACAATCTCTCATTAGCCTAGAATAAAGAAAACCTTTGAAATGTTATTCTCATTACAACTACACAATAAAAATACCAAAAGGCAAGGCATATAAGAATAAGGGAAAACTGAAAAGCTCACTTGCTCTAAGGTATAATTTAAAATTAGAACTGAACTTTGGGAGGTCGAAGCAGGCGGACCACCTGAGGTCAGGAGTTCGAGACCAGCCTGGCCAACATGGAGAAACCTCGTCTCTACTAAAAATACAAAAATTAGCTAGGCATTACAGCGCATGCCTGTAATCCCAGCTACTCAGGATGCTGAGGCAGAAGAATTGCTTGAACCCAGCAGGCAGAGGTTGCAGTGAGCCAAGATCGTGCCACTGCACTCCAGCCTAGGCGACAGAACAAGATTCCTTCTCAATAAATAAATAGATAAATAAATAATAAATAATAAAATTAGAACTGGATAGAATCTTGATTATGCTAGGCTAATTCCCTCAGTTTAATCTTCAAACAGTATTTTAAGCACTCCCCTATTAGTTTTGTTATCTATATTCTCCAGTTATTTCATTCATGCCACAAGGTGAGGTAATGCCTGAAATTTAAATCTGTCCTCAACAGATTCTTGCACTGGATATTCAAGAAGTCTTGCTTTCATTTACTGTTTCCCTATTTGAACTTTTTAGAATCAGAATTATTTATTTCTTCTATTTCATGATTTTCCAAAAGATGACTTAGAATGTCTAGAAATTCCCTCCTGACTACAAATGTAATTTGTTGCACTGACTACAGTAAACTTGTATTTTTAAGTTACAAATTCAGATACTTTTACTTAAATAACTGCAAACATGGCAAGCTACCCTGGAGTTGCCAAAGTCAATATGTGAAGTCTGTCTCTAGGGCAACAGACTAAAGAGTAGTAAATGAGGTTTTGAACTGCATTCCTGTTCATTTCTGATTTAGCAACAGGCTTCTACATGCTCCTATTATGCTCTGGCCATCCCTTTGTCTGATCTCAAAATTACATGGAGTGAGTTTTGGGTTGCTGTTCTAATATGTTTTAAGACATTTATTTCAATCTGTCTTGCTGTTCTCATACATGTTATTTCTAATTTTCACTACCCAGCAAATCATATTTGGCTGCCCTGCACAAACACACAAATGTGCATGCACCCACCACCATTTTTAAATTTTTCCATGTGAATTGAGGACTGTAAGTATTCAGCAGCTTAATTAAAAATCTGCAAACCCCTCCACACAATGGACCAGTGCTGATTCAGTAAGTACTTCCTGCTGCTTTTGTAAAAGCTCTTCCCAGTATTTTTTTTTTAAGCCACTGCACAGATGATCTCTTTCTACCCAATTCTAGAGTTTCACAATACTTCTTTTTTGTGGACTCAAGAACACACTACACCGTCAATGGCAGAATGTCAATCAATCTAAATTCTCCTACAACGTAAGTTAATAATTTAAATTCATCTAACTATAACCAGCACTGCTTGGCAGAGAAAGACACACAAGATCCAACATCCTGACTAACCAAAATGTAGGTAGAAAGAGTTAACCTAAACTGATATGTAAAGGACATTTTACAAAGTAACACATGACAGAATTTTTTTAAATTGCGCATGTGTTACCAAAACACAATGACAACGCCACAGTGCTGCACTTTTCTAAACTTTATTAGTGTTTTTTGCCGTTGTTATAACCTGTTGATTAATCTTTAGATTGTACTATTATTTAACATTGTATTAATTTAAAAGTGGTATATAAGACTGTGTGAAAAAAGGTAAAAGTTAACAAACCAAAAATACAAGTCCAGTTTTTAGAAAAGGTTTTGCAAAATAAAAGTTGCTTATTTATACAGATCACCTGACATACAGAAGTAAATATACTACAGTACATATACTCGTATTCTGTAAGCGGATATTCCATCTTAATGATAGTAGGACTGGCATCAAACATCTGCTAAAATAATATATCTATCATGCTACATTATAAACCAAAATCCTAAATTGGTCTAGATTTTGAAAGAAGTTGTTTATATTTACCACAATAAGAAGAGTAACTTGTTTCAAAGAACAAAGTAACAATCAACTTATTAAATACAACTTTAACGCTACCAACTACTAACTGTGAAGTCAGAACTGGATGGATGTTGAGTAACCTCAAAGAAGAAAATAAAATGGAACTTCCTCTTCTGAGCAAACCTACTTAGATTTAAGCCTATATCTATGGAGAAAACGTGAAATTTTGAGTAATGATTGTGTATACTCAAGTCACAACAAAAGCCATGTTGACCAATAGTCTACATATTTAAATGTCCATGTTTCAATTATCCATCTAAATTTATCTATATAGTCCACTAAAATCTACTATATTTTGATAGCACACAGATGACATAAGCTTATGTCCTTATACCAGGGGTAGCAAAAACAGTCCAGAAAACAAAGCTCCAATTGGTCTAACATCATCAACTAACTGTCCTCAAGATCCCATTCTTGCCTACTTGGAGAAAACCGGATAATCCACCTATAAATATAGCAATGATAGTAAACCTCAGTTTCTGCTACAAATAATATGGCCAGAAATACAGCAAGTTCAGCTGATAGAAAAATCCGTATGGCGGTGGTAGGTCAGTAATAAAGACTGTAACCTTGTAACTGCAGGATATTCTATAAAGTGAAATGTAATTTGTAAGTAATTTTTAATGTTACCAGAAACCAAAGGAAGGGCAACAGGGGAGTATCCGTACAAGACCACCTTCAATAGATTCTTCCAATAAAACCAAATGTACTGAAAAGTGGTCACATTAGTTTTTAATCAAAGGCAGGCAAGACAATCATAAACATCTATGCTCATTCACCTGTTCAAATATCAATTGCTTAAGTCAAACAGGAAAACACAGTCTGCCAGGGGTGTCATATCCACTTTAAGTCAGAGCAATTGAAGATGTGATGGGTATAAAACTACTACAGAAGCCCAGATGATACTTTCACTGGCCCCTCTGAACCATGTGTCTGAAGTTGGCAAAGTCATTCATGCAAATTGTATATTACTATGCAAGGTGTTACTTCGTCAAGTTTTACTTTGAAATCAAATTATTTCAGAATATTTGAAATAAGACTCAGCTACAGTTTATTCCAAATTGAAGCATGAGACACGTATTTCATAAAGAGAGCTCAGATTTCCAAAAATAAGATTACCCAAAAAAGGGGGAGTTAACTAGAGAACACAAATTTTCCCCAGCATATTTTAATATTTCCACCTCGGTGTGCTATATAGATATTATCACTGAAGTATCAAACTGAGCTAGGAGTATGTGCAACCCCGCTCATCTGTATTCTGTCACTTTGTTCTGCTCCACAGACACTGAAGAGGTCATGCTTAATGGCCAAAAAATTCACTACGTGCCTAAAGGAGAAAGTAGAAAAAGATAGGCAGGCCTGAGGGTGTGACTGTCTATTTAAGCATGCAACTGTATTTTAAACATAATTAGACTAATTGCCTCCCAATCTTAGCTGATGCATCTGCACATGCAATTAATTAGAACTGATTTTAAAAGACCTGTTTGGAATCCTTTGTTCCCCACTTCCTACAAATCAAATTACCAAGGAGCAAATTTAATTTTTCAACTTTTATTTTAAGAAAGACACAAACTTACATTAACTGGGTCTGATCCACTAATGTAAGTCATTTAACTAGCAATTATTTCATTCTGAAACTAAAATCCCATTCAAATTTTTTCATCTATAAAATAATTCCCTGGTAAATATGACAATCTTGCAAGACTGCTGTAGAAAGAAAAACTTGAATAATCTCATAGCTCTTCATCTAAAAGAGGAAGGGGGAAGCAATAAAGTTCCATTCTGCAGGAAAATTAGAAATGTACACTATTAAAGCTACCTTTTACCATGTGCTTTACTCTCCACTGATTGTTCTACCATAAATCAAAAGCAGTTAAGGCATTAAAAGAGGACTTCAAGGGGCTATTTAGCAGAGTAAGACATGATGTGCTCACTGGGAAAAGCATAATGACTGAGGACAAAGGTTCAGACACTGAAACTGGAGATGGGGCCAGAAGAGGACAGTGGAGAGGGTCAAGAAGAGGCAAACCAAAAGGGAAGAGGTGGGGAAAAGAGCAAAAGTGAGCTTGATAGGTTTAGACAGAGATTGCAGTGGTAAACAGGAGAGGCAGACACACTCGCTGAGGGATCTTCCCCCAAATAAATATTTACTGAGAGAGTGAATGGTGGACGGCATCCACAGCAACATTAGAGCTATGAACCTGGTCCAGGGGAGAGTGATGAACATGTGATAAGTGAAGGAAGCCACAGAGCTGCAGGCAGGCCTGGTAACACGAGGCACGTATGAAGGTGTGAGCTAGAGCCTGGAGAAGATGCAGACTCCAGACTACCATGATCTGTGTCTGAGAGTCTGGAATCTAGATAGGTGAACAAAGTAGCATCGCTTGATAAATGGTAATAACACATATAGGGTGGGGGATAGGAGTACAACTATATGGGCCAGAGAGAATAGGATTACTGTTCTGAAGACAATAAAGGGGTTGTGGATCTTGCGATCTGAGTCTGAGGAGGCATCATGACATTCCTGCACACGACAGAAACTGTGGAGCTAACAATGGGAATAGAAATAGGAAAAGGGCTAATATCCAGAATCTACAAGGAACTTAAACAAATTTACAAGAAAAAAACGACCCCATCAAAAAGTGGATGAAGGACATGAACAGACACTGCTCAAAAGAAGACATTTATGCAGCCAACAAACATGAAAAAAAGCACATCATCACTGATCATTAGAGAAATGCAAATCAAAGCCACAATGAGATACGCCACTCCAGTTAGAATGGCGATCATTAAAAAGTCTGGAAACCACAGATGCTGGCGAGGATGTGGAGAAACAGAAATGCTTTTACACTGTTGGTGGGACTGTAAATTAGTTCCACCATTGTGGAAAACAGTGTGGCACTTCCTCAAGGATCTAGAGCCAGAAATACTATTTGATCCAGCAATCCCATTGGTGGATATATACCCAAAGGATTATAAATCATTCTACTATAAAGACACATGCACACGTATGTTTACTGCAGCACTATCTACAATAGCAAAGACTTGGAACCAACCCAAATGCCCATTAATGATAGACCGCATAAAGAAAATGTGGCACATATGCATCATGGAATACCATGCAGCCATAAAAAAGAATGAGTTCATGTCCTTTGCAGGGACATGGATGAAGCTGAAACCATCATTCTCAGCAAACTAACACAGGAACAGAAAACCAAACACTGCATGTTCTCACTCATAAGTGGGAGTCGAATAATGAAAACACATGGATACAGGGAGGGGAACATCACACACCAGGGCCTGTTGTGGGGTGGGAGGCAAGGAAAGGGAGAACATTAGGACAAATACCTAATGCACGCCAGGCTTAAAATCTAGATGATGGGTTGATGGGTGTAGCAAACCACCATGGCACATGTATATCTATGTAACAAACCTGCACATTCTGTACATGTATCCCAGAACTTCAAGTAAAATTTTAAAAAATTCAAAAAAAGTAATAGGAAAAGGGGAAACATCCACGTGAGCAGTCCAGTTTCCCAATCTGGAACTTGGAGCTGTTCACCTGGTGGGTGTTTGTGACTATTCAGACACAGACAACAAAGGCTACTCCAGATTGAAGTGCACTGCTTACTTTCAGTGACCTCATAGAACTACTCAACATTGTTTTTGGTGATTCCTGTGCTATGGTTTGAATGGCTCCGCTCCAAAACTCAGGTGTTGCCAATGTGATGGTATTAAGAAGTAGGGCCTTTAAGAGGCAATTAGGGACGGGCCCAGTGGCTCACGCCTATAATCCCAGCACTTTGGGAGGCCGAGGTGGGCAGATCACGAGGTCAGGAGATCGAGACCATTCTGGCTAACTCGGTGAAACCCCATCTCTACTAAAAATACAAAAAAATTAGCCAGGCATGGTGGTGGGCGCCTGTAGTCCCAGCTACTCAGGAGGCTCAGGCAGGAGAATGGCGTGAACCCGGGAGGCGGAGCTTGCAGTGAGCCGAGATCGTCCCACTGCACTCCAGCCTGGGCAACAGAGCGAGACTCCGTCTCAAAAAAAGAAAAAAGAAAAAAAAAGAGGCAATTAGGCCATGAGGGCTCCTCCCATGTGAATGTGATAAAGCCCCTTATAAAAGAGGCTTCACCCACCATTAGGCTAGCTTGCCCATAGAGGGCCATGTGAGGACACAGTGTTCCTCCCCTCCAGAGGAACCATCTTGGAGGCAGAGAGTTGCCCTCACCAGATAACTGAACCTACCAGCACCTTGATCTTGGACTTCCCAGTCTCTAGAACTGTGAGAAATAAATTTGGGGTATATTTGTTTTTACAAATTTCCCAGTCTCTAGTTACAGCAGCAGAAATGGACTAAGACACTCCACTGGAGATATAAGGGTATTCTCTAATTCTATGTGGAAAGCAGATTATGTACCAATGCATGTTAAAGCACACAATTATCTGCTGGTTAAAAAAACATACAAGGATCCAATCCCCCCGTTGGAGACACACAGAGCAACAGTAGGAAGGATACATTTCCAGCAAGCTGTGACTCTTTAAGTAAATACGTAGGAGGAAGCAAGTGCAGATTAAAGTACAGTAACTGTGAGGCATATGACTGCAGTCATGTTTATGAGTGACTTATAAAGAGAGATTTCAATGAGTTGTACATATAACCCATACAGCAATGATTATATTAGAAAAAGGAAATTCATCTCTGACATTAATCATCAGGCTCCAGACACTCAACAGAATCGGCCCACAATATGGTTGTATTATTTTGCAAAGGAAAAAAAAACGATTATCTGAAGTCTGATTTGAATCCACACTATATCAAATGAGGAAATATGCTCAAGTCACGACACAGCCAAGATTAATAGGTGTTTCCACCCACTCCTTAAACAGTTTTAGGTACAAAAAACAATGTCACTTCTCTTCCTAAGAATATGTTAAGCATAGAAATTTGCAGAAATGCATAAAAAAGCATTCCTTTCCATGCTCTCATTTTCTGGTGTTCTGGGTAGCTTTAAAAGTATGAACACTGAAGTACACCAATGCTGTCAGTTATAAAGGATTTGTATTCATTTCTGGGAGCTAAAAACAGAGATGCTGCTATGGTTTGGAATCATACTGCTCATCTCTTGGGTTTAAAAAAAAAAAAGCTTGCGGCAAGATTATTTTTTAAATCATTCCACATTTATCTTCATAAAACAATACAAAGTGAATTGCCAAATAAGCATATATGACACTTTAATTTACTCATCTATTAAAACTGTTTCAATTTAAACATCTGAATGAATAACAGTCATTCTCCTATTTGCAATATTTTTCAACATGAGGTGTGCTCAGTAACATCAACATACATCAAGTATAACCATTCACTGATTTATTTGTTAACAAATTCTTATTGAGAACCTACTATGTACTAGGCAGTGTTCTACCTGCTGGGGATACAGACAGGAATAAATTTAATCAAAGTCCTGGTTCTCATGGAGCCTACTGCCTATTGTGGGGTAGTGGGGATGGGGGTAGGAGGGATTAAACAAATAAATGTATAATGTGATTTTAGACAGACATAAGTGCCATGAAGAAAAACAAAGCAGTGCAAGGCTAGAAGATTGGCAGTAGAGTGAGGGGTGGGGCTTTTTTGGATATGGTGGTCACAGAAGACCCTTATAAGGAAGAGACATTTGAAAAGAGACCAAACTGAAGGAAAGGAGCAAGCCATGTTGAGACCTGGGTAAAAGCTGACCTTCCTTCCAGGCAGGGCAAAGACTAAGTGCAAAGGCCCTAGGCTTTGGTGGTTTGATAAACAGCAAGAAAGTCTGTATGGCTGGAGCAGAATACTTAAGCTGAGGAGATAAGGTGGAGGAAAAGGGCAGGACTCAGTTATGCGACTGAAGTCTAATGGACCATTATATAACATAGTTTTGAGCAAGAGTGACATGTCACACTAACTGAGGTTCAAGGGAGCTACTCTGGGAGACACAAGTGGACAGAAGGTTAGTTAGGAGACTATGTCAATACATAGAGCTTAACCTGATATCCTCAAAATGCTTTCACCCTTTAGGTTTTACAGGGAGGGTGGAAGGTAGGAAACTACTTTTTAAATTTCATTATATCTAAACAAATACACGTAAAGTCATGTATACACGCTGTAACACACATTCCTCTCAGTGACTTTGTTAGTCAGAATAACTGAAGAGTATTGTTTCAGATAATCTCAGTCAAGCAGCCTTAAAATCGTGCACAAAACAAGATGACCATCCTCATCCCTTTTATTATAACTAAATGAAAGTCATGTAAGACTGAATAGTTCTTTTGTCCTTAAACAGGCTATCCGAAAAACAGAAGCATACTGTCTTTCATTGTCAATTCATGGTTCACAAAGCCTCTGAGGTTGGCTTTCGTCCTTCAAAAGCTTTTAATGGACAGGTACATTTAAGCCTTATTTTAAGGATTGTGAGAAATGGAATGCACTGGGAGCGGTCCCCATCTCCCTTTTATGAAAGGAGGAAGATATCAGCAATGCAGAGTGACCTCACCTATAAGGAATGCATCAGTGACATGGAACAAAGGTGGCTTCCTTCGTAAGGAAACCCAATCTGTTTCAGAAAACTGCTTCATTACTTTTGACTGATTTAGGGCTGCGCAGCCTACTAGAAACAATTCCATTCTTTAACCTCTATTTTATTAACAAAACTGTGATATCATTCTTCCTTCAAACATTAAAGAAAAGCCTTGCATATTCATCAATCAAAACTATATTTTATTCAGATCACCTTTGATCATACATGTGTTTGTGCCAACTAAGTGTATTTTTCAGTTGAAGCCTATAAAAGATAGGTGGTGTGCCTACAAGAGCGAGGACTCTGGTATGTTCCGCAGCGACTCAAGAACCACGTGAGATGTGCTAGGTAAAGGCAATTCACTCTTGTTTCAGGTTGCACTTAAGAGGGCCTGCGTTTTCACATTTTATAGCATGTTGAGTTTTCCAGCTTATGAATTCTATCACAGCTTACTTTTTCAAACAGTGATATCAATGCAAAACAAGTTCTTTGAGAACAGAATGAATTCATTCATGGCTAACCCAGATGCAACAAACAGGACACAGAGTTGCTAAAATATTACTTCTCTCTTTCAAGATTATAAAATATCTTGTCACATATTTTTCCCCAAGGTAATGTGTCAAAAATTTACTTTCTGGAGTCAGATATACAATATTCCATAGGATCAGCTTTTAAAATGTTTTCATGACCATTGAAAAGGGCTATGAAAATTGCTACTATTCTCATTCTAAAGCTACTGATAGATAAGATAGTTGTAATCTAATTACTCCCTACCATCTGGCACCTGGGTGCCAATAATTAGCAACTCTGCCTGATTGCCAGATAATAGTCAACTGACCAGGAAAGTTGGTTTTAAGTATCAAACTGTGAATCAATTTTTGCCTCAATCTATCTTTAACCAACCTATTCTATTTTTTTGGCTTAATATCCCAGTATGTCTAGTAATGCTGCCAAGAAACGATGACCTTCAGTTCAGGGACAGAGAATAAATACGTGCTGATGGACTGACGTATTCATAAGCAAAACACAGGCTCTTTTTTCATACATTCTAAATTTCAACATATATCACTGAACATAAGGCATGTTAAATAAATCCTAAACTGGCAACAACCCACAGTAACAGGCAGGATGGGTGGATTATAGCAAAGGGGAAGTTAAACAAAAATATGACTCTAGCTAGTTGTTAATGATAAACACCCTCTGCCCAAATACTGACCTGATACCATGAAACTGGATGGAGAAAAAAGCCCTAGGGGTGGGAGGTGGGGGTGACTGAGAAATTTACATATCAGGTTAATGTGAAAAATAAACTTGCCTCTCAAGGAAAAGTTTGGATCGCAAAGAAGAAACTTAAATAAACCTAGTAACACATGAGAATTTACATAATAAATATTCACATAGAATTCCCACTTCTTACACACAAAGCTCTTCATTCATAGCATACCTAGAAACCACAGCGTGGCACATTTCTAAAGTTACCAAACCTTCCTAGCATGTTGCTTCTCAAAATCTGCCATTCTTCTTAATCCATAAGGAAATGTTAGGTAGACCTAGTGTTACTTATTTGTAAGTATCAGATAGCTTAGTCTCCTGAGAGAAGTAATAACTCAAGGTATTTCCATGTATATAGTTAAATTGTTGATACATTAACAATCACAGAGAATCCAGCCTTGCAGCTTTCTGAGCTAGAGAGCCCATGGGCTTTTGTCATGTTTCATATCACAGCTGGCTGGCTTATGATTTGAGACTTGGAAAGGATCCCTTGGGACTAATTTATTCTAACTGCCCTTTTCTTCCCTCTTTCCGCTCCATTCTCAATAATTTTAATTTAATTTTGAATGTGCATGTTGCCTCTCATAGGATTCAAAATGTAGAGGTGCTATTGCTAACCACATTACCTGTGCTTCCTACCATCCACAGGATTACCCACCTCTGGAATTACTTAGTATACAGATGATCTGCATCAAAAGAAGCCATTATACATGTAACATTTTGCATTCTAAAAGATTTGCAAGCAGAGAAATTATAAGGTGTTTGGTAAAGATCAACATGACAGTTGGACAGCCAATTCCTATTAGATCAATTTCATTTTCCTCTATGTCAGAATGATGTGCCTGGGGGATAGGAGATAACATATCACATATTTTAACTTTTATAAGGCTTTTGACTCAACTCAGCAGAACATTCTTTCTAATAAACTAGGAAAACATGATTTCTAGACCACCATGGTGGGTGCAACCAAAATGTTTCAAGGGCCATTCTCAAGAGAATTGTTATTCAATATCCAATTACAGTCAAGTTTCATAAGGGTTTACCTAGCCTTTGAGTACTACTGTCATTGCTGACTTAAATAGTGGGAAGATGAATGTGAATAAGCTTACCAAAATATACATGTGGTTAGACACTCCAACTTACAAGGATGTGAATGTGTTCCGATGGACCTTGGAATTCTGGAATGTGAGTAGTCATCTATCAGTTCCATCAAGAAGTATTTACTGAACTGACCACCTACTACTTTTTCCACAGTCATGAGCAGAAAAGAGGTATAAAATTCAAAAGAGCTCCTGATCTCAAGTTCCTTATAACTTGGTACAGGAGACAACACTAAAGCACAATTAATTAGAGAACAATACCAAATGGGGCCAGAGAATATTCAAAATAAATGTAATAAACAAGGTATATATGTGTTTAAGATCAGGTATCCATATGATCACAAATATGTATTAAAGCAATTGCATTTTGGATTGGCATTTTTCAATTCCTGTTGATAGTGGCCAATTGCTGACACTATCGTAAAGATTACAGAAACAAGTTTAATCCGGAGGGTAGTAAAAACTAACCACTCGAGAGATGGGGGAAACTGAATTTATCTAAGGAAAAGAGAAAATCTGAGATCTAGGCAAAGCATGAACCAGCAACGTAGTGAGTTATTTTTAAAGGTACATAACATGAGGATGTAAAAACAAGGAGCAGGAGGGTCCCATGACAGCCCTTCCACAACTTGAAGCCCCATTCAGAACTTTATCACCACACTAAGAGCTCTTCTGGACCTGAACCCAAGCACAGCAAGCAGGGGTTGGATAGCGTCCAAAGGAGAGTGACTAAAATGATTAAAATGTTAGGAAATGGGTCCTATGAGGACATGTAAACGAAACTCAGTTATTCAGTCCAGATAAAAAGAGAGGAGGTCAGGGCTGCACCACAGCCTGCAAGGTCAGGAAGAAGAGGTACAGGGGAGCACCTCTTTTCCATTAAGGATGGGATGAAAGGAATGAGAGTACATTGCAAGGACAGGAATTTATGTTTAACAGAAAAAAGAACCTCCTCTGGCTAGGAAGATGGTAAGGCACTGGAATAAGTTTGTATCAACAAGCTTTTGAAATGTCCTTTAGAAGAGACTTTCTAAAAACCCAGTAGATGACCATTTTCAAAAAATGTTCACCCAGTGTCGTTTCTTACCCAAAACAGTACATGAATATTTTAGCTACAAAATCAGTACGTGAATATTTTAACTATAAATAGAAACTCCATTAAAAAATATATAAATTTATTGAAATTTGAAGCATAGCAAGGCTCTTCACTGTTGCAGCATTTGCAAAATGCATCAGTAAAGTACATAAATGCATTTGTTTATATCTGTTTATATATGTCACAATTTTTTTAAAAGGGAAATCAGCTGCTCTAGATATGAGCTATTAAAAAATAACCAAAACATGGAAAAACTGACCAGTAATAACTACTTAAGCCACATAATCTTAATGGTATGGAAGTGAGGGGAAGGGTGGGCAAGGTTGGGGAAGGGTAAGCAAAAATCAGTCACAAAGGAATAAAACACTACACACATGTGCATATGCATGGATACATACACACATACATACACACATACACACACACACACACACACACACACACACACACACACACAGAGTCCAGATAGATCAACTGACCCACCCATCCATCCATCTATCCAACAGTGCATTAAAACATCCATGTTTTAACAATGGGCATAATAATCTTTCCTAACATTACTTTTTTTTTTTCTTTTTGAGTCAAGAGTCTCGTTCTGTTGCCCAGGCTAGAGTGCAGTGGCGTGATCATGGCTCACTGCAGCCTCGACCTCCTGGATTCAAGCGTTCCTCCCCCCTCAGCTTCTGAAGTTGCTGAGAGAGCAGGCACGAGCCACCATGCCAAGCTAATTTTTTTGTTTTTGGTAAAGATGAGGTTTTGCTATGTTGCCCAGGCTGGTCTCAAATTCCTGGGCTCAAGCAATCCTTCCGCCTGAGCCATCCAAAGTTCTGAGACTATAGGCGTGAGCCACCATGCCTGGGCTCCTTAAATTTTAAAAATTAGGACTGCACTACAAAGCACATCTAGTTTCCCTTACGGAAAGTCTTAGGAGTCTAAGTCTTTAGTAATATGCTAAAGAAATAACTAAATTGAATTTTTTTAAAATTACTTGAGCTATTATTTTCCCCAATCACAGGGAAGGAGGCAGAGAAGGAAGAAAGGGAGGGAGGCAGGGAGGGAGAGAGAAAGGGAGAAGGGAGGAAGAAAGGGAGGAAGGGAAGGAGGAAGGAAGGGAGGGAGAAATAGAGGGAGGGAGGGAGTATAGATAATGTTGCTCTCCATTTCCTTTTACAGATGAGGCCCAGAGAAGCTGACTGACTCAACCAGTGTCACACTATAGTCGTAAAACCAGAACTATCTTATGTAGTCACTAATTTATGAACAGCTTGGGTATCTGAAGTTTAAGCCAGCTGTTTAAAACAGAACGAAATGTTCTATGGTATTAACATATAAGTGTTAATTAATTAAATTACCAGACTACATACACACCAATAGTCTGTTTTGTTTGTTTCTTTCCTTCTTTCTTTTAGAGACAAGGTCTCATTCTGTCACCCAGGCTGGAGTGCAGTGACAAGATCACAGCTCACTGCAGCCTCAAACTCCTGGGCTCAAGCGATCCTCCAGCCTCAGCCTCCTGAGGAGCTCGGACTACAGGTGCATGCCACCATGCCCAGCTAATTTAAAAAAAAAATTTAGAAGGGGGATGGGGATCCGACTATGTTGCTCAGGCTGGTCTCAAACTCCTGGCCACAACTGATCCTCCCACCTTGGCCTCCCAAAGCACTGGGATTACAGATGTGAGCCAATCCACTTGCCCCAGAGTTTATTTTACAATATAACTGTGATATGGTATTAAAAGTTCTAATTTCTAGAAAGAGGGAAAACTGAAGATACTAATGTTTACTGAGCATGTACTAGGTCTTGGGCATTTGAGATTCCTTATCTCATGTAATCCTCACAAACTTGGAAAGCAGCTCTTCATCATTCTACAAATGAAGAAATTAGGTAAGGAAGTAACTTGCCCAAGAGCCACACAGATAACAAGGAACAGAGGAAGTTCTGCCTGATAATAAATCTCCTGCTTTTCCTATTACCAGACACTTTCTGTCCAGCAGGAATCACAGAGCACACAAAAAAGGAACATTCAGAGGAAGAAATTAATTCCTCTGCATTTCCCCTGAACACTTTTGAAAAGTTCTGTACTCTCTGGCATCTCCCCTATGCTTAATGAATCCTGTTTTCTATATCCTGTGCTCATTCACACTGCTCTCAGCTAGGGTAAACTTATGGCCCTGTTCGCCTCAGACAGTCCTGACTTACTCCTGTTGACTCTGCAAAATTATCAACAACATCCTTTTCACTCTCAAAAATGTCCCAGGGTAGAGGATAAACGACATGGTCGCTCTGTCTAAACCCCTCACTACAGCTTCCCCCATCCAGGCTTGCCTGACCTCAAAGCAGCTCAGTTACCTGCCTCCCCGCTCTTTCAGCATAATAAATGCCCTGTCCATCAAAGTAGGGGTTCTCACATCAGTAAAAACTGAGAAAAGAAATATGGTTAGGTAATTCTAAATATGGTTCTAAAGTGCAGGACATTTTAATATGCAGACAATCTCTAATTGTTGGAATTTCAAGCAGTGTAACAACTTTAGATGAAGATAATAATCTGGCAGAACAGAGGTGGATAATTCTAGCAGATGAGATCTAGCAAGCAAACCAGCCCTATTTAGAGCTTAATCCAAAGTCAGGCTCCCTAAACTGTCCTTGCTTTTCTGCTCTACCTCACTTCTAAATCTAACAGTTCATCTGAAGGCTCCTGTGGCAGGCACAGTGTGGGCTTCTAAGGGAACATTAAAGGCAGATTACTGGTGTCAATGGGCAAATGTGAGAGCCACATGTCACCTCAATGCACCAAGATCATATCCAGGTGCCAATCTGAGTTTGTCCTAAATGTTTGATATCAAAGTTGGCTTTTGCTACGGTAATTACTTTTTAAATTTCAGGGCTACAAAAGAACTCAGATATCAGAAAAGCCTCATTTTATAAAAGAGAAAACTATGTCCTACAGAAGAGAAAACACTGGCCTCAAATCACATAGCCAGGACTAGAAAGCAGGTCTCCTCATTCTTTCCACCATATAGGTGATTCTCAGCTTCCACACATCATATATTTTCATGCTTCATATATGGAGACCCAGTACTTTTCTGCTGCCAGATTTGAACTTTCTTGGAACAGCTGCTATGTAAACATTTCAAGCTGTCACACTTTGGGGCCTTTAACCAACACTTCAGCTTCAGCAACATCACAGGCTTTGTACAACAGTGTTAACACTTCCAGTGTCTTCTTAATATTTCAGACTTGTTTTACAAAAATGAGTAGAAAAAAGAAAAATAAAAGTGCTACTATAGTACAGTTAAGACAGGAATGAAAATAATACGATCTACCAAAGATGGCAAAAATATTTAGCCTCAGACTTCAACTGTGGCAGAAAAAAAGCATATGAAATGCTGAAAAATAATCATCACTGTGCATAAAACACAAGTTCAATAATGGGGAAAAAACTGTTCAAAGATTTTGAAAAAAACTGAAATAATAGAGATTAGTAAACTAAATGTCACTCTGGATAAGGTGGGCAAATGAAAACTTAAGGTCTGAAATCTAGTTTTATTATATAATGTTTATTCTATGTGTTTGTTTTTAAAAACTTTTAAAGTTTTTTAAGGATATTTAAAAACTAAGCAGTTATATAATTAGGAATGTAAGAATATTTTTTAGCTCTACAAGAATTGAATCTCCTTATAACATATCTAATGTTCAGCTTTTCAACATTACTGCTCACATTTCCAGGAACTTTATACAAATGCTAGGGATATTTGTATCCCACACTGACACTCTTACTTACATTGCTACGGTATTATTTTGGGGTACTTCACATAAATTAAAACTAGATATGAAGCATCCTATAGCTAACTTTAGCTTTCTTTCTGTATAAATGTTGATTGCCTAGGACCACTCATTACATATTAAAATAATGAAAATTCACTCCTGTTCATTCATTCCTGAATTGATAAGCAGTTTTTTCTGGCAAAAAATAATAATAATAATAATTTCCTTAATCCTTAAGGAATTTATTTCCTTAGGCTAACAGAAAAATGCTCAACATTGACAGCCCTTGCCTTTCTGCACTACGTAACTTAAAAATTCATTTGCACATCCTCCTACTGCTCACTTTTTTCATGTTTCACAACGCAAATAATCTACTATTTAACTGCTCTGTCAGCCATCTGAAATGGCACCTCCATTCCCTTCCCAGCTACCCCGAAAGAGCCCACTCACACATCTATCTTTAAAATGGCTGTGTTTACAGCCACCCATATGTCACCATTCATGAAGCAACTGCTACCATCCTCTTGACTAGGCATTGGCAGACATATACGCGACAAAAGGATTGCAGAGCCACGAAAAAGGGTGCCTGGGGCTCTGAATTTTTCTTTTTAAGGTTACTACCTTCAGAAAAAACTAAAAATCAAAATTTGTAAGAGAGCAGAAGATACATGTACTCTTTATAATAAAAGCTTTGGGAGGGTGAGGGAGTTGAAGTTTCTAAATGAGGGAGCCTTACCAGCAAGGCAGCCTCCAAGCATAATATTTCTATCATATGTACACCTCACTATACTATGTTGCTATGTAAATGAGGCTTGCCTGCTATCTGAGTTCCTCACTATCCATACTATGTCGCTATGTGTAGTATTTCTATCACAAGTACATCTCACTATAATATTTGTGCTAGGTTGCTACAGTATTGTGGATCCTTAGGAAGAATCCTGCCACAGCATGAATTACAAAGTCATTTGCCTTTTGACCTTAAAATTTTAAAGTCTTTTTACATATTGTCTTGGGTTTGCTTAAACTACATTAAGCAATATACTAGAGAGGGGATAGATTAATAAATGGAGTGAGCGTCTGACCAGAGTGGAAAAAAGCAGGCATTCTTCCCAATAGAGTGAGTTAAGGAATGGAGGTGTGCAAAGGAGAGCTGGGGGCTCGTGGAATGCTGAGAAAAGACCACAGGCAACAGCAAAATAGTCAGGGGCTTGAACTGACATACTGCCCCTACTCACATGCCTTTTTTGAGCCTCTGATTTTATTCTTTTGCTTTTCTGAGACCAGAGACTTAATTATGGGGCAAAACAAAAACAAAGCATTTTGAGAAGACAACCCAGAGAAGCAGTTTTAGGAAGGCAATGGAGAAGGACTGCTTTCCTGCTCCCCCTGTCTGTTCTACCGGCTCCCCACTGCGCCTCTTTTAGCCACTTGGAAAGAACAGACCACAGTTGCAGGCCAGGGCAGTGCAAGGTGCTGCAAGGCAGAGAAGTTAACACTCAACACAGGTTCTATAGCAGCTGATGCAAAAGCCAGGGATGAAGTGCTAAAGCCAGAGAGCCAGGGCAGAGGTGGAACTTTTCAAAGAAACTCAAGAACAAGACGGACCTCCAGCTAAAGCAAAACTAGATTTTATCTCTTTCCTCCCTTTCCCTCGGATTTTCCTTTTCCCTGCCCAGCCAGCAGTAACAGAATAATTTCTCTCCTTCAGTCACGCAAAAGAGAAATATAAATAAATAAATAAGGACTGGAGCAATAGTGATAATAAATGAAGGAAACTGGGACGGGTGGGGGATCAGGGTTGCCAAAGAGATCTGCATCAGGCTACTTTTCACACACAGGAAACCAACATAACTGAGTTCATGTCTGTATTTTATGTAGCTCTACAGCCAAACACTACATCCACTTTATAATCTTTTCGGTATCTTTTCAGTAACTTTGGTTCTCATCATCCCAAATAGAAATGAAATTAAATATACAGCTAAGGATCCCTAGAGAGGTTGGTACTCCACTCACTTATTCACTCATTTATTCAACAAACCTCTTGTGAGTGTGTACTCTGTGCCAGACACTACAAAGGGCTCTGAAAAGTCAAAGATGGACCAAACTCAGCCCCCTCACCAGCCCCATTCCCACAACCACTCTGCATGGAGCTTAGGTCCCTATGGCTCCGCATCTTTGAGCTGAAGAAATGAAGCCCAGAGAAACCCCACAGCCAGCCCATGGCAGTGTTGGAACCAGAGGCCACAACTTCTGACCTCCAAACCACACTCTTCCCCATACATCAAGCTAAGGAGAGTCTGCTTTCCTGGTCCACTGTCATTGTAAAGGAGCTTTATTTGTCCTCTTTTTGTCAAAACAAAATAGGAAGCAAGGACAGTGAGGAAAGAATAACCTCTGCCAGCTGCAACTGAGAAAAGATTCCCCTGCTAAAAGCAACATGAGGTCCCAGGGAAAATGTTTGTCACTTAAGTCAACTGCAGGTAAGGGAAGGAAGCATTTGGGATCAGAAATTGGACAAGTTATTTAAAGTCTTTCAGCCACCCCTCCTACATCCATGAAATAAGAATAATAATGTATAGTGAGCCGTAAACACTCCAACTGCACTCCAACCTGGGCAGAAGTGAGACCATCTCAAAAAAAAAAAAAAGAATGCATAATAGCTTCTTATAGATCAATGTGAGTAGATACGGAAGCTATCCAAGTTTTATCATTAAATTAAAAACCACAAGTTGCAGAACTGCATATACAATGTGATTCCATTTCTATTCAATTTTTTGTCTGAAAGAAAACACAAAAAAACCTTGTGACAGTGGTTACCCCTAGAGATTAGGAACAAAGGAGTAGAGATATTGGAAGCCTTGATTTTCTCCTTTACATCATCTTCTACTATTACATTTCTTACCATAAGCATGTATTATTTTTAATTCTTAAAACAAAGAAAAATACTATGAGTATTTTTCTTACACTGAGTATTTTTTAAACAGAAAGAAAAATGCTATGAGAAAAATACTATGAAGAAAAATTCTATGAGTAAAAATACTATGAGAAAAATACTATGAAAAATTAAATGAATGGTACACATAATTAGTACACTTTTCTATGTGTATATTATACATCAATAAAGAGTTTTTTCAAAAACTGGAGTAGGTCTATGTGCTTAAACATGAAGAGATTTCATAGATATAGTAAATGAATTAGCAAATCATTGAATCTCCAGAGCATGAAATTCTAGTTCTGCAAAAAATCAAGAAACTATATGCATACACATATAAATGTATATGAAAAGATCTGCAAGTATATACACACTTAATAACATATTCTTCTATATGGTTGAATTTTTTTTTACAACCAGAATGCTTTTACATACATTTTGAAATCTACATTCTTTCTCATTTTAAAAATGATAACACTTAGGCTGGGTGCCGCAGCTCACGCCTGTAATCCCAGCACTTTGGGAGGCTAAGGTGGGTGGATCACTTGAGGTCAGGAGTTGGAGACCAGCCTGGCCAACATGGTGAAAACCCACCTCTACTAAAAGTACAAAAATTAGCCAGGCATGGCGGTAGGCGCCTGTAATCCCAGCTACTTGGGAGGCTGAGGTGGGAGAATCGCTTGAACCCAGGAGGCTGAGGTTGCAGTGAGCTGAGATCTCACCATCGCCCTCCAGCCTGGGTGACAGAGTGAGACTCTGTCTCAAAAAAATAAATAAATAAAATGATAACACTTGACCCCAGAAAGCTGTTGTGAGGTTTACATGATTATGGTTACATGACACTTTATGTGATATAAAAAAGAATCATTACTTTTTTAAAAAAATTATCAATTAGTATGCACCACAGACCCCCTTTCCCATACCTTCCTTCTACCCTGTTCAAGATCTCATCTCCGAGTCTCACCATCAAGCCTAGCTCAGGAATGAAGTAAAGGTCAGGGATGGGGCAGACATGAAGCCTGGAGTAAGGATCAAGGATGGATAAAATAAGAGGTCAAGCATGCAACAAACATGGTTTAGCCAAAACAAACAAACAAACAAAACCCACCTTTTCCGTTTTAATTCAATCATTCTGAAACACACAGAAACATTTCCCTCATCCAAACCACCACATTAAATGTCTTGCTTGGGTCCGGTATGAGTTAATACACATCCCCATCCCCATCTGTGCGAAGACAACAACTCCTTTGTCCGTCAGTGTTTGTAGTGAACCTTACACGCCAGGGGAGCATGTCCCAACCACTCTGGTCCACACTTGGTATTCTTTGACCATGCACTTAATCCAAGGACCACGAACTACAAAAAAGAACCCCATCATAGATAGAGACTTATTCTATATCTTATCCCACCCCCTGATGCTTCACTATCTGCTGCCTTACTTGTTGTTTCTTGTGTGTTACCTCCCCCAAATGTAAACTTTTTCAACAGAAACATGCATTAATGTCATCTTTGACCTAGTATAGATTATTGAACATAACTGGACCTGAAAGCTCTCTACAGGTGCTTGTTCATAGATGGATGTCAAAGATGTCCCACGGCACAGTTCACAGCTGGCAGTTGCTTTCCACACCAAACCTGGAGCAACTCAGTTGTCCTAACTTTCTCCCACTACTTCCTTCAATTCTTTCTGCCAATGCCATTCCTTGGAATAAAGCCTAGAATGCCTTACTAGGGTGCTACTTAGCCCTGGAAAGCACCAAGTAAGGATCTGTATCTGGTTTGTCCATCATTACCTATCCCTTGAGTAATGCCTTAGGTACTACTGAGTCCTGGAAAGCACTCTCTCCAGACTCCAGCTACAGATCAATCCAATTTGTCAGAGATAAGAAAGTAGTAGTTTTCCCCTCTCAATATTTCCTTCATTTCCTCCAGAACTTTCTGTGCATCTGGTATACTGTCACATAAACTTCAACTTCCTTATAACATGCCTGTCTATTTTAAGAAATTATGCCAGGCAATGTGGGTAGTTGAGGGAGTAGGGAGGGGCTGAACAACTTCTCAAAGGTATTCCATGACAGAACACAGAAGGCTGGACCACTGCCAGTTTCTGGGGAAACCAGGACTGAAGGGATTGGCAGTGGACCGAGAGGCCACTCAAGGGGCTGACCTTTAGGAGTATGTCTACAGTCAGAGTACAAGTTGGCTAGGGCTACTACATCCAAGGGCACAGACTGGGTGGCTTAAACAACAAAAATGTATTTCCTCACAGTTCTGGAGGCTGGAAGTCCAAGATCAAGGTGTCAGTGGGGTTGGCTTCCTTTGAAGGCAACTCTCCTTGGTTGGTAAGTGGCATCTTCTCCATGTGTCTTCACATGGTCTTCCCTATGTGTCTGCATCCTCATCTCCTCTTCTTATAAGAACACTGGTCTTACTGGATTAGGGCCCATGCATGTGACCTCATTTTACCTTAACCCCCTCTTTAAAGGTCCTATCCCCAAATATGGCCACATTGTGAGGTACTAGGAGTTAGAACTTCAACGTAGCAATGTTGGGGGACATAATTCAGCCCCTAACAGTCAGCAACAGGGAAAGAGGGAGAAAGGAGGTATGACTGTGCTATGGAGAAATGAAAGCAGACACAGCATTTACAGGGGAAAATAAATTTCATGTGTGTTCCCTCATATCTAGAATTCCCTACCTTTCTTTCCCGATCTCTCCATTCTTTGACACAAGCTCCAATCCCGTATCTGTTCTGAAGCCCTGCTAATCGTCTCAGTCCCAATGGTCCCTCTTTCTTATCCCAAATGCAGAGCACTTCCTATCTATCCTACCCATCTGACCCTTCACCCTACGTGGCCCTTGGGGCAGTTCTTGATGCCTTCTACATTATCAAATTTGAGGCCTCATCTTACACCATCCCTGTGGCTTGCCTAGTTCACACTTACCTTCTGTCAGTTCTTCCTAGGAGGCACATCCCTTCCTGTTTAGGTCAGCCCCTTTGAAATATTCTTCGCCTCTGCCCCTTCCCTGCCCAGCCCCCATTCCCTAATTAATATCATTTCACCCTTAAGATCTCAGCTCAGATGCCTCTTCCTCAGGAAGCTTTTGAAGATCACACACACAATTCACCCTCACGCTAAATGCAGGTCTTTCTTCTATCCTCTCCCCTAGCTTTGTGTCTTAGAACTTACTTAATTACATGCCTGCATTGTTATTATTTTCTTAATGTGTCTCTCCCACAAGATGGACTATACATTCAAAACCTAATGTGTCTCTCCCACAAGATGGACTACACATTCAAAAGCTAAGAATGGTTTGTCTACCATTACCTATCCAGCAGCTAGTGTAGTGCCCGGCACCTAATGAGTGCTTAAGAAGTATTTATTAAATAAAGCAACGAATAAACTAAGTATAAATTAGTATAAATCAGGGGGTCTCATGTGATCTATTTTTTGGATGAATAAATTTGCTGTGAAGTAGAGGCATCATGAAATCATTAAGTAATAATATCTAAACAGAAACATGCACAGATATTAAGAGAACTTAATGTTAAGAGATATTAAGAGAACTTAAAAGAATTTTTTTTTGAGATGGAGTTTCGCTCTTTTTGGCCAGACTGGAGTGCAAGGGTGCGATCTCAGCTCACTGTAAACTCTGCCTCCCAGGTTCAAGCGATTCTCCAGCCTTGGCCTCCTGAGTAGCTGGGGTTATAGGCACGTGCCACCACACCCGGCTAATTTTGTATTTTTAGTAAAGACGGGGTTTCACCATGTTGACCATGGTGGTCTGGAACTCTTGACCTCAAGTGATCCACCCACCTCCTCGGCCTCCCAAACTGCTGGGATTATAGGCGTGAGCCACCACACCTGGCCAGCTTAAGAGAATATTAAAGAGAAGTTAATATCTATGCATATTTATGTTTACATATCATTACTTAATGATTCCTTAAATCATTGGAACTGCGCATAAAAAGCAGAAACTATTAGGTCTAAATTCTATAGGAACTACTTAAAAACCATGCTTTCCTTATCTAATTTATATATATGCATTTTAACTTCTGCAGCTACATTTCTTAGGCCATAGACAGGTATCAGCAGTGTCCCTCTCCCTATGGCTCATTCCACTGCTTGACTTTGGCCTAAAACCAACAGGAATTCTTTACTTAGAGGTAAAAAACTGATGGATTCCCATGGTGATTCCAATCCCACACTCTCCTTTTCTCCTTCAAATTAGGCAGGAAACACTAAAATTTTGGGAACAAGATGTGCGTCACACATTGGAAATGTTCAAATCTGTTGATAACATTCAATATACTTTGGCTAAACGCATGAGGAGGCCACATGGTCACAGCCTAACCAAACACAGAACATAACTAATAAACTGAAGCAACATTCCACGTTATCACTTTCAGCTTTGCACAACATATGGAAACAGGCTCACTGCACCACTTGGTTGTGTCAGAACACTTAAGGGAGGAGGATGCACATTTGGGATTTATTACAGTCACTCACCTAAGGGAAGCGTCCAAAGAAGTGCCTTACAATATCCATGTGGCTTCATGTTACAGAATTCTCACTCTTAAAAGGAGTCTTTTCTAGAAATGTATTGACCTTTCAGGTGTTTGAACTATATGTATGGCCCTGACTGTTCTGAATATTTGAAAGCAAAAGGTACTAGTAACTTACTGAGAAAGCTTTTTTTTAAAAAAGGGGGGTGGGGGGCAGGGGATGGGGGAGGGGTAGCAGGGGGAGGGGTCTTGCTATGTTGTCTAGGCTAGACTTGAACTCCTGGGCTCAAGTGATCCTCCGGCCCCAGCCTCTGGAGTAGCTAGGACTGAAGATGCAAGTAGCTAGGGGCTAGAGGCGAGTGCCACAGTACCTGGCTCGAAAAACTATTTTAAACTAGAAAAAAGGCTGTTCTTTTTCTAAGTATTGCATCAATTGCATCAACTCAGACTACTGAATAGGTTTGTTTTTGTCCTCCATCCTCCCCCAGCAAAGTAACAGACATATTTCCTGTTCCATCCACCTCAACTATTTTATCCCAGTTATAAGGCTCAAGTTTAGTTGAGTTTCTTGGCAAGTAATTTTTCTCATGCTAAAGAAGAAACATGAAGTAAATTAGGAAAAGCATATAAACCAGAAAAATAATACTAACATGATCAAAATCTCCAAATAATTTACCTATGAAGTTCAATTTTGGGAGCTTAGCAGTTCAGATAAATGAGAATTACATAGTCAATTTCCATGTTAGCAAGAAAACTTAAAATTCAAAAGACATTAAGTTGAGTGTTTGAGCCTCTCCTTAAATTCCTCTTTATCAGTGAACAAACATTCAATGCATTCCTCACAACAGGTAAGGCAGTGTCAACAACTAAGATACAGTATTCCAGGAAGCCATGCCTTCCCTAGTCTAATTAACAGGGAAACAAAACCTTTCCAAAGATGCAAATCTACACCTTTATTAAGCTAAACAGACCTACATCAGGTGTCTCAGAAATTATCAACTTGATCACTGGTTCTGGGATTAAAATATTCGAGTCCAAATAAGTAAACTCCATAAAATAAAGGAAATCTAAGAAAAGCACTGTAAGCAGATCAGTTTCACAACATGTGGGCTCCAAATAAGGAAAAGAAAACCTCCCTATCCCAGAGTTCTCACTATCTTTAAATAAATAAATATGTCAAAAGAAACCTGACAGCCTTAATGATGAAACTGTTTTCTGATCAGGTTTTCCAGTGATTAAAATGGTCTATATACTTAAATACTTCCTATCATTTACAAAAGATGAGCCTGAGAAAGTAGTAGGAAAACTATTCTGTTAAAACTGCCTGGTATCCACATCTGCGAATTATGGGAACTAATGCTATCCCAATGGGCAGTTCCTGTATTAAATGAAAGACATCACTTTTGAGTGCTTACTGAAGACATTTGAAAAAAATATTCTCATCTAGATTAATTGTTCTTTAAAAGCAGATTTTACCAGTTTGGCCAATAATTTAGAATTCCTTCTTCTTACAAAAATGAAGTTGTTTTAATTACTGATGCTCTTGACTACTTTTTATTTTTGCAAAAATGAGAAAGCACATTTTATCAGGAATCCATCACCTGCAACATAATTTATATTTATTAGAAATACCTATATTTCTAATAAATACAGATTATTTATATATATTTCTAATAAATACAGAAATTTTGTGTGACAGTTGTGGTAGCTGTCCAAATAATTAGCTTCATCTAAAATTATTTCAGCCCAAACTCAAATCCCAAGAAAAATCATTTCGATGGAAATACTTCATTTCATTCACTATAAAGCCCAACATAAAGCTAGATGTTTTAGTGTAGTCCTAAGTGACATTTTGTTGCTACAGCAACGAAACTCTGCTACCTGTAGCCATGATTTGTTAAGAATTCCACCAACGAGTAAATTCTGTGCTGTGTATTCATAAAACCAATAGAATGATTCTAAGCAACATAAAAATTAAGGCTTGATTTCCTATTTATGATTTACCCACACACATACTTACAACATATATACTACATATGTACTACATACATGTAATTATGACTCTGAGCCCCATCAAAATGATAAAATACCAAATTTCCATTTTAAAATGGGCACAGAACAAAAGCTGGTTTAGATTTCATTCACTAATTGCTACTTGTTTCCCAAAATTTATCTTAAAAGATAACAGAGACTATCTAGAGATAATTTTCAAAACAATAAAATTTATTATTTATATCCAATCTCATTCCAAGATGGGGGAAAAAAATATTCAGAGGTATAATCTATCTGTTCCAGTATGTATGGTTTCCTAAGCAATGAGTTGACTTCGAAAACACCAAGCTAAAGAATAAAGAAAAAATGTGGACATTACCACCTTTATTCACCAAACTACCTCTGTAGGCTACTTACCCTCACTGGGGGGCTCCAGGATTGCACCCGAGGCTGCTGTCCGCCCTGGGAGCTCTGCAGATCTTTTGAGCTACAATTAGCCACAGTGCTGCTCTGAGACCTTAATGCATTTGTGCAGTTGGTCCCACTTCCCCCACCAGGACCAGGTTTCCAAGGCCTCTGTTTGATGCCATCCAGAAGTCTGACCAGCAAGATGTTACTGGGAAGCTCCTCGACACCCGAGCCAACAAGAGTCCTGCACTCGGGACATCTGAGTTCATTTCGAGAACCTACGATCCCCAGCAAACATCGCTTGCAAAACGTATGCTGGCAAGGCAAGACCTTCGCAGAAGCATCAAGGCGCTCTAGACACACCGGACACTCCAAAAGATCCAACAAGGCTGATTCATCCATCTTTATCTACTTTACTGAGAAAAAATCTTCAGAAATGTTCATAGTTGTGTGCATCCCTTAAAATGACTCATGTAACATCCATTTCAGACTTTGCTCTAGAGTCATGGGGAAAAGGGGGAAAAGAGAACATGAGTGTTGTTATCTAGGGAAAAAGTTCAAAGGAGCCAAGAATCAAAAAGTACCCAAAAGTACACTATTCCCTGTCTGAATAGTGTAGCTTTGCTTTGGAATGTGGGTTCCTAAACTCCAAAGTCAACAACTGAAAACAAAACAGGCTTTCTAAACAACGCAAAATTAACCCCTAAAGATATCTAGGGATTCACTGGGCAAACACAAGGCACAGAGTATTACATAATTCCCGCAGAAGGATTTATGAAGTGCAATAAGGAACATAATTTCTTAAGCTCTGAAAGTGGTATCAGCTGCCTTAATAAAGTCTTCAACTCATAGGAGAAGCTGACAGAGGCCATTGAAAGTTTCCTCTACCTGAAATTTACTTTTATATCCAACTAAATTCCCTTTTTTAAGCCACTTTAGCGTTTAAGAAACCATGCCTCATGTAATCGCTCGTGGTAAATGATCCCAATATTAAATACATATGTTTCTTCGCTGTTATTAAAAATAGAACTGTTTAATTTTGCCCAACCAAAAAGAGCTGAAGGTTGACAATTCTAAAAGACACAGATTTGCTTGAAAGCAGCTAAAACAGAAAAGCGCCCTTCAGGGCAGTAGTTGATAAACTCTGAAACACATTTCTGAACGGCCTGTCCTAATCCCATTCAGAAAAGCTGGCAAAATTATCACCAAAAGAATTCGACAATGGAAGGTTGGACTGGAAACTGTGGGCATATGAAAATGAGGCCATTCAGGAAAAAGCAAGCCACTTACTGCGCCGCTCTCCCCCCACCGCCAAAATAAATGTAAAAGTGAATGCCCAGGAGAACGGGAGTAAAAAGATTTGGCTGGGAGCATTAACAGCTGTTCTTGACAAAGCCGGAGCGGGGGAGCCCCAGGGCTGCACCCCCGCTCCCACGGCGCCAAGCACAGGTACTCCCAAGCCCGCAGGGAGGCGCGGCGGCCGCTCGCCGCAGACACACCCCGGGGCCAGGTGTCGGCGGCACCCGGCAGGAGCCGGTCGCGGCCTGGGGCTGCGGCCCGGCCGGTCCCGGCGTGGGGATCTCACCCTACAGCCTCCCTCATCTCCGCCTCCCTTTAGCTCAGGCCGGGGACACAAATCCCTCTACACGACTGCGGGAAGTTTTCAAGGACTTAAAAATAAATGCGCAGGCTTAAGTTGCGAAACTCAGCCCCACAGAGTGCCACGGGGAAGCAGCTTTCTAGCCCAGCCAAGATAAGGCGACAGTCCCCAGAGAGACCGCGCCATCCGGGAAGCAGGGGGTGCTGGGCTGCGCCCGGGGAGACCGCGGCACGGAGCCCTGGCAGCTTCCTGCCCGGAGAAGGCAGAGGCCGCGGGCTGCTCCGCTTCCGCAGGTCCTGATTCCCGGCCCACGGGGACCCGAGGGCGAGGGGAGAGAGAGACCGACCCAGGGCGGGGATGGGGGAATGTCGAGACCACCGCCTTCTCCGCGGCTAGGGGTCCGCCGACGCTGGGTCCCCGTCGACCCCGCGCCGGCCGCGCGCCCTACCTCGCGCCTCGGCTCCTCCTCTTTGTTCGCGGCCCCGCAGCGGCTGCGGCGGCTGATGCAGATGCGGCCCCACCGCGCTCGCCGCTCGCAGTGTCTCTGACGCCGCGGCGGCACCGGGAGACTCCTCTCTGCTGCCCCCCTCACGCGCGCACACACACCACGCCGCCGCCGCCGCCTCCCACTTTCCCAGCCAAGGAGGGCGGAGGAAGAGGAGGAGGAGGCCGGGACGCAGCCGGCGCCCGGGGCGCAAGGGGGCGGCCCCGCGCCACAGCGCCTTCCCCGGGAGCGGGCGCGGCACCTCTCGGAGCCACCCGCCGCCGCGCCGGCCTCCCGCGCTGAGGTGACCTGCGCCCAGTACCCCGCCGGAGCCCGGGGGCGGGATTGGGGCGGCGGCCTGAGGGGGCGCTGCAAGAGCCTAGAGGATGGGGAGCGGGGCCCCCAGGGGACTACGAGGGGAAGGCTCGGGGACGGACGCCTTCTCCCTGAGGAGAACGCGCCTGAAAAATGGAGCCACCGGACGGGAAGGCGGCGGGAGTGGAGGCTGGGGGAAGCAGGAAGAAGCCCCGGGACAGGGTCCCGCCGCCTCCTCCTCCCCCCGGCGGGGCTGGGAGCCCTGGACGGACCCTTCCTCCCCAGGCTGGGCGAGTCGCGGCGCGGGAGGGGCTGGGTCCGCGGAGGCGGCGGGAGCAGCCCTGGCGGGAACCGATCCCGCTGCGCTTTGCGTCTGGTTGCCCACCCCGGACACTTACTTGGTAGAGTCGGAGCGAAGTGTTGCCCCTTAGGGCCGAGAGCGGCGTGGTGAATCGATGGGGACAGTGCCGCGGCCACCTGTCCGCACCCAGCCATCAGTCACCCCAGGACCCAAACCGGAGCAAGCCTGGAGGACCGCTGACCCCAAAGCCCAAGACTAGGAAAACGGTAGTACGGACTTCCAACCCAGGCTCGGGGGCTCTGTTATCCCTGCCCTAAGTGGGGAGAATTGAGTCTGACCTCAGGTGGGCTGGCACCGCAAAGCACGCTGAGAGGCGCCTCTTTTATCTGAGCCTGGGTGGCTGCCATCATCGCAGTAATCTTTGTTTTGGTTGCCCCAAGCACACACCTGTAAACCGAAGTGGAGTTTTGAAAAACATCTTGTCCATAGGTTTTGAGGTTTTTCAGTCTCGATTTAGTGGAGAAGCAAGTTAAAATTTTGTCACTGATCTAAAGTTGACATTACTATATTTGCATTTACCATCAATTTACAAAAAGTTATCCCAAATACCCCTCCTCAAAGGTGGGCAGAAACTAGGTGGTTATAAGAAGAAAGGGTTACAACAGATGATGCAAGAAATCTCTGCCCAGCCACCAACTAGGTTTATGATTTGACGAGGAGTCTCAGTTTATCCTCTAGTCTCCAGCTAGGGCCACAGCTAAACCATTCAAGACATAAGGATCACATAAGCCTGAAAAAATTATGACAGCTAACAATGATCACTCACTGTAAATCAGGCACTGTGCTGAACATTTTTCATGCATCAGTTCAATTCTCTCAGCAACCCTCTATGTCATCTTTTCTCAGCCTTGTTCTAAATAGATTCATATGCTGAGAGTCATAATGTATGAAAACCAAAAATAATAGCCCACTTCCCCTTCCATTAGAAGTGAGCAAATACATGGGCATTTGAGCTGAGAAAGACGACGGAAGGAATGAATGGAATGGAGAATTTCTAGTCCAGTTTGCAAACTGAAAGTTACTACTTAGTTCTGCATGTGGAACTGGGCAGATAGATGAAGATGAGGCTGACCAGAAGATTACAGTCAATAAACAGATAGGGATTATTTGCAGTTATTAAAACTGAAGCTCAAATAGGTTAACTTTCCCCTGGTCACACAGTAAGTAATGTTGAACCAAGACTCAGTCCCAGCTCTCTGGATTCCAAGTCCAGTTCTCTTTGCACCATTCCAAGGCCCTGTCTTTTGCACAGGACCGTCATATCCCCACCCTAGGCAAAGCAAAGCAGTGTGTCTCTTCCCAAGGGAAAGAAGAAACTGTTAATCATGTAATTACTCGAAAGCAAGGGACAGTTTTTATTGTGTTCTTATTTTGGTTTCCTATGTATTTTTAGAGAGCAGCACACAAGGTCATAGATAGAATGGTGCAGCTCTTGAAACTCCTGGCAAAAGAAAATCAATAGTCACACCCATTTTCTTTTCTTTTCTTTTTTTTTTTTTTTTTGAGACGGAGTTTCACTCTTATTGCCCAGGCTGGCACCCACCACACCCAGCTAATTTTGTATTTTTAGTAGAGACGGGGTTTCTCTATGTTGGTCAGGCTGGTCTCGAACTCCTGTGACCTCAGGTGATCTGCCCGCCTCAGCTTCCCAAAGTGCTGGGATTACAGGCGTGAGCCACGGCGCCTGGCCACACCCGTTTTCAAAGAACTGAAGACAGTGTGTCCCAAGACTGCAGTGGTCGAAGAATCTGGCATACATCTCATGAATATTATCTGGGATGTGGCTGCAGTTCTTTGAATGCCCCTGGTGCATGTTCTATAGTTTTTAGAACACAACACTTTTATTAGCTTTAGTTACTCCAGCTGTAAAGTGAAGTTTTAGGCAAGTTACTTTAACCTCCTGAGCCATTTTCTGTCAAATGGTTGAAAAAAAAAATATCTTTCTCAGAGTGTTGTGGGATGACTAGATGAGACAACATGCTGGTTCTTTGTAATCTGTATATCTCTATTAAAGTCAGATAGCATCATTATCATAATCTGCCAAGAATCACCCAGGCAGTTATTCTGGGCAAAGTCCTTTCTTCCCAGGGTCTTAAAAAAGTTTGGGATAGGCCAGGCACGGTCACTCACACCTGTAATCCCAGCACTTTGGGAGGCCGAGGCAGGTGGATCACCTGAGGTCAGGAGTTCAAGACCAGCCTGGCCAACATGGTGAAAACCTGTCTCTAGTAAGAATACAAAAAAAAAAAAAAAAAAAAAAAAATTAGCCAAGCATGGTGGCAGTCACCTGGAATCACAACTACTTGGGAGGCTGAGGCAGGAGAATTGCTTGAACCTGGGAAGTGGAGGTTGCAGTGAGCCGAGATTGCGCCACTGCACTCCAGTCTGGGTGACAAAGCAAGACTCTGTCTCAAATAAATAAATAAGTTTGGTATAATTCTAGTAATTGCAAAGTCCTGTCAATAATATAGGGAAAGGGGCAGTTGGGGAAGAGAAGCATGTTCATCTTTTCATGTCTGGGAACTGAACATGAAGGAAGGAATGTAAGCATGTTGTGCTTAAGATCCCTGTGACTTTGAGTAGAACCATGAAAAACATAAAACACACCCTGTGACATAATAATGATAGCTTGCGTTTACACAGTTCTTATCCTCCCAAGACTTCAAAGGACTTTCATATATATTATCTCATCTGTCTTCTCAGCATCCCTCAGAAGCGGTAAAGACAGATATGATTATTTCCATGTAGACGGGAAACAACAAGATGTAGATAAGTTATTGCTCTAAGTGGTGACAAAAATCAGATACTTAAATATCCAATCCAGAGCACTCTTTGGTAAACTTTGGTACTATGCTTTCACACGGATATATATACATGTGTCTGATTATCATTTTCCTTCAAACCTTGTTTCTTCTCCAGTTGCCATGATATTGGTAAATGATAGCACTCTTCATTCAGTTGTTCAAACTAGAAACCTAGGGGTCATCTTTGATTTCCCTTTTCCTCTCCATCAATTCTGCTAGCTTCTCCCAAAATATATTTCAATTTATACCCACTTTCCTTTGCCTCCAGTGCAAGTTTATTTAAGCCACCATCACCCTTTGTCTCTGTCCGTCCTAAACCAGCCTCTCTGTTTCCACTCTTGTCCCCATAATCTCGCCCAGAATGTAGTAACATTCAGAGTGAGCAACAAAAAATGCATAACATATCAGTTACTACATTGCTCCAAACTCATCAATTACTTCCCATCATGCCTGAAATTTAGAGTCAAACATAGTCTTTGTCTTACAAGACTCACTGCCACTTGGACCCTGCACCACTGCATCCCAGCATAGTACTCTTTCTGTCTTCTTTGCAGCACTTTTTGTGGTCTAATTTTTTTGATTCCTTATTTATTGCCTATCTTCTTTACCTGAATATAAGTTCCCTGAAGTCAGTGACTGGGTCTGTCTTCTTTACCATTACGTCCTTCACAGCCAACACATAGTGGGTTCCAGTAACTAATTCTCAAATAAGGAGTTAATCAAGTATACAGTTACATTTCTTGCTATCCTAAATCTACATAGATATTTAGTACCTCACTGCCCTACAGATGGGAAATCAGGCAAGCAATGTTCCAAGTTCCATTGAGAGTCTTTCTTATAAACTATCAATCAGTAAGTTTGATGTAGAAGATGAGGACACATGATTCTTGATTCTTCCTCTTATGTTTCACAGTTAAGCTGCAGAAACAGCTTAACACCAGCTCTGTAACACAGAACATAAACGCAATGCCAGTTTATCTTTATTCAAGGTCTTAGTTAATGACGTCACCATCCCCTCAGTTCCCCAGGCAAGCAAGAAAATGCAGATTATCTTCAGCTTCCCCTTCCCCCCCTGATCCCTCCCCCTCCTACCATCCAGATGGATGATCCAGAGAGCATCAGAAGTGCTTCTTACATCTCTCTTTTCCTCCCAATCCTTATTTCAGTCCTGCCTATCTCCTACTTGGACAATAAGTATCTGCTTCCATTTCTCTCTAGTGTACCTGATTATGGAGAGAGCTTTGGAGTCAACGTTTCTACAACCTACTAACTGGGTGACCTTGGGCAAGTTTCCAGTCTTCTGTGCCTGAGTTCCCCCTGTAAAATAGGTATAACAATACTACCTACCACAGAGTTTTTGTGGTGATTTTATATACATTAATAAAAATGAAATGCTTAAAACTATGCCTGACACATGGTAAGTGCTTAATTAATGACAGTATTATTTTTATAGATCCACTACCTAACTGAATGACTTTGCAAATTTCTTTAATTTTTTTGAGTTTCAACTTCCTTATCTATACAAATGGATATAATATATACTTTGAAAGCCTGATGTAAAAAAACTAGGGACAAAATGAAAAGCCTAGTATAGCACCTTCCTGGCACTTAGTAGGGACCCAATAAAATGTTTGTTTCTTGCCTTTTTTACTACGTATCTGTCTGCATCTGTTTCCATATAATTAGGAAGTGGATTGGATTTTATCTAAGGTTCCTTCCAGCGTTAATTATTTCCATCCCAACTGCACAAAGGACATCTAAGGGCAATGGAATCCCCTTGTATAAAGCCAAGTGGTCATGAGGCACCATAGTTGTCAGGAAACTGGGCTCTTAGAGTCAGGCAAGCCCAGAGAGGCTATTTTGGTCTGCAGTAGTGGGAAGGTGGTGCAAACTCCACTGTCTGGCAAAAAAATCTGAGCAGATGGAATATTTATAGGCACTCCCCAAGGATTTCAGTTCGATCAGGAAGGATGCTAGGAAGAAAGTTAGACTGATGAGTAGGAGGTAACTGAACTGCATCTTCCTCCAGCCTTCTTGAAACAGGTCTGAACATTTGAGAAGCTGTTTTTTGGGTTGGTTTGTTTTGTTTTGTTTAAGACAGGGTCTTGCTTTGTCACCCAGGCTACAGTGCAGTGGCACAATATCACTGCAACCTCCACCTCCCAGCTCAAGCGATCCTCCCACCTCAGCCTCCCGAGTAGCTGGGACTACAGGCACACACAACCATGCCCAGCTAAGTTTTTGTATTTTTGGTAGAGATGGGGTTTTGCCATGTTTGCTAGGCTGGTCTTGAACTCCTGAGCTCAAGCGATCCACCCGCCTTGGCCTCCCAGAGTGCTGAGATTACAGGCATGAGCCACCACACCCGGCTAGAGAAGCTGTGTTTGACAATGAAATATCTGGAGAAAGTTAGAGTTCTCTATACGGACTAATTCTAACCCAGCCTTCAGGGAGAGATTCTTGAGGTTTAATGCAATCAGAACCACCTGAAACACTGGTTTAAAATTCAGACGTGCTCGCCTCATCCCTGGAGAGTTAGTAGGTCCAGCCTGGGTTCAAGAATCAGGTGATTCTCATGTACATGATGCTGGGACCACAAACTGAGAAACACAAAGGTAGGCTTGTCCAGAGGCACATTTAAAAGGAAATAACCCAGGCACTGACCAGGGAAGCTAATTTTAAAAGGGCACTCTAGGGCTTTGTTTTTGTTGAGAAGGATATGGGATCTATGAGCCAGAGCTAGTTTGCTAGGGACAATAGGAGAGGGATTGAGTGTGGCCACCTCCATTCATTCCAGTCTGTGCCCCTCTTCCCTGCCCACCCTCCATACAGCACTCAGCCTCTCCTCTTAATAAATGCTGGACAGATTTTTAAAGGATATCAGTTTTAAAAGGGAGCTAAAATATTAGCCTGCCCAGAGAAACACACACGCTGGCCCCAGCCCACTCCAGGACCCCAAATGTGAACAGAGGTCACCCGTGTCAAGCCTCAGAAGGTCCTGTTGTTTAGTACTGTTAGATTTCAACAAAAACATGCCTGAAAATTAGATGCCTCTAATATATTTCTGACCAAAGTTCAAAGATAAATTTAACCTATATGAGGAAAAAAAAATAGGAGTTGTTCCTTTCTATTAAAACTAATTTTTCTTGTCAAATGCCATTATCATTTTAAAAGTTCAAACCTTGAAGTGGTCTTTTTGCTCACAAGCAAACTTTACCTAAACCAAAGTATTAGGGAGAGACTAGATAAATATCCATCACTTTATCTAACCATCTTCAGGAAATGAAATTCCATAATCTTCCTCGGTAACCATCTTTATATATTAAAGATTATTTATCAATTTTCAGATTTCTTTCTTTCTGATCAAATTTAAAGATAATGGTAAACTTTTCTAATGCATCTAAATAGGCCAGCTTAAAAATACACACAAAAAGCAAACATGTGCATGGATTCACCAGAAACTCAAAAATTATGACCCAGGTTTCTTTTTAAATTATAGTGTTAGGCAAAGGATGTTGGCCGCCTTTATCAGTTTTACCCACCCTAATTCATATGTGTAATCAAATACAAGCCTATATTCTCTGATTCCATAATGAGTAGAAATGATCCCATCATAACATTTTCTTCTGTTTATAGCTAACTCTTTTATTTATTTATTTATTTATTTATTTATTTATTTATTTTTATTTATTTATTTTTTGAGACAGAGCCTCACTCTGTTGCCCAGGCTGGAGTGCAATGGCACGATCTCAGCTCACAGCAGTCTCTGCCTCCCAGGCTCAAGTGATTCTCCTGCCTCAGCCTCCCTAGTAAATGGGATTACAGGCGCATGCCACCATGCCTGGCTAATTTTTGTATTTTTAGTAGAGACGAGGTTTCACCATGTTGGCCAGTCTGGTCTCAAATTCCTGACCTCAAGTGATCCACCTGCCTCAGCCTCCCAAAGTGTTGGGATTACAGGCATAAGCCACCGCACCTGGCCAACATAACTTTAAAAATTAAATTCCATCATCTTTTTATGCCATATAAATTAATCTGATAGAGTATCTGATACATTTATTACAAAGCTTTCCCCATGTAAATTATACATATAATAAAAGTGCTGAGTAACTCATCAAAAAATTTAGTAATGATTGATGTTACTGAATTAAACCTAAGTGTAGCAATATAGAAAATAATGTTTTAAATAATCTTTCTCAAATAATCTCTTTCCCCTGTAATTCAAATAAAAGGCTGTAGAGTGTTTAAAAAAATAGGAACCCAAGATGATATCAGTCCAGTTGACATTCTTTCTCTTTGACAAGATTGTAGAAGACTAAAGATTAAGATAATTTCCTTGTTTTCCATAATGCTTTTATGCAAAAATGATGATTTGCATAATTTCTTTTCAGTCTCAATTGAATTTCTGAAGCTATTTTTCAAGCAAACTTCCACATGTCTCCAGTGTACACCATCTGTCTCATCTCTCTTTCTCTCCTTTTTTAAAGTATTACAATTATCTTGTAACAGGCACTGTCAAATCTTTATTCCCCAAGGATTCTTTCTTTTGATAAATGAAAAGGAACTGTATATATTGTTATGTGTAGTTGTATGAATGTGACAGGGGTTAAGGAAAGGTTAGATGTTCAAAGCTGTTATGGCTAAGTTGACATATTAGAGGAAATGTGATCAGGTAAGTTGGCCAGAGTTTTAAAATCAGATCCTTCACTATAGGAAAATGAAGAAATGTTTAGTCAAAAGGTCAGGGGGAGGGAGGATCTTAAAGCAAAGAAGAATTTGAAAATAGTCTGTGGCCCATACTACAAAGCATTAAAGAAAATATGGGGAAAAAAGAGGGATGGCTTTACTCACAAGCTGCAAATTACTTATAAAGCCTATTGGCATTTGGAAATGGTTGATGCTTTTACTAGGAGAATCAAGTTTTATGTTTACATAGTAAGTATATACTCAGCAGTAACTTCCAGGAAATCACATGGATTGCCAAGAAAAAGTCCTTATTGAAGCATTATTTAGAAAAAAAATCCTGCCAAAAACATTAAAGAGGCTTTTTAAAAATTGAAGTTCACAAGGAAATGCAATAGATAGAATTTATGTAGTACTCAGAATTTACAACTAATATATTTTATAGCATTTCATAAAACTTTTATTTGCAACTCAATTTCAATCAATTTGTAAAGCTCCAATTACTAAAAGTATAGTTAAAGTTACAGCTTTCCAGAATTATTAAAGAATGGTTCGCCTTAAAAAACCAACTCTTATTTGGAGGAAAACATTTAAAATACAGTAGGTATTGGCCAGGCACAGTGGCTCATACCTGTAGTCCCAGCACTTTGGAAGGCTGAGGCAGGCAGATCAGTTGAGGTCAAGAGTTTGAGACCAGACTTGTCAACATAATGAAATTCCCTCTCTACTGAAAATACAAAAAAAATTAGCCAGGCCTGGTGGTACATGCCTGTAATCCCAGCTACTCGGGAGGCTGAGGCAAGAGAATCATTGGAATCCGGGAGGCAGAGGTTGCAGTGAACTGAGATTGCACCACTGCACTCCAGCCTGGGCAACAGAGCAAGACTCTGTCTCAAAAAACATAAATAAATAAGTAAATAAATAAAATTATATATATATATAATATATATATAGTATGTATCACTGACTTTTGAAATAGAAGACATTGAAAAAATTAACATTTACAGATGACTGTGAGCCATCATTATAAACATCAGTTACTGTACAAATGTAGTAGTTAAGACTATAGAGTCAGACAGACTTGGGTTTGAATCCTGGCTCAAAATTTCTACTTATGTGACTTTAAGAAAGATATTTAACCACCAGGCGCGGTGGCTCATGCCTGTAATCCCAGCACTTTGGGAGGCTGAGGCACGTGGATCAACTAAGGTTGGGAGATGGAGACCAGCCTGACCAACATGGAGAAACCCTGTCTCTATTAAAAATACAAAATTAGCCGGGTGTGGTTGCACATGCCGCTAAACCCAGCCACTAGGTAGGCTGAGGCAGGAGAATTACTTGAACCTGGGAGGCAGAGGTTGCAGTGAGCCGAGATCGCGCCACTGCACTCCAGCCTGGGCGACAAGTGTGAAACTCCATCTCAAAAACAAAAAAGAAAGATATTTAAGCCTTAGAAACTATCTTAAGAAACTAAGATATGAGCCTTAGTTTCATTGTCTGTAAAATGGAGATAATGGTATCTACCTCATAGGTTGTCGTGAAGCTTAAAACAGATAATACATTTGTTTGTTTGTTTGTTTTAATTTTTATTTATTTATTTTGAGACAGAGTCTTGCTCTGTCACCCAGGCTGGAGTGCAGTGGTGTGATCTCGGTTCACTGCAACCTCCGCCTCCTGGGTTCAAACAATTCTCCTGCCTCAACCTCCTAAGTAGCTGGGATTACAGGTGTGCACCATCACCCCTGGCTAATTTTTGTATCTTTAGTAGAGATGGGGGTTTCACCATGTTGGCCAGGCTGGTCTCAAACTCCTGACCTCAAGTGATCTGCCAGCCTCTGCCTCCCAAAGTGCTGGGATTACAGGCGTGAGGCACTGCGCCCAGCCAAAAGAGGTAATACATTCGAGTGCTTAGTGTATTTACATGGGACTTAGAACTCAGTAAAGCTTAACCAGTCCTGGTATTATTAGTATTAGTGTTGGTATTGCCATGATTATTTTGCCTTGAGGCTTTTAGTAGCAGTTTTCTCTTGATAACACTAGAATTCTATATTTTTAAATCTTGCACAGTCATGCCACAGAGTGACTTTTCCATCAACAACACACTGCATATATGATGGTGGTCTCACAGAATTATAATGGAGCTGTAAAATTCCTGTTGCCTAGTGAAGTTGTAGCCGTCATAAAGTCATAGTGCAACGTGTTAATCACATGTTTCTGGTGATGCTGGTGGAAACAAGCCTATTGTGCTGCCAGTGGTATAACAGCATAGCATATACAGTTATGTATGGTACAGAATACTTGCTAATGGTAATAAATGATTATGTTCCTGGATTATGTATTTCCTCTACTATACTTTTTAATCATTATTTTAGAGTGTACTCCTACTTATTAAAAACAAAACTAACTGTGAAACAGCTTCAGGCAGGTCCTTCAGGAGGCATTCCTGAAGAAGACATTGTTATCATAGGAGATGACAGCTCCATGTGTGCTATTACCCCTGAAAACCTTCCAGTAAGACAAGATACGGAGGTGAAAGACAGTGATGCTGATGATCCTGACAGCGTGTAGGCCTAGGCTAATGTGTGTGCTTATGTCTTTTTTTTTTAATTATTTTTTTTTAGATGGGAGTCTTTCTCTGTCGCCCAGGCTGGAGCGCAGTGGCACAATCTCGGCCCACTGCAACCTCCGCCTCCCTGGTTCAAGCAATTCTCCTGCCTCAGCCTCCTGAGTAGCTGGGACTACAGGCATGGGCCACCACACCCAGCTAATTTTTGTATTTTTAGTAGAGACGGGGTTTCACCATGTTGGCCAGGATGGTCTCAATCTCTTGACCTTGTGATCCACCTGCCTTGGCCTCCCAAAGTGCTGGGATTACAGGCATGAGCCACCGCGCACAGCCTATGTCTTCATTTTTAACAAAGAAGTTTAAAATGAAAAAAAAAATATTAAAGAATGAAATCATGTCTTTTGCAGCAACATGGATGGAGCTTGAGGCCATTAACCCAAGTGAACTCAGAAACAGAAAACCTAATACCACATGTTCTCATTCATAAGTGGGAGCTAAACAATAAGTACACATGGAAATAAAGGTGGAAATTATAGACATTGGGGACTCCAAAAGGAGGGAAGGTGGATGAGGAGCAGGGATTTAAAAAGTATCTGTTGAGTACAATGCTCACCATTTGGGTAATAGGTACTCTAGAAGTTTAAACTGCACCAGTACACATATACCCATGTGACAAGCATGCGCAGGTACTCCCTGAATCTATAATAAAATAAAAAAATTTAATAGAGAAAAGCTTGTAGAGTAAGGATATAAATAAAATATTTTTGTATAGCTGTACAATGTGTTTGTGTTTTAAGCTGTATTATTGCAAAGGAGTAAAGAGATTTTTAAAGAGTTTATAAAGTAGAAAAGTTACAGTAAGCAAAGATTACTATACTATTGGAGAAATAAATTTTTTTTATAAATTTAGTGTAGTTTAAGTGTACAGTGTTTATAAAGTCTACAGTGGTGTACAGTAATGTCCTAGGCCTTCACACTCACCCACCACTCACTCACTGACTCACTCAGAGCAGCTTCCAATCCTGCAAGCTCCAATCACGGTAATTGTCCCTAGACAGGTGTACCACTTAAAAAATCTTTTATACCCTATTTTTACTGTGTCTTTTCTGTTTAGATACACAGGTATTTACCACTGTGTCACAGTTGCCTGCAGTATTGAGTACAGTAACATGCTGTACAGATTTGTAGCCTAGGAGCAATAGGCTAAACCATATAGCCTAGATGTGTAGTAGGCTATACCTTCTACATTTGTGTAAGGGTACTCTATGATGTTTGCACAAAGATGAAATCACCAGTGACACATTTCTCAGAACATATCACTGTTGTTAAGCTATGCATGACTGTACTTAGAAACTTTTCTTTTGTTTTCTCTTTCTTCTCTTTTTACAGCCATCAGAAGCCGCCCAAACCTTTAATGGTGAGGGTTTGGAAGTGCCATATAGGAGGAAGAGTTTTGGAGGGCCCACTCCAACCATACTGCTTTGCCAGCACCTTTACTTCTCTGATATTGCTGAGCTCCAGACCCAGATTTCATTGACGTGATTCTCATTGTAAGAACCTGATCCTAAGTCTTTACACATTCTTGGCCTGTGCCATCCTCTGATGCTTGACTCTTACGTTTGGAATCCTCCTCTCCTACTCACCACCTCTTCACCCACTTTTGGTAAATAATCTTTCCCTGTAGATTTTATCTTTAATTCTTCTTGGACCTCCGTTCTCACATTTTTTTTTCTGAGCATGTTAGTCACTTGTCTTGCTTCCAACTGCTGGTTTTCTCAGATCCAGCCTTATTACTTGAGGCTTGGCAGCAGACGATTTCTTCTCACTGTTTCCACAGTAGCAGTCTTTCTCACTTAGTTTATCCACACTGCTAGCATCTCAGTAATCAATTAACCTATATCGTAAGACTTGTGAGTAGAGTGATAGAAATTAGTCAAAATGCAACAATACCATCAAAGTTCTTCATCTCCTTTTTCTTTTCTTTTTTTTTTTTTTTTTTTGAGATGGAGTCTCGCTCTGTCGCCCAGGCTGGAGTGCAGTGGTGCAATCTCCGCTCACTGCAAGCTCTGCCTCCCGGGTTCACACCATTCTCCTGCCTCAGCCTCCCCAGTAGCTGGGACTACAGGCGCCCGCCACCACGCCAGGCTAATTTTTTTGTATTTTTAGTAAAGACGGGGTTTCACCGTGTTAGCCAGGATGGTCTTGATCTCCTGACCTTTTGATCTGCCCACCTCGGCCTCCCAAAGTGCTGGGATTACAGGCTTGACCCACCGTGCCTGGACTTCATCTCCTTTTTCTTACCTGTATCCATCATTCCCTCCTAACCAATGTAATGGCTATGTGGCTTGCTTTCCTATCTTTCTACATGCTCATGTAACCATTTATAAAGCATATGTACATATAAAGAAAAAAAGAGGATTCAGCTAGGCACAGTGACTCAATTCTATAATTCCCAGTGCTTTGGGAGGCTGAGGCAGGAGAATTGCTTGAGACCAGGAGTTTGAGACCAGCCTGGGAAACATAGCAAGACTCTATCTCTACAAAAAAAAATTTTTTTTAATTAGCCAGACATGGTGGTGTGCGCCAGTAGTCCTAGCTACTCAGGAGGCTGAGGTGGGAGGATTGCTTGAGCCCAGGAGTTTGAGGCTGCAGTGAGCTATGATCACACCACTGCACTCCAGCCTGGATGAGACAGTGAGACCCTGTCTCTAAAAAAAATTAAAAAAAAAGGATTCTGTTTTATACATATACATTTCTCTGCATCTTGCTTTTCCTCTCTAAAACTATATATTGTAAGAATCCTATTCAGTCAACTGGCATAGAGCTGACTTATTCTAATGGCTGCATAGTTTTCCATGAGATGATTGTATCCCAATCATTTTTCTTTTCTTTTTCTTTCTTAATTTTCTTTTCTTTTTTTTCTTTCTCACTCTGTCTCCCAGGCTGGAGTGCAGTGGCACTATCACAACTCATGGCTCACTGCAGCCCTGATCTCCCAGGCTCAAGCAATCTTCCCACCTCAGCCTTTCCACCATGGGAGGCACACACCACCGTACCCAGCATTTTTTTTTTATTTTTATTTTTTATTGGTAGAGATGGAGTCTCACTATGTTTCCCAGGCTGGTCTTAAACTCCTGGGATCAAGCATCCTACTGCCACAGCCTCCCAAAGTGCTGGGATTACAGGCATGAGCCACACCCCCAGCCCGCAATCATTTTGCTGTTAGTAGTCATTCATTATTTTGTTTTTTGCTATGAAAAACAAAGCTGCAATAAACATTCCTGTTTCTATATCCTTACGTAGAGAATGGATTCTTCAGGATGGAATTTGCTGGTCAAGGGGAATGCGTATTCCTAATGGATGTTGCCACATTTCATACCACAAAAATGGAACATTCAGATATCTATCATGAAAGCATGAAAGTATCCATTCCACATTCCCAAATCACCCTTGCTGGCTGTTGTGCTTTTACATTTGTATTACTTTGGTAGGTGCCTCATGATATCTGATATACATATATGTACATATTATATATATGTGTATATATGTATGTATGTGTGGTTATATACGTGTGTGTGTGTGTGTGTGTGTGTGTGTGTGTGTGTGTTTATTTATTTATTTATTTATTTTGAGACAGAGTTTTGCTCTTGTTGCCCAGGTTGGGGTGCAATGGCGCGATCTTAGCTCGCTGTAACCTCTGCCTCCCAGGTTTAAGTGATTCTCCTGCCTCAGCCTCCTGAGTAGCTGGGATTATAGGCATGCGCCACCATGCCCACCTAATTTTGTATTTTTAGTAGATATGGGGTTTTACCATGTTGGCCAGGCTGGTCTCAAACTCCTGACCTCAGGTGATCTGCCTGCCTCAGCCTCCCAAAGTGTTGGGATTATAGGTGTGAGCCACCGCGCCCGGCCAATATATATATTGGGGCAGAGTCTTGCTCTGTCACCCAGGCTGGAGTCCAGTGGCATGATCTCTGCTCAGTGCAACCTCCTGGGTTCAAGCGATTCTCTTGCCTCAGCTTCCCAAGTAGCTGGTATTACAGGCGTGCACTACTGCCAGGCTAATTTTTGTAATCTTAGTAGAGACGGAGTTTCACCGTGTTGCCCAGGCTGGTCTCAACTCCTGGCCTCCAGCGATCCGCCCATCTCAGCCTCCCAAAGTGCTGGGATTACACGCATGAGCCACCATGCTTGGCCAGTATTTTAAATTGCATTTTTTCCTGACTACTAGTAATCTCTTTTAATTAGTTTATTTGTCAGTTGGGTTTTCTCTTAGTTGAATTGATCAGTCTTTTTTTTTTTTGAGACAGGGTCCGCTCTGTCACCCAGGCTGGAGTGCAGTGGCATGATCTCAGCTCACTGCACCCTCTGCCTCCCGGGCTCCAGCGATCCTCTGACCTCAGCCTCCCAAGTAGCTGGGACCACAGGCCGCGCTACCATGCTGCCTGGCCAATTTTGTGTGTGTGTATTTTTGGTAGAGCTGGGGTTTGCCATGTTGCCCAGGTTGGTCTGGAACTCCTGGGCTTAAGTGTTCTGCCCACTTCGGCCTTCCAAAGTGCTGGAATTACAGGCATGAGCCACTGTGCCCACCCGTGAATTGATTAGTGTTTATCTCCTCAGTTTAATAAGGGCTTTTTGTATGTTAAAAAGTTAACCACTTATCTGATATTTGCATTGCTAATACTTTTCCCAGTTGGTAAATAGTCTTTTCACTTTCTCTATAACTTTTTAATTTTAAACAATTTTGAAACACTTTCAAACTTACAGAAAAGTTGCTAGTACAATATAAAGAACTTTTATTTTCCTGAGCCATCTCAGAATAATTTGCCAATGTGATGCCCTGGCATCTCACAGACATTCTCCTACATAACCACAATACAACCATCAAAATTGGGACATTAACATTCATATATTGTGATCAGTAAATTTTGCTAATAATAATAATAATCCCCAATAATATCCTCTAGATCAGTAGTCCCCAAACTTTTTGGCACCAGGGACTGGTTTCATGGAAGACAATTTTTCCACAGACCAGGGGTGAGGGGGTGGTTTCAGGATGATTCAAGTGCATTATATTTATCATGCACTCTATTTCTATTATTATTACATTGTAATATATGATGAAATAATTATGCAACTCACCATAAGAATCAGTAGGAGAAATAATTATGCAACTCACCATAAGAATCAGTGGGAACCCTGAACCTGTTTTCCTGCAGCTGGACAGTTCCATCTGTGGGTGATGGGAGATAGTGACAGATCATCGGGCATTAGATTCTCATAACCTAGTGCACAACCTAGATCCTTCGCATGCACAGTTCACAATAGGGTTCATGCTCCTATGAGAATCTAATGTCACTGCTGATCTGGCAGGAGGTGGAGCTCAGGAGGTAATGCAAGTGATGGGGAGCAGCTGTAAATACAGAAGTTTAGCTTGCTTGCCCGCCACTCAACTCCTGCTGTGTGACACAGTACCAGTGATGGCCCCTAGGGGTAGGGGACCCCTGCTTTAAGAGAAAAAAGCCATCCCATTCAGAAGCACACATTGCATTTCTTTCTCATGTGTCTTTAATTTTCTTCAACTTGGAAATTATTTCTCATTCTTGAATTCTTTTTAAGTTTATAGGCCAGATATATTGTAGAATTTGGGTTTGAAAATATTCCTCATTATTAGATTCAAATTATGCACCTTTGGAAAAAAATTCAATGAAGCAAGAAGCAACATTGTATTCCTCGTGTCAGATGGCACATGCCTTGGATTTGTTGTCCAATTTGATAGCTTATTTAAGATGATGTCTTTTCTTCTTCTCCAGCATGAATTTATGTTTTCTTTCTCTAGTATTCTTTCAGGAAGTACTTTGAAACTAAGTAAATACTCTCTTATCAAACTTTTAATTTATTCATATATTTATATGTACCAATATGTACTCATGGTTCTTAATTTCCTTCAAAGGACTATATGTGTTACTATCATTAATTCATAATTTTGATGCTTAATTTCTCCCAGTCCAGTGAAGGAAAATGATAGCCAGAAACACAGGTGTAACAACAGGCTTATTGACTTAGCCGGGCTTAATAGGGTGTAGTCAGGGAACAGCTTTGTTTTCTTCCACTCTTGCCTCAAGCATTTTTTGTCAGAAACATTTTCCTTGCTCTTGGTGACTTTTCCGATAGATCCCATGAGTTTTTCAGTCACTTCAGATTCTAACAACACTACCATTTTTAGATTATGTAGTTCCATCCAACCTAAAGTAAAACCTCAGTATCTCATCCAATTCAAAGTTTATCCTCTCTCCCTAGCTCAGGCCTGATTCACTACCTTCCATGCCACTGGCTAGGAGGGGTCTGATTGCTCCTGTTACCTACCTGCCCCCCTGTATTAGTCTGTTTTCACACTGCTATAAAGATACTACCCGAGACTGGGTAATTTATAAAGGAAGGAAGTTTAATTGACTCACAGTTCTGCATGGCTGGGGAGGCCTCAGGAAACTTATAATCATGGTGGAAGGGGAAGCAGACACCTTCTTCACAAGGTGGCAGGAGAAAGCGAAGGGGGAAGAGCCCCTTGTAAAACCACCAGATCACATGAGAACTCACTCACTATCATGAGAACAGCATGGGGAAACTGCCCCCCGATCCAGTCACCTCCCTCCCTCTACACATGGGGATTACAAATTAGAGATGAGATTTGGGTTGGGACACAGAGCCAAACCATATCACCCCCACAAGGCTCCTCCAGAGTTGGGGTGGGCAGTGTGGGGGCGGGGAAGAAGGCACGCCAGCAGCACTGTTTGCACTTTTCTCTTGCCTGTCATATGACCTCTCTCACATCACATTTTCAAATTCTAGTTCTTTCTTGGTGTGCGGCAGTTGAGCCTTTGGAGATTTCCCTGAAATTTTATCTCTTTGGGGGAGTCTTACATAAGAATCAGCTTTTAGATTTATTTCCCCTTTATACTTTGTTTTCTGTTCATTAATTTTCATCTTTATTCTCTCTTCCAAATTTATGTTTTGTTTATTTTGGTGTTCTTGTTCTAAATTTTTTAACTGGACCTTAAATATTTTTTAACTTTTTTTCCTTTTTTTTTGAGACAGAGTCTCACTCTGTCACCCAGGCTGGAGTGCAGTGGCACGATCTCGACTCACCGCAACCTCTGACTCCTGGTTCAACCATCATGCCTGGCTAATTTTTGTATTTGTTGAAGAGGCAGGGTTTCACCATACTGGCCAAGCTGGTCTCAAACTCCTGACCTCAAGTGATCTGCCTGCCTTGGCCTCCCGAAGTGCTGGGATTACAGGGGTGAGCCACTGTGCCTGGCCTAAATTTTTTCCTTAATAATAAAATATTTAAGGCTATGAATTCCCATAGGAATAATTTGAACTATGTTGTGTATATTTTGGTATGAACTTTTTCCTCATTGCTTTGTATATGGTTTGTAATTTCAGTTTTGTTTACATTTTGATAAGAGTTATTTAGAATATTGTTTCTTTCTTCTTTTTTTTTTTGAGACAGAGTCTCGCTCTGTCACCCAGGTTGGAGTACAGTGGCACAATCTCAGCTCACTGCAACCTCTGCCTCCTGGGTTCCAGCTATTCTCATGCCTCAGCCTCCCAAGTAGCTGGGACTGCAAGCACGCACCACCACACACAGCTAATTTTTTTTTTCTTTTTTTCTTTCTGTATTAGTAAAGATGGGGTTTCACTATGTTGCCCAGGCTGGTCTCAAACTCCTGGCCTCAAGTGATCCATCCACCTCAGCCTCCCAAAGTGCTGGGATAATAGGAGTGAGCCACCGCACCTGGCCTAGAATATTTTTTCTTAATTTTCAAGTAATTAGAGGGTTTTTTGAGGGGTATCCCTTTTCATTACTTACTCCTTTTATTTTCTTTTTTGGATTATAATCAGGGAATGTGGCCTATAAAATCTCTACTCCTGTATATTGACTTAGATATCCTTTGGAAACAAAAACAAGATTAACTTTTGTAAATGTTCCATTAAAACACAAAAGAAATATAGTTATGAAATGTAACATTCCATACATGTTTTAGGTCAAATTTGTTGTTTGTTTTATTCTATTCTTCTGTTTCTATTTATTTTGTCTGTTAGATATATGTGAGTCTGAAAAAGGTGTGTTAAAATCTCCTAACATAAAGATTATGCTTTATATGTTTAGCTACTACAATGATTGGTGAACATGACTTATGATTGTTATACCTCTGTTATCAATTTGCCTTTTGTCATTACATATTAATATGCATGCTGTTTGGACCGCTAATAGGACCGCTAGACTTGACTTCTTTTGATTTATATTTATCTGGTGGATCTTTTTTTTTTTTTGAGATGGAGTCTCGCTCTGTTGCCCAGGCTGGAGTGCAGTGGCACGATTTCAGCTCACTGCAACGTCTGCCTTCAAGCGATTCTCCTGCTTCAGCCTCCCAAGGAGCTGGGATTACAGGTGCCTGCACCACACCTGTATAATTTTTTTGTATTTTTAGTAGAGAAGGGGTTTCACCATGTTGGCCAGGCTGGTTTCGAACTCCTAACCTCAGGTGATCCACCCGCCTTGGCCTCCCAAAGTGCTAGGATTACAGGCGTGAGCCACCGTGCCCGGCAGTATCTTTTTACATATCCTCTGAAGTTTAACTTTTCTTTCTCACTTTGTTTAAAGTGAGTTTCTTTTGTTTGTTTGTTTGTTTGTTTGAGGCGGAGTCTCCCTCTATCACCCAGGCTGGAGTGCAATGACATGATCTGGGCTCACTGCAACCTCTGCCTCCTGGGTCCAAGTGATTCTCCTGCCTCAGCCTCCTGAGTAGCTGGGATTACAGGCATGTGCCACCACGCCCAGCTAATTTTTGTATTTTTAGTAGAGACAGGGTTTTGCCATGTTGGCCAGGCTGGTCTTGAACTCCTGATCTCCAGTGATCCGCCCGCCTCAGCCTCCCAAAATGCTACGATTACAGGTGTGAGCCACAGTGCCTGGCCTAACGTGGGTTTCTTAAGTAATATGTGTTTGGGTTTTGATTTTTAAATCACACCGTCAGTTGCCACTAGTTATTATCCTACTACTTTCTGATATTAAAGTTGTAGTTAGAAATCTAAAGCCAGTCTTAATCTTTTTCTATGTAAACAATTTGTTCTTTCTATCTAGAAGACTGTAGAACTTTGTCATTACCCTTGGAATTACAACACAGTAATGGAATCTCTAGTGTGTTCCGGTTTTCATCCCCTGTTCCTTGAAACTCAAAGAATTCTGAGGATGAAACTCTTTCTTTAGCTCTGTAAAATTTTCTTCACCTGTTTGTTTAAATATTGTCTCTCCTCCTTCGATTGCTTTACTCTTCTGAAATTCCTATTTATTTACAAGTTACAACTTCTAGATCCATCTTCTGGTTCCTTTATATTTGCTTTTTTGATGTCTGACTTTAAATGTTTGCTTTTTTGAGAGATTTCTTTCCCTTGTACTTCCAGACCTCTGTTCACTTCTCAATAGTTACCATACACTTTTTCAGTACATCTGCTATATTTTTAAACTTAAAAAATCATGTTCTTGAGTTCCAGTTTAACGCTGTAATTGAAGCTCCTCAATTGCACTAATTACTTTTTCTGTTCAAGTTGCCATGCCCTTTTTCAGCAGTTCTATTTTGCTGGCAACCGCCATTTCTGGATGCTCTGCTCACTCTTCCCCATTCTGGCTTTGTTGTTCCTTTGCCTATGTTATTCACCTGGGGCCAGGTCTTCAGCAGCAGCTATCTCTTGAGTACAGGAGGCTCCATGGTCTCTGATCCTGTAGACAGACAAGTCCTCAGCTGGAAAATGCTTATCTTATCTTCTCTGCTCCCCAGTTTCCTTAGCTACAAAGGTTAATTTTCTCTTAGTTGTAAAGATACAAAGTCTTTTTTTTTTGTTTAAATTTTAAAAATAATTGAGATGGAGTCTCGCCATGTTGCCCAGGCTGTTCTCAAACTCCTGAACTCAAGCAATCTACCCGCCTCAGCCTCCTAAAGTGCTGGGATTACAGGTGTGAGCCACCAAGCTTGGCCAAAGATACAAAGTCTTATTTCATTCGCCACTCCTTGAGGGCCAGAGAGACCAGCAAGTCCTTCTAGGTATAGTTGTGTCAGCTGTAGGCTGGGTTGCTGGGTAGAATATATTACATGGGACAGACTTACATAAAAAGAATTATTCATTATTGATCTAAAATTCAATTTTTGTTTTGTTTTGTTTTTGAGACAGGGTCTCACTCTGTCACCCAGGCTGGAGTGCTGGAGTGCAATCAGAACTCACAGCAGCCTTGACCTCTTGGGCTCAAGCAATCCCTTATCCTCAGCTCCCTGGAGTAGCTGGGATTATAGGTACGCACCACCATGCCTGGCTAATTTTTGTATTTTTTGTGGAGATGGGGTTTCCCTTTGTCGCCCAGGCTGGTGAAGTTGGAATTTAGCTGTGTGTTCTTTCTCTCTTTTGGGTAAATTTGGCTGCCCTAAGGCCAGGCGTGTTGGCTCATACCTGTAATCCCAGCAATTTGAGAGACTGAGGTGGGCGGATCACTTGAGGTCAGGAATTCAAGACCATCTTGGCCAACATTGTAAAACCCCCGTCTCTACTAAAAATACAAAAATTAGCCGGGCGTGGTGGCAGTTGCCTGTAACCCCAGCTACTTGGGAGGCTGAGGCGTGAGAATCACTTGAACCCTGGAGGCGGAGGATCAGTGAGCCCGAGATCACACCACTGAACTCCAGCCTGGGCAACAGAAAGAGACTGTCTCAAAAAAAAGAAAAAAAAATTGGTCTGCACTGATCAGCTGGGTTGTTCTCCTTCTTGTCTTTTCTCTTGTCTATGGATCCCATGGGCCAAGCTCTCTTCAGTAACCTCAGAGCTCTGACCCTTGCCTCAAGGTACCTCTCAGGCCCCAAGCTCTCTCTGGCCTGAAGGATGCTCCGGCCCAGGTCCAGTACAGGCCCTCTCTGTATTGAATCCCCACAGCACCTAAAACCCTGCATGCCCTTCCTTCTGCCTCCTAGGCTCCATTTGAGAAGGAGTTACAGTTACATGGAGCTGGGAGAGGAAAAGGAGACACAGAGGTGCACGTTAGGTAGCTGTGGTAGAATATGTGAGGAAAATGATTCTTAGAGCCAGCTAACCTATCATTTAAGTAGGAAGACGGGCAAAAATATTTCCAGACCTGAAAACCCTCAGAAATCCTCTTTCTCGAGTATTTTTATGAATAGGTAATGTGAAGATGTCCTCAAGCAAACAAGAGAGTAAAACAAGAAAGAAGAAAATGTGAGCACTAAGAAAAAGTCAATCCCGGCAGGGAGCACAGTGCGGGGCCGTTCCCGAGTATGAGCGGTGCAGCAGGCCTGGAGAGGAGCCAGGTCAACCGGAGCACACGCACAGAACTCCAGAAGGGAGGGGGCCGCAGACGAAACAGCGCACGGGAGGGAACGGAAGAACCTAAGGATGGGATCAAAGAGAGGCAATCTGAGTCCTTCCAGTCAACTTTTATTTGAGATGTGATAGGATCATTCAGGGCCGATCACATCAGGGATCCCACTCAAAATGTACCGTATTTAGGTTCATATCCCCAGGGCCAAGTTGAAATCAAACCAATCTCTGAATAACGATATAGGATATATGTAAAAGGCCAATGAATGCGATACACTCTGCTCAAATTCAGACACCTGAGGTCTCAAAATAACTCATTTCAAAACTTGGATTCCCACTTTTGTCCTGCCTCCATTCATTCTACCTAAAGAAAACCAAACTAAAAAATAGGCTTGTGGTTCCAGTCTAGCTTATAAGAAGTTGCTACTGTTTCCCACCACAAATAAAATGCAGAACAAACTGAAAAATCAACAATTCTATTCTTAGATCCATAAGAGAAGTGAAGTCACAGGGCAAACCGCTGCCCCCATAATGGAGCAACTGAGCGGAAACCCACAAGCTGAAACCTCTCAGGAACCTGTGTTGGGGAAGGGAAACCTGAATTGCAACTGATGAATTGCTGGAGGCTCAGTGTGGACAAGTTTGAGAGATATTAATAAATATTCCAGGGGACTGAGTCCCCCTCCAGGAGCTCAAACAGTTCCTCGCAGTGAATATTGGAGACGAATCCTCTCCTTCTGGCATGGGGAGGAGAAAAGGAACCATTTTGAAATACGCCAGAAAACTGTGTTCTTAACAATGCCTGCCCTCAGGAGAAACTATTTAACCAGAGCCTAACCTGCTGGGGTTTCATCAGACCCTAACTGACCCAGGGAAAATAAATGCCCAACTCCAACCCACTCTAGCCATTCAGTCCACCTGTGCAGGGTGGGAACTGAGACACATCTGTGAAGTTCACAGTCCAGAGGCACAGGCTGCCTAAAGAACAGATACCTAATTGTGAAATTATAGAACACTTCCCCACCCCAACACCATACCACCACATTACTAAAGGCTAATCGACAGCAGTTCCTTTTAACCAGTGCCTCATGTCCAGCTATCAAGAAAAAATTACAAGACATATTGAAAGGCAAAAATGTAGTTTGAAGAGACAGAGAAAGCCTGAGAACCAGCCTAAAATATGTCAGGGATGGTGGAATTATTAGGCTGGAAATTTAAAACAACTATTATTAACATGCTTAGGGCTGTAATGGATAAAGTAGACAGCATGCAAGAACAGATGGGCAATGTAAGCAGAGGGATGGAAATCCCAAGAAAGAACCAAAAATAAATGCTAGAGCTCAAAAGCAGTGTAATCAGAATGAAGAATGTGTCTGATGGCTTATTAGCAGACTGCACACAGCCGAAAAAGAATCTGTAAACTTGAAGATACCTCAGTAGAAACCTCCCAGACTAAAGAGCAAACAGAAAAAGAAGACTGAAAAAAAAAACAAAAAACCAGAACAGAATATCCGAAAAGAGTGGGACATACACAAATGGAAACACCAGAAGGAAAAGAATGAGAGAAAGGAACAGAAGAAATATTTGAATAGCAATGATTGAGAATTTCCCCCAAATTGTCTTCAGTCACCAAACCATAGATTGAAAAAGCTCAGGGAACACAAAACAAGATAAATTCCAAAAGAAAACTCTACCTAGGCATATCATTTTTAGACTAGAAAATCAGAGGTAAAGAAAAAATATCCTAAAAGAAGCCAGAGAGAAAAAACTTTGCCTATAAAGGAGCAAAGATAAGAATTATATGTGACTTCTCAGAAACCATGCAGGCAAGTAGAAAGTGGAATGAAATACTTAGCGTGGATGGAAAAAAACACCACAAACCTAGAATTCTGTGCCCTGTGAAATTATCCTTCAAAAGGTGAGGAGAAATTAAAGCTTTCTCAGACAGACAGAAATTGAGGGAAATTGTTGCCAGTATACATCCTTGGCCAGAAATGTTAAAAGAAGATCTTCAGAGAGAAGAAAAATGATACAGGTCTGAAACTACCATCTACATAAGTAAAGGAAGAGCATCAAGGAAGGAATAAGTAAGGGAAAGAAAATTTTTATTTTTCTTGTTCTTAATTATCTAACAACAGTTTGTTCAACATAATAATAGCAACAATGTATTCAATTATATATACATACAGATTCCAGAGAAATTAAAAGAATAATCAAGCAATACTTTGAATAACTCTGTGTCCACAGATTTGATAACCTAGATGAAATGGGGATAATTCCTTCAAAGATCCAGTCTGCCAAAAGTCATACAACAAGAAACAATCTTAATAGGCCTATACCTCTTGAAGAAATTGAATTAATTAATTAATAACTTTTCAAAATAGAAAGCACCAGGGCCAGATGGGTTTATGAGTGAATTCTACCAAACATTTAATAAGGAAATTATATCACTTCTCTACAAACTCTTTCAAAAGATAGAAGCAGAGGGATTACTTCTTAACTCATTTTACGAGGCCTGCATTATTCTAGTACCAAAACCAGACAAAGGTATTAGAAGAAAACTACAGACCAATATTTCTCAAGAATGTGGTTGCAAAAATCCTAAAATATTAGCAAATCAAATCCAATGTTATATTAAAAGAATTACATACCACAACCAAATCGGAGCTATCCCAGGTATGTAAGACTGATTCAACATTTGAAAATCAGTTAATGCAATCCATCACATCAACAAGCAAAGAAGAAAAATCATATGATTATATCAACAGATGCAGAAGAAACATTGGATAAGATCCAAGACCATTTCATGATAAAGACTCTCAATAAAGTAGGAAAGAGTGAAACTTCCTCAACTTGATAAAGAATATCTACAAAAGACCTACAGCTAACATCATACTAAGTGGTGAGAAACAAGAAGCTTTCCCACTAAGATCAGCAACAAGGCAAGGACATCTCCTCTCTCACTACTGCTTTTCAGCATCATAATGGAAGTCCCACCTAATGCAATAAGTCAAGAAAAGGAACTAAAAGTATACCAATTGGAAAAAAAGAAATAGAACTGTCTTTGTTCACAGATGACATGATTGTCTATGTAGAAAAAAAAATGACCAAAAAAAAAACTCTCCACAAAGCCCTGGAACTACTAAGTGATTATAGCAAGGTTGCAGAATGCAAAGTTAATGAAAAATTCAATCACTTTCCCATTTACTGACAATAAACAAGTGGAATTTCAACTAAAACAATGCAATATCATTTACTTTAGGACCCCTAAAAATGAAATACTTCGTTAGAAATCTAAAAAAATATGTTCAAGACCTATATGAGGAAGACTAGAAACCTCTGATGAAAAAAACAAGACCAACTGAATAAATGGAGAGACATTTCATGTTCATGGATAGGAGAACTCAACATTGTCAAGATGTCAGTTCTTTACAACTTGATCTATAAATTCAACATAATCCCAATCAAAATCCAAATAAGTTGTTTTGTGGATATCCAACAAACTTATTCTAAAGTTTATATGGAGAGGCAAAAGCCCCAGAATTACCAACATAATATTGAAGGAGAGCAAATTTGGAGAACTGACATTATGTAAGTTTAAGACCTACTATAAGCTACAGTAACCAAGACAGTGTGGTATTTGTGAAAGAATAAACAAATAGATCAATGGAACAGAAAAGCCCTAAAATATACACACATAAATATAGTCAAGTGATCTTTCACAAAGGAGCAATGATAATACAATGGAGAAAAGACAGGTTTTTCAACAAATGCTGCTGGAATGAGTAGACATACACATGCCAGAAAAAAAAAAAAAAAAAAAAAAACCTGGCCGGGTGCAGTGGCTCATACTTGTAACCCAGCACTTTGGGAGGCTGAGGTGGGTGGATCACAAGGTCAGGAGTTCAAGACCACCCTGACCGACATGGTGAAACCCTGTCTCTACTAAAAATACAAAAATTAGCTGGGACTGGTGTCATGCACCTGTAATCCCAGCTACTCAGGAGGCGGAGGCAAGAGAATCACTTGAACCTGGGAGGTGGAGGTTTCAGTGAGCCAAGATCATGCCACTACACTCCAGCCTAGGTGACAAAGCGAGACTCTGTCTCAAAAAAAACAAAAATGAAAACAAAAACAAACAAAAAACCTAGACACAGACCTTATACCCTTTACAAAAATTAGTTCAAACTACATCACAGAGCTAAATATAAAACACAGAAATGAGTGGCTGAATGGATTAAAAAAAAAAAAAGACCCAACAATCTGTTGCCTACAAGAAACACACTTCATATATAAAAACACTCAAAGACTGAAAATAAAGGGATGGAAAAAGATATTCCATGCAAATGTAAACCAAAGAAGAGCAGAAGAAGCTATGCTTATGTGACACAAAATAGATTTTCAAGACAAAAACTATAAAAAGAGACAAAAGTCATTACATACTGATAAAGGGGTCAATTCAGCAAAAGGATATAACAATTTTAAATATGTATACACCCAACACTGGAGCATCCAGATATATAAAAACAAATATTATTAGAGCTAAAAAGACAAATAGACCTCAATACAATAATATCTAGAGACTTCGACACCCCACTTTCAGCATTGAATAGATCATCCAGACAGAAAATCAACAAGGAAACATCTGACTTAATCTTCAGTATAGACCAAATGGACCTAATCAATATCTACAGAACACTTTATCCAATGGCTGCAGAATACACATTCTTCTCCTCAGCACACGGATCATTCTCAAGGATATGCCAGATGTTAGACCACAAAACAAGTCTTTAAAAATTAAAAAAAAAATTGGCCGGGTGCGGTGGCTCACGCCTGTAATCCCAGCACTTTGGGAGGCCGAGGCAGGTGAATCACAAGGTTAGGAGTTCGAGATCAGCCTGATCAACACAGTGAAACCCCATCTCTACTGATATAAAGTACAAAAATTAGCCAGGCATGGTGGCATATGCCTATAATCCCAGCTACTTAGGAGGCTGAGGCAGGAGAATCACTTGAACCTGGGAGGCGGAGGTTGCAGTGAGCTGAGATCGCGCCACTGCACTCCAGCCTGGGTGACAGAGCAAGACTCTGTCTCAAAAAAAAAAAAAAAAAATTTAAAAATTGAAATTATATCAAGTATCTTTTCTGACTACAATGGAATAAGACTAGAAATAAATAACAAGAGGAATTCTGGAAACTATACAAATACATGGAAATTAAACAATATGCTCCTGAATGACCAGTGAGTCAATGAAGAAATTAAGAAAGAAATTTAAAATTTTTTTGAAATAAATGATAATGGAAACACAACATGCCAAAACCTATGAGATACAGCAAAAGCAGTACTGAGAGAAAAGTTTACAACGATAAGCACCTATATCAGAAAAGTAGAAAAAAAATAAATAAACAACCTAATGGTGTATCTTGAAGAACTAGAAAAGCACAAGCAAACCAAACTCAAACTTAGTAGAAGAAAAGAAATCATAAAGATAAGAACAGAAATGCAGGAAATTGAAATGAAGAAAACAACACAAAAAATCAATGAAATGAAAAGTTGGCTTTTTAAAAAGATGAACAAAATCAACACCAACAAACTTTTTTTCAGACTAAGAAAAAAGAGAAGAAATCTAAAATTAAGTCAGAGATGAAAAAGGAGACATTACAACTGATACCACAGAAATTCAAAAGATCATTAGAGGCTACTGTGAGCAACTACATGCCAATAAATTGGAAAACCTAGAAAAAATGGATAAATTTCTAGACACTTACAAACCACATAATTAAACCATAAAAAAAATCCAAAACCTGAACAGATTAATAACAAGCAACAAGAGTGAAGCTGTAATAAAAAATCTCCCAGCAAAGAAAAGCCCTGGACCAGATGGCTTCACTGCTGAATTTTACCAAACATTTAAAAAAGAACTAATACCAATCCTACTGAAGTATTCCAGAAAATAGAGGATGAGGGAATACTTCCAAACTCATTCTACAAGGCCAGTTTTACCCTGATACCAAAACCAGATACAGACACTTCAAAAAAAGAAAACTGTAGGCCAAAATTCCTGATGAACATTGATGCAAACAGCCTTAACAAAATACTAGGAAACCAAATCTGACAATACATTAAAAAGATCATTCATCATGATCAAGTGGGATTTATTCCACAGATGCAAGGATGCAACTAAAGTAATACATCATATCACAAGAATGAAGGACAGAAACCATGATTGTTTCAACTGATGCTGAAAAAGAATTTGATAAAATTTAACATCTCTTCATAATGAAAATTTTCAAAAAAATTGCATATGGAAGGAACATACCTCCACACAGTAAAAGCCATATATGACAGACCCACAGCTAGTATCATACTGAATGGGGAAAAACTGAAAGGTTTTCCTCTAAGATCTGGAACATGAAAAGGATGCCCACCTTCACTATTGTTATTCAACATAATACTGGAAGTTCTAACTAGAGCAATCAGATAAGAAAAAGAAATAAAGGCATCCAAATTGGAAAGGAAGAAGTCAAATGATCCTTATTTGCAGATGATATGCTTCCATATTGGAAAAAACCCAAAGACTCCATCAAAAAATGATTAGAACTGATAAATTTAGTAAAGTTGCAGGATACAAAATCAACATACAAAAACCAGTAGTATTTCTGTATGGCAACAGCAAACAATCTGAAAAAGTAATCAAGAAAGGAATTCCATTTACAATAGTTACAAATAAAATAAAATACCTAGGAATTAACCAAAGAAATGAAAGGTATCTACAATAAAAACTATAAAACACTGATAAAATAAATTGAAGAGGACATGCAAAAGAAGGAAAGGTATTTGATGTTCATGGATTGGAAGAATCAATATTGTTAAAATGTCCACGCTACCTAAGCAATCTAGAGATTCAATGCAATCCTTATCAAAATACCAATGACATTCTTCACAGAAATACAAAAAAAAAAATCCTAAAATTTATGAGGAGCCACAACAGACTCAGAACAGCCAAAACTATCCTCAGCAAAAAGAACACAACTGGAGGAATCACATTACTTGGCTTCAAATTATACTGCAGAGTTGTACTAACCAAAATAGCATGGTACTGTCATAAAAGCAGACATTCAGACCAATGGAACAGAAGAGGGAACCCAGAAGCAAATTCATACATCTACAGTGAACTTATTTTCAACAAAGATTCCAATAACATACATTGGCAGAAAGGACAGTCTCTTCTATAAATGGTGTGGGAAAACTGGATATCCATATGCAGAAGAATGAAATTAGACCCCTATCTCTTGCCATATACAAAAATCAAATCAGAATGGATTGAAGACTTAAATCTAAAACCTCCAACTATGAAACTACTTAAAGAAAACATTAGAAAAAATCCCTGGGACATTGATCAGGGCACGCATTTCTTCAGTAATACCCCACAAGCACAGGTAACCAAAGCAAACATGGACCAATGGGATCACATCAAGTTAGAAAGCTTCTGCACAGCAAAGGAAACAATCAACAAGGTGAAAAAACAACCCACAAAATGGGAGAAAATATTTGCAAACTTGCCATCTGACAAGTGATTAATAACCAGCACATATAAGGAGCTCAAATCACTCAATAGGAAAAAATCTAATAACCCAATTTTTTAAATGGGCAAAGGATCTGAACAGACATTCTCAAAAGAAGACATACAAATGGCAAACAGGTATATGAAAAGATGCTCAGCATTATTGATAATCAGAGAAATGCAAATCAAAATGGCAATGAGATTATCATCTCACCACAGTTAAAATGGCTTTTATTGAAAGGACAGGCAATAAAAATGCTGGCGAGGATGTGGAGAAAAGGGAACCCTCATACACTGTTGGTGGGAATGTAAATTAGTACAACCACTATGGAGAACAGTTTGAACATTCCTCAAAAACTATAAATAGAATGACCATATGATCCAGCAATCCCACTGCTAGGTATATACCCAAAAGAAAGGAAATCAGTATATTGAAGAGATATCTGCACTTCCACGTTTATTGCAGCACTATTTACAATAGCCAAGATTTGGAAGCAACCAAGTGTCCATCAACAGACAAATGGATAAAGAAAATGTGGGACATACACACAATGGAGTACTATTCAGCCATAAAAAAGAATGAGATCCGGCCAGGTGCAGTGGCTCATGCCTGTAATCCCAGCACTTTGGGAGGCTGAGATGGGTGGATCATGAGGTCAGGAGTTCAAGACCAGCCTGGCCAAGATGCTGAAACCCTTTCTCTACTAAAAACACAAAAATTAGCCAGGCATAGTGGCACACGCCTGTAATCCCAGCTACTGGGGAGACTGAGGCAGGAGAATCACTTGAACCCAGGTGGCAGAGGTTGCAGTGAGCTGAAATCATGCCACTGCACTCCAGCCTGGGTGACAGAGCAAGATTCCATCTTAAAAAAAAAAAAAGAATGAGATCTTGTCATTTGCAACAACATGGATGGAACTGGAGGTCATTATGTTAAGTGAATTAAGCCAGGCACAGAAAAACAAAATTTGCATGTTATCACTTATTTGTGGGAGCTAAAAATATTAAAGCAATAGAACTCATGGAGATAAAGAGTAGAAAAATGATTACCAGAGGTTGGGAGGGGGATGGAGGGGAAGTGGAGATAGTTAATGGGTAGACAAATGTAGTTAGAATGAATAAGATCTAGTATTTGATAGCACTATAGGGTGACTACAGTGAACAATAATTTATTGTGCATTTTAAAATAAGGAAAAGAGTTTAATAGGATTGTTTATAACACAAAGAAAGGATTAATTCTTTAGGCGATAGATATCCCATTTCCCCTGATGTGATTATTATGCATTGTATGTCTATATCAAAATATCTCAAGAACCTCATCAATATATACACCTACTGCATACTTACAAAATTTTGTTTTATTAAAAAAATTAGAAAAACCCCACAAAACTATAAAAGTCCTGCAAGATAACATAGGAGAAAATCTAGATGACCTTGGGTTTGATGATGACTTTTAGATATAAAACCAAAGACATAATACAAGAAAAAAAGAATTGATTAGCTGTACTTTCTTAAAATAAAAAATTTCTGCCCTGCGAAAGACACTTTTTTTTTTTTTTTTGAGACAGAATCTTACTCTGTCACCCACGCTGGAGTGCAGTAGCACAATCTCAGCTCACTACAGCTTCCACCTCCTGGGTTCAAGCGATCCTCCTGCCTCAGCCTCCCGAGTAGCTGGGATTACAGGCATGCATCACCACACCTGGCTAATTTTTGTATTTTTAATAGAGATGGTTTCACCATGTTGGCCAGGCTGGTGTTGAACTCTTGGCCTCAAGTGATCCACCTGCCTCGGCCTCCCAAAGTGCTGGGATTACAGGCGTGAGCCATTGCGCCTGGCTGAAAGACACTTTCAAGAGAGTAAAAGACAAGCTACAGACTGAAATAAATATTTTCAAAAGTTATATCTGATAAAGGACGGTTATACAAATATACAAAGTACTCTTAAAACTCAACAATAAGAAAACAACAACCCAATTAAAAAAATAGACCACAGAACATAATAGACACTTCTGAAGAAGATCTACAGATGACAAATAAGCTTATGAAGATATGCTCATCATATGTCATTAGGAAATGCAGCAAGTGCAACTTAAAACAACAATGAGATACCACTACACACCTATTAGAATGGCCAAAATCCACAACTCTGACAACACCAAATGCTGAATCTGTATTAGTCAGGGTTTTGCAGAGAAACAGAACCAATAGATATAAAAGAAGATTTACTATATGGACTTGGCTCACACGATTATGGAGGCTGAGAAGTCCCTCCTCTGTCATCTGCAGGCTGGAGACTCAGGAAAGCTGGTGGTGTAATTTACTCTGAGTTTGAAGGCCTGAGAACAAGGGGAACTATTGATGTAAATCCCAGTCTGAAAATGATATGAGATGTCCTAGATGCAGCAGTGAGGAAGGTAAAAAAGAGGAGGCAGGGAGCAAATTCCTCCCTTCTCCACCTTTGTTCTGTTTAGGCCCTTAATGGATTGATTGATTGCTGTTGTGGATGACAGCCACAATGGGGAGGGCAATCAACTAAATCCATGGATAGTCAAATGGTAATCTCATCTGGAAACACCCTGACAGACACACTCAGAAACAATGTTTCATCCAGGTGCCTCTAAACCCACTCAAATTGACACATAAAATTAATCTTCACAAATCCACCCCTGTCAACTTGGTACCCATGCATACCTCCCCAATCCATATTAATAAAGACAACAAAAAGTCTTAATTCTGCCTAACATACCACAACTATCCTGCAAACAATCAAAAGCGCACAAACCTCTTCCCTAGGAAAGGAGGTAAGGTCCTTTAGTGATACTTAACTCTTCTCCTTCGTATCTCATAACTCAGATACTATGATGTAAAGTTAACAATACTGAAATACTGTGATATAAAATCAGTACATCTAAGGTTACATGATAAGGCAGTAAGAAAGGAAGGAAAACAAAGATTATATACACACATATTCATAGCAACATAGGAGAAAATAATCATGACAATTACATTCCTAACTGATCTTGTAGTCATGGTGGTAGCCAGTATTTTTAACTATGGGTGGAGGAAGGAGGAACCTTCTACTACATATTCTGTATTCCCTTTGCCTTCAGCAAGCTCCTCAGCTGGTTGTGATTCTTCTTTGGTGTGGTGACCCAAAATTTTATTCCTGAAGGATTTGGGACATTAATAATCCTGGCTGGACTGGGTTTTTGTAATTTAATCACAGGATGCAGTAATACTAAGAGATGCCCCACGTGACCTCCTGTATTCCACATATGCTCTTTCTTTGGTTGTGGTTGGTCTACTACAACCAAAGTAGACCAGCTTTCCCTTGGGAGTCAGGATCAATCACCCCAGCCAACACCATGACTCCCTTTCACGAGGAGACACAACAATGATTCCACTGAACTGGAAGGTAAGACCAGCCACAGTAGGAACTCTCATTCATTGCTTATGGGAATGCGAAATGGTACGGCCACTTTGGAAGACAGTTTGGTGGTTTCTTACAAAACTAAACATCCTCTTCCCATACGATCCAGCAATTATCCCCTTTGGTATTTACCCAAGGAAGCTGAAGTATTATTTCCACACAAAACCTGCATACAGATGTTTATGACAGCTTTATTCATAATTGCCAAAACTTGGAAGAAATCAAGATGTCCTTTAGTAATTGAATGGATAAATGAACTGCAGTATATCCAGCCAGTGGAATATGATTCAGCAGTAAAAAGAAATGAGCTACCAAGCCAGGAGAAGACATAGAAAAGTCTTAAATGTCTATTACTAAGTGAAGGGAGCCAATCTGAAAAGACAACATACTGTATGATTCCAACTCTATGACAACCTGGAAAATGCAAATCTATGGAGACAGGAAAAAGTTCAGTGGTTTCCAAGGGTTGCGGGGAGGGAAAGGTGAATAGGCAGAGCACAGAGGACTTTTAGGGCAGTGAGACTACTCAGTATATCATTACAGTGGCAGAGACATGTCACTATAAATTTGTCCAAACTCATAAAATATGCAACACTAAGAGTGAAACCTAATGTAAACTATGGACTTTGGATGACAAGATGTGTCTGTGTAGGTTGATAATTTGTAACAGATGTACCACTCTGTTGAAGGAGATTAATAATGGGTGAGTTGCATGAATGGGGGCACGGGGTAGATGGGGAATCTCTATACCTTCCACTCAGTTTTGGTGTGAACCTAACACTGATCTAAAATATAAAGCCTACTAAAAAAAAAAATACACTCACATACATGCACACACACACACACACTCACACACTTTTGGCTAGTGAGGAAAAACTCATGTGTGTGTGTTATACAATATATCCCTATCTCTTGATATAAAAAAATAGCTTTCAAAATTTTTGCTTGGGGCCTGGTGTGGTGGTGCGTACCTATAGCTCTAGAGCTTTGGGAGGCTGAGGCAGGAGGATTGCTTAAGGCCAGGAATTTGAGACCAGCTTGGGCAATATAGTGAAGACCCTGTCTTTAAGAGACCTTGTCTCTTAAAAAACTAAAAATTTTTTTTTATTAGTTCAGTTCCCTCATCTGGTAAGTGAAGCAAATAAGAGTACCTTAAAGAATTGTGGAATTAAATGGGTTATATATAGGGAACAGTGTGTGGGATATGGTAAGCACCATGTAAGAGTTTGGTATTGTAATTAATGAAGGACAGCAATGCTTTATACTACTGGAAAAGCTCCAGTATAAAACTGGTAATAGGAACAATGTAAATTTGTAACTACCATAGATAATTATATCACTACGCAAATAAAATGTGAAAAAAATTTCCTTAGTTCCTGTAACTTGGTAGTAGCTGCAACCTCAGTGCTTGCTTTGTTGGCATCTACTTGAAGATTGTGCCAATTAGTGCAAACAGAAAAGTAGCACAATGGATTTAGAGTCATTTTGTTCAAAATAAGGCAATACTTTCCTATAAAGCACTGTATTTTACTGTAAAAAAATTAAGAAAAATTAAAAGCAAACTGAATATAGATTTAGACCAAAGAGAAAATTTAAATATTTTTGTGCTGAGAGAACATGATGCCATCTCCTTCTGGGTAGACAATGACAAGGCCCTGAAATCCTGTGAGCATGAAGTTTGCTTGGATAATGAGATTGTCACTGTGACCTCCTCTTGGCTCAAGGCCTCTTGTTTATTTCTGGTTTTCAGTCATGCTCTTGGCATAGCTCAAATGCTCAAGAATATTTATCATCCCTGTTCATGTTTCCAAAGCAGACAGGATTTGCTGTTCCCTGCCATGAGAGGGGAATACAGAGTGAGGACACCTGCTGTGGGGTGGGACGGGGAGGGAGGCGCCTGGTGTTCCCTGGGCCATGTCTTACTAGGAGATAGATTGTATGTCTCAGGTCACAGGTGTCCCAGACTGTGGTTCTAGTGGGTCTGTGACCATTAGTCAGCCTGAACCTCCCTTCACATCCTGTCCCCTCTGTGTAAAGTATTCCTCCTCCCTCTATCTTCTCCTTTCTAGCAATTGGGAGGATGAAGGCAGCTTGAGGTTCTCTGTGGCTGCTGTGTAAGTGGACTAAGTGGGCCCTCAAAGTCTATTTTTCAGAAGGGAGCAGAAAACCCCAAAAGGCTTCATTTCTAAGCTTCATCCTCCAACACAGTTTCCTGGAAACTCTACTCACCATTAATCGTTTATGCCCTGCTCCACACTTGACCAGCAAAACTCCGATCTAACCTTCCTATTTGTGAAAGCTCTGGAGGGAAAGAGGAATGAATGGGAGAAGTCAGGGCCTAAACTCCTTCACATGCCTAATGCTTCATGTGCATCAAACCCTACACAAAACATTTGGAAGAGGGGAAGGAGGGAGGAGGCTTAGTATTTAATGGGTACAGAGGTTTCATTTGAGAAGATGAAGAAAGTTCTAGAGAATGGATGGTACTGATGGTTGCCAACAATGTGGGTGTACTTAATGCCACTGAACTGTACACTTTAGAAGGGTTACAATGGTAAATTTTATGTTTGTATATATTTTACCACAATTTTGAAAAGATGCAACTAAAAAATAACCCCAATATTTAGAGTAAGCAATAAGCATCTGTGTATCTACACACACAGAGGAATGAATATATTTATTCATGTCAATTTCTTATTAGAATGATCAAGGTGATTATAAATTTTCTCATAATAGTCCCAGGATGAGAGGCAAGTATAATACTGTGGAGTCAGATGGTTCCAGATCTGAATTCTGGCTCTGCCACCTATTCAGTATATTATCTTGGGCAAGTTATCTATTTCTTGAGCCTCAGTTTCCTGATCTTTTAGAGGTATAGAATCTTACATATGGCATCAGTTTCAATGAACTAATACATAAAGGACCTAGTGGCAGATCTGGCAAAGAAGGGACACTCAAGTGTTTCATTCATGTCTGTGTTTCCCCTTTCAGGTGCAATGCAAGTGGGTCTACAGGCAATGCCCACTCCTGAGAATCCTGTTCCACTTCCAAGGAGCTCCAGGAGCTCTGTCTGCTCTATTGTGAATCCAACTCAATTTGATATCCCCAGGCTTATCAAAAATCAATCCTTACACTGTGGGCTCATTATTTTATAGGAAGACTGGAGTCACACTCTATTTACAAAGTCTTTGAGGTAAGTGATGACCTGTTGGAAAAATGCTTATAGTTTTAGAATTACCACACAATGCCTCTGACAAGACCTACTCCTGCTGGGATGAACTGGTTTCATGTGTATTAGATTATATGCCAAGAAATACTTGCCTTAAGACTGGCCCAAAAGCCCTGTCGGTCAAGACTCCAAATCAACCTCCAAGCAGGTACCATAGAAATCCAAACCCTTAGGCTGGCCCAGCAGGTTGACTTCAGAGGCAGCCAATCTGTGTGTGTATCTCAAGCTTGGTAAAAACATGCAAGTATGAAAGCAAATTGAGCCATAATCTCCACAAGTTAAATAATAAAGTAAACTTCTTATATAAGCCAAATCATGATTAACAGCTACACTTTGCTATCAGGGTAAGATAATTTGTGTTAAGAACTCATGAAAGTAATAGAATCATTCTGTGATGGTTTCAAGTATTTTCAAGCTTTACATCCTGTAATTCTAGGCTCTCTGGGACAATGCTGCTTTAGAATTCCATCCATAGGTGATTAGGTGTAAAGTAGCTAGCCTATCCCCACTGTTGACAAAGTGAGGTCACTATGAGCTGTCAACACAGAAAAGAAAGGACCTTAATACAACGGCTGCTGATGTTCAGGTGTCAGGGAGGGTGTGTACATGAGGCAAGAACCCAGCCGTGCAATGAAAGCAAGTTGGAGACAGGCTGGGATCAGAAACCTAATATATTTTAAGACTAATTTATTCTAATGGCCACAACAGATAAGCCACATTGCTCACCACCAAACAGGCCACTCATGAAGCCTTTATATGTCCATGGTGCACAGCCAGTAGCATCTATTTTGAAACTTTTTCCAGACCAAAACTATTTCTGCCTTGCTTTATAGGGTGAGGAATCCAGGGTCTCAGGGTAACATTTGTTTAAATACTAAGGTGAGTCCAAAGCTGTTCCTGAGAAAAATGTATATTTATGTGGCCACTCTTTGTGAATGTGGGATACCTTTCTACTCTGTCAAAATCATAGGCTAGGCTCCACAACTTCCGTATTTGAAGATCACCTCTATAATCACCTCTTTTGGCTTCCTAAAAAGAGCTGATTTGAATTAGCAATAGAGAACACCAGCACTGCAGCCCTTACCAGGGAGCAAATGGTTAAGCTTTTTGCCAGCTGATATGGTTTGGCTGTGTCCCCACCCAAATCTCATCTTGAATTGTAGCTCCCATAATTCCTACATGTCATGGGAGGGACCCAGTGGAAGGTAATTGAATCATAGGGGTGGGTCTTTCTCATGCTGTTCTTTTGATAGTGAATGAATCTCATGAGATCTGATGGTTTTATAAAGGTGAGTTCCCCTACACAAGCTCTCTTGCCTGCTGCCATGTAAGATGTGACTTTGCTCCTCCTTTGCCTTCCACCATGATTGTGAGGCCTCCCCAGCCATGTGGAACTGTGAGTCCATTAATCCTCTTTCCTTTATAAATTCCCCAGTCTGGGGTATGTCTTTATTAGCAGCATAAGAACAGACTAACACAGCAGCCTAGTCTTACAAAGAGCCCTATTGAATGGCAATATTTTGGGAGTGTCAATAGAGATGAAGCATCTAGAATTCAGCAATTCTAGGCTCTGTAAATTCTACTTAATTCAAGTTAGCCTGCTGAACACTCTACTGTAGAACCTATTTACTGAGTGCTTAGTGCTAAAATCATCTTAACTGGCTTACAGTTCAGTGTTTAGCATTCAGTTTTTATTGAAGAGGGCTGTAAGTACCAGTTCCTATGAAATCTGTTTTTGTAGTTGTTGCAAAAGAAGAATTCCATGGAAGCCATGATCTCTTGCAGTGACATCTCATTATACGTGCATTTAACTTATGTGAAGCAGATATTTGTGCTTGGACAGTGGGTACAGAGAGGGAAATAATTGAAATGATGTAACATAAAATACTATAAAAGTTATATTTTGCATATGTTCTATTGATTATTATACTGTATAGGTCTACAAATATTGTGTGTATGTATACTTCACTTAATCGACAATATAAGGAGTTTTGTTAGAGGAATTTGGATTAAACATGCTTTTTTCCTCACATGCTAATCTGGAACCTAATTCATGTGGAAAGCCGGTCATCATCCGCTGGACATGACGATTGACATCACCACTTAAGATGCCGTCTCCGGCCTGGTGTGGCTCCTGTCAGGCGAGGCCCTGGATTCCGTAAGCAGAGTTAAGACCCATGTGAAAAGTTCACCCTAGTAAAAGGTGCAGTTTCTTGCCTCGGTCCAAACGTCTCAGCACTTTCCAATCACATGTTGGGCAACTCTCCTGCACAGCCCACTTTCTAGACCTGAACTCTGCCCACTTGTTAGGGCGGCTGTGTGCTCAGGGCACAACCTTTGGCTTCTGCTGCCAGCCCCTGTGTCACTTGCTCATCAGCTTCTCGGGAGCAGGACCTGTCTTACTCTCTGTTTCACAAATGTTTAGTAGAATATCTGGCACATAGTAAATGGCAAATCAATATTTGTGGAACAAAACTTAATCTGCATGTGACTTTATCCTTGTTCCCACTGCTGCATTCCTGAGAACAGAGCCACTGGTAACCTCCCATTCAGCAAACATCCTTTCCTGTGTCCAGCCTTGGAAGTATCCCTTGGAGTAAATCTCTCTGTAAAGTCCCCTTGCAAGAAACACTTTTTAATGCCAGGCACGGTGGTTCACGCCTGTAATCCCAGCATTTTGGGAGGCCAACGCGTGTGGATCACCTGAGGTCAGGAGTTCAAGAGCAGCCTGGCCAACATGGCAAAACCCCGTCTCTACTAAAAACACAAAAATTAGCCGGGTATGGTGGTGGGTGCCTGTAATCCCAGCTACTTGGGAGGCTGAAGCAGGAGAATCGCCTGAACCTGGAGGGCGGAGGTTGCAGTGAGACGAGATGGCGCCATTGCACTCCAGCCTGGGTGACAAAGTGAGACTCCGTCTCAAAAAAAAAAAATACTTTTTAGTATCTGATATTAGGAAAATACTTTCTTTTCCCCTAAGGAACTAGTATATTCTACTTTTTCAATAATAAGAGCCATGTAAACTATCATCTCTCCCTTTCTCTGTCTCTCTCTCTCTCTGTAAGAGTGGCCAAGAACCTCAAAATAACTGTAAACTCAGTGAGAGCCACTGTATTGACCCTTTCAGTTCCATCATGTTTATATGACTTCTCTTAGATCCTGATTTTCAGCTTGGGGATTCTATTGCAGTTTTTCTCAAAGTGTGGCCTGGGAACACCTGTATCAGAATCATTGTAGGTGTCTGTTAAAAATGCTGATTTTCAGACCCCTCACAGACTTGTTAATCAGAAACTCCAGAAGTGAGATTCAGAAATTTGCATTCTACACAAACATCCCAGGTATCCTAATGCTCAGTTAAGTTTGAGAATCTATGGCCTATTTTTTTTTTTTTTTTTTTTGAGATGGAATTTTGCTCTTGTTACCCAGGCTGGAGTGCAATGGCACGATCTTGGCCCACTGCAACCTCTGCCTCCCGGGTTCAAGCAATTCTCCTGTCTCAGCCTCCTGAGTAGCTGGGACTACAGGCGCTGGCCACCGTGCCTGGCCAATTTTTGTATTTTTAGTAGAGACAGGGTTTCACCATGTTGGCCAGGCTAGTCTTGAACTCCTGACCGCAGGTGATCCACCGGCCTCCGCCTCCCAAAAGTGCTGGGATTACAGGCGTGAGCCACCGTGTCCGACCTCATTTTTATATGTTATTTGTTGTAAAACACTCAACATTCTTCTTGGAAGAAAAAGAAATTTACATAAGTGGTATAATATAAGAAAATATGCTGCATAACATAATGATGATGGCCTTCAGGTAATGTTAACAGCATTACTTAAAATAATTATTAATGTATTATCTTAATTTTTTTTTTTTTTTTTTTTTTTGAGACAGAGTTTCACTGTTGTTGCCCAGGCTGGAGTGCAATGGCTCGATCTCAGCTCACTGCAACCTCTGCCTCCCGGGTTCAAGGGATTCTCCTGCCTCAGCCTCCTGAGTAGCTGGGATTACAGGTGCCCACCACCATGCCCAGCTAGTTTTTTGTATTTTTAGTAGAGATGGGGTTTCACAAGACCAGGCTGGTCTTCAGCTCCTGACCTCAGGTGATCTACCTGCCTCGGCCTCCCAAAGTGCTGGGATTACAGGCATGAGCCACCACGCCTGGCCATTATCTTAATTTTTACTTGACCTTTGTACAATGGTATGAAAATAGTTCTCTATCAAGATTTATTCTGTTCACAACATTCTACAAGTGACTATTTTTCTTCAGAAATTATGACAATATTAAGTGGGTGTATTAAGTAAAACAAGAAATCGGTGCCTAAGAGTTAGAAATAAACTAACATATACGTACAATAAGATATACTGAGGACCACCAAGCCCCAGGAGCTGCACTTTGTCAGAGAACACTGTAACAAGCAAGACTCAGTTCCAGCCCTCAGATTGCTTATGGTCTGATGGGAAACGTAGACAGGTAAACGGGTGAAACCTCTTGCTTGTGTCCACAGCAACTGGCAGGGTCTGCAGGAAACAGGCCATTGCCAGAAAGAAAATCATCTTACTATTATCTACACAGAGTCCAGAACAGGATGCAAAACCAACTCTTTACTGCCCCCAGTGGAAAAAATCCTCTTCAGTCCATACGGCAACAACCAGAGGGCCCTCCTAGAATCACCCTGCTCCTGGCTTCTTCAGTTTCTTCCTCTCCCCACCGTGGGCTTAGTCCTAGCTTCTTGCAAGGGGTAGGTTCCGATTTCTCCTTAAAGACTGTTGCAGAGACAGAATTCCAGTCTCTCTGATTCTTCCCAGGGGCATATCTAAAATATCAGCAAACTGTTCTCTCCCCAGAATCAGCGGACTCGCATTGAATCTCCGTTTTAGCAAAGCCCAGGCTCCACACCTCCCCTGGGAGGCACAGAAACACAGGACAGTCCCTCCTACCCCGCCATGCAGGCAATTGCTGCACTGCTGGCATCCCCAGCTTGGGACCCAGCACAGAAGCCAGACATAGCCCCAGGGAGCCAGTGGCCAGGAGGAGTGTTCAGGGCACAGGGACCAGACGAATAAAAGCTGGAGACAAAAGAGAATGCTAGGCCAGGCATGGTGGCTCACGCCTGTAATCCCAGCATTTTGGGAGGCCGAGGCCAGCAGATCACCTGAGGTCAGGAGTTCAAGACCAGCCTAGCCAAAATGGCAAAACCCATCTCTACTAAAAATAGAAAAATTAGCTGGGCGTGGTGGTGGGCACCTGTAGTCCCAGCTACTCGGGAGGCTGAGACAGGAGAATCGCTTGAACCTGGGAGGTGGAGGTTGCAGTGAGCTGAGATGGTGCCACTGCACTCCAGCCTGGGCGGCAGAGTGAGACTCCATTTCAAAAAAAAAAAAAAAAGAGAGAGAACACTGGTATTGAGGGAATTTCAAGCCATTCTAAATGCCCGGAGAAGTAATTTTAAATTCTACTCATATTTCAAGGTTTCATTTAAATCACACCTTATCTATGAAGTGCTCTGGGATTAGGCTACTCTCGTTTATCTCCTTCCTTTCTAAGCATCTACGATATCTATCATTATGTGGCACAACCTTATGTTTCATTCTGTAGGGACTTCTGTTGTTCACTTGCTTGATGTGAGCAAACTGGTTTCCTTAACTAAACCATAAACTACCGGAGGGCAGGATCATTGTTTAGAGTTTTGCTTTATGATGACAGTTTTATTGAGCTATAATTCATATACCACACAATTCACCCATTTAAAATGTACAAGTCAGTGGGATTTTCTTTAGCATGCTTATAAGAGTGGGGCAACCACCCTCACAATTAATTTTAGGACGTTTTCATCATCCCCCAAAGAAACTCTCCTGCAGTAGCAGTCACTCCTCATTTTCCACACCCAGGCTGTGGGTTGGATTGTGTCCCCTCCAAAAAGATTATGTTCAAGCCCTCACCTCCAGAACCTGTGAATGTGACCCAGTTTGGAAGTGAGGTCTTTGCAGATGTAATCAAGTAAAGATGAGGTCATACTGGATTAGGGTTGGTCCTGAATCCAACATGACTGGCATCCTTATAAGACTGCAATTTGGATGCAGGGACAGAGACACACAGGGGAGAAGACCGTGTGAAGATGGAGACAGAGATTGCGGTGAAGCAGCTACAAACTAAGGAATGCCAAGGATTTGGGGGCAAACCCCAGAAGCAAGACAAGGCAAGAAAGTGTTCTTCCCTGAGTCCTCCAGAGGGACCGTGGCCCTGCCAACGCTGACTTCAGACCTCCAGCCTCCAGAATGGCGAGAATACGTTCCGGTTGTCCTAAGCCACCCAGTTTTATTCAGCAGCCCTAGGAATCTAAGGCACACCCCAACGATGCTCCCCACCTCCACCCCCTAGTAAACCACTAAACTACTTTCTGCCTCTGGAGATTAATCCGTTCTAGACATTCTGTATAAAAGGAATTACATAATATGTGGCCTTTTGTTACCGGTTTCTTTGACTTAGTATAATATTTTTAAGGTTCACCTATGTTGTATCAGTACCTCATTATTTTTGTTGCTGAATAATATTCCATTGTATGGCTATATCATATTTTGTTTATCCATTTATCAGTTGATAGACACTTGGCTTGTTTCTATTTTTTTAGCTATTATGAGTATTGCTGTTATGCAGATTCAGACAGGTTTTCATTTCTCTTAGGTGTATACCTGGAGTGAGATTGCTGAGTCATGTGGTAACTCTATGTTTAACCTTTTGAGGAAATGTTACACTGTCTACCTAAGTGCCTGCACCATTTCATATTCCCATCTGCAGTGTATGAGGGTACCAATTTATCCGCACCCTTGCCAACACTTATTATCTATGTTTAAATTGCAGCCATCGTAGTGGATGTGAAATGGTATCTCTTTGTGATTTTGATGTCAATGTCCCGGATGGGCAGTGATGATGAACATATTTTCATGTGCTTGTCAGCCACCTTTTTTGGAGAAATGTCTATTCAGATCCTTTGCCCATTTTTAAATTGAGTTATTGGTCTTTTTGTGGTGTAGTTATAGAAGGTCTCTGTTTATTCTGAATAACTGGATTGTCTTTTTATTCTTGTATTATTTATATACTTTATAGTTTTAAAATATTCCTCAGTTTGCCTCATGATCCTGAACCCATGAGGAGGGTTATCCTTGTGCTCTTAGACATTTCTGGTGTTCTAAGAAATCATTGGTTTTTATTTGATAGTTAATGAATGGCCTGGAATAACATATTTCAGAGCTTTCAGGTCAACTTTGGGGTAAAGAAAGGAACCTAATATTTACTGACTGCCCACCATCTGCCAGATGTTGTTGGCATATGTGTGATCCTCACCCCAACCTAGGAAGGTTCTGTGTTATCATCTCCAATAAACAGGTAAGCACAAAGAAATTAAATAACAACAGTTTTTTAAACACCCTGCTCCTTTGTCCCTTCATGATGTGGTAAAACAAAGACATATCAAAACCAGAGGACTTGCTTGTCAAGTTTCTAATGCCTGGAAAATGTCACCTTGGTACTTCAAGTCTTATTCAAGGAACTATTAAACAGTTTATATGGTTTTTCAGCTCATAAATTAATAAAATCCCTTCAAATATTTCCCTTAAGTGAAGTATAGGAATATAAGTATTGTTCCAAGTCTTCTGTTAAAAATTGAAGCACAGAAATGGGACTATGACTAAATTAACTGAATAGTAAAAAAGAGCTTGTGATTCAGGAATTCAGGGAGAGAGTTCGTGAGCTCTGCAGAGGTAACCTGTATGTGCATGCTCCAAAATCCACCGGCACTTTCCCGGCAGTCCAAAGTGCAAATGGTTTCTGCAGCTCATGATTCTGGCTCCAGGCCAGCGCCATGCTCACTTGAATTGCAGCCAAACACCCTCGGACTCATTGCCTGAACATGTGACTCAAATGCTCGCGTTCCCGCTGCTCAGTGTACTCTCCTGGAGACCCCCTGACATCAAATTCCCAAGGATCTCATTTCATTTTTTATAGACAAGTGTCTTCACCCTTCCAACTCTAAAGATAGATGTGAGGTGAAGATATATTCTTCAGGGTTTGAAAGCTCTATATAAAGTCCCCCAAACATTTAAAATCTGGAGATTCATCTCTGGAAAACAGTGCATCTGATCATCTTGATTTACAGCCTGTACTGGAAGTTTTTCTTTTAGAACAAAAGCTATTTGCAAACCATTCCTGTTTGTAAATAAATTATTTTCCTAAATATCAAAGGAAGACATCAGAAAGTACAAAAAGAAATAATAGATGGAATAATTTCTTGAAATTTACCCAAATAGATAATGAGCAAGACAACTGATAGCTCTCAGAATAAATATTCTCTGAGAGTAAGACTAATACGATCATGCCAATAGTTTAGTTTGACTTATTTTCATAGCGCTGCCCAAACAGATATGGAGAAAGGAATTATTTTGCCATGAGATAAGACTTAATCATCTCTGGGAAAGGGAATCCACAGGAACATTTTTGCTTATGCAAGAAAGATCCTGTTTATACTGCATGATTCTTTGCAGTTTTTCTCTCCCATCCCCTGTGGCTGTGTAGTTCTATCCTATTTGTGGCCCTGCTTCTAGATTGAGGCCCCATAAAGCAGGCTGCACAATGCCTGCAGCACATTATTTCTTGAAGAAATCCCAGGGAAAATAGACAGTGAAACTTAGCTTCCCTGGTCTTAGAAAAGGGCAAAGAAATTTTTGTTTCCCCCAAAGGCCAGTTGAAAAATGTCGTGTTGCCCCAGAAGTCCAGCCCTGGCCCTTCCTTGCTGCAAAGAGTCAATTGGTGCCTCCAGGTCCTTGCTTTTCCTTGACGACAGACTGGTGTAGTTTGAGACATCCCTGGCCCTTATCTCAGCCCAGCCCTTTGAAGCACTTGACAGCCGCTGCTGCTGCCACTTGCTTATCCCAAGGGAGGAAGTAGCTTCTGAAGGCTTTGAGGTCCAGTTCAGTCTGGATGTTTGAAAGGGTGAAAGGTAATTTTAATATGACTTCTAATTTATGTGATGCTTACATTTTTTTGAATTCTGTGCTTCCCAGGGGACACAGTAATTGAAAGTGTTTTTCATCCCATAGCAGGAAGGGATGAGGGTTGATGGATCGATTTTCCTCTGATTGTTAACCCTCCACCTCTCCTTCCCCCTCAGCTTCACTGTGTGTTATGTCTGTTTGTCTATCATGTCTGAAAACCTAGTTTGAATTACAAAATAGGTTGAGAGGAGCAGTGGGTGAAAGGATGGAGTTTTCTCTTCGATAATTTATTCAGCGGGTGCTAAAGATTTGGGGATCTTCTTGTCTTGATTGAATGGTGTAATGGTTAATACTGAGTGTCAACTTGACTGGATTGAAAGATACAAAGTATTGATCCTGGGTGTGTCTGTGAGGGTGTTGCCAAAGGAGATTAACATTTGAATCAGTGGGCTGGGAAACGCAGACCCACCCCTAATCTGCGTGGGCACAATCTAATCAGCTGCCAGCACGGCTGGAATATGAACAGGCAGAAAAATGTGGAAAAGAGAGACTGGCCTAGGCTCCCAGCCTACATCTTTCTCCCATGCGGGATGCTTCCTGCCCTCAAACATCAGACACCAAGTTCTTCAGTTTTGGGACTCGGACTGGCTCTCCTTGCTCCTCAGCCTGTAAATGGCCTATTGTGGGACCTTGTGATCATGTGAGGTAATACTTAATAAACTCCCCTTCATATATATTCCATTAGTTCCGTCCCTCTAGAGAACCCTGACAAATACAGATTTTGGTACCAGGAGTGGCTCTAGAGGGACAGAATATTAAGGATGGAGTTATTTCATTGGTTTTGGGGTTTCTGGAGTTTGCTTCTTAATATGATTAGACCCAAAAATGGTAAAGACTTTACTTCTAATGGTATGGAGAATGCTGATAGTCCTTGTCGTGAACTGTTTAGAGAGTTATGCAAAATAAATGCATTTGACACTCCTGATTCATCACTCGTGAGAGGCAAAGAGCTTAGTGACTCTATACGTAATACCTTTGACCATATGTGGAGAACCAGGGAGCATAATGAAGCTGATTGGTTACTTCTAAGTTCAATGGACAAAGTGATGAAAGAAAATGATGAACTCAGGGATTCTGTCTCCCGGCTTTAGAAGCAGACACTGAGCCTCAAATCTGCTAAGATTATCCTAATGAGAGTCTTATCGCCTGTAGAAAAAGAGCTGAAATTATGGAAAAACAGACACAAGCTCTTATCATGTTGAGTGGCTGACCTGCAACAAAAGGTGCATCCACAGCCTTGCCAGGTGTCTACTGTTAAAATGAGGGCATTGATTGGAAAAGAATGGGACCCTGCAACATGGAATAGGGACATGTGGGAGGACCCTGATGAAGCTGGGGGCACTGAGTTTGTAAACTCTGATGAACCTTTTTTGCCAGAGGGAACATCTTTCCCATCCCCAGAAGGGGCAATATCCCTCCCTGACCCATGCTGCCATCAGCCTTTCCATCTCTGTCTGAGGAGATAAACCCTGCACTGCCTGAGGCAGCAGTGATGGCCTCCCCTGAGGCAGCTGCCAGGCAAGATAATGTTGATTCTCCCCAGGAGCCACCCCCAACACCCCTGTTTGCTTCCAGACCTATAACTAGACTAAAGTCCCGGCAGGTCCCTGGAGGTGAAGTTGAGAATGTAACCCATGAGGAGGTGTGCTACACTCAAAAAGAACTGCTTGCATTTTCTAATTTATATAAACAGAAATCTGAAGAACAGGCATGGGAATGAATACTAAGGATGAGGGCTATTATGGTGGGAAAGGCCAAATGGAAGCCATTAGAGCTTCCCCTACCTAGAAAAATAGTAAATCAAAAACAATATCACATCCCTGGAGGGATTACAGAGATTAGTGCCACCATTAAGGACTTGAAAGATGCAGGGGTCATTGCTGAGGCTTGAGTAGGTAAACAAAGCAGCCTGGAAGCTCGAATTGGGTGGAGCCCACCGCAGTTCAAGGAGGCCTGCCTGCCTCCATAGACTCCACCTCTGGGGGCAGGGCATAGCCACCAACAAAAGGCAGCAGAAACCTCTGCAGACTTAAATGTCCCTGTCTGACAGCTTTGAAGAGAGCAGTGGTTCTCCCAGCACAGTTTGAGATCTGAGAATGGACAGACGGCCTCCTCAAACGGGTCCCTGACCCCCGAGTAGCCTAACTGGGAAGCACCCCCAGTAGGGGCAGACTGACACCTCACACGGCCGGGTACCCCTCTGAGACAAAGCTTCCAGAGGAACGATCAGGCAGCAACATTTGCTGTTCAGCAATATTCGCTGTTCTGCAGCCTCCGCTACTGATACCCAGGCAAACAGGGTTTGGAGTAGACTTCCAGCAAATTCCAACAGACCTGCAGCTGAGGGTCCTGACTGTTAGAAGGAAAACTAACAAACAGAAAGGACATCAGCACCAAAACCCCATCTGTACATCACTATCATCGAAGACCAAAGGTAGATAAAACCACAAAGGAGGAGAAAAAAACAGAGCAGAAAAGCTGAAAATTCTAAAAATCAGAGCGCCTCTCCCCCTCCAAAGGAACGCAGCTCCTCACCAGCAGTGGAACCAAGCTGGATGGAGAATGACTTTGAAGAGTTGAGAGAAGAAGGCTTCAGACGGTCAAACTTCTCCGAGCTAAAGAAGGAAGTTTGAACCCATTGCAAAGAAGCTAAAAAGCTTGAAAAAAGATTAGACGAATGGCTAACTAGAATAACCAGTGTAGAGAAGTCCTTAAATGACCTGATGGAGCTGAAAACCATGGCATGAGAACTACGGGATGAATGCACAAGCTTCAGTAGCCGATTCAATCAACTGGAAGAAAGGGTATCAGTGATTGAAGATCAAATGAATGAAATGAAATGAAGTGAGAAGAGAAGTTTAGAGAAAAAAAGAGTAAAAAGAAATGAATAAAGCCTCCAAGAAATATGGGACTATGTGAAAAGACCAAATCTACATCTGATTGGTGTACCTGAAAGTGATGGGGAGAATGGAACCAAGTTGGAAAACACTCTGCAGGATATTATCCAGGAGAACTTCCCTGACCTAGCAAGGCAGGCCAACATTAAATTCAGGAAATACAGAGAATGCCACAAAGATACTCCTCGAGAAGAGCAACTCCAAGACACATAATTGTCAGATTCACCAAAGTTGAAATGGAGGAAAAAATATTAAGGGCAGCCAGAGAGAAAGGTCAGGTTACCCACAAAGGGAAGCCCATCAGACTAACAGCTGATCTCTCCGCAGAAACTCTACAAGCAGAAGAGAGTGGGGGCCAGTATTCAACATTCTTAAAGAAAAGAATTTTCAACCCAGAATTTCATATCCAGCCAAACTAAGCTTCATAAGTGAAGGAGAAATAAAATCCTTTACAGACAAGCAAATGCTGACAGATTTTGTCACCACCAGGCCTGCCCTAAAAGAGCTCCTGAAGGAAGCACTAAACATGGAAAGGAACAACCAGTACCAGCCACTGCAAAAACATGCCAAATTGTAAAGACCATTGAGGCTAGGAAGAAACTGCATCAACTAATGAGCAAAATCACCAGCTAACATCATATTGACAGGATGAAATTCACACATAACAATATTAACCTTAAATATAAATGGGCTAAATGCTCCAATTAAAAGACTCAGACTGGCAAATTGGATAAAGAGTCAAGACCCATCAGTGTGCTGTATTCAGGAGACACATCTCACATGCAAAGACACACATAGGCTCAAAATAAAGGGATGGAGGAAGATCTACCAAGCAAATGGAAAACAAAAAAAAAGCAGGGGTTGCAATCCCAGTCTCTGATAAAACAGACTTTAACCAACAAAGATCAAAAGAGACAAAGAAGGCCATTACATAATGGTAAAGGGATCAATTCAACAAGAAGAGCTAACTATCCTAAATATATATGCACCCAATACAGGAGCACCCAGATTCATAAAGCAAGTCCTTAGAGACCTACAAAGAGATGTAGACTCCCACACAATAATAATGGGAGACTTTAACACCCCACTGTCAACATTAGACAGACCAACGAGACAGAAAGTTAAAAAGGATATCCAGGAATTGAACTCAGCTCTGCACCAAGCGGACCTAATAGACATCTACAGAACTCTCCACCCCAAATCAACAGAATATACATTCTTCTCAGCACTGCATCGCACTTATTCCAAAATTGACCACATAGTTGGAAGTAAGGCACTCCTCAGCAATGTAAAAGAACAGAAATTATAACAAACTGTCTCTCAGACCATAGTGCAATCAAATTAGAACTCAGGATTAAGAAACCCACTCAAAACCGCTCAACTACATGGAAACTGAACAACCTGCTCCTGAATGACTATTGGGTACATAATGAAATGAAGGCAGAAATAAAGATGTTCTTTGAAACCAATGAGAACAAAGACACAACATACCAGAATCTCTGGGACACATTTAAAGCAGTGCATAGAGGGAAATTTATAGCACTAAATGCCCACAAGAGAAAGCAGGAAAGATCAAAATTGACACCCTAACATCACAATGGAAAGAACTAGAGGAGCAAGAGCAAACACATTCAAAACTGGCAGAAGGCAAGAAATAACTAAGATCAGAGCAGAACTGAAGGAGATAGAGACACAAAAACCCTTCAAAAAAGCAATGAATCCAGGAGCTGGTTTTTTGAAAACATTAACAAAATGCATAGACTGCTAGCAAGACTAATAAAGAAGAAAAGAGAGAAGAATCAAATAGATGCAATAAAAAATGATAAAGGGGATATCACCACCAATCCCACAGAAATACAAACTACCATCAGAGAACACGATAAACACCTCTACGCAAATAAACTAGAAAATCTAGAAGAAATGGATAAATTCCTGGACACATACACCCTCCCAAGACTAAACCAGGAAGAAGTTGAATCCCTGAATAGACCAATAACTGGCTCTGAAATTGAGGCAATAATTAGTAGCCTACCAACCAAAAGAAGTCCAGGACCAGATGGATTCACAGCCGAATTCTACCAGGGGTACAAAGAAGAGCTGGTACCATTCCTTCTGAAACTATTCCTAACAATAGAAAAAAGGAGAACCCTCCCTAACTCATTTTATGAGGCCAGCATCATTGTGATACCAAAACCTGGCAGAGACAAAACAAAAAAAAAGAAAATTTCAGGCCAATATCCCTGATGAACATCGATGCAAAAATCCTCAATAAAATACTGGCAGACTGAATCCAGCAGCACATCAAAAAGCTTATCCACAACGATCAAGTCGGCTTCATACATGGGATGCAAGGCTGCTTCAACATATGCAAATCAACAAACGTAATCCAGCATATAAACAGAACCAAAGACAAAACCACATGATTATCTCAATAGATGCAGAAAAGGCCTTTGACAAAATTCAACAGCCCTTCATGCTAAAAACTCTCAATAAATTATGTATTGATGGGACATATCTCAAAATAATTAGAGCTATTTATGACAAACCCACAGCCAATATCAGACTGAATGGGCAAAAACTGGAAGCATTCCCTTTGAAAACTGGCGCAAGACAGGGATGCCCTCTCTCACCACTCCTATTCAACATAGTGTTGGAAGTTCTGGCCAGGGCAATCAGGCAGGAGAAAGAAATAAAGGGTATTCAATTAGGAAAAGAGGAAGTCAAGTTGTCCCTGTTTGCAGATGACATGATTGTATATTTAGAAAACCCTATTGTCTCAGCCCAAAATCTCCTTAAGCTGATAGCAACTTCAGCAAAGTCTCAGGATACAAAATCAATGTGCAAAAATCGCAAGCGTTCTTATACACCAATAACAGAAAAACAGCCAAATCGTGAGTGAGCTACCATTCACAATTGCTTCAAAGAGAATAAAATACCTAGGAATCCAACTTACAAGGGATGTGAACGACCGCTTCAAGGAGAACTACAAACCACTGCTCAATGAAATAAAAGAGGATACAAACAAATGGAAGAACATTCCATGCTCATGATAGGAAGAATCAATATTGTGAAAATGGCCCTACTGCCCAAGGTAATTTATAGATTTAATGCCATCCCCATCAAGCTACCAATGACTTTCTTCACAGAATTGGAAAAAACTACTTTAAAGTTCATATGGAACCAAAAAAGAGCCTGCATTGCCCAGACAATCCTAAGCCAAAAGAACAAAGCTGGAGGCATCATGCTACCTGACTTCAAACTATACTACAAGGCTACAGTAACCAAAACAGCATGGTACTGGTACCAAAACAGAGATATAGACCAATGCAACAGAACAGAGCCCTCATAAATAATACCACATATCTACAACCATCTGATCTTTGACAAACCTGACAAAAACAAGAAATGGGGAAAGGATTCCCTATTTAATAAATGGTGCTGGGAAAACTGGCTAGCCATATGTAGAAAGCTGAAACTGGATCCATTCCTTACACCTTATACAAAAATTAATTCAAGATGGACTAAAGACTTAAATGTTAGACCTAAAACCATAAAAACCCTAGAAGAAAACCTAGGCAATACCATTTAGGACATAGGCATGGGCAAGGACTTCATGTCTAAAACACCAAAAGCAATGGCAACAAAAGCCAAAATTGACGAATGGGATCTAACTAAACTAAAGAGCTTCTGCATAGCAAAGGAAACTACCATCAGAGTGAACAGGCAACCTAGAGAATGGGAGAAAATTTTTGCAATCTACTCATCTGACAAAGGGCTAATATACAGAATCTACAAAGAACACAAACAAATTTACAAGAAAAAAACAAACAACCCCATCAACAAGTGGATGAAGGATATGAACAGACACCTCCCAAAAGAAGACATTTATGCAGCCAACAGACACATGAAAAAATGCTCATCATCACTGGCCATCAGAGAAATGCAAATCAAAACCACAGTGAGATACTATCTCACACCAGTTAGAATGGAAATCATTACATTAAAGTGAGGAAACAACAGGTGCTGGAGAGGATGTGGAGAAATAGGAATGCTTTTACACTGTTGGTGGGACTTTAAACTAGTTCAACCATTGTGGAAGTCAGTGTGGCGATTCCTCAAGGATCTAGAACTAGAAATACCATTTGACCCAGCCATTCATTACTGGGTATATACCCAAAGGATTATAAATCATGCTGCTATAAAGACACATGCACACGTATGTTTATTGAAGCACTATTCACAATAGCGAAGACTTGGAACCAACCCAAATGTCCATCAATGATAGACTGGATTAAGAAAATGTGGCACATATACACTATGGAATACTATGCAGCCATAAAAAAGGATGAGTTCATGTCCTTTGTAAGGACATGGATGAAGCTGGAAACCATCATTCTCAGCAAACTATCGCAGGGACAAAAAAACAAACACTGCATGTTCTCACTCATAGGTGAGAATTGAACAATGAGAACACATGGACACAGGAAGGGGAACATCGCACACTGGGGCCTGTCGTTGGGTGGGGGGAGGGGGGAGGGATAGCATTAGGAGATATAACTAATGTAAATGATGAGTTAGTGGGTGCAGCACACCAACATGACACATGTATACATATGTAACAAACCTGCACATTGTGCACATGTACCCCAGAACTTAAAGTATAATAATAAAAAAGAAAGAAAGAAAGAAAGATGCAGAGGTGGTGATTCCCACCACATCCCCATTTGGGTCTCCCATTTGGCCTGTGCAGAAGACAGATGGATCTTGGGGAATGACTATAAGTTTAACCAAGTGGTAACTCCAAATGCAATTGCTGTACCAGATGTGGTTTCATCGCTTGAGCAAATTAACACATCTTCTGGTACCTGGTATGCAGCCATTGACTTGGCAAATGCCTTTTTCTCCATTCTTGTCCAAAGCCCCACCAGAAGCAACTTACCTTCATCTGGCAAGGCCAGCAATATACCTTTACTGTCCTACCTCAGGGGTATAGCAACTCTCTGGCTTTGTGTCATAATCTTATTCAGAGATACCTTGATCACTTTTCTCTTTCACAAGATACAACACTGGTCCATTACATTGATGACATTATGTTGATTGGATCCAGTGAGCAAGAAGTAGCAAACACACTGGACTTATTGGTGAGACATTTGCATGCCAGAGGATGGGAAATAAATCCAACTAAGTTTCAGGGACCTTCTACCTCAGTTAAATGTCTAGAGGTCCAGTGGTATGGGGCCTGTTGAGATAGTCCTTATAAGGTGAAGGATAAGTTGCTGTGTTTTGGCCCCAACTACAAGCAAGAAAGAGGCACAATGCCTAGCGGGCCTATTTGGATTTTGGAGGCAACATATTCCTCATTTGGGTGTGTTACTCTGGCCCATTTATCAAGTGACCCGAACGGCTGCCAGTTTTGAGTGGGGTCCAGGACAGAAGGAGGCTCTGCAACAGGTCCAGGCTGCTGGGCATGCTGCTCTGCCCTTTGGGCCATATGACCCAGCAGATTCAATGGTGCTTGAGGTGTCAGTGGTAGATAGGGATGCTGTTTGGAGCCTTTGGCAGCCCCCATAGGTTGAATCACAGCAGAGGCCTCTAGGATTTTGGAGCAAGGACCTGCCATCTTCTGCAGATAACTACTCTTCTTTTAAGAGACAGCTCTTGGCTTGTTACTGGGTTTTGGTGGAAACTGAACATTCAACTATGGGTCCTCAAGTCACCATGCATCCTGACCTGCCTATCATGACCTGGGTGCTTTCTGACCCATCTAGCCATAAAGTGGGTCATGCACAGCAGCATTTCATCATCAAATGGAAGTGGCATATATGTGATCGGGCTCGAGCAGGTCCTGAAGGGACAAGTAAGTTACATGAGAAGATGGCTCCAATGCCCGTGGTCTCCATTGCTGCCACCCTGCCTTCTCTCCCCGAGCCTGCACTGATGGCTTTGTAGGGAGTTCTCTGTGATCACTTGACAGAGGAAGAGGAGACCAGGGCCTGGTTCACAGATGGTTCTGCACGATACGCTGGCACTACCTGAAAGTGGACAGCTGCAGCACTACAGACCCTTTCTGGGACACCCCTGAAGGACAGAGGTGAAGGGAAATCTTCCCAGTGGGCAGAACATCGAGCAGTGCACCTGGTTGTGCACTTTGAATAGAAGGAGAAATGGCCAGATGTGTGGTTGTATACAGATTCATCGGCTGTAGCCAATGGTTTGGCTGGATGGTCAGGGACTTGGAAGAAGCATGACTGGAAAATTAGTGACAAAGAAATTTGGGGAAGAAGTATGTGGATGGGTCTCTCGGAGTGGTCGAAAACTGTGAAGATATTTGAATCCCATGTGAATGCTCACCAACAGGTGACCTCAGCAGAGGAGGAGTTTAATAATCAAGTGGATAGGATGACCCGTCCTGTAGACACCACTCAGCCTCTTTCCCCAGCCACCCTTGTCATCGCCCAATGGGCCCAAGAACAAAGTGCCCATGGTGACAGGGATGGAGGTGACACATGGTCTTAGCAACATGGACTTCCACTCACCAAGGATGATCTGGCTATGGCCACGGCTGAGTGCCCAATTTGCCAGCAGCAGAGACCAACACTGAGCCCTTGATATGGCACCATTCCTCGGGGTGATCACCCAGCTACCTGATGACAGGTTGATTATATTGGACCTTTTCCATCATGGAAGAGCAGAGGTTTGTCCTCAATGGAATGGACACTTACTCCAGATATGGGTTTGCCTATCCTACCCGCAATGCTTCTGTCAAGACTACCAGCCATAAACTCACAGAATGCCTTATCCACCGTCAGCGTATTCCACACAGCATTGCCTCTGACCAAGGCACTAACTTTATTACTAAAGAAGTGCGGCAGTGGGCTCACACTCATGGAATTCACTGGTCTTACCATGTTCCCCTTCATCCTGAAGCAGCTGGATTGATAGAATGGTGGAATGGCCTTTTGAAGTCACAATTACAACACCAACTAGGTGACAATACTTTGCAGGGTGGAGGCAAAGTTCTCCAGAAGGCTGTGTATGTTCTGAATCAGTATCCAATATGTGATACTGTTTCTCCCATAGCCAGGATTCATGGGTCTAGGAATTAATGGGTAGAAGTAGAAGTGGCACCACTCACCATCACCCCTAGTGATCCACTAGCAAAATTTTTGCTTCCTGTTCCTGCAACATTATGTACTGCTGGCCTAGAGGTCTTGGTTCCAGAGGAAGGAATGCTGCCACCAGGAGACAAAAGAAGGATTCCATTAAACTGGAAGTTAAGATTGCCACCTGGACACTTTGGGCTCCTCCTACCTTTAAGTCAACAGGCCAATGGGCTCCTCCTACCTTTAAGTCAACAGGCCAAGAAGGGAGTTACAGTGTTAGCTGGGGTGATTGACCCTGACTATCAAGATGAAATCAGCCTACTACTCCACAACGGAGGTAAGGAAGAGTATGGATGGAACTCAGGAGATCCATTAGGGTATCTCTTAGTATTACCATGACCTGTGATTAAGATTAATGGGAAACTACAACAGCTCAACCCAGGTAGGACTACAAATGACCCAGACCCTTCAGGAATGAAGGTTTGGGTCACTCCACCAGGAAAAAAAACCACGACCTGCTGAGGTGCTTGCTGAAGGCAAAGGGAATACAGAATGGGTAGTAGAAGAAGGTAGTCATCAATACCAGCTATGACCACATGACCAGCTGCAGAAATGAGGACTGTAATTGTCATGAGTATTTCTTCCTTCTTTTGTTAAAAACATATTTGTGCATGTGTACACATGTACTAAGAAAATATCTTCATTTTATTTCCTTTCTCCTTTATCATGTGACATAAATTTATTGACTTCATGTCAGCATTTAAGTATTGTTAACTTTATGTAATGGTATTTGGGTTGGAGATTGGTGCATTTCCAATTGTACAAAGGATAGTTGTATTATGTTAGGTGTAATTATGACCTTATTATTGTCTTTATTTGAAGATTATGTATGATCTCAGGAGATGTGTATGGGTTCAAGTTGACAAGGGGCAGACTTGTGATGGTTAACACTGTGTCAACTTGATTGGATTGAAGGATGCAAAGTATCAATCCTGAGTGTGTCTGTGAGGGTGTTGCCAAGGAGATTAATATTTGAGTCAGTGGGCTGGGAAACGAAGACTCACCATTAATCTGGGTGGGCACAATCTAATCATCTGTGGGCACGGCTAGAATATGAACAGGCAGAAAAATGTGAAAAGGCTAGACTGGCCTAGCCTCCCAGCCTACATCTTTCTCCCATGCTGCATGCTTCCTGCCCTCGAACATCAGACACCAAGTTCTTCAGTTTTGGGACTGAGACTGGCTCTCAGCCTGCAGACGGCCTATTGTGGGACCTTGTGATCATGTGAGTTAATACTTAATAAACTCCCCTTTATATGTATATATATATTCCATTAGTTCTGTCCCTCTGGAGAACCCTGACTAATATAAATGGTTACCTTTAGTTGGGTTAAATCCAGTGAATTCCTTTGGATGTGTTCTTCAGTTGACTTAAAAAAAGAAAAAGAAAAAAAATTTCAGTGAATTCTTGAAAGAATTAAACAAACTGGGCATAGAAAATTGTATGTTACATAAAAATATGTACAAACATTATTTTAAATATAAATCTGTATTCCTACTTTACCAAAAAGCTGATTATACTGATGACAATAATGCAATTTTGTTGGTTTGGGAAAATGCAAAATCACCAGACTAATTGCAACAGCACTTCTGCAATAATGCTACTGATTTATTGAATACCTACTATGTGCCAGTCACTTTATTGAATATGATTTCTAATAATCACAGGGCAGATATTATTATCTCCACTTTACTGATGAGCAAACTGAAGTTCAGAGAGGTATCGATCATTTGTCCAAGGTCTGAGTGCTGTGGAATTGAAATCAAAGTCCACCAGCATTTATCAGATCGAGTAGGTCTGAAGTTCCTAATGCTGAATACAAAAGGGCACAGTTATCTAGGATAAATATAAAATGCATGAGATGCCAGGGCAACAGGCAAACCAGGACATACGATCACCTACACTATACAGCATCATCTTGAGAATATGTGCACTGCTGCCACAGTCTTTGCAAACAATCAAATGTACAAGGGGTTGAGAAAATAAAGTACAGTTATAAGGAGTATTCAACAGAAGAGTGAAATGTAACAAGATAGAATTGGAGGGTTAATTTCAGGTAAGTTTTTGAAAGCTCTAAGAGCCAGGAGAGGAGTTCACTCTTTATCCTGTAGTCAATGCTACATAGCTACAAACATTGGTATGGTGTTTGACAAGTGCTTTCATATACACTATTACACTTGACAATGAAAGTATGATAGTTGGTACTTCCAGAGAGGTTATGTGACTTTCCCAAGACTGCTAAACTGGTAAGCAGTAGAGTTCCCTGTTTCTACAAAGTCTAGGCTTTTCCTACTTTTCCATATTACTTGCTAGTTTCTAAAACATCCAGTCCCTTGAGATTACAAGTTATCATCAGAAACCACAACAAAAAGCACATTGTTTCACATGGGAGAATAGCACATGGCTGACCCATTATTCTGTTAGCATGGGTTACAATCATTTTCCTAGAAGGGCATTAAGTCCTATACAATAGACGTTAGGAACAAGAGGCTGAGGCAGGCGGATCACGAGGTCAGGAGATCAAGACTGTCCTGGCTAACACAGTGAAACCTCGTCTCTACTAAAAATACAAAAAACTAGCCGGGCATGGTGGCGAGCACCTGCAATCCCAGCTACTTGGGAGGCTGAGGCAGGAGAATCCCTTGAACCTGGGAGGCGGAGCTTGCAGTGAGCTGAGATCACACCACTGCACTCCAGCCTGGGTGACAGAGCGAGACTCTGTCTCAAAAAAAGAAAATAAATACTAAAAATAAAAGGAACGAGAAAATGGTTATTTGTAACCTTTTCTTGATCATGAATGTCCTAAATACCTTATAGAAAAATTAAGAAGAAAAAATATATAAAGAAGAAAACAAAAATCCTTTATAATTTTACAACTGAGAGATAATTTTAACACTCTGGTGCATTTTCTTCCAGTCTTTGGCATACCCTAAAGCTTGAATGTCATTGCACCCATGCCATCTCCACCTGCTGTGACCCTATCTTCGGAATACTTCTCAAATCCATCAATTCCTATGAGCTCTACCCTCATATATGTCACCTCACCTCGTGCCTAGATTAGCGCATTTTCCCAGCAGCCAGTCTCCTGAGCTCCAGTCTGGCATACGCTGTCCACATTCATTTGGCGTACTGCAGACAGAGGAGTTTTTGGCTTGTTTGTTTTTTAAGACAGAGTGTTGCTCTCTTGCCCAGGCTGGAGTGCAGTGGTGTGATCATGGCTTATTGAAGCATCGACCTGCTGGGTTTAACTGATCCTCCCACCTCTGCCTCCCAAGTAGCTGGGACTACAGGTGCATGCCACCACGACAAGCTAATTTTTTTTTTTTTTTTTTTTTTTTAGTTTTTTTGTAGGGATAAGTTCTCACCCTGTTGCCCAGACTGGTCTCAAACTCCTGAGCTCAAGCGATCCTCCTGCTTTGACCTCCCAAAGTGCTAGGATTACAGGCATGAGCCACCCACCCAGCCCAGAGTAATTTTCCTAAAATGCAAACTGTTTAAATGCCTTGAATGGCTTCCCCTTATCCATAGGATAAAACTCAGACTATTTGACTATTTGCCATGTCTTTTTTTTTTTTTTTTTTTGAGACAGAGTTTCACTCTATCACCCAGGCTGGAGTACAATGGAGCGATCTCAGCTCACTGCAACCTCCGCCTCCCGAGTTCAAGTGATTCTCCTGCCTTAGCCTCCCGAGTAGCTGGGATTACAGGAGCCCACCACCACACCTGGCTAATTTTTGTATTTTTAGCAGAGACAGGGTTTTATCATGTTGGCCAGCCTGGTCTCCAACTCCTGACCTAAGGTTATCCGCCCACCCTGGCCTCCCAAAGTGCTGGGATTACAAGCACGAGCCACCTCAACCAGCTTAGCCGTGGCTTTCAAGGCCCTTCACCCCACTGCTCCCACTTCCGCTCTCTCCACTGGGCCCTCACAGTCTGCCTGCCTTCCCACCTCCCCACGTGGCTCTACAGACCTTCTGAGCCATGCCCTCTGTCTGGAACCTCCCAATGGCACTCTCGCAGCTGGAACACTCCTCCTTAGGCTCTCTGCCTAACTGCTTTTCAGTTTTCAAACCTCAGCTCATATTTTAATTTTGGGGGGATGATTTATTTGACCCCCTGCCTCTCTCTGCCCAGGATTAGAGGCTTCTGCCACAATCTCAAGTTCTCCCTCTGTTCCTGTGATAACACTTATCTCACTGTATTATTATCTTCTTGTTTCACTGCCTGTCTCCTTACCTAGATTGTAAACTGTGAAGGCAGGGTCTTATCTCTTCTATTCCCCACTCTATACCCCGCATGTGTCACAGGACCTGGCACAGGGCAGGCACTGAATATTCTTCACTAAATGTGTGTGTATAGGGCAAACATGCATACACCAATATATAGCATATGAAGTGTTTAATAAATCTGTATAATTTTCCCGCAGATTATTTTGCATTTTCTTTGTAGAAATTAATGTTATCTGTGTGTTAGATATGAGTTCTAAATTTCTTTTCAAAGAATTAATATGTCAGTATGTTCAATTCTTTGCCTTCTACTTTTAAACTTAACTTCTTCGTAAAGCAACCTTTTTCGATTACCTACTCCATCCTGACTCATTCCGATCACCTGCTCCACCCTAACTCATTCTAATCACCTGCTCCACCCTAACTCGTTCAGATTATCTGCTACCTGCTCTGCCCTGACTCCCGCCGAAGCACTCACCCGGTCATTCTCTTTAAATTAGCCAGTCAGAATTAATTTAGCCTGTGCGGTCTAACACTAGCCAATAGGGAAACGACACAGCAGCAGGGGCCACGTGCGTCATAGATAAGAACCTCTTCCCCTCTCTTGTCCGAGTGTGCGCTCACCATTGTTCCATCTGGAAGGGTGCACCCTTCTATAGAAGTAACTTGCCTTGCTGAGAATTAAAAAGAAAATTTTAGACTCGAGTGCTATTCCTTTTGCGGCACCAAAACTTTACATAACATGTGAATAATGACAGTTTTGCTTCTTCCTTTCTAGTCCTTATCCCTTCTGTTTTTCCTTGTCTTACGGTGCAGCTAAGATCTCCAATGCAATGTCAAATGGATGTGCTGATAGTTTGCATTTTTGTATCTGATTTTTTTTTTTTTTTGAGACAGCGTTTTGCTCTGCCACCCAGACTGGAGTGCAGTGGTACAGTCATGGCTGATGGCAACGTCAACCTCCTGGGCTTAGGTGATCCCCCCACCTCAGCCTCGGGGGTAGCTGGGACTACAGGCACACACCACCAAGTGCCTGTATTGTATTTTTTGTAGAGATGGTTGCCCAGGCTGGTCTTGAACTCCTGGGCTGAAGCAATCTGCTCGCCTTGGCTTTCCAAAGTGCTGGGATTACAGGTGTGAGCCACCACTCCTGGCTGCATCTGATTTTTTAAAGGGAAAAGTCACGATTTTGACATTAACTATCATGCATGATAGAGATTTTTGATTGATACTCTTCATCATTTTAAGGAAATTCTATTCTAGTCTCAGTTTAAGAAGCTTCTCTTCATAAATTATGAATGAATGAATGAAAAATTTTATCTGTGAGTTTTCTGTTTCACCAAGATGGTTTACCTTCTTTAATCTGTTAATGCATTGAATTACATTACATTGCCTAGTGTTAAAACATCCTTACAGCCTTGCAATTGGTCTTGATATATTATTCTTTTACAATATTGTTTTGCAGAATTTGATGTACTAACATTTTATTTAGCATTATGAAGTCTATGTTTATTAGTAAAATTGGCTTATAATTTTCTTTTCTTTTGCTATTTTTGTCTGGTTTTGAGATCAAGAATATTTATAGTCTCATAAAATGAATTGGAAAACTTTCTCTTTTTTTCTATTCTCTAAAACAATGTATATGTAATAAAGATGACCTAGTCCTTAAATATTTGACAGAACTCATTTATAAAGCTATCTAAACCCACTGCAGGTTTATACATATAGATCTATTAGCTGAAGCTTGTTAATTGTTTGGTTCAAATCACCTGTGTCTGTATGCCTTTGTGTATTTGCAAAGATTCTTAATTTGTCTTTTACATGCAAATTTATTTTTCTACACTATCTGTTCTGCTGTACAGTGCCTTCAAAGTATTTTGGTTATGTTTTACTTTTGTTTCATCCTTTTTATCCAATTCCATTTATATGTCAACCTGCATCTTTATTTATTTTTCATATCTTCTGTATAATTTTGCAATGTTAGTATTTTCCTGTAATTGTTTGAGATCACAAAAAGGTTGCTTTCAAAGGTTGACTTCCATGTTTTTCTACTGTAAATCATCTTCCAAAATATGCATTTGCTCTGCATCTTCAGGGCCATGCTCTTTATTCTTTTCTGAACTATCATGGTCCCTGTATTGTTGTTTCAGTTGATTCATCTTTAAGTAAGGAAATCCGGAGGAAGCATGTGTATACAATCTGTTGGAAAATATCTGGCTATCTACTGGATCTGATGACCTTGAGTAACACTGTTGTACCTGCATCTTAGTGCATGTTTCACACAATGTCTTAATTAGAGAGGCTTTTCCCACAATGCTCAGCCCCTGCCACAGCCCTTAAAGGGCCATGCTGCTTTTTCAATCTTTGAAGTCTTTGGACAACTTTACCGATGGGAAATTTCATATAGGTCCTCCCTCTGCTGATTGGCCATAGCGTAATGAAAAAAAAGATCATCAATTAATTGGCTTGTGACACCATAGCTGTGAGATAACAAATAGGTCTCGCCTCACATACCAACTCCCAGTGGGTGTGGTGGCTGCCTGGGGAACTTTGTTGAGAATGATTCTGAGGCCCTCTCTGGCTCAGTGGGAAAGAGTGCTTTCATTAATGAGTTATATCTGCTAGGGGCATGGGAGCAGGGAGTGGCAGGATGAATGCCACCTATCTGCTGCCCCTGTTCTAATGGCTGTCCACAGGTGTGACATAAGATATAAAAATTAATAGTAAGCTGGGCTTAAAGGGCCTGGCCTCCTTGAAGCTTTTAAGGGACTCAATTCCACAATACCCAGTGATATATGACAGTGGACTTAGCTTATGAAGTGCTTGCCCCAGACACCAGTGATCTGAAATTGTCCAAAACTCCAGAGAATGGCAGACTAAACACAGGCGAATTGTGTAATCAAGTGGCAAACTGCCCGAGCGATGATCTTTCTAGGTGTGAACACACCTAGCTTCACTGCCTTATCAGAGTTGGGCCTGCATAAACCTTTGCCGTTCTTTGTTAGATCTGGCTGGGATCTTTGCCCCCACACTCCCACTCTCCCCTTACCCAAAAGAGGCTTAGCCCTCCTCATTCCTTGTTCATCATTCTGCACAGGGTTGGGGGGAAGTGACACAGGCCTGTCCATTCTTAGTTCAGAAAGTGGTCCCCAAATGGTATGTGACCTCAGTTGGAATTTTATATACAAGCACTTGAAGGAACCACTTTCTCTAGAATCCAGAATTGGGACTGGGATGATGAAAGCCTGGAACTCTCTGATGCCTCCACCATAATGAAGACATCCATGTGTATTGGGAGAGAAGGAAGCTGACAGAGAAAAGCAGAGGCGAGAGAGAGAAAGAGAGAGAGAGAGGCAGAGGCTAAGAAAGAGAGAGGGGACACCTGCTGACATCTCTGGAGTTTCTTGAACTTTTGATATGTACTCCATTCCTGGACTTGATCATATGAGTCAGTACATTCATTTGAAATTGAACTATTTTGATTTGGGATTGTGTCTCTTAAGACTGAAGGAGTCTTAACAAATACAATGGCAACTGCTTTTGTTAACTGTCAATGTTGGTTGAGACTGGTTGGTTTGCCTCTCCATTTTAGAGATGTCAAAGGAAAATAAATCTTGGGACCCCAAAATCACTAAGCCAAGGGGAAAGTCAAGCTGGGAACTATGTCAGGCAAACCTGCCTCCCATGTTATTTTTAAATAAGACCGCTACAAAATAAAAAGCTACATATCTCCTTCACAATTTGGCCACAAGGAAATTCCTTCTGGACAAAGGACAGACAGAACTCAAAGTCATCCCTCTGAGTCTCACCTGAGACAAATGCTTATCTGAGTGCTTCCTCTGCCCTATTGTTTAGGTGAAAATGCAGATTCACTGAGCCAGACTAAATTGTGTATTCAGTGCAAAGCTGATCAAAGACTCAAAAGAATGCAACCTTTTGTCTCTTATCTCCTTATGACCACCTCAAGTTGTCCTGCCTTACTAGACCAACCCTATGTCTCCCTAGAATGTGTAAAAGCAAGCTGTACCCTGACCACCGTGCGTATACGTTGTCAGGCCCTCCTGAGGCTGTGTCACATGTGCGTCCTTAACCTTGGTAAAGTAAACTTTCGAAATTGATTGAGACCTGTCTCCAATACCTTTTGGTTTACAGAGGAGATTCATGATTCATGAACAGAGGCCTGTGTTGCTCCCATTGCCTCTGAGCCTCTCCAGAGGTCCCAATACATCCTCCCTCGCCCTCAGCCATGCTGCCTACAGGGAATGGAAGTCACAGAATGAATGTGTTAAGAGGAGACTCCTGCAGGTGGGTGGCAGGGTCTGTGGCTGAGAAGAGAATTCTACTACAGTGTGGAGTGCCCTTCTGGTTAGTTCTTCCTCCCCACCCTAAAGTGGGAAATATTTTCCCACTTCTTTATAGCCATCTTTTTTCTTCAATTCAAAAGGCAAAGTGTACATACATAGAAATTTATTTCTCAATTCAACCCACAAAGATGCAGTTTCCCAGAGTTTAGCATATAGCTTTCAGTCTATAATGTTGCCAATTGGTCTTCTGGGTCTCTCCATGAGTGATTTAATTAAAAAGAAAGGAAAGATGAATAGAGTACTGTTGGTTTGCAACAGTGACGATTTGGAAATTCCTGGGCAGGTACATTTCCACGGCATGGTAAGGATTCTGGGAAGAACAGCGCTTTGGCACTGCCTGTGCGGCCCAAGGCAGCTGGAAGGGGTCCTACAGATCCTGGGGAAAGGCACTAAAACAAGAAAAGGAGTGGGTGGTGCCAGAGACAAACTTCAACAGTTTCCTGACTTTGCCTACAGCCCGCCCTGACTGGTTTAGGCTTGTTAACGAAAACATTCTTCCTATTCCTTTCTCCTGCCTAGTTTTGAATGATGACAGTGCTGTAGATATGATGCCTTTATGACATTTAACCACAAATGGCACCAATTAGTCATCTCATAAAGCTCAACAGCGCCAGGACTATCCTTTATCTCAGCTCTCTGGGGCTGGGAGTGGGAGATCGGAGTAGAATATGTGTCTCTAGCCTGAAGAAAAGTTGTCAACAAATCAGTTCTTCATCTAATCTGAGGTGACAAGTGGGGTGATGTATTCCAGCTAAAGCATTCTTGGCTCCAGATGACTTTGTAAAGATAATAAAATGTGTTCATGTTCACATGTTCGTCAATGTCTCCAGTTCTGGCCTCGGCAGCTTTTCAGAGGCAAAAACTTCCCTCTTTTATTCCCTGTCCTAACTGATGAAAAGGTGAAGTGTTGTAATAGATCAATCTCTTTACAATCTATCTGCTTTTTGACCGATAATGCTGACATAATTTTAGGGAATTGTAAGAGAGGAGATAGCCTTAAATTAGGCATTTACAGGGGACGGAGAGAGAGGTAAAGTGGTACTTACAGCTTCACTGCAGGAGATTTAAGAACAATATCTGTCGATCACTGTGAAGAGTCTGAGATTTAACCTACATTCAATTTCACAAGTTAACCTGCCATAGTTCCATGGATGCTGGTAGAAGGTATGAGGCCCCTGGGGTTAGAGACAGAAGACAATTTATTACTCCCAGTAATAGCAATAGTCAAAGTATCAGCATATTTGCACTGGTAAGACCCACCTCCCACAGGGTGATAGGAAGAGGGCCAGATGACACTGGAACAATCCTATACATGCAGTCAGTTACATTACAAGGGCAAAATCTTGAGTTTAGGCAACCTGAATCTTTCATCAGGGGCCATAATCTCACCTGCCTTTTGCTCCGAAGGAAAATATTATGTCTATCTTCCAAGACTGATTGATAAACAAACCTCCTTGAAAAGATAATGCAGAACAAAGAGCAGTTAGCCTTTGCTTATGAGAGTACAGGAGTGTGACAAACCTGTGGGAAAATTTCTCCTAACAATGTGCAACCCTCATTTCAATACTGTTGCATTAGCTTCCAGAGATTTGCCATAACAAATCATCCCAAACTGGGTGGGTTAAAACAACACACATTTCTTCTTGTGCAGTTCTAGAGGTGAAGCGTCTGTTGGCATGGCCCTGTTTCCCCTCAAGACTCTAGAGGAGTAGTCTTCCTTGCCCTTTCCGGTTTCTGGTGGCTTCTGGTGTTCCTTGGCTTGTGGCTGCATCACTCTGGTCTCTGCCTTTGTCTTTGCATAGCCTTCCCCTCTTAGCTCCTGTGTCCCCATCTATGTTCTCTTATACGGACTCATTTCATTGGATTGAGTTTAGGAAATCTGAATCTTTCATAAGGGGCCATATAATCCAACATGATTCTACCCAGATAACCCTACCCAGATACCCAGATAATCCAACATGATCTCATCTCGACATCCTTAATTTAATTAATCTACAAAGATCCTTTTCCTAAATAAAGTCACATCACAAGTTCTGGGGGTTAAGAAGTGGATATATCTTTTGTATGGGTGGGTGTCATTCAACCCAACCATCTCAGCTTCTGATAAATTTTCACATGAATACCCCACTCCATCAGCCATGTTGATTAAACTGACTGACAGAGGCTGAAACCAAATCTATTCAAATAGTCTTCTTTCTTCTTCTTTTTTTTTTTTTGAGACGGAGTCTTGCTCTGTCACCCAGGCTGGAGTGCAGTGGCGTGATCTCGGCTCACTGCAACCTCTGCCTCCCAGGTTCAAGCAATTCTCCTGCCCGAGCCTCCCCAGTAGCTGGGACTACAGGCACCCACCACCATGCCCAGCTAATTTTTGTATTTTTAGCAGAGACAGGGTTTCACCATGTTGGCCAGGTCTTGAACTCCTAACCTCAGGTGATCCACTCACCTTGGCCTCCTAAAGTGCTGGGATTACAGATGTGAGCCACCGTGCCCGGCCCCATTCAAATAGTCTTATGCAGAATTTAATTAACAAGACTTGAAGCAACACAATGTGGCCTATTTACATTGTGGAACTCAATCATATCCCCCAGAGTCCCAGCCTCAAGTTGAAACCAATCCTATAAACCATCATGGTCTAACTTGGAAATCCAACTAGCTTGCTCTTTGTGTTTTGACTTTTCCACTTGGCTTGAGGTATTATTCCAGATACAGCAGGATGTATTAGCACAAGGAGGAAGTCTTGGGCAATTCAATCATTCCTAACAATCCTGGCCAGTGAATTGAAGCTATCTGAATGCCTCACAGGGCTGAGGTTTGTTTTCCCAAAATACTCAAAGCTCTTTTATGACTATACTTAAGGGGTATGTGACTATGTTTCCAGAAGAGAGGCAAGTTAATGTCTGGCTTCCACATAAGAATTACAGTTTCTGAGATGCACATGGTGCCCTAGGGAAGAGATGTTTGCAATTGCCGATGCCACTCAAGGAGGACCTGCATTCGTTGGGGACCATGGTTCATGATGCTGCAAATATATTCTCCTGGTTGGCTGGTTGGCATTAGGGTTTTCCACAAAGAACAGTTGAATCTAATCCTTCTTTGTGGAGGAACTACCTGATAGCAGTGAGTCTAACCTGACCTTTTTGTCCATGCCACCAGCTGGTGGCATTTGTTTGTTCTGGGCGATGATTGAGTGATACCTACAAGAAAGGGAGGGGCAAAGACATCTAGAGGTCTTGGCAAGTGTGTTGAATGGGGTGGCAAGAACAAGTGTGTTGAATGGGGTGGCAAGAACTGGGGCTATCCCCTGCTGCTTCTGTTAAACTTCTTGGTAAGATTAACACGAATGGAAATCAAGTCCTGGTGATAATTATCTGGCAGAGGATGGCAGGCCCAGTAGTTAGTTAAAGGCAAGGCACTTAGTGCATTGGAGTGTTTTCTTTCCTGGGGAAGATCTCAGGGTATCTTCCCACCCTCATACTTTCTGGGGTTGGAGGAACTCTCTCCCCAGCTCTCACCACCAGAGAATCATTGTGTTCATTCCAGTGGTTACTCATCTCCTACTTCACCCACATCTTCGTCTAGATAAATTAGGTGCAAGAGGGATAAAGGCATATTTTAAAACTTTTATTTTAAGCTCAGGGGTACATGTGTAGGATTGTCATATGGGTAAACTTGTGTCATGGGGGCTTGTTGTACAGATTATTTTGTCACCTAGGTTTTTTTTTTTTTTTTTTTTTTGAAACTGAGCCTCACTCTCTTGCCCAGGCTGGAGTGCAGTGGCCCATCCTTGGCTCATTGCAACCCCCGCCTCTCAGGCTGAAGCAATTTTAATGCCTCAGCCTCCCTAGTAGCTGGGATTACAGGTGCATGTCACTGCACTCAGTTAATTTTTCCCTATTTTTTGGTAAAGACGGGGTTTCACCATGTTGGCCAGGTTGGTCTTGAACTCCTGGCCTGAAGTGATCCATCTGCCTCGGCCTCCCAAAATGCTGGGATTACAGGTGTGAGCCACCGCACCTGGCCTCATCACCCAGGTATTAAGCCTAGTGCTCATTAGTTATTTTTCCTGATCCTCTACCACCTCCCACCCTCTACCCTCCAATAGGCCCCATTGTGTGTCGTTCCCCTCTATGTGTCCATTTGTTCTCATCATTTAGTTCCCACTTACAAATGAGAATACGTGGTACTTGGTTTTCTGTTCCTGCATTAGTTTGCTAAGGACAATGGCCTCCAGCTCCATCCATGCCCCTGCAAGGACATGACCTTGTTCCTTTTTATGGCTGCACAGTATTCCATGGCATATATGTACCATATTTTCTTTATCCAATCTGCCATCAATGGATATTTAGGTTGATTCTATGTCTTTGCTATTGTGAATAGCATTGTAATAAATATACATGTGCATGTATCTTTACAGTAGAATGATTTATATTCTTTTGGGTATATACCCAGTAATGGGATTGCTGGGTCAAATGGTATTTCTGTCTTTAGGTCTTTGAGGAATCACCACACTGTATTCCACAAAAGCTGAACTAATTTATATTCCTACCAACCGTGTATAAGCATTCCTTTTTTTCTACAACCTCTCCAGCATCTGTTATTTTTTGACTTTTGAATAATCACCATTCTGACTGGTGTGAGATGGTATCTCATTGCGGTTTTGATTTGCATTTCTCTAATGATCAGTGATGACGAGCTTTTTTTCATATGTTTGTGGGCCACATATATGCCTTCTTTTGAAAAGTGTCTGTTCATGTCCTTTGTCCACTTTTTAATGAGGTTTTTTTTTTTTCTTGTAAATTTGTTTAAGTTTCTTATAGATGCTGGATATTAGAACTCTGTTGGATGGATAGTTTGCAAAAATTTTCTCCCATTCTATAGGGTGTCTGCTCACTCAGTTGATAGTTTCCTTCGTAGTGCAAAAGTTCTTTAGTTTAATTAGATCCCATTTGTCAATTTTTGCTTAGGGCATTTTTATAAAACTTACAGAGATGCGTTATATCTTCCATTTTGGCCCATGTGTGCCAGCATAGGGAGACTCTGAGCAATGTATTCAACCAGTGGTCATTGTCCTGGTGACCCGGGACATGTCAATCCAACAGGAGAATCCAGACTTCTTAGGGTCCCATTTGAGACAGATGGCCACTCAGATAGTACAAGCCTGGCCAGCTGGGGGTTACTCCTAGGAGTAAGAAAGACACACCATACACAGGAAGTGCTAGAGAAGAATCCCAAATTTCCAGAAAAGGTCTCCTCCCATTTTGTCAAGTTATTACCTAGGAAGCAGCTGAGAGAAGATGATCACTTTCTGGGACAGCCTCACTCAGTGACCAAACTGTTTTAGACACATGTGGGAATCTGAAGGAAGTCAGGGAGGTTGAGTCAGAAATCTTTTTGAGTTCAGTTTTGAGGAGGCCATTGCAATGGCCAGAGGCCTGTGGATGATGGGAGCATGGAAGGCCTACTAAATACCTTGACTATTAGCACTTGGTTGAATAGTTTTTGCAATCAAAGGTGTACTGTTGTCAGACTGTAAATCATCCAGAAAGCCAAAAGCTTATCACAGAGAAGTTTGAAGGGCCACTGTGGTGTGAGTAGTTGGCTGTACACACTGCAACAGCAACGTTGTAACCTAAAAGAGTTGTCAACAGGCTGGGCACTGTGGCTCACACCTATAATTCCAGCTTCTTGGAAGGCTGAGGTGGGAAACCAGCCTGGGCAACATAACCAGACCCCATTGCTACTAAAAAAATTTAAAAATTAGCTGGGCATGGTGGTGCAAGCCTGTAGTTCCAGCTATTTATGAGACTGAGGCAGGAAGATCTCTTGAGACCAGGAATTTGAGGCTGCAGAGAGCCAGGATCACACCACTGTACTCCATCCTGGGCGACAGAGCAAGACCCTGTCTCTAAAAAACAACAACAAAAAAAATTATATATATAAAAAAAGTATCAATAATGGTAAGGCACCCCCAATAGGTACCAGAAGGGGCCAAAGGTTCAATTTATTCAATCTGCCAGGAGTTTACAGAGACAACACCCTGTGAAATGTGGCCTCTCTTGCCACAAGACAAATGGGTCCATTTGTGACAGGCTCCACAGTCTGGCATGCAGCAGTAGCCTCTCCATTGGAAACAAAGAGTCCTTTACTGTGTGCCAAGTCTATAACGGTGGATGTTGCCACATCTTATACAATGATGATGGATCGAGGTGGCAGTGGTGGCAGGGTGGATGGTACAGGCTCAAGTTTGGTCCCCGTTGGTCCCACAAGAGAATGGGCCTTTAATGTGGGTGTTTATGTGAGTGATCCAGGCGGTTCCAGCAGCAGCCACAATTTGTTCTCACAATTCAAAGTTCACAGTTCATTGGTCCAAAGATAGTTGTCTTTAATGTATAGTTTTCAAAGTGGCATCTAAGCCACCAACGATCACCAGAGAGTCAGTAAAATCATAACTAGCTTCATCAAAAGGAGTACTGGCCAGAGTGATGAGAATGCTCCTGTTTTCTGCCCGCACAGGAGAACGACCACCTCTATTTTTGGTTCTGCATAGCTGGTGCTAAAGCTGAACAGACACAATAGTCCAGTGACACTGTCAGGTACCAGCTTAGCCAAATCACCAGCGAAGCCGGCCCAGGCACTGAGGGGAACACTGTGAGGGCAGGACCACACTGAGCCAGCAGCTTTGCTGCAGGCGGTAGCATGGGGATGGAATTTCCCCCAAAGGAACAGCTGCCACTTTTTCACCTAAAACCAAGATACTGTGGGAGCCAGGCCAGCTGTGTTCTTGAACCTACTATTTCCATTTGACAAATGAGGTGGTTGGGGCCTTCCCACTGTGTTAGTCATGGAGTCAAAGTTGACCCACCACAAAGTGAGAATACAGGATGAAGACTCACAGGCTTCTGAGAGTCAGGCCCTCCTTTTTGACAAGAGCCCACTAGCGAGCTCAGAGCTGCTTTTTAAAGAGGGTGGACCTGGTCACAATGTCATGGAAGCAACAAGTCCAAAATTCCAAGAGGTGGCTCTGGATGAAGCCTGACTCCTTTTGCCAGAGTCTCCAGTTGGCAAAGTCATCAGTTGCAGAGACATAGAGCTGAGGTTTCATTAGGATTGCTGAGCCCTGAAGCTGGAGAGTGTGTCTCAGCTTGCTGGACAGCTTCTAATGCAGTCTGTTTGGACCCTGCTCATATCATGCTGATGTGATATGAGAAAAGAAACAATGGGATACCCAGTGAGGTGCACACTGTCTCCCATATCCAAAGAGTACATTAAGGTTCTGGGCATCCTTTTGGGTGATGGGGGTGGGGTGCTGAAGAGATAGCAATTTTTCCCTGACTACCAGTGTGGCTGTAAATAGTCCCAGGAAACTTTGCCTGGTGAGCTAGTTCCTGGATTTTGTCAGGTTTTATCAGCTTCACCTGCTGGCAGCTTCACCTGCTGGCATGCTAATACCATTCTCAAGGTCACTGAGACGGGCACTTATGGCTTGCCAACCAACAGGACGTCATCTACATAACCAAAGCTATGGACATCAGAGGGTAGAGGCCCTTGCACTAAATTCTGACCCCTCCTCTCCACTAGTAGCAAGTGGCAGAGAAATTTAGGTGCTCATGGAAGACTACTGCAAATGTATACTGGAGGCTTTGAAATGTGAATGGGAACTGTTTATGATGCTTAGGTGCCAGTGGTATGGCAAAGAAGCCATTGGTAAGCATGCCAAGTGCCATTGGTCTGCGTAATGGATTCAATTACAGTTACAATGTCTGGAACAGCTGGGATATGGAATCAGCAACTGAATTCAGTGGGCAATAATCTACTGCAAGCCTCTGCCTCTTGTTAGCCTTTTTTCCTGGCCATACAGGCCTGTTGTATACAATCCTTACTGCCTTTAAATTCTTAATCAAGATTATTCTCCCCCTTGGGAGTCTATATTGTTTCTGTTGGAACACCCCAAAGGGTGCAGGGAGGGGTCTGCAGAGCAATGTATGTGTTTCACTAACTTGTCTCTAAATGTGACTCTTCTGAATCAGGAGAACCCCCTCTAGACAGTTACAATACAAGGATGTAAAACATTAATAATAATTATGCATTCAGCAGTGGAGTCCACAACAGCACACATAAATTGGCTCAAAGGGCTCTGGCACAAGGCCACTGTAGCTTTCCTTCTCCACTGCAAATCTTGCCCAAATTCCATTGGTTAAGTTGGGAATTCTCTCTTTCCACAGGACCAGAGAGGACAGTGACTTGGGACCTGTATCTAATAGGTATCTAATAGATCCATAAAATTGGAAGTCTCTCCTTTCCCCTCAAATCTCCAGCACACTTGGACAGATGAGTATGACCTTTGAGGCCTGATGTGGACCAGGGAGACCTTAGCTTCACCTCTAATTGTTTTTCTCATTAAAGTGGTTAAGCTGAAGTAGAGGAGGAGGAAAGCAATGAGTCATGAAGGAGAGAGTGGCTCTGCCCATTAAAAAAAGCTTTGCATTTACTTTTGTAGAGCATGGCTCATTACTCCAGCCCAATGAACTTGCATTGCCTTTGGCATTCACAGGGTTCCACATTGGATGGCAATGTCCTTGTGGCTGATATCATTTATTTCAAAAGGCAGAAGAACCTTCTGCCCACCCACAACAAATCTTGGTACTAGTAGTTACAATGGGGTGGACCTGAGGCTGCTCTCAGATTGGCAAGGAAGCCCTCCATCTGGAGGGTAGTTAGCAACAACCAAGGTAGTTGGGGAGTTGTCTTTGAATTTACTTCCTGGTGTTCAGCCTGCAACCAGCTTCCCGATTTCTCCTCATAAACAGGCAATGAAGTGGAAGACCATTGATTGTCCTGTTGACCACAAAATGGAGTCAACATGCCTCTGCCAACTCCCATGGGCTCCATTAGGTCCCATTATCTCACTTACAAGACCCTTGCTTTCCTGTTCCAGCAGCCACGTCTCCGTCAGCCTCCCATCCTCATCTCCAGAATTGTCAAGAACTGTGACGGGTCTGAGATTTTAGCGTACTCACAAGTTAACAAGTTAGCCTGGTACAGTTTCATAGATGCTAAGGGACCATTTATTACAGCACTAGAAGTAGCCTTAGTATCAGCATTTTTTCACAGGTTCCCTGGTCCCCAATTCCTACAGGGTGACACAAAGAGGTCCAGATGACATCTTGGGTTGTGTTCTAGGAGAGGAACCCTGAGCTTAGGGAACCTACATTTTAGGTGGACAACAAGCATACCCGCCCTTTGCTCTAAACAGAGACATTCTATCTCCTAAGGCGGTTCACTAAGCAAACCTCCGTGAAGAGAGAGTCCAGATCAAAGGGTGGTCAATGTCTGCCTCACAAGATGTGCAGACACACTGGAGACCCACAGAGAATTGCCTCCCAAAAATGCTTATTTTCATTTTATTCTTTCAGGTGTTCACAGTTATTTTGAAATATATCTCTGTGGCCTAAAATATTAAAGACAATGCAACAAAATTTGTACTATCAAAATCATTGGGAGAGAATATTAAATCTTCACCTGCAGAATGACTCTAAGATGGGTAATGATGATGTACCTAAGAAATAGCTGAGCAATATCTTTTATGGGCTTTTAAAAAAGGAAACCTTTTATTTTGAGGTAACTGTTCATTCACATGTAATTGTTAGAAATAAAACAGGAGATCCCATATACCCTTTAACCAGTTTTCCCCAATGGTAACATCTTGCAAAACTATAGTACAATGTCACAACCAAGATATTGACATGGATAAAGCCAAGATATAGAACATTCCATCACCACCAGGATCCTGGATGTTGCCTTTTCATAGCAGCAATATCTTAACCCATCTTCCTGGTTGTAAGGTAAATCAGTGCCTTAGCTAATTAGACTGCCACAGATCAAAGAGATAGGATTGTTTACACCAATACCAGAAAAACATTTTACAAATTATTTTTGTAAATATATGTAGAATATATTTCACATATTTTTGTAAATATAAGTAAAATATATTTCACATATTATTTTTGTAAATATAAGTAATATGTGTTTTATATATTAGAACATACAGTAACAAAGTAGATTAAAAAAAAACCTCCACCACTATTTACCAATTTGGTGTATTTTCTTTCAATCTTTTTTTATTTGCTGAGAGAGAGAGAAATGGGAGGGGTGAGAACTAGTATTTATTACCTACATATTTATGTATCTATCAGATATATTTTTGTTACATTCTGGAAATCAATAACATCAGTGAAAAGGAGAGAGAATTCTTACCCCCTGTTCCTTTAACCTTTACCGAAGAAAGGCAATGGGTGGGGCAGCACGTTTTATGGGCAGTTTGTCAGATCTCCAAGACTCTAAGGAATTACAGTGACCCCACACAGCAGGCACAGGGACTGTCCAGCCACAGGTGGATGGCCAGGGATATCCGCAGGGGCTGAAAGAGAAGCACTCCCACCAGCTTCTGGGTTTGGTCAGCAACTGGTGAGAGACTGGACAGCTGAAGAATGTGCCCCCAGTGGAACATTTTCAATAACCATTAGGCTTCCAATAAAAAGAAGTTAGAAGCAACAGTGTGAAAGATGTGACTGTTTCCTCAGAGGTCAAAGCATGAGTCACTGTGAATTAGGCAGTCAAGGGATGGCCCTTTTTTGTGCACTCACCCCCCTGTCATCAACCAGAGTCATTGTTCTTCTGAATAACCCCCCCGTTTCAATGCCAGGGGGTTCACATCTGGTGGTGACAGGAGAGTTTTGCCAACAGGATTCCAAATGTCAGCAGGCTGACTGGTCAATGCTTACTCAGGCAAGCCTTCCCAGTGAAGCCATAATTACCTCCCGCTCTCAGAATAGGATTAACAAATGCAGTTATTTGTGTATGATCCTTTTACATACAACCTCATGCATTTTACTCATGCCAGTTAATATTTCCCATTAGAAAAATCCTCTTATATGAATGCCATGATAAATAAATTATTGGCATTTTAAAAAAACCTTGTTAACCAGAAATGGCCGCAAGGGTGAAAGTGTTTATACCTTCATACAATAATGCATTTCTCTTTTTATTTTAAGACTGTTTCCTTTCATTCAGTTTATGAGTAAGGCTGGGAATCAATTAAGTTTTAAGTGCAAAGACAAGGGATATGATTCCTAAAAATAAAAGAAGATAATTTAGGTGTACTTTAGAGGTAATTATAGCAGGATTTTGTTCAAAAGTTTCCCAATATAACTATGTGACTTGTGAAAACCTATCTCAACACTAGTTTCATCACCTATAAACTGGAGGTAATTCACGCCAACCTCACAGAGATGTTTTGATTCAGTAATGAGTCTTGTCTTTTGTGGCAGTTCTAGAAGCTCCAAGGACAGGTGCTGCCAACTGTCCCAATTTAGCCTGTGGCAGTCCTGCAAGTGAAAATCTCAAGTTCACCCACTGGTCCTGGTCCTTATCAGGAAAAGGGGGCTAAACTGATGTTTCAAACTAAATATGATTAACCAGCTGGCGATTATGAGCAAGGCAAACACTCTCCAAGCCTCCCTTAATCTATAAAATGAATGTGGAGAGGGAAGTAGTAGCTAGATGATATCAGAGACACCTGACAGCATATTAGACTCATTTAGGGATATTTAAACCGCTAGTGTCCTGACCACACCTGACACCAATTAAATTGAAATCTGTGGGGTTTAATCAGCATCAGTGGTTTTTAAACTCCCCAGGTGATTACACTAAACAGCCAAGATTGAGAACCATACGACTGGATATGTAAGTCACCGTTCCACTCCAAAATTCAATGATTCTAAATAAAATATTTGAAGCATTCTAAAAAATAAGACATTATTAATGTTATTGTGGTCACTGGGCCATACATTTCCAATGCAGACACCACAGTATTTGACTTTAAAAGAGAAAGTTGAAATAAAGTTTAAAAAAAGGCTGAATGCAGTGGCTCATACCTGTAATCCTAGCACTTTGGGAGGCCGAGACGGGCGTATCACTTGAGCTCAGGAGTGTGAGACCAGCCCGGGCAACATGGGGGAAACCGTCTCTACCAAAAATACAAAAAAGGTAGCCAGGCACAGTGGCAAGTACCTGTGGTCCCAGCTACTCGGGAGGCTGAGGCGAGTGGATTGCTTGGGCCCGGTAGGCGGAGGATACAGCAAGCCGCTGCACTCGAGCCTGAACGAGAGTAAGCCTGTCTCAAACAAAAAAAAAAAAAAAAAGACCACAGTATTCTCCATAGAGTGAAGTTGTCAGACATGGAGATAGCGGGACTGTGACAGGATAAGATTCTTTATAGAGGGATTATGCCTCGTAGTCCTCAAACCTGCTTCAACTGTTATAATCTCTGACCAAGATTACAATAGGGCAAGATCTGTGAGTAATGATGGTTGCTGATGCAAGCAATGTGGCTTTGGGAAACTAATTTCATTGTATTAATCTTATTAATCTCATCAGTATAGGAGGCGTCAGACCACATTGTGTTATCTCAGTGGTGCACTCCAGCTTTAACCTGTAGAGAAAAGAATAAACCTCAGTAAACCTCGTGTCTTGTTTGCTGGCTCCAGTTCTCCTTCGGCCTCTTGAACGCGGTGCCATCCCTATCCAACTCGATAGAGGTCTGGCAGGACAATCATCTACAAGAATAATGAGTTCATAAATCCCAATAAAACATAACATTCTATCAAGAGCAAAATGCAGTTCAGAATTATGTTTCTGTTGATAAACTATAACTATATTTGAGTTATCACTAAAATTTTAACCAGGAAATGAAAAGTTTTAAAGTGTGTTTTTATGTATGTACATTTTAATAGAACACAAAGATTCTATATGGATCAAAATTTCTCCAGCTTGATTGATAGTTTTTCTGTAGAATATATAAAATGAATAACACTTCTTTTCTTTTTAATTGAATGAATATAAGTTTATATATTTTAATTAAGTTGAAACTTCTTTCTCCTTTTTCTGCTTTATTTTACATAGAGTGTGCTATTCATAGTGAAACTTAAATAGATTGTAGACTATTGGTCAAGGTTGTACCCAAACTAGAGGGGTGTATTAGTTCGTTCTTGTACTGCTATAAAGAAATACCTGAGACTGGGTAATTGTTCCATAAGCTGTATAGGAAGCATGGCGACATCTGCTTCTGAGGAGCCCTTGGGGAGGTTTTACTCATGGCAGAAGGCAAACCCAGAGCAGGTGTCTTATGTAGCAGGAGCAGGACCAAGAGAGAGAAGGGGGAGGTGCTACACACTTTTAAACACCCAGATCTCACAAGAACTCACTATCATGAGAACAGCATCAAGGGGATAGTGCTAAACCATTCATGAGAACTCTCCCCCATGATCCCACCACCTCCCACCAGGGCCCACCTCCAACACTGGGGAATTACAACTGAAGATGAGATTTGGGTGGGGACATAGATCCAAATGGTATCAAGGGGGAATGCAGCTGTCTGTAGTGACTGATAAGGCTTTGGTTTATATCCCATTAGGGAGAGGTTAAATGTGTTTTTTGTTGTATGTTTTGGTTAGATAAAATCCTTTTAAAAAATGTAGGTATGAGGTAAAAGGTACGTGTGGCTTTTGCCTATCCAGGATCTGAACCCTGTCTCTGTGTTTGGGAAATTCTCCACTGGCTGTGTGTGGAAAGGAGCAGATCCCGCCTTTTGACTGGAAAGATGGAAAAGACCAGATCACAGAAAGATGAGAAAAAAGCCAGCACTCATTTTCCCAGGCTGCCTTGCAACTTGAGAATGATCACATGACCTAGCTCAGCCACTGAGAGGCTTCAATCCAGAACTTCGAATCAGAAACAGTGATACAAAGAAAAGGAGGCTGTGGAGAATTTATTCTTTTGGCAGCAGTGGCAGCAACACTCTGTTTCCACAGATGGCAGGGGCAGCAGTCCTGCACTGCTGCTGGTGGAGTGATGGCTTTAGCACAGGGATCCAGGGTTTAGAGCAGCAAGCGTCCTCCCTACACTGGCTCTTTGCTGTGACTTAGACTATAGTTCCAGCCGCCTGGCTGAACTAGGTTCCTGAAGATTTCTCAGATATGGTTTCCAACACTCCTGCTGACTTCATGACCTTCCCAATATCCTTTAAATAAATTCCTTTTCTACCTGTAATTTAAAAAACCCGGCATAGTAAGGCTATAGCAATAACTTTGATGAGCATACTTTTAGGGGTAAAATAGCACAGAGAACAGGGAAATCCTCCATTATTTTGTTTTGTCAAAGGAATGGACAAGGTGCTTTGGTCTTTTGTTTTTCTTTTAACTTCCTTTTCCAACCAATGTTTGTGGCCATGAAAGACTCTCTCCCTCTGTTTCTCTCTCTATATATATACATATATATATACACGTGTATATATATGTGCGTATATATGTACATATATATACACATATGCATATGTATATGTATACACATATGCATATGTATATGTATACACAAACATATATATATACACATATATATGTATATATATATAAAATATAGTTTGGCTCTGCGTCCCCAGCCAAATCTCATCTCAAATTGTAATCCCCATAATCCCCATATGTCAAGGGAGAGACCAGTTGGGAGGTGACTAAATCACAGGGGTGGTTTCCCCTATGCTGTTATCAGGATAGTGAGTGAGTTCTCACGAGATCTGATGGCTTTATAAGTGTTTGATGGTTCCCCCTGCACATGCTCTCTCTCACCTGTTGCCATGTGAGACATGGCTGCTTCCCCTTCTGCCATGATTGTAAGTTTCCTTAGGCCTCCCCAGCCATGCAAAACTGTGAGTCAATTAAACCTCCTTTGTTTATAAATTACCCAGTCTTGGGTAATATCTTTATAGCAGTGTAAAAATGAACTAATACAATACACATGCACACATACATATATGCATGTATATGTATTTCCTAGTCTATTTCATAAGATTTCAGACAGCTTATACAGAAATATACAATATACCAAAATCACATTAAATGTAGACAAAAATGTATTGAAAGGAGAAAACATTCACAGACATATAAAATAGAGCCAGGAGTAAAATTAATGCCAGGACATTTACAATGATGTCCTATATAGTTGCTAAACATGAAGCAATACATTTGATTATAAGCTTCCTAGTAGCCAACAGGTATAAATGTGATCAATTACACAACACATAGTTAAAATACAAACTAGTTGCTTGTGAGAAATATATCTATTTCTATTGTTAAGACCAGATCATAATTTTCCCAAGGGTCTTTAATAGGGTATAGTGTAAGACAATTAGCACAAATCTCAACAAAGAGGGGTTGTAGGATTTTTAGTGCAGTAGGTAGCTATGTTTGGAGTTCCTGAGTTACAGTATATCTTTCACTGTCTTATATTTTGCTCATGTATATGCAGCCATGTCACATGTGCACTGGGGCTGTTCAAGATAAAATCTGAAAGAAGTAAAAGGGAAACTTACAAATATTGGGCGCTTGTTGTGGACCACAGACTACGCAAGACATTTTATGTAGCTTGCTTAACTTCAACAATAGTTTGAGGCAGTCCCATTTTACAGATGTATAGCCTGCAAAGTAACTTGAGCTAGGTTTCCAGGCTAGAATTCACTTCTCTCTGGAGCAAATTTCACCAGTCAAGGGATTTTCTCAGGGCATATTACTGTTTTATGTAAAAGTCTGTGATCCAAATAAGCCTCTTATTTAGTTGTTTGTTTGTTTGTTTTGTGAGACGGAGTTTCGCTCTTGTTGCCCAGGCTGGAGTGCAGTGGTGTGATCTCGGCTCACTGCAACCTCCGCCTCCCGGGTTCAAGTGATTCTCCTGCCTCAGCCTCCCGTTTGCTGGGACTACAGGCGTGCGCCGCCATGCCTGGCTAATTTTTGTATTTTTAGTAGAGACGGGGTTTCACCATGTTGGCCAGGCTTGTCTCGAACTCCTGACCTCGGATGATCTGCCTGCCTTGGCCTCTCAGAGTGCTGGGGATTACAGGCGTGAGCCACCGTGGCCGGCCCTAAGCCTCTTATTTGTATTAATTGACTCAAGAATATTGATAAAGCTTTAACAAGTTTCTGAAGCTCCATGCTGGATGCCCTGGGAAAACAAAAGGGAACTAAGTATAGTCCCTTTCCCAACTATGGAACTCACAACTTAGTGTGTTATTCCTTGTGATGTTTTGATTAGGTGAGCATATATTTCAAATAAACATGAGAATTCCATTCCAAAGTTCTATGGTCACAAATCAAGTCTTTATTCTGTGTTGTATTACTTATTTTAAAGACTGTATTGTACTTTGTAACAGCCTTTGGCTAACATAATGAAGTAGTTGACTCTTTCTAAATTTTACATCTTCAATGTTAAAAAAGCTCTGCATTGAAAATTCATTCTCAGGCAGAAGAATGGAGAAGGAAATAAGACCTAAAATACTTATGCTATAATTCCAGGGCCCTTCAAAACCAACCCTCCCTCTTCTGTGAGCCTTTCCCTGATAGTGTGCAACAAGGATTGAAATCTACACACAGTTGCTTCTTTGAGTAACTTTAAGACAATTTGAGAACGATTGACCATAAATAGATATACATAGATAAAAATGACAGATTTCAAACTGAGTAAATATTGCTTTGGAAAACAGAAACATGGTCCTTACCGACAGAAAACAGGACATGCAAGACCTTTTGAGTTGAGGTCTTGGGTTGGAGTTTGAGCAGGCAAGGGGAAGTAAGAATAAAGGTGCGGACTATTCAGAGAAAAAAGTTAAAGAGTTGTGAGTAAAGGAGCCCAGAAGACAGATTCTACTTTTGTGAGCGAAACAGTAGACAGCATGTTGAAGAATGGCACATAATATTATTGGGAGATGGAAGTTGGAGAGTGAGAAGCCAAAATCTGAAAAACAGAAACTATTTCCAGATCTAATCTGGAGAAAAAGCCAAAAGTATTCATCCTGTCTAAGCGAGTTTTTTCTGCTCTCCTGAATGTCTATAGATCACCTTTAATCAGGTACATTCCATTGTAAGTGTCCTAAGTTTCAACGTTCTAAGAAGCATTTTTGTGCCATCAAGAAAAAAGAATCAATTCAAATACGTCATTGTGATTCCATCAGACTGCACAACTTGGGGCTTGGAAACAATAATGGCCGCCAGTTTATGCAGCTAATTAGCTGATGACCTCTTTCAGAGTGACGTCAAGGAAGGGCATAACCAGAGTCACGAAACTGCATTTGGCAGTACAAGGAGCTGTGACTGCCAAAAGGTGGTGTTTGTTGAAGCGTGAAACGAAAGCAAAGCAAGATAAAAAGAGCTTAGTCCTTATAAAAATAGTATTGTTCTTCATTAATGAGCTCTTTTTAATCAAGTGCTCTTAATCAAGAAAGCTTTTCTCAACTAAAGTTTTACATTTCCATTTTCAGGTGAGAACCTTTCTGTGCCAAATGTAGACGTTATCAGATGAGGCTCAATAACTTTTATTGGAATGCTAGAGGGGGTTTATCATTTTAATTGCTTCTGTCTCATTAATAAAAGATACAAACTTTATACTCAAGATAAATTTTAGTTTCTAGAATTTCCACAGGCTGTAATGGATTTCTTTATTCATCCAATTCAATAACCATTTATTGAATACCTACTCTAAACGAGGCCCTGCACCAGACACTCACTAGAGATGCAGAGGTGAGTGAGACACAGTCCTGGCTCTAAGAACCTCACAAAGCCTTTAGGGAAGAAATATCAACTCAATCATTTTGATGCAATATAGGAAGTGCAAAAGTTTGCGGTAAATATAAAGCATTGAGGTGTTCCGAGAAAGGAGGAATGAACACTGCCTTGGGATGGGAGGAGGGAATGGAGAATGGCAAAGATTAAAGTGGCCACCACCAAATGGAAACTCAACTCCTGAATATGGCATATAAATGAAAGCAAACACCCCAACCAGCAGGTACCAACCTTCAGCCATCTTTATATGAATTTAATAATTTTTACATATCTACATATTGTTTATAGCACTGTTTACTTGATATGATTTTTTAAGATGACTCTTTTAAAAAAATTAATTGGACTGGCCGCGGTGGCTCACACCTGTAATCCTAGCACTTTGGGAGGCTGAAGTGGGTGGATCACCTGAGGTGTCAGGAGTTCGAGACCAGCCTGGCCAACATGGTGAAACACTGTCTCTACTAAAAATACAAAAATTAGCCAGGCATGGTGGCAGGCACCTGTAATCCCAGCTACTCGGAAGGCTGAGGCAGGAGAATCACTTGAACCCAGGAAGTGGAGGTTGCAGGTGAGCTGAGACCATGCTACTGCACTCCAGCCTGGGCTACAGAGCAAGACTCTGTCTCAAAACAAAACAAAACAAAAACATTAAATTGTCTGTGATGTGCAATTACATTTCTCTAACAATATTTGCAGTGAGCAATGTTGCCTGCAGATCACTTTTTAACATGTTTGTGTCCTCTCTCAGCTTCAGCATGCTTTTGCTTCCCACAGTCAACACTCGTGACTTTTCTTTGACCAACTGTACTTCAGCTAATGGGGCAACTTTGCCTACACTCGCAGAGCCCTAGTACCTGAGAATGTAAGTTCTGGAGGTGGCATTTAACCAATGCCTGAGAGGTATGGGAATATGAAAGCCTAGCTCCATTACTTAGGTTTGGGGGAGTTCCCCTGGGAGAGCAGGATGAAGCTCCTACCCTTTGCAAAACTTTGCCTTAGATTTCACCCTTCCGTGTCCTACCCCCACCTTTCTCCATACCAGTCTCGCCTGGGGACACTTCCTTAATAAATCCCTGGCCTACAAATCCTAGTCTCAGTATCTGCTTCTGAGGACTTGGATTTAAGGAAAAAAAAACCCCTCCCACCCCCATCTCCCTGCCTTGCTAAAAAAGAAAAAATGTTCCTCCTTGTACTCACAAAATATCTTGGCCATATATCTCAGCGGTACACACAGCTCAGGAAGCACTCATCTGACACAGCTACATGCAACTCCACTGAACAGAAAACCTAGTTCTATGGCGATACTTTATATTCCTCTCCAAGGAGGGGCTATTTAACGGGACTGATTCTCTTGTTAGAAAGCAGTCTTACTTTTCAGCTGTATCATCTCTATTAATTTTTTGTTATCTTCAATCTTTTTTTTTTTTTTTTTTTTTTTTTGAGACAGAGTCTCTCTCTGTTGCCCAGGCTGGAGTGCAGTGGCACAATCTCAGCTCACTGCAACCTCCGCCTCCTGGGTTCAAGCGATTCTCCTACCTTAGCCTTCTGAGTAGCTGTGACTACAGGCACACGCCACCACACCCAGCTAATTTTTGTATTTTTAGTAGAGACGGGGTTTCACCATGTTGGCCAGGTCTCAAACTCCTGACCTCGTGATCCACCCGCCTCGGCCTCCCAAAGTGCTGGGATTACAGGTGTGAGCCACGGCGCCCGGCCTGTTGTCTTTAATCTTTTACCTACCTATTTTTGTCTTCCGCTAGTCCTCTGCCCATTCTGCCTGCCTCAGGCCAACTCTGTTTGATTCCCCACTTTCCGAACGAACCTCCATTTTCACGTGCCTACAGTTCTTTACATTGGAAAACAAATTTCTCTGCCCTGTTTAGAATAATCTTTTTAACCTAGTCATTCTCTTTTGGCAAGCTTTATTAATTCTTATGAGTTATTTATTTTTTGTCATTTTTCTTAATAAGATTATAGATATCTGAAATCATTATATATATATATTTTTGTTTTGTTTTGTTTTGTTTTTTTTTGTTTTGGAGACAGAATCTTGCTCTGTCTCCAGGCTGGAGTGCAGTGGTGCAGTCTTGGCTCACTGCAACCTCTTCTTCCTGTGTTCAAGCGATTCCACTGCCTCAGCCTCCTGAGTAGCTGGGACTACAGGTGTGCACCACCACGCCCAGCTAATTTTTTGTATTTTAGTAGAGACGGGGTTTCACCACGTCGGCCAGGATGGTCTCGATCTCCTGACCTCATGATGTGCCCGCCTCAGCCTCCCAAAGTGCTGGGATTACAGGTGTGAGCCACCATGCCCAGCCTGAAATCATTATATTATATATTTTTGTTTATTTGCTTATCCTCTAATGTCCCCACTAGAAGTTAAGCTCCAAAGAGTAGCACTTGGCTTATCATGTTACCACTGCACCTGTGCCTAAAACAGGGCCCAGTGTTAGGTAATAACACTCAAATATTTGTTGAACAAATTGTGTGATATTTTCAAAAACATAATTTCAAGTTCAATTCTCTATTAGAATTCTTCCTTTGATTATTCAATATACCTATATATGTCTATCATGTTTGTGTAGGTATGCCTGTAACTTTTTTATTAAATAAAAAATATGAGGAAATGGACCACTAATCCATTGTGGTCATCTCTGAGGATAGAAAGTCTTCAGCAAATCAACTTTTATACCCAAAATACGTATGTGTATATAATTACATTTTATCATCAATAATAATAGTAGAATCAAGACTGCCTACAAAACTACTAATAATTATGATTTTTTCTTGAGTCTCACACACAAATTCTCTGTCTTCAGTTCATGGACATCTTTCAACTTCCAAATATATTTGAAATGGAAGTGGAAATTTTAGAAAGAAAAGTAGAAATTTTGTAAGTAAATAATATAATAATTGAAATAAAAAGCTAATTGCAACCAAGTGTTGGCAGAGATGTGGAGCAACTGGAACATTCCTACAGTACTGCAAGGAGTGTGAGATTGGTACAACCAGTTTGGAAAACTGCTTAACAGTGTCTACTAAAATTGAACATATGAATATCCTAAGACCCAAATTTCCATTTCTAGATATATACTCAACAGAAATTCATACATCTGTCCACCAAAAGACATATAGAAAAAGCATTTGCTACAGTTCTGTTCAGGATATCAAAAAATTGTAAGTAGCCCAACTGTCTGTCAACAGCAAATAGATAAGTAAATTGTGGAACATTTTAATAATGAAATATATTAATGAGAATGAACAAAGTAAACAAACGGCACTAAGTGCAACAACATGGCCGAATATCACAAACACCACGTCAGGCAAAAGAGCCAAACACAAAAGCATTCATATTATATAACTCCGTTTATATATAGCTCAAAACAAAGCTATCATTTTAGAAGAAAAGACAGAGGTTATCCTTGAGGAGTAATGCTAGAATAGAACTTCTGGAGTGCTAATAATGTTCTCTTTCTTTATCCATATGCTGGCTATGTGAGTGTATTCACTCTTTGAAAAGTAGAACATGTAGACACATGGAGGGGAACAACACACACTGGGGCCTGTGGGAGGGGGTTGGGTGGGGGAGGGAAAGCATCAGGAAGAACAGCTAACGGATGCTGGGCTTAATACCTAGGTGATGGGTTGCTCTGTGCTGCAAACCACCATGACACACGTTTACCTGTGTAACAAGCCTGCACATCCTGCACAGATACCCTGGAACTTAAAATAAAAGTTGAAAAAAAAAGTAATTGAGTTGAACAATTATAATTGGACACTTTTCTGTACTCATGTTTATATTTAAATAACAATTTTACTTAAAGGAAAAAAAATTCAATAGGAGGTTTACAGAATAGCTTAGATTCAGTGGTATGCTGGTAAACTGGCTTTGAGAAAAAAAAAAAAATTAAAGCCCTGATTTGTAGTATTTGCAAAACACTATATTGTAATTATTCTCATCATGTTTGAGGTTAGATTATCAATGGTTTTACAACAAGTTCATGAAAGTCCTGAATATTTAATAATCAGATCTCACAGGTTGGAATGAGGCAGTTCCAACACACCAATGAGTCAACACTGATGGAAGAATTAACTCTAGAAATGCTTTTTACATTACAGTTAACTCATGTTCTTTAAGTCTAGATATGCCTTTTGCCTTATAAAAATAAAATTACTATATTATAAAAGTTTCAATTTATAAAAATGATATATAGCCTAATAAGAAGGCACGGTGGCTCACTCCTGTAATCCCAGCACTTTGGGAGGCCGAGGTGGGTGGATCACCTGAGGTCAGGAGTTCAAGACCAGCCTGGCCAACATGGTGAAACCCCATCTCTACTAAAAATACAAAAATTAGCTGGGCATGGTGGGGGATGCCTGTAATCCCAACCACTCAGGAGCCTGAGGTAGGAGAATCACTTGAACCCAGGAGGCGGGGGTTGCAGTGAGCCGAAATTGCACCATTGCACTCCAGCCTGGACAACAAGAGCGAGACTCCATCTCAAAAAAAAAAAAAAAAAAAGAAAGAAAGAAAGATTGCTTCAAAATATATAAAGCAATAATGGACAAAGCTACAAGGAAAAATGCATAAGTTTATTATCATAATGGGCTATTTGGACATATATTTCTCTGCAATTGATGGAAAGTCAATAAAATTCTATAAATAACAGTTGAATAATACTAAATTGAAAGTTTACCAACAGAGGCCAGGCACAGTGGCTCACGCCTGTAATCCCAGCACTTTGTGAGGCTGAGGTGGGAGGATTGCTTGAGGTCTGGAGTTCGAGACTAGGCTGGGAAGCAAAGCAAGACTCTGTCTCTACAAAAATTTAAAAGTTAGCTGAACATGGTCATGTACACCTGTAGACCCAGCTACCTGAGAGGCTGAGGTGGGAGGACTGCTTGAGTCTAGGAGTTTGAGACTGCAGTGAGTCATGATTTTGCCACTGGACTCCAGCCTGTGTGACAGAGTAAAATCCTGTCTCAAAAAAAAAGAATTATTAATGAGTATGTAGAACATTGATTCCACTTCTTCAGAATGCACATTCTTTTAGGAAAAAGTATATCTCAACAAATTTTAACTAACTGGTATCATATAAAAAAAAAATCAGCAAACTATGCTGTGTAGGCCAAACCCAGCTTGCCATCTGTTTTTATAGATAAAGTTTTATTGGAACAAGTCATGCCCGTGTGTTTATGCATTATCTGTGACTGGTTTTGCACTGCAGTGGCAGAGCTAAATAACAGCAACAGAGAAAATTATATGCTATTGGGATCTTTATTGAAAAATTTTGCCAACCCCTCGATATAGACTGTATTATTTGACCATAGCATAACAAAATAAAATAGTCCAAAAAAAGTTTGGAAACTTAAAAACACAATTGTATATAATACATAGGTCAAAGAAGAAATCAAAAGGGAAGTTGGAAAACAATAAAAGTTGAACAATAACAAAAATAATACAAAACTTGAAGAAAGCAACTACAGGAGTACTTGGAAATGCATATCCTTGTAGGATTTAATAGAAAACAGGGAGACTTAAGATTAATGAACTAAGCATCCAAATTCAAAAGTCAGGAAACTACAGGTTTAACCAAGCAGTGGTAACAGGGATTGGATATACCCTCTTGCATAAAACAACTAATAATTGGATAAAACATATGAAACAATGATTTTCAGACACTGGACATGAGGTAATAGAGGATGATGATCACCAAAAGATAGGAACAAAGTGAGACCTACAATTTGCCTCAGCTTAATGGCCAGAGAAATGTTTCATGCTGAATCACAGACAAAGGCAAACCTGGTGGGGCCCCGCAGCCTTGTTGACTTGAAATGAATCTGAGAGTCTAAAGAGACCAAAGAGGCCGGATCTCACAGGACGAAGTATCCGAGAGGAAAGAGCCTCACAGACAGACAGCTCCAGCTTCAACTGGACTAATGCATGTATAATCGAAGTCCCAGAAAGAGGGGAGAGGGATTGGAAAAGAAAAATATTTTAAGAAATAATAGCCACTTCATGGCTGGGAGCCGTGGCTCACGCCTGTAATCCCAGCACTTTGGGAGGCCGAGGCGGGTGGATCACGAGGTCAAGAGATCGAAACCATCCTGGCAACGTGGTGAAACCCCCTCTCTACTGAAAATACAAAAACTAGCCAGGTGTGGTGGCACGTCTGTAATCCCAGCTACTTGGGAGGCTGAGGCAGGAGAATCTCTTGAACCAGGGAGGCGGAGGCTGCAGTGAGCCAGCATCACACCACTGCACTCCAGCCTGGGTGACAGAGTGAGACTCTGTCTCGAAACATAGGAATAAAAATAAAAAAGAAATAATAGCCAATTAATAGAAACAGAAAGTAGAATGGTTCCTGCTAGGGGTTGGGAGTGGGTGGGAAGTTGTTTAAGGGATTTGGAGTTTCAGTTGAGAAGATGAAAAAAGTTCTGGAGATGGATGGCGGTGATGGTACACAATAATATGAGCACACCTAATGCCACTGAACTGAACACTTAAAAATGATGAAGATGGTAAATTTTATGTTAGTATTTTTTGTCACAATAAACAAATAATGGCCACAAAGTTTCCAAATATGATGAAAACTATGAGCCCACAGATCCAAACACCAAGTACGAGAAACATGCATAAAATGACACTAAGACAAATAATAAAAATCACTGATAAAGACAAATTCTTAAAGGCAGCCAGAGAAAAAAGATGCCCAATTTATAGGCAGTCTGATGGCAAACTTCTTGTCTGAAACAATGGCAACAAGAAGACAGCTAAGTAACATTTTTTAAGGCCTAGAAAAAACCTCTAGTAACAAGAATTCTATAAACATAACAAACATCTTTAAAAAAAAAAAGGCAAAATAAACATATTTTAGACATACGAAAGCCATAAGAATTCATCACTAGAAGACCTTCCCAAAAGAAACCCATTTTACATATTAATATATAAATAGACTAAAGTAAAAGGATTAAAAATTAATACCAGCTAACATTTGCCAAATGAAAGCTGGAGTGGCTATACTAATATTAGACAAGGTAGATATCAGAGCAAACAATATTAGGATAAAGAGGGTCATTTTGTAATGAAAAAGGGGCCAATTTATCAAGAAGACATGACAATCCTTAAATGTTTTTGTATCTAATGATAAAATTTCAAAATATATGAAACATAACCAGATATGACTGCAAGGAGAAGTAGATTAATACACGATTACAGTGTCTTAGTTCTCTTTTGCTGCATAACAAATTACTACAAATTTAACACTGTAAAACAAAATCCATTTATTATCTCATAGTTCTGTAGGTTAGAAGTCTGGCATTGCATGACTGGGTTCTCGACCTAGGCTCTCTTGAGGCTGAAAGCAAAAAGAAAACCAATCAAAACGCTACACTTTAACTTTGTTCCCCTGATTTTTAACTTTTTGTCATTTCTCTGTATGTATCATTGACTGTCCATGTCTTGAAAGGTTGTTGTAGTTATTATTTTTGATTTGCTCATTGTTTAGTCTTTCTACTTGAGTAGTTTACACACCACAATTACAGGGTTATGACATTCTGTGCTTTTCTGTGTACTTACTATTCCTAGTGAGTTTTGTATCTTCCGATGATTTCTTATTGCTCATTAATGTCCTTTTCTTTCAGGTTGAAGAATGCCAATTAGTATTTCTTGTAGGACAGGTCTGGTGTTGATGAAATCTCGCAGCTTTTGTTTGTCTGGGAAAATGCTTATTTCTCCTTCATACTTGAAGGATGTTTTTGCCAGACATACTCTTCCAGGGTAAAAGTCTTTTCCCTTCAGTACTTTAAATATATGATGCCACTCTCTCCTGGCCTGTAAGGTTTCCACTGAAGAGTCTGCTGCCAGATGTATTGAAGCCCCATTGTATGTTATTTGTTTCTTTTCTCTTGCTGCTTTTAGGATCTTTTCTTTATACTTGATCTTTGGGAGTTTGATAATTACATGCCTTGAGGTAGTCCTCTTTGGGTTAAACCTGCTTGTGTTCTATAACCTTCTTGTACTTGAATATTGATACTTTGTCTAGGTTTGGGAAGTACTCTGGTGTTATCTTTTTGAATAAACTTTCTACCCTTATCTTTTTTTCTACCTCTTCTTTAAGGCCAATAACTCTTAGATTTGCCCTTTTGCGGCTATTGTCTAGATCTTGTAGGCATGCTTCATTCTTTTTCATTCTTATTTCTTTTGTCTCTTCTGGTTGTATTTTTAAACAGCCTGTCTTCAAGCTCACTGCTTGTTTCTTCTGCTTGATCAATTCTGCTTTTGAGAGACTGGTGCATTCTTCAGTATGTCAATTGCATTTCTCAACTCCAGAATTTCTGCTTGATTCTTTTTAATTATATCAATCTCTTTGTTAAATTTCTTTGATAGAATTCTGAATATCTTCTCTGTGTTATCTTGAATTTTTTTTGAGTTTTCTCAACACAGCTATTTTCAATTCTCTGTTTGAAAGATCACATATCTCTGTCTCTCCAGGATTGGCCCCTGGTGCTTTGTTTAGTTTATTTGGTGAGATCATGTTTTCCTGGACGGTCTTGATGCTTGCGGATGTTTGTTGGTGTCTGGGCATTGAAGAGTTAGGTATTTATTGTAGTTTTCACAATCTGGGCTTGTTTGTGCCCGTTCTTCTTAGGAAGGCTTTCCATATATTCCAAAGGACTTGGGCTCCAAGCCCAATAATGCTGTGGTTCTTGCAGATTCATAGTGGTACCGCTTGGTGGTCTTGAATAAGATCCAGAAGAACTCTCTGGATTCCTTAATGTTCTCTTCCCTTACTTTCTTCCAAACAAATGGAGTGTCTTGAGTAATACCCCATATGCACAGGTAACCAAATAAAGAATGGACAAATGGAATCACAGCAAGTTAAAAAGCTTCTGCACAGCAAAGGAAACAATTAACAAAGTGAAGAGAAAACCCACAGAATGGGAGAAAACATCTGCAAACTTTCCATCTAACAAGTGATTAATAACCAGAATATATAAGGAAGACAAACAACTCTATAGGAAAATAATCCAATTAAAATGGGCACAAGCTCTAAATAGACATTTCTGAAAAGAAGACATACGAATGGCAAACAGGTATATGAAAAGGTGCTCAACATCATTGATTACCAGAAAAACAAAAATCAAAATTATAATGAGATATCATTTTACCCCAGTTAAAATGGTTTTTATCCAATAGACAGGCAATACCAAATGCTGGCAAGGATATGGAAAAAAGGGAACCCTTATACGCTGTTGGTGGGAAAGTAAATTAATACAATCACTATGGAAAACAGTTTGGAGTTTCCTCAGAAAACTAAAAATAGAGCTACCATATGATCCAGCAATCTCTCTGCTTGGCATATACCCAAAGGAAAGGAAATCAGTCTGTCAAAAGGATATCTGCATGCCCATGTTTGTTGGAACACTGTTCAGAAGAGCCAAGATTTGTCAGCAATCTAGTGTCCATCAACAGATGAATGAATCAAGAAAATGTGGCACATAGACACGATGGAGTACTATTCCAACATAAAAAAGAACGAGATCCTGTCAGTTGCAACAACATGGATAAAACTGGGGATCATCATAAGCCAGGCACAGACAGACAAACTTCGTATGTTCTCACTTATTTGTGGGAGCTAAAATTAAACAATTTCAATTAATTAGTTATTTTAACTAAAACAACTGAATTCATGGAGATAGAGAGTAGAAGGGTGGCTAACAGAGGCTGGGAAGGGGAGTGGGGGTGGGGGTGGTTGAGGGGGAAACGTGGATGGTTAACAGGTAGAAAAATATAGTTAGAGTGAATAAAATGTAGCATTTGATAGCACAGCAGGGTGACTACAGTGATTCTTTATAACACAAAGAAAGAATGAATGCTTGAGGTGATGGATACCTATTTATTCTGATGTGATTATTACACACTGCCTGCTTGTATCAAAATATCTCTTGGACCCTGTAAAAATATGCACATACTATGTACCCGCAAAAGTTAAAAATTTAAAAAATCAAAAGGAAAAAATGGAAGGATAAAAAGTTAAAGATATGCCAGTTAAGTCACTAGTTAAATGTATATCAGTCTGTTTGTATTACTGTAAAGGGATACCTGAGGTTGGGAAATTAATAAAGAAAACAGGTTTGTTTGGCTCATAGTGTCGCAGGTGGTACAAGAATCATGGCACCAGCATCCGTATCTGATGAGGGCTTCAGGAAGCTCCCACTTATGGCGAAAGGCAAAGGGGGAAGCTGCATGTGCAGAAATCACATGGCCAGAGAGGAAGCAAGCCGGGAAGGGAGATGCAGTCTCTTTTAAACAACCAGCTCTCATGGGAACTAACTCACTCACTACCACAAGAGTGGCACCAAGTCATTCGTGAGGGACCTGCCCCCACGACCCCAACACTTCCCACCAAATCCCACCTCCAGCATTAGGGATAAAATTTCAACATCAGGGCCGGGTGCAGTGGCTCACACCTGTAATCCCAGCACTTTGGGAGGCTGAGGCAGGCGGATCATGAGGTCAAGAGATTGAAACCACCCTGGCCAACATGGTGAAACCCCATCTCTACTAAAAATACAAAAATTAGCTGGGTGTGGTGGCGTGTGCCTGTAGTCCTAGCTACTTGGGAGGCTGAGGTGGGACAATCGCTTGAACCCAGGAGGTGGACTTTGCAGTGAGCCAAGATTACGCCACTGCACTCCAGCCTGGTGACAGAGCAAGACTCCGTCTCAAAAAAAAAAAAAAAAAAATTTCAACATCAGATTCAGAGGTGTCAAATATCCAAACTATAGCAATGTAATTTTGAAATCTAGCTGAGCAAATTTTAGCTGAAGTTCCTTGATTGGGCTTCATGGACTGGGAATAATCATCCACATCCCTGCCATACAGGCTCTCAGCTCCTGCTGACGCACTCTGGGTTTCACCCTATGAGTCATTATTTTACAGCTGAGCAGTTTTATCAGACTGCTTTCTGTCTGTAGAATTTGTGATATCTGATATTCTTCTTTCATTTTGTACACACTCTGTCCCCTTTGGTCCAAGCTGTAAGTGTTTCTGCTGGTATGAAATTCTCAAGAACCATATGGGTCTTGAGTTGATTTATTCCATTCAAAGAACTAAACCCACAGATCTTTTGGATATAATCTTTTTTTTTTTTGAGACAGTGTCTCGCTGTGTCACCAAGGCTAGTGTGCAGTGGTATGGCCATAGCTCACTGCAACCTTGATCTGCAGGCTCAAGCAAGCCTCCTGCCTCAGTTTCCCAGGCAGCTGAGACCACAGACATGTACCACCATGCCCAGCTTTTTATTTTATTTTGATTTTTATTTTTTATTTTTTTTTGTAGAAATGAAGTCTCCCTATATTGGCCAGACTGGTCTTGAACTACTGGGCTCAAGTGATCCTTCCATCTGGGCATCCCAAATTGGTGGGATTACAGGCTTGAGCCACTGCGCCCAGCTAATCCTTTTTCTATATTTTGTTTCTACTATGACGGCTGAGGGACAATGCTCTTAGGCTTTCTAGAAGACTTCCAGTTTGATTGAGAACTATGAGGCACACTGTTAATCTCTTGTGAATAAATACTTTGCCATTTTGATCAGTCCAAGGTTCCAGCAAAGAGTTGTAAAGTCACATTTTTGGCATTTATTTTTCTATGCCATGCTTTCAAGAGACATTTCTAAATTTTAGTGTCTTTTGCAATCTGGATAGGCCCCAGAATTTTCTAAATCTAGTCCTATTTTCTTTTTATGTAACAATTCTTCCCTAGCCAGGTGCAGTGGCTCATGCCTGTAATCCCAGCACTTTGATCCACTGAGATGGGTGGATCACCTGGTGCCAGGAGTGCGAGACCAGCTTGGCCACCATGGCAACATCCTGTTTCTACTAAAAATATGTTTTAAAAAAATTAGCTGGGCATCGTAGCACATGCCTGTAGTCCCAGCGACTTTGGGAGGCTAAGGCAGGAGAACTGCTTGAATCCTGTAGGTGGAGGTTGCAGTGAGCTGAGATCACACCACTGCACTCCAGCCTGGGTGACAGAGCAAGACTCTGTCACAAAAAAAAAAAAAAAAAAAAGTTCTTCTCCAATCCTGTTTTTTTTCTCTCACATTTTACTATAAGCAGCAAGAAGAAATCAGAAAACACCTTCACTGCTTGGCTTGGAAATTACCTCAGGTAAATATTTAAATTTATTACTTATGAGTTCTGTACTCCAACATCACTGTAGGACATAATTTTGCTAAAAATTCTGCTAACATATAACAAGAATCTTCCTTCCTCCTGTTTCAATAATATGCTCCTCACTTTTTTTCTAAATCCTCACCAGAAGCATTCTTAATGTCCAGATTTCTATTAATAGTTTGCTCATGATGATGGAGGCTTTCTCTAAGGCAGTTTAGGATTTCTCTATAATCTTCCTCATATTGTTCTGAGTTCCCAACAGCAATATTTTTAACATGAATATTTCTATTAACAGTCTTCTTCTATTCAAGGCAGTCTAGGCTTTTACTACCATGCTCCTCAGAATTTTTACAGCCTCCACCCACTGTCTGATTTCAAAACCAATTCCACATTTTTAGACATTTGTTGTGTCAGCACGTAATTCCAGGTACCAAAATCTATACTCATCTTTTTAACTGCTATGTAACAAAATAACCAGAAAATTAGTGGCTTAAAACAACACTCATTTATCATTTCACAGTTATGTAGGTCAAAAGTCCAAAATCACCAATAGGTCTGTGTTTCTTCTGGAGGCTCTAGAGGCCATTTGTTTCCTTTTCCAGCTTCCAGAGGCTGCCGGTATTTATTAGCTCTTGGCCCTGAATCTATTAAAATATAATATGACTTTCTTGTTGTTTTCTACCAAGATGGTTTATTATTCTTTTTATATATGGCTGGATTTGATTTGCTAAAATATGGTTAAAAATTATTGCAATGATGTCTGTAGTTTTCTCTTGTTCTTTTTTTTAGACGGAGTCTTGCTCTGTCTCCCAGGCTGGAGTGCAGTGGTATAATCTTGGCTCACTGCAATCTCTGCCTCACGGGTTCAAGTGACTCTCCTGCCTCAGTCTTCCAAGTAGCTAAGACTACAGGCGTGTGCCACCACACTAAGCTAATTTTTGTATTTTTAGCAGAGGTGGGGTTTCACCATATTGGCCAGGCTGGTCTTGAACTCCTGACCTTGTGATCCATCTGCCTCGACCTCCCAAAGTGCTGGGATTACAGGCGTGAGCCACTGTGCCTGGCCAGTTTTCTTTCTTTTTAATTTTTTTTTCTTTTTTTTTTGGTATCAGGGTACTACTGTTCTCATAAAAGTAGTTGGTAAGTGTGTCCTCTTCTTTAACATGTTCTGCAGAGATTAAAGAAGATCCTAACCTCTTATCTTTCAGTGACCTTGAGGGTCTGTCAAGTAGGAAATAAAGGTGACGGCAGGGTTGTCCACTGCCTGGCTGAGTGGTGAAGTCATACCCCAATATGCATCTAGAGCCCTAGGCAAAGACTGGGAGACTGATTAGCTCTAGGTGTTTAAGAAAATCTGTTCGTTATTAGCTGACCACTAGGCTAACCATGCAAAAAAACCAGTGGCCATACATGAAAATGAATATACCCTTTACAGAGTTAGTTCAGAAAAGTCACTGAACAAACAGCAACAACACCAAACCACGGGGAGAGAGAAGAATCTGAGTTCCAGAGATACCACATTATATTATTTTAAATGTCCTGTTTTTGACAAAAAATTATGAGACAACAAAAAAAGAAAGTATGGTCCCTATGATGGGAAAAAAGAAATCAACCAATGAAAACCCAAGGAAGCCAAGACATTGGACTTACTAGACAAAGACTTTATATCAGTGAACTGAAGGCAGCCATGTGTAAAAAGCTAAAGGAAAATAGGAAAATTCTGGTTATTTAAATAGAGACTGTAAATAAACTGATAGAAATTATTTTAAAAAGAACTAAATAGAAACTCTTCCATTGAAAAGTAAAATAACTAAAATGATAAACTCACTAGAGAGTCTCACCAGATTTGAGCAGGAAGAATAAAGAAATAGAACATTTGGAAATTGGTAAATTGTTTATTCAGTATTTTTAACTGAAAAAAAAATGAAGGAAAAAGTGAACAGAGCCTCAGAGACCCATGGGACAACATACACATAACAAGAGTCTCAGAAGGAAAAGAGAAAGAAAAGGAGGCAAAAGAGTTTTAAAAACATAATGGCCAAAAACTTCTCATTTGATGAAAATTATTAATCTATCCATCCAAGAATCCTAATGAACTCCAAGTAGGATAAAATCAAGTCAGTCCACACTGACACACATCGTAAGTAAATTTTTGAGAACTAAAGACAAAGAAATAATCTTTAAAGCAGCAGGGGAGAAGTGATTCATCACATATAAATAATCTCAATAAGATTAACAGTTGATTCTTACAAAAGAAATTATGGAGGCCAGAATGCAGTGGTATGACATTAAAATACTGAAAGAAAAATACTGCTAACCAAGAATTCTGTATCTGGCAAAACCATCCTTCAGGCCAGGTGCAGTGGCTCGCGCCTGTAATTTCAGCACTTTGAGAGGCCGAGGTGGGCAGATGACTTGAGACCAGGAGTTCGAGACCAGCCTGGCCAACATGGTGAAACCACATCTTTACTAAAAATACAAAATTTAGCCAGGCTTGGTGGTGTATGCCTGTAATCCCCACTTCTCAGGTGGCTGAGGCATGAGAATCACTCCAGAGGAAATTACATAGGTAAATATAAAAGACAGTATAAATGTATTTGTTGGTTGTAACTTTTATATAACTACCTTACTAAAATGATAACTGTATAAAATAACAATTCTAAATATGTGTTGATGGGCATACCACATATAAATACGTAATTGTATGATAATAACACACAAAGGAAGGGGGGAGAAATAAAGCTATTTTGGAACAGTCTTTGTATACTTTTGCAATTATGTTGCTACTCATCCAAACTAGATTTTTATAAATTAAAATGTTAATTGCAATCCCTAGGACTACAACTAGGAATATAAGTCAAAAATATATAATAAAAAGAAATGACAAGGGAATTAAAGCAGTGTATTAGAAAATCTCTCTTTAGGCCAGGCACAGTGGCTCACACCTGTAATGCCAGCACTTTGGGAGGTGGGTGGATCACGAGGTCAAGAGATTGAAACCACCCTGGCCAACATGGTGAAATCCCATCTCTTCTAAAAATACCAAAATTAGCTGAGCGTGGTGGTGAGCACCTGTAGTCCCAGCTACTGGGGAGGTTGAGGCAGGAGAATCACTTGAACATGGGAGGCAGAGGTTGCAGTGAGCAAAGACTGTGCCACTGCACTCCACCCTGGCAATAGAGCAAGACTGTCCCAAAAAAAAAAAAAAAAAACAAACCAGAAAATCTCTATTTAACATAAAAGAAGGAAGTAATGGACAAATAGGGGAACAAAAAGACATATGACATGTCAAAAGCAAATAGCATTAGAAATTTTATTCATGCAGAAACCTACATATGAACATTTGTAGAAATTTTATTCATAATTGCTTAAACTTAGAAAAAACTAGAAGGTCTTTCAGCAAGTGAATGGATAAACAAATCATGGTACATTCATACAACAGAATATTATTCAGTGCTAAAAAGAAATGAGCTATTGAGCTATTATCACATACTTTACCTTTATCCCCATTCTTTGAGAACTACATTCTTACATATATTAGACCACCTAAAGCTGTCCCACAGCTCACTGATGCTCTGTTCTTTTCTCATTTTAAAAAAATCTCTGTGTTTTAGCTGGGTGTGGTGGCTCATGCCTGTAATCCCAGCAGTTTAGGAGGACAAAGCAGAAAGATCGCTTGAGTCCAGGAGTTCAAGACCAGCTTCGGCAATATAGTGAGACCCTATCTTTACAGAAAATAAAAAATTAACTGGGCATGGTGGCACACACCTGTAGTCTCAGCTACTTGGGAGGCTAAGGCAGGAGGATTGCTTGAGTCTAGTGTGTCGAGGCTGCAGTGAGCTGTGATTGTGCCACTGCACTCCAGCCTGGGTAACAGAGTGAGACCCTGTCCCCTGATTCCCCAAAAAAAAGAAAAGAAAAAGAAAAAAAAAACAACTCTGTGTTTCATTTAGATTATTTTTACTACTGTGCCCTCAAGTTCACTGAACTTTTGCAATAGCTGATTTTCTACTAATTCTATCCACTATATTTTCCATATCAGATACTATATTTTTTATTCCTAACAGTTTAAGATCTTTTTAATATTTTCCATAAAATTTCTTAACATACTTACATTATCTTCTTTCCTTGAATTTGTGGAGTATATTTATAATAATTGCTGTAATGTCTGTGTCTCCTAGTGATATTATTTGCATCACTTCCGAGCCATTTTCCATTGATTGATTTTTCTCCCTATTATGGTTTGTATTTTTCTGCTTCTTTGCATACTTTGTACTTTTCAATTAGACATTGTAATTTGTTTACCTTGTTGGTTGCTAATGTTTTTTGTATTCCTTAACTATCCGTGAGCTTTGTATGGGATGTAGTAAAATTGTTTATAAATATTTTGATCCTTTTGAGGCTTACTTTCAAGTTGGTCCTGTTATGAAGGATCAAAACAGCCTTTAGGCAGAATTTTTCACTGCTACTGAGGCAATACACTTCTGAGCGCTCTACCCAATGCCTTGTGCATTATTAGGTTTTTTCACTCTAGCTGGTGGGAACATTAACTCTTCCTGGCTTTCTTTGTTCCAGAGGTAGTTCTGCCCACTCCTTTCCAGTAGTTCTTTCCCCATAGTTTCGTTACACACACACACTAACCAAGACTAACATGAACAGTTGAGGAAAACCTGCGGATATCAGGTGCTCTCTGTGCAGCTCGCTCTTTTATCTGCAGTACTTTCTCCTACGTACTATTTTATTCTATGTGATTTTGTCATCTTGGTGTCCTCAAATTCTCAACTCTGCCTCATCCTAGTGAGAAGAGCATGGTCTGAGTTGCTCCTCCCTACAGTGCATCCTTTTAATTTTTTTCCAGGCAGTACACTAAGTATATTAGTCCATTAGCATACTGCTATAACAAAATACCCGAGACTGGGTAATTTATAAAGAAACAAGGTTTAATGGGCTCACTGTTCCACAGGCTGTACAGGAAGTATGGGTGGGGAGGCCTCAGGAAACTTTCAGTCATGGCGGACGGTGAAGGAGAAGCAGGCACCTCCTACATGGCGGGAATGGGAGGAAGAGAGAGAGGGGGAAGTGTTACACACTTAAATAGCCAGATGGCGTGAGAACTCTATCATGAGAACTGCACCAAAGGGGAAAATCCACCTCTGTGATCCAATCGCCTCCCACCCAGCCATCTTAATTCTAACACTGGGGATTACAATTTGACATGAAATTAGGGTGGGAACACAAATCCAAACCATATCACTAAGCAATGCTAAGGTTCACCTAATTTGATTCCCTTCACTAAGAGATCCTTGTTCTATGCGGCCTTGTGTCCAAAACTATATTTTGTGGGTTTTTTCTTTTTCTTTTTCTTTTTTTTTTTTAGTTGTTTAAGGTAGGCAGGTGTAACGGTTAATTATATGTATCTACCTGAAGGATGTTTTTGGAGGAGATTAACATTTAAATCAGTGAACTTGGATGGGCCTCATCCAATCAGTTAAAGGCCTGAATATAACAAAAAGACTAGCCTCCCTGAGCAAAAGATAAAATTTCCAGCCAGCTGCTTTGGACATTATCTGCATCATTGGCTTCCCTGGGTCTCTAGGTTGCCAGCCTTCAGACTAGAATCACACCACCAGCTCTCCTGAGTCTTAAGCCTGCCAGCCTGTATTATGGATTTTGGATTTCTCTGCCTTCATAATTGTGTGAGCCAATTCCTTATAATAAATCTCTATAGATATATAGGTCCTGGGCCGGGCGCGGTGGCTCCTGCCTTTAATGCTAGCACTTTGGGAGGCTGAGGCAGGCGGATCACCTGAGGTCAGGGGTTTGAGACCAGCCTGGCCAACATGGTGAAACCCCATCTCTACTGAAAATACAAAAATTAGCCAGGTGTGATGGCATGCACCTGTAATCCCAGCTACTTGGGAGGCTGAGGCTGGAGAATCGCTTGAACCCAGCAGGTGGACGTTGCAGTGAGCCGAGACTGCACCACTGCACTCCAGCCTGAACGACATAGTGAGACTCTGTCTTAAAAAAAAAAAATATATATATATATATATATATATATATATATATATATATATATGTGTGTGTGTGTGTGTGTGTGTGTGTGTGTCCTATATAGATATTAATAAGATAGGTATATAGATATACAGATCCTATTGGTTCTGTTTCTTTTCTTTCTTTCTTTTTTTTTTTTTTTGACGGAGTTTCGCTCTGTTACCCAGGCTGGAGTGCAGTGGTGTGATCTCAGCTCACTGCAACCTCTGCCTCCAGGGTTCAAGCCATTCTCCTGCCTCAGCCTCCTGAGTAGTTGGGACTACAGGTGCCCACCACCACACCTGGCTAATTTTTGTATTTTGAGTAGAGATGGGGTTTCACCATGTTGGCCAGGCTGGTCTCAAACTCCTGACCTCAAGTGATCTACCTGCCTTGGCCTCCCAGAGTGCTGGGATTATAGGCCTGAGCCTCCATGCCCGGCCTGGTTCTGTTTCTTTGGAGACCTTGACTAAAGAAGAAGACAAATCTGTTCCATGTTATTCCTCCATGACTGGAAACAAGTTCATGATGCATTTGAAAGCTATAGCAATTAAGATGGTTTGGCAGGCTGGGCACATTGGCTCACACCTGTAAGCCCAGCACTTTGGGAGGCCAAGGCTAGTGGATCACTGAGATCAGGAGTTTGAGACCAGCCTGGCCAACATGGTGAAACCCTGTCTCTACTAAAAAATACAAAAAAATTAACTGGGTCTAGTGGCACACAACCTATAGTCGCAGCTACTTGGGAGGCAGAGGCAGGAGAATCATTTGAACCCTGGAGGTGGAGGTTGCCATGAGCAGAGGTCACGCCACTGCACTCCAGCCTGGGCGACAGAGCAAGACTCCTCAAAAAAAAAAAAAAAAAAAAAAAAAAAAAAAAAAAGATGATTTGGCATTTATGCGTTGCAAAAAAAAAAAAAAGAGAGAGAGATAATGGACTAACATAGCCCTAAAACAGATCCATAAGTCTAAGGATGCTTTACACATATTTAGGGTGCCATTATAGATTACTGGGGAAAGGATGGTCACTCAATTATTGCTGAAAGAATATTTTATTTGTATATATAAAAAAAGTGTTACATGATAACCAAAAATCCATTTTATACGAATTAAGTACTTTAATTAAATCTTTTAGAAAATAATGTTGAAGACTTTCATAACCTCTGCCTAAAAATTCATCTCAAACCAGGCCCCAAAAGTACAAATCATAAAATTACTATATTTTAAAAAGTAAAAATCAACCCCAAAATTCATAGGATATATATGCAGTACACATAGCAGTCAAAGATTAATATTCTGAAAATATTTACTCATTAAAATCAACAAGATAAATAACTTTGTTTTTTTTTTAGGATACAAGGTCTTGGCTGGGCACAGTGGCTCATGCCTGTAATCCCAACACTATGGGAGGATAAGGCTGGCGGATCATGAGGTCAGGAGTTCGAGACCAGCCTGACCAATATGGTGAAATCCCATGTCTACTAAAAATACAAAAATTAGCTGGGCATGGTGGCGCACACCTGTAATCCTAGCAACTCAGGTGTCTGAGGCAGGAGAATCGCTTGAACCCAGGAGGAAGAGTTTGCAGTGAGCCGAGACTGCCCCACTGCACTCCAGACTGGGTAATAGAGGAAGACTCCATCTCAAAAAAAAAAAAAAAAAAAAAAAGAAAGAGACAAGGTCTCAGCATGTTGCCCAGGCTTGTCTTGAACTCCTGGGCTCAAGCAATCCTCCTGCCTTCGCCTCCCAAAGTGCTAGAATTACAGACATGAGCCACCATGCCCAGCCCCTAAATTAAAAAAAAATAAGTAAGATACTTTAACAGACACTTGCCAGAAGACAAAACCTAACTGGCCAGTGAAAATATCAAAATATGTTCAGCCTCATTAGCAATTAGGAAAATTCAAATGGAAACACTATGGAATATAATTTTATACCCATGAGACTGACAATAATTTAAAAAGACTGACAATAAGGATTGATACGTGGTACAAAAGGAAATACTACTACTCATAAATGCATGAATTCGGACAATAACTTTGAAATACAAGTTGGCATTTCTTTGTAAAATTGAATCATTCTTATAACATAATAGTTCTATTCTTAGGAGGAGGAATTCTTGACACATGTATGCATCAGCAGCCATGTAAAAGAGCATCATTGTTTGTAAAAGGAAAAAAACAACAACTGAAAAATATTCCAGAAGTCCATTGATAGGATAGTGGGAAACTAAACTGTGATGTATTTGTGTATCTGAATACAGTCATGTGTGGCTTAACAACAGGGATATGTTCTGAGAAATGAGTTAGACAATTTCGTCATTGTGTGCACATATCATAAAGTGTACTTACACAAACCTAGATGGTATAGCCTACTACACACCTAGGTTATGGAATATAGCCCATTACTCCTAGGCTACAAACCTCTATAGCATGTTACTATACTCAATACTGTAGGTAACTGTAACACAATGGTAAGCATTTGCGTATCTAAACACAGAAAAGGTACAGTAAAAATATGATACAAAAGATAAAAAATGGTATGGCTGTGTAAAGCACTTACCATGAATGGAGCTTGCAGGAAGTTGCTCTGGGTGAGTGGTGAGTGAATGGGAAGGCCTAGGACATTACTGTACACTTAGGCTATATTTAATTTATTTAAAAATATAGTAATTGCACTAGAATGTTATCATGGCTACAACATCACTAGACAATAGGCATTTTTTTCAGCTGCATTGTACACTGTTGTGCATGTGGTCCATTGTTGACTGAAGCATCCTTATGTGGCACATGGCTGTACTTTTCAACAGATAAAATAAGGAAACTACAACTACTTTCATCAACATGAATGAATCATGAATATAATGGTAAAATTTAAAAAGCAAATTATAGGAGAATAATACATTGACATTGTTTAGACAACATTCAAAGACAAGCAAACTATACAATATATATTTTATATATAAATACATGAGTAACATGTCCAAAGGATAATAAAACTCAGGAGGGCGATTATCTTTGGGGAGAATGTAGAGAATGTGATTAGGGAAGTGAAAAAAGGGTTTAGTGATAATGACAACATTTTGTTTCTTAAGCTGGTATATGGGTGTTTATTATTATGCTTTATAAATTATAAGTTATATACATTCCATAGTTACCAGGGGTTTCATAAATTTTTAGAAAGCTGATTAAGGTAAATCACTGGACTTTCTTGCTAATATAAATGTATCTGGTATCTGTGGCTCCAAACCAGAATATAGTTCTAACCAACTTCAAATGAATTAGACTTACAGAACTACACATTCTAGAGATGTGACCTGTGAATATCGAAGCATCCATTGTTCTTAACTCACGTCAAGCAGGAGAGTACTGAGATGGATGACATGTTTGTGAGCTTATTTGTGGACCCTCTCCAAGATGTTAATTCTCTTAGTTGATACTTTAACAATCTGTACTATCCACAATGGTTTTAAATAGAATAATATATTTACCAAGAAGGAAGGTGGAAAAAGAAATTGAAGAAATAACAAAGACAAGGAAGAAGGCGATCATAGTGAAAGAGATGAGAAAATTAAGATAATTCCAAGTAGGAAATTAAGTCAAGAGGTAAACAGGAGAAGGTATGTCCCCTAGCAATTCCAGAAAGTACACGCTGGGTTTCCAATAGTGCTTAGAATGAGGGTTCAAGCCATTTATTTAAGTTTTAAAAGAAGGGATTTATTGAGTATTATATATGGACCCTATATCCAAGTACTGATAATGAACCTTATTTGTCAACATTGGTCCTTTAATACCTGTTCTATTTCAAAAATTAAATTGTTGATCCCTATTTACTTAAATATCTCCATTAATTTGGTTCTGATTTTACTTCAGAAGGAAGGTAAAAATGAGAAAAGTAGAAAATTAACCTTTTTAAATAATAATGACATTAGCAATATTACCAACTAGAAGTCCCCTTTTCTCATCTCCTTGACACAGACAGCCCAAATAATGAATGAGCAACTACATTTTAACAAATAACTAAGGGAGTGTGACGGAGTACATCAAAGGATTTAACAGAAACCCTGATGAACACAGAAACTCAGGATAGCCACACAGAGAACAGAAGGAAACAGCAGGCTTCCAGCACCCCATCCCCTAGCTGGTATCAGCTGGGAACCAGGAAGAACTTCTCCCTATGGCAAGGAGGTTAAGGAAGCCCCCATCAACACCTTTGACACCTACTGTTCTCACCACTGGGGTCCCCTGCAGTCCTCACACTGTGCGCCACCTCCTGTGGCTTGCATGGCGATACCTTGAGCGCAGGTCTCAAACCTTTGGAGCATCCCTTCTTCCCTGGAGTCAGGCCAAGACTGTGCCCTGCCTGCCCTGGAGTAGAATCACAGCCAACCTTACCCTCCTTGACCCAAGCTCTAGAGGGTGTCTCAGTGTGCAACCTACAGTCAACTTTAACACAGAGAGAAAACCTGCACCCCAAAACTCAGGTGCCACAATAGCTTTGCACTAAGACAAGCCGTGAGCAACTGTTTCCCCCTTCCCTCTGGGGTTGGGCAGCAGTGGAACTGCTTCACTTACTCCTCCTCCCTTTACTCCCTCAGGCCAGAGCAGAAGCTGTGCACTCTCTCTTGGGGAAATGATGCTTTGGAAGAATGGTTCCATCTACCACTCTCAGCTCTGGCTATGTCCTACCACTAGAGGCCTGAGCTGAAACTGTGCACCGCTTTCTGAGGAAACAGTGCTTTGGTGGAGGTCTACATCCTGGAAAAATGGTGTAGGGACCACCCAGAACAGTCATGTCCCCCAGGTCTAAGCTGAAATGGCACATCACCCCCTTGGGAATTGGTGCCTTGGCCAAGTTGAGTAGCTGTGTAGTCCAGGGCTGAGTTGATGTAGTACCCTGTCTCCCAGGGAAACAGAGCAGTGTCTCAGTTGAGACACTTTGTCCTACAGGCCAAAAATCTCTAATAACCTGCTTCCTTGGAGAGGAACTAGGGCTCTAGATCCTGAGCTGCTAAGATACCCCTCTCCCTGGGGAGTGGAGTCATCACTGTGCTGCTCCCTGCCCTCCAGGGCCTAAACAACAGCTGTCCTCATCCATTCTAGGGTACTTGCTACTGCTGCACCCAGCCTCAAAGTATCTGAGATACTGCTGAGCCCCACCATCCCAGGATTTAGGATCACTGCTACATGGTGCCTCATCGTTAAGGACCTATCCCTAACGACCTAGGTTGCCCACGAGCCCTATTGGTTTAGACTTCTGAATTGCAGCCATACCCTGTACCGTGGTCTCAAACCTTTAGAGTAGCCCTTCTTCCCTGGTGTCAGGTCAGGGCTGTGCCCTGCCCCTCTGGAACAGAAGCACAGCTACAACCTGACCCCCTGGACCCAAGCTCCTAGGGAGTGCCTTAGGGTCAGAGACACTTGCTCAGTGTGCAACCTATATTCAACCTTACCACACAGAAAAAACCTATACCCCCAAACTCAGCTGCTACAATAGCTTTGCAAGACCCTGAGCCTAGGCCCCTGCCCCAGAGCCACTCCAAACATTTGCACCTAAAACCTGGAACCCAGCACCATTGTAGCTGCTTTTAGGATGTGTCAGACTTGACACCAGGAGGGCTCTCCTCACCTAAGTCCTCTTATTGTGGGGAAAATGAATATAAAGGGAGCCCAAAGGCCCTTGCTGCAAAGGACATTAACAACTGATGCCACCACTGCTGTTACTTCAGACTTCTACAGTCTAAGCCACTGAGGCATCCACAGCTATTGCTGATACTGAACACAGCCAAAGAAGTTGCATGGAGATCATATCACCATACCTGGAATGCACTCTAGAAACAAAGTTGCAACACCCTTCCTTCAACCAGCATGCTAAGACACAATTATGGTTGCAAGTCCTTCTGTAAGAAAGCCTCTTTAGAAAGTTTGGAAGAGGTGATTGTTCCATCATGTGCACGAAAATAAATGCAGGGACACAAGAAACATGAAAAAGCAAGGAAATATGACACCATCAAAGGAGCATAATTCTGTAGCAACAGACCCCACTGAAAAGGAAATCCATGAATTCTCAGAAAAAGAATTCAAAATGATGATATTAAGGAAACTCAATGAGATACAAGAAAATACAGGTAGGCAATTCAATGAAATCAGGAAAAGAATTCATGATATGAATGAGAAATCCAACAAAGAGATACATATCTATCATTAAAAAGTCCTAAGCATAAATTCTGCAGCTGAAGAATTCAATGAATGAAATAAAAAATATGTTTAGAGAGCTTCAACAGCAGATTTGGTCAAGCAGAAGAAAGAGTCTCTGATCTTGCAAATAGGTCATTTGAAATACCCAGCTAAAGAAAACAAAAGAAATGAGAATAAAAAAGAGTGAAGAAAGCTTATAAGACTTATGGGATAGCATTAAGTGAACAAATGTTCATAACATGAGAGGTCCAGAAGAAGAAGAGATAGAAAAAGCATAGAAAAGCCTATTTATGCCTCAGAAGAAGGAGCAAATGAAAAAAAAAGAAAACCTATTTAATAAAATAACAGATGAGAACTTCCCATCTGGAGAGAGATATGAACATCCAATTCAGGAAGCTCAAAAGTTCCTAAATAGATTCAATCCAAAAAGGTCCTCACCAAGACACATTATAGTCAGATTGTCAAAAGTCAGAGACAGAAAGAATTCTAAGAACAGCAAGAGAAAAGCATCAGGTCACATACAAAGGAATCCCCATTAGACTAACAGCAGATTTCTCAGCAGAAACTTTATAGGCCAAGAGAGAATGAGATGATATATTCAAAGTAATGAAAAAAAAATTGTCAGCCAAGAATACTATACCCAGCAAAGCTATTCTTCAGAAATGAGGGCAACATAAAGTTTTTCCCAAAGAAGCAAAAACTGAGAAAATTCATCAATACTAGATCAGCCTTACATAAAATGCTCAAGGGAGTATGGCATCTAGAAGAGAAAAGACAATAATTGCCCTCATGAAAACATGCAAAGTACAAAATTCACTGGTAGAGCAAATACAGAAAGGAGAAAGAGAAAAGAATCAAACTTTATCACTATAGAAAACCATGAAACTGCAATGATGAACAGTAAGAGAGGAACAAAGGATATACAAAACAACCAGAAAATAATTAACAATATGACATGAGTAAGACCTCACATATTAGTAATAACCTTAAATGTAAACAAATTAAATTTCTCACTTAAAATATATAGATTGGCTAACTGGATTTAAAAAAGAAAAATGACCCAGCTATATGCCACCTACAAGAAACTCATTTCACCTATAAAGACACATATAGACTGAAGTGAAAGAATGAAAGAAAATTATTCCATGCAAACAGAAAACAAAAGTGAGCAGGAATTGCTATATACTTATAAATTAAGTCAAAAGGTGCAAAAAGAGACAAAGAAGGTTATTATATAATGATAAAGGGTTCAATTTAGCAAGGGTATATAACAATTGTACATGTATCCGCACCCAACACTGGAGCACCCAGGTATATAAAACAAATATTAATAAATCTAAAGGGAGAAATGGCCTTCAATACAATAATAGTGGGGGATTCAACACCTATAGTCAACATTGGACAAATAATCTAGACAGAATATCAACAAAGAAGCATTACATTTAAACTATGCTTTAGATCAAATGAACCTAACAGATATTTACAGAACATTTTTATCCAATAGCTGTAGAATACACATTGTTCTCGTCAGCACATGGAATATTCTCTAGGATAAACCACGTATTAAGCCACAAAACAAGTTTCAAGAAATTTAAAAGAATTGAAATAATATCAAGTATCTTTTCTGACCACAATGAAATAAGACTGAAAATTAATAAAAAGAGGAACTTTCCAAATTGTACAAATACTTGGAAATTACGCCCCCCCCCCCACCTTTTTTTGAGACAGGGTTTCACTATGTCACCCAGCCTGGAGTGTAGTGGCATGATCACAACTCACTGCAGCCTTGATTTCCTGGGCTCAGGCGATTCTCCCACCTCAACCTCCCAAGTAGCTAGGACTACAGGTGCACACCACCACACCCAGCTAGTTTCTTGCAGTTTTTGTAGAGATGGATTTTTGCCATGTTGCCCTGGCTGGTCTCAAACTCCTAGGCTCAAGCAATCCACCCACCTGAGTCTCCCAAAGCACTGGGATTACAAGCATGAACCATTGAACCTGGCCAACACCACATTTTTGAATGACCAATGAGTCAATGAAGAAATTAAAAAAAAATTTATTGAAACAAATGAAAATAGAAGCACAACATACCAAAACATGGGATACAGCAAAAGAAGTGCTAAGAGGGAAGTTTATAGCAATAAACACCTACATGAAAAGATTAGAAAGATTTCAGATTAAAAAAAAAACAATGCATCTCAAGGAACTAGAAAAGCAGGAACGAACCAAACCAAAATTAGTAGAGGAAGAGAAAGAATAAAGATAAAACAGAAATAAAGGAATTTGAGACTAAAAAAATTACAAAAGATTAACAAAAGGTTGTTTTTTTTAAAAAAGATAAGCAAAGCTGACAAGCTATTAGCTAGATTAAGAAAAAAGTAAAAAGACCAAGTAAATAAAATAAAAAATGAAAAGGGAGAAATTACAACTGATAACTCAGAAATAAAAAGGACCATTAACCACTACTACGAACACCATATGCCAACAAATTGGAAAACCTAGCAGATATGGATAAATTTCTGGATGCATACCTCCTATCAAGATGGAACCAGGAAGAAATAGAAAACCAAAACAAACAATAATGAGTAATGAGATTGAATCAGTAATAAAAAACTCTCATCTAAGAAAATCCCAGGTCCTAAAATGGCTTCACTGCTGAGTTCTATCAAACATTTAAAGAAGAACTGATTCTCAAAATCTTCCAGAAAATTAAAGAGGAGGGAATTCTTCATTCATCTGATGGGGCCACCATTACCCTGATATCAAAACTGACAAAGATACAACAAAAAGGAAAACTGTAGGCCAATATCCCCATTGAATAGAAATGCAAAAATCCTAGGAAACCACATCCATCAGCACATTAAAAAGATCATTCACATGGTCAAGGGGAATGAATGCAAAGATAATGCAACATATGCAAAATAAACATGATACATCACATCAATAGAATGAAGTACCAAAAACTATATGATCATTTCAATGGATGCAGAAAAAAATATTTGACAAAATTCAAAATCCCTTCATAATAAAACCTCTCAAGAAACTAGGCATAGAAGAGTATACCTCAACACAATAAAGGCCATATCTGATGAACTCACAACTAAATTATACTGAATGGGTTCCTCTAAGAACAAAAATAAGACAAGGATGCCCACTCTCCTCACTCTTATTGAGCATAATACTGGAAGTCCAAGCAGGGCAATCAGGCAAGAAAAGAAATAAGGGGCATCCAGGCTGGTCATGGTGGCTCATGCCTGTAATCTCAGCACTTTGGAGGCCAAGGAGGGTGGATTGCTTGAGCTTAGGAGTTCAAGACTAGCCTGGGCAACATGATGAAACCCATCTCTACTAAAAATAAAAAAATTAACTTGGCTTGATGGCACATGACTGCAGTTCCAACTACTTGGGAAGCTGAGGTGGGAGGACTGCTTGAGCCTGGGAGTTTGAGCTACAGTGAGCTGTGAGCATGCTATTGCAGTCCAGCCTGGGTGAAAAAGTGAGACCCTGTCTCAAAAAAAAAAAAAAAAAAAAAAAGACCGGCATCCAAACTGGACAGGAGGAAGTCAAATAGTTCTTGTTTGCAGACATGATCTTACATATAGGAAAACACTAAAAGCTCAACCAAAAAACTCTTAGAACTAACTGATAAATAAATTAAGTTGCAGGATATGAAATTAATATATGAAAATTTATAGCCTTTCTATACAACAACAAACTAGCAGAAACAGAAATCTTGAAAGCAATCCCATTTTCAATAGCCAGCAAAAATTACCTAGGAAGAAATTTAATCAAGGAAATGAAAGATCTCTACAAGCCAATCTATAAAACACTAGTGAAGGAAATTGAAGATATTACAAAAGTGGAAAGACATTCCATGTTCATGGATTGGAACAATTAATACTGTGAAAATGACCATACTACCAAAAGTCAATGCAATCCCTATCAAAATACCACAGGAATTCTTCACAAAAATAGAGAAAAATTTAAAAAATTTGTATGGAACCACAAAAGCTCCAAAAAGCCAAAGAAATTCTGAGCAAAAAACCAAAGCTGGAGGCATCACATTACCGTATTCCAAAATATACTACAAAGCTGTAACAACCAAAACAGCATGGTACCGGCATAAAAACAGACACATAGACCAATGGAACAGAATAGAGAACTCAGAAATTAATCCACATATCTACAGCCAATTGATTTTTGACAACAACACCAAGAACACTCATTGGGGAAAGATCAGTGTCTTTAATAAGTGGTGCTGGGAAAATTGGATATCCATATACAGAAGACTAAAACTAGACTCCCAACTCTAACCCTATACAAAAATCAGCTCAAAATGTATCAAAGACCTAACGGTAATACTTAAAACTGTAAAACTCCCAGACAAAAACAGAGGAAACACTCCAGGATGTTGTTCTGGGCAAAGATTTTATGGAAAAGACTTCAAAAGCACAAGCAACAAAAGCAAAAATAGACAAATGGCACTATATGAAACTAAAAATCTTCTGCACAGCAAAATAAAAACAATCAACAGAGTGAAGAAACAACCCACAGAATGGGAGGAAATATTTGCAAACTATTCATTTGACAAGGGATTAATGTCCAGAATATCCAAGGAACTGAAATATTCAATAGCAGAAAAACAAATAATCTGATTTACAAATGGGCAAATGAGCTGAATAGATCCCTTTCAAAAGAAGACATACAAATGGGCAACAGATACATGAGAAAGTGCTCAACATCACTAATAATCAGGGAAATTCAAATCAAAACCACAATGAGATATGTTATCCCAGTTAGAATGGCTACTATAAAAAAGGCAAATATAACAGATGCTGGTGAGGATGTAGAGAAAGGAGAACTCCTACACACTGTTGGTGGAAATGTAAATTAGTACAGCTATTATGGAAAACAGTATGGAGATTTCTCAAAAAACTAAAAATAAAACTACTATATGTTCCAGCAATTGCACAGCTGGCTATATATTTAAAAGAAAGGATATCAGTATATTGGAAAGATATTTGCACACCCATATACGTTGCAGCACTATTTACAATAGCCAAGATATGGAATCAACCTAATGGCTGAATAAAGAAAATGTGGTAGATAGAGACAATGAAATATTATTCAGTCATAAAAAAGAATGAAATCATGTCATTTGCAGCAATACAGAACTGGAGGTCAATAAGTTAAATAAAATAAGCCAGGCACAGGAGGATAATGAATTGCATGTTCACACTCATGTGGGAGCTAAAGAAGCTGATTTCATGGAGGTAGGAGGTATAATGATGATTACCGGAAGCTCAGAAGGAGGAATGAAGAGAGGCTGGTTAACGGATATTGAAATGGGAGATCACCCTTATTCTCCTTGCAGGGCGTGTGACAGGGTTGTGGCTCACTTCTTTGGTGCCCTGCTGCTTAAACCCCTAGGAAGGGCAATGCAGACGGGGTGGGTGCAGAGGTCGCAGGGAGCTCCTTTGGGCTCTGACCTCATGGCAGAGTCTGGGGTGAGTGTTTACGATTCTGGAAGCCCAAGTGGGCATGTGTTACAGTGTGCTCCTTCAGCTTCGCTGTCTGCAGACAGCTTACGTTAATTGGCTCAATTAGACCCTCTGCCTTATCGCAAGGGCAGAGGGTTTTCTCTACCCTGAGTTCTTGCCCAGTGTACCAGGAACATTGGATCTTGGAGGATGAGTGCAAGGTTTTATTTATTTATTTATTTATTTATTTATTTATTTATTTATTTATTTATTTATTGAGACGGAGTCTCGCTCTGTCACCCAGGCTGGAGTGCAGTGGCGTGATCTCGGCTCACTGCAAGCTCCGCCTCTCGGGTTCACGCCATTCTCCTGCCTCAGCCTCCCAAGTAGCTGGGATTACAGGTGCTCGCTGCCACGTCCGGCTAATTTTTTGTATTTTTAGTAGAGACGGGGTTTCACTGCTTTCCCCAGGCTGGTCTCTAACTCCTGAGCTCAGGCAATCCACCCGCCTCGGCCTCCCAAAATGCTAGGATTACAGGCGTGAGCCACCGCGCCGGCCGCAAGGTTTTATTGAGTGGTGGAGGTGGCTCTCAGCGAGATGAGTGGGGAGCTAGAGGGGGATGGAGTGGAAGGCAGTCTTCCCCTGGAGTCGCGCTGCCCAGCAGCCGGACTTTTCTCCGACCACCCCTGGCCGAATTCCCCTCGATGGCTGCGTCGTTCCACCATCGCTGGTCTGCCAGTATCTGCTGGTGTCTCCTGGTTGGTCCCTTTGCTCCTCTTGACGTCCAGCCTCTGTGTCTGTGCCAGCTAAAGCCTCGGGTTTTTATGGGCACAGGATGGGAGAGTGGCTGGCCAGAGTGGTCTTGGAAAATGGAACCTTTGGGCGTGAAAACAGGAGTGCCTGTTCTCACTTAGGCCCGTGGGCACAGGCCCGAGGGTGAAGCCCTCACCAGCGACTCCGCTCTTCTGTACCCAGCACTTCCCTGCCCTCCTCCCACATCAGTATTAAAATACAGTTAGAGTAAGGAGCAGTAGCTCGAGCCTGTAATCTCAGCTACTTGGCAGGATAAGGTGAGAAGATAGTTTGAGTCCAGGAGTTTATGACAAGCCTGGGCAACATAATGAGACCCCATCTCTTAAAAAAAATTAAAAATACAGTCAAATAGAAGGAACAGGTTTCAGTGTTCAATAGCACAGTTGGGTGACCATACTTAAAAATAATCTTTTGTATATTTTAAAATAGCTAGCAGAGATTAGGAATGTACCCAACACAAAGAAATGATTAATGTTTGGGGTGATGGATATCCCAGTTACCCTGATTTGATCATTACAAGTTGTATGCATGTATCTGTGTCACATGGACCCCACAAATATGTATAATTATTGTGCGTGAATTAAAAATTTCAGTGCATGTTGCAAGTGAAATTTTTAAACCATGAGTTTTTCAGATGAGTCATCCTTTCTTGCCTTAAGACCAACATCTTATTCTTCAGAGGCTCTATAATTCACTACTATGCCAAGCCTAAAAGGACTAGTGGATACTTCTATGACGTCTATGCAGATAGTTTAAAAAAAGAAGTGTTCCAATATACGTGAATCAATGCAACTGTCTCCATGTATAAAACTTTGCACATCACTGGTGAGAATGAAGGGAAGATAATTGATTTGGATCAATACATCTACTTCATCCAACTTCAAGAAGAACTGTTTTGAGTCCAGCTCCAACCAAATGCCTCCACCCTAACTTAATGCAGGGGCAAGAAGGCACTTCTTACTTTCCTGAAGTTACAGTGGGTTCAAATGACAGAAGTTAAATACCTACTTTGAAATCTGGAAGATGTCACTGGAGCTTATGAATACTCTATTGTTGACTTAAAAATTATATGTGGGCTGAGTGTGGTGGCTCACAGCTGTAATCCCAGCACTTTGGGAGAATGAGGTGGGAGGATCACTTGAGGCCAGGAGTTTGAGACCAGCCTGGGCAACACAGCAAGCCCCTGTCTCTAAAAAAAAAAAAAAAAAAAAAATTTAGCCTGGTGTGGTGGCACGGGTCCGTAGTCTCAGCTACTCTAGAGGCTGAGATGAGAGGATTGCTTGAGTTCTGGAGATCAAGGCTGCAGTAAGCAGTGATTGCACCGCTGCATTCCAGCCTGGGTGACAGAATGAGACCATGTCTCAAAAATAATTTTTTTTTTTTTGCAAATACAGTCACTTGTATCACTAAGCAAGTTTCATTTTGCTGCTTCTCAGTTATTCAACACCCTCCCCTTTTAATTCCAGGCTATCCATCTCTAGATTAGTCTTCTAGTTTCAAATGAATGGAATCCTACAGCATGAACTCTTGTTTCTCGCTTCTTTCATGCAGCACATTTTTGTGACTTAAACATATTGTATCAATAGCTCATTCTTATCTATTGCTGAGTAATATCCTATTTTCTGGATATACCACAGTTCCTTATCCGTTCATCAGTTGACAAACATTTGGGTTGTTTCCAGTTATTGGCTACTATGAATAAATTTGATATTAACATTCCCCTGCAAGTCTTCATGTGGACGTATGTTTTCATTCCTGTCAAGTAAATACCTAGGAATGTAATGGTTGGGAGTTATGCAAGGTGTGTATTTAACTTTTTATGAAACTGCCAAACTGTTTTTTCCAAAGTGGCTATATCATTTTACATTTTCTTTTTCTTTCTTTTCTTTTTTTTTTTTTTTTTGAAATGGAGTTTTGCTCTTGTTGCACAGGCTAGAGTGCAATGGCGCGATCTTGGCTCACTGCAACCTCCTCCGGGGTTTAAGAGATTCTCCTGCCTCCACTTCCCTAGGAGCTGGGATTACAGGTGCGTGCCACCACGCCCAGCAAAGTTTTGTATTTTTAGTAGAGACAGGGTTTCACCACCTTGGCCAGGCCAGTCTCGAACTTCTGACCTCAGATAATCTGCCCTTCTTGGCCTCTCAAAGTGCTGGGATTACACGCATGAGCCACCGTGCCTGGCCTCATTTTACATTTTCACTAGCAGTGTATGTGAGCTTCCCCTGCACCACATTCTCAAGTCTTTAACTTGAGTCATTTCAAGTATGTCAGCTGTAGGTTTATTTGTTTATTACTGTTTTAGATGAACTTTACCAGATTGAGGCATTTCCTTTCTATTCCCAGTTGGCAGATATTTTATGAGAAACAGAGGTTGAATCTTCTCAAATGTTTTTACTGCATTTATTAAGATAATCATATGGTTTTTCTTTTTTAGTCTGTTAATATGATGAGTTGCATTGATTGATTTTCAAATGTAAATTCATCCTGCATTCCTGGCCTATCTGCCATTTGGTTATGATGAATTGTTCTTTTTATATATTTTTGGGTTTGACTTGCTAAAATTTTGATAAACATTCTTTCATCAAGCATAACACATACAATTATGTACAGCACATACTACTTGATAATGATAATAAATGACTCTGTTACTGATTATTTACTATACTAAAAATAAAATATTTTTCAGTCAGGATCTTGCTCTATCACCCAGTGGGGAGTGCAGTGGCACAATCACACCAGCCTCAATCTCCTGGGCTCAAGCAATCCTCCTGCCTCAGCCTCCCAAGTAGTTGGGACTATAGGTGCATGCCACCATGCCCAGCTAGTTACACAATTTTTTTGTGGAGATAATGGTCTCCCTGTGTTGCCCAGGCTGGTCTCAAACTCCTGGGCTCAAGTGATCCTCCCACCTCGGCCTCCCAAAGTGCTGGGATTACAGACATGACTGTGCTTGGCTGAAAAAAAATTTTTTTCATAAATGTTCACGAGGTGTATGAGGCTGTAGTACTCTTTTCTTATAATTCTCCCACCCCTCTTTTTTTTTTTAGCTTTGGGAACAGTCAATGTTGCACTCTTAGAACAAGTGGGAAAATGTTCCCTGCAGGCCTCTATTTTGGAACAGCTTGTGTGGAATTGGTACTATTTCTTCAAGAAATGTTTGGTAGAATTAATCATTGAAGCCATCTGGGCCCAAAGTTTTCTTTATGGGAAGGTTTTAAACTAAAATTGAATTTTATAATTAGATATAGGGCTCTACAGATTTTTTGTATCTTCTTGGATGAACTTTGGTAGTGTTATGGACTGAATGTTTGTGACTCTTCAAAATTCATGTTGAAGCCCTAACCCCCAGTGTAGCTGTATTTGGAGATGGGGCCTCTATGAAAGTTAAATAAGATCCTAAGTGTGGGACCCTGATCCTCTAGGATTAGTGCCTTTGTGTGCTTGTAAGAAGAGACAACACAGAACATTCCCCCATCCTCCCATTGCACCACTGAGGAAAGGCCATGTGAGAATGTAGCGAGAGGGTGACTATCCACAAGGCAAGAAGAGAGCCCTCGCCAGAAACCAAATCAGCCAGAACCATGATCTTGGACTTTCAGCCTCCAGGACTATGAGGAAATAGATTTCTGTTGTTTATGCCACCCAGTCTATGGTATTTTGTTATGGCAGCCCAAGCCGACTAATATAGGCAGCTTTCTTTTCAAGAAATTTGAACATTTTTAATAAATTGTCAAATATATCGGCATAGATAGTTCACAACATTCTTATTATCCATTTAACGTCTTTTAGAGCTGTCACTTGGCCTCTCTCATTTCTGACATTTAAAATTTATGTATTAAGCACTTTTTAGTCTAGCTAGAGATTTATCAATTTCATTAATGTTCTTAAGAATTAGCTTTTGGCTTCTCTCATTTTCTGTTTACATTTCATTGGTTTCTCTGCTTTTTTTAAAAAACCGTTTCCTCTTTTCTATTTTATATTTAACCTGTTTTCTTCTGGTTTTTTAAGGTGGAAGTTTAAGTTATTGAATTGCTTCTTTTACAATGTGTCTAATGTTATAAATTTCACTCCTAAGCTCTGTCTTAGACACATTCCACAAATTTAGATATGTCACATTTAAATTTTCAATCAGTTCAAAATATTTTCTAATTTTGGCTGTGATTTCTCATTTCATCCGTGAGTTATTTAGAAATGTGTTTAGTTTCCAAATTTGTAAAGCTTTTCCAGAAATCTTTTTAAAAAATGGATTTAATTCCATTGAGACCAGAAAACATACTTTGTATGATTTGAATCATTTAAAATATCTTGATAGGTTATTAATGTCCAAACTATGGTTTATCTTAGTAAATGTACCATGTACACATGAAAATATTGTTTGTTTTACATGAAATGTTTTATAAATGTCAGTTGGGCTTAGTTCACTATTTTCTTCCGAGTAGCTGATTTGCTATTTGTTATACATGCATTTTTCATCTATAGAACTTCTACTTGGTATATATACATAAAATCTGACATGCCTTTCTTCTTCATGTTCATGCTTTCCTCTACCTTTAGAAAATGTACAATTGCCCATCAATATCTGTGGGTTATTGGTTCCAGGACCCTGTGGATACCAAACTCCATGGTGCTGAAGTCCCTTACTAAAACGGCATAGTATTTGCATATAACCTATGCATATCCTCCTGTTTATCTTAAATCATCTCTAGACTACTTATAATACTTAATACAATGTAAATGCTATGTAAATAGTTGTTACACTGTATTGCCTTTAAAATTTGTATTTTTAATTGTTGCATTCTTAAGTTCCGGGATACATGTCCAAAACATGCGTATTTGTTATATAGGTATGCATGTGCCATGGTGGTTTGCTGCTCCTATCAACCCATCATCTAGGTTTTAAGCCCTACATGCATTAGGTATTTGTCCTAAAGCTCTCCCTCCCCTTGCCCTCCCCCCCGCAACAGGCCCCAGTGTGTGATGTCCCCTCCCTGTGTTCATGTGTCCTCATTGTTCAACTTCCACTAATGAGTGAGAACATGTGGTGTTTGGTTTTCTGTTCCTGTTAGTTTGCTGAGGATGATGGCTTCCAGTTCTATCCATGTCCCTGCAAACGACATGATCTCATTCTTTTTTTATGGCTGCGTAGTATTCTACAGTGTATATGTACCACATTTTCTTTATCCAGTCTGTCATTGGTGGGCATTTGAGTTATTCCATGTCTTTGCTATTGTAAATAGTGCTGCAATAAACATACGTATGCATGTATCTTTGTAGTAGAATGATTTATATTCCTTTGAGTATATACTCAGTAATGGGATTGCTGGGTCATATGGTATTTCTGGTTCTAGGTCCTATTTTTGTTTCAAATATTTTTTGATCTGCAGTTGGTTGAATCTACGGATTTGGAACCTCCAGATAGAAAGAGCCACTGTGTAGAGTATATTTTAGCTGTGTCGTTGACTGCTAACTATATTATCTGTATGATTTCTGCAGTTTTCACTGACAGATTTTTCTCCCTGAGTCAATTTTCCTGCATGTTTGCATGCCTAGCTTTTAAGCTGTTAGGCAAGACCAGAATAGCCTTTATCTAGGGATAATTTGGCTCCACTAATGATACATGCAATACCTTCTGTTTCCTATGCCTCAGGTGTTAGGTCTTTCTAGTCAGGCTGGTGGAAATACAAACTATTCTTGACCCCGTTTCATACTGAAGGATTATTCTGCTGCTCTATTCTAGTGGTTTCCACCACTCTTAGGTCGTTTCCTCATGTGCTGCACTCGTCAGTATTCAGCTGAAGACATAAGAAGAAACCCTGTGCGGATCTCTGGAGCTCTTTCTCGCCTGTGCAGTGCTCTCCTTTCTCCTCTCTGCCTTGCAAATTCTGGCTGTTTTCGCCTCTGTAAATTCTGCCTCCTTGATTTAGGGAAACTCCTGGGCTTTGTTTGGGTCTGTCCCCTCACTTCGACCTACCTCATGCTGTTTCTGTGCTGCAAACTTGGGGAATCACAGAGCTTACCTTGTTGGTTTCCCTTCTTTCATGGCACTGTCCTTTGCTGTCTGTTGCTATTTGAAACCCATTGGTTCATGCATTTTGTCTGGTGTTCCAGGTTAGAAGTAAATCCACTTTCTTTTCTTCATCATGGGCAGAAGTGTGAGTCAGACTTCATTTCTTTTCCTTTTTTTTTTTTTTTTTTTTTTTTTTTTTGAGATGGAGTTTCGCTCTTGCTGCTCAGGCTGGAGAGCAATGGCACGATCAGGGCTCACTGCAACCTCCGCCTCCCGGGTTCAAGCGATTCTCCTGCCTCAGCCTCCCGAGTAGCTGGGATTACAGGCATGCACCACCATGCCCGGCTAATTTTGTATTTTTAGTAGAGATGGGGTTTCTGCATGTTGGTCAGGCTGGTCTCGAACTCCCGACCTCAGGTGATCCACCCGCCTCTGCCTCCCAAAGTGCTGGGATTACAGGGGTGAGCCACCATGCCCAGCCCATTTCTTCATTCTTAAAACATAGTTTTGCTAAGTCTATACAGATGACCCTTGAACAACTTGGGGATTTGGGCATCAACTCCTTGCACATTTGAAAATCCTTGTATAACTTTTGACTTGCTCCCAAATTTTACTAATAGCCTGCTGTTGACTGGAAGCCTTAGTCAATTAACACATATTCTGTATGCTTGCTATATACTGTATTCTTAAAGTAAGCTGGAGAAAAGAAAATGTTATTAATAAAATCAGGCCAGGCACTGTGGCTCATGCCTATAATCCCAACACTTTGGGAGCAGGAGGACTGCTTGAGGCCAGGAGTTCAAGACTAGCCTGGACAACACAGCAAAACCCCATCTCTAATAAAAAAATCAGCTGGCGTGGTGGCACGTGCTTATAGTTCTAGATACTCAGGAGGGTGAGGAGGCTTGCTTGAGCTCAGGAATTTGAGGCTGAAGTGAGCTATAATTATGTGCCACTGCACTCCAGCCTGAGCAAGAGAGTGAGACCCTGTCTCTAAAAAAAGAAAAAGAAAATCAGAAGGAAGAGTAAATATATTTGCTATTCATGAGGTGGAAGTGGATCATTATAAAAGTCTTTGTCCCTGTCATCAGGTTGAGTAGGCTGAGGAGGAGGAGGAAGGGGAGAGATTGGTCTTACTTTTCGGGGGTGACAGAGACCGAAGAAAATCCACAAAGTGGACCCACAAGCTGGGCTCATGCCTCTAATCCCAACTACTCAGGAGGCTGAGGTGGGAGGATCACTTGAGGACAGGAGTTCAAGACCAGCCTGGGCAACACAGCGAGATTGACTCCAAAAAGAAAAAAAAAAGTGGAACCATGCAGCTCAAATCCATATCATTCAAGGGTCAATTGTAAGCCTGGAACAATTATTTTCTATCCATTGGAGGTATCATTCCACTGCTTCATTACTACTGTTGAGAAGCCAGCTGTCAGTCTTGGGCATTTTCTTGAAGACAGTATAACTTTCAATCCTTGGCTTATTTTAAGATTTTTTTCATTGATTTCCCAGTTGCACTTGAGAGACTAGTTGCATATTTCTTTTACTTTATTCTGCTTGAAATTCACTGGGCTTCTTCAGTCTGTGGATTGATGTCTTCAATTGTTCTCAAAAGCTCTCAGCCTTTATTTCCTCAAATAACTTTACCTCGTTCTCTGTCTCTGGAACTCTAGTCAAATACTCATTACAACTTCTCACTGAATCTTTGTCTCTTCTCTTCTGTACTGTTTTTCTCTCTTGGTGCTATGCTATGGGTAATTTTTTCTAGTTCTCTCTTCTGCCATGAAGTTTGCTGCTAAGAATGTCCACTGAGTTTTAAAATTTTGGTTATTGTATTTTTCATGTATATAAATTATATTTTATCTTTGAATTTGTATCCCTTTTTAGTTTCTTTCCCTACAAATATTTTCAAGTTCACTGATCATTTTTTAAACACAATAAGCATAGTTGTTTAATAATATATCTCATAATTCTATATCTAAAGCATGTGCAGAGCTTGATTTCTTGTGCACTATTTTATTTTTCACCCCATGTCCATCATTCCTCCTGAAAATTTATTTACAGTGCTTTGCAAAACACCTAATTAATGTGTCTTCCTTCAGAGAGGTACTGGAATGGCTTCTGCCAGGTTCAGGGGGACACTAGTGGTTGGGAACTACTCAAATTATGTGAAATCTAAAGGTCCTTCGTTCACCCAGGCTTTTGTGCTCAAGGCATACACACACAGAAAAAAACCATCTGAAGGCTGATATGTGGCCACAACTTATCTGGCTTTTCTGTCCCTTTCCCTTCTTACAGTCCCTAATTTGGGGTTGGGTTTAGTTTTAGCTCTCCCTTAGTGTGAAGATGTAACTCTTTGGGGTTTCCTATGGGATTCTCCAATTAGGATGGTCCTTGACCTTACCTTTCATCCTTTTTGCCCCATGAGCCCACTATATCAAAGTGTGAGGTATTGGACATGCTTTCAGGTCAAAAGTGGCTTTTTCCCCTACAATATTCTACTTATTTCTCTGAGTTGGGCCTTCTTCAAAGCTTTGGTCTTGCAATTCATCATCTTTTTACCTCTTGTGCATGTTTTTAGGTGTATAACAAACACACACACACTCTTCAAAGATCCATCATCAATCAAGTGATAAGCATTAGAATATGTGTTAATTTACGGGGAAAAACCCCGACTTTAACCTCTCTGCTGAGAAGTTTTAAAATGGTAAGTAGAATGGTGTGTTATTCCCAGAATAGGAAATATCAGTATATATATTCTTTAAGTGATGGAATCTTGCTCTGTTGCCCAGGCAGGAGAGCAGTGGCATGACCATAGCTCACTGTAGCCTTGAACTCGTGGGCTCAAGAAATCCTCCTGCTTCAGCCTGCCAAGTACCTGGGACTACAGGTGCACACCACTGCGTCCAGCTAATTTTGTTTTTTTGTAGAGGTGAGGTCTCACTAAGTTGCCCAGGCTGGTCTTATACTCCTGGCTTCAAGTGATCCTCCCACCTCTGCCTCCCAACGTGCTGGGATTACAGGTGTGAGCCAGTGTGCCTGGCCTGTAGAATTCTTAATGCATTAATGCCAGGTGTACTATTTTCTATCAAAAAAATTTTTTTTTGAGACAGAGTCTCACTCTGTCGCCCAGGCTGGAGTGCAGTGGCACAATGTTGGCTCACTGCAACCTCCACCTCCTGGATTCAAGCAATTCTCTGCCTCAGCCTCCTGAGTAGCTGGGATTACAGGTCCCCAGTACCACGCCCAGCTAATTTTTGTATTTTTAGTAGAGATGGGGTTTCACCATCTTGGCCAGGCTGGTCTTGAACTCCTGACCTCATGATTCACCTGCCTCGGCCTCCCAAATTCCTATCAAATTTATTCTTTTTGGTTCTCTGGGGGAGATAAGAATGTGCAACTAATAACAGTGTAAGACCTAGAAACTGCTCTGACCCTGACCCTTTACACAAGTGACTTAATTTCATGTTCAATATCCTTGCATGTTAAATGCAGAAAAGACAAAGTTATCCTGATAGCCCATTTAATGCTAACATTTATTAATCTACAGATGCTTCCACATGTCAATTCCAACACTTATAATAGACCTTACTGAAAAATAGCCCTTTTCCTCACTGGCATAATCTTTCCATAACAACACTCCAGAGTCACACACTGCTAATCGACTGGAGATGGCACAAATCTTATTGATCATCCTTATTCCTGCACATATATAACATCTTTTGAAATATGGCTAAAACAATTTTTTTCTACCATATTATACCCTTTTCTAATAGTTGTAATAGTTTAAGAATTAATACACAACCTCCCCAAAATCATGCCCATCTTTCAGGATTGTAAAGAATTAAAATATTGAATTCATTTTCTTCCATTATGAAGAAAGAAATCATCAGGTACAAAACCAACAAAAGTATTATCAGCTTGATGTAAAAGCCTTCTATTGAGAAAAGTAAAATAATAAATAAAAGACAATTGATATACTTCAGGTAGATAATAAAAATTTAATAGCAATATCATAAAATAAACACACATATTAAAAAATCAAGTATTTAGTTTCGGATATTAGAAATAATATACATAATAAATTCAACATACTGATAGTGCTGCAAGATAAGATTTTATTTTTCAAATTACATATTATGCCAACCAGCCTGCTTTGGACTCAGAGGTTCAAAAACTTTGCTTTTATTACGAAGAACATCTGGACTGTAGACACCTCTAACGAAACCAGGTTATACTTGGCATATTGTGATTGAAGCTGTGTGATCAACATCTTAATGACCTAACTAAATCCTCTCATAACAGAAAGAAGTTCAACAGGCAAACATTTCCCTCCCTAGGATCCTAGTTACCAAAACTGTCACAGTGTCAAAATAAAAATAATTATTTCCTCCTTTTTAACATCTTATTGTCCTTGAAGCTTATGTATGGAGGAAGTTAAAAACCAAAAGAGCAACTTTAAGCTATATGCTAAGTCAGTGTTAAATCCACAGACTAATTTTTCGATATAGTATTCCTGGTTCTGGTCCTTAAAGAGAAATAAAGGCATTAAACCAACTTTTTATATGTCAAGAAATATAATTTTGCTATTCTTTCATAATCAAATCTTTCAATGATTTCTAAGACTGTTTCTACAGCCTGTGTGCTAGTTCAGGAGACACACTGATTGTAAAAGGACTTGAGAATATAAACTTTAAGGCTAAAAATTTCATCTTCAAAATGTATAGATGTAAACAGAGCCCTTGACAAGGTGATTTAATGTAGAACTGCTGGCCAGAATGAAAACAAGTACTAGACAGAAAAAAGATCATGCTTAAAGACTCCATTGAAAAACCACAGACAGGTCCTTCATGACATAGGTAATTCCTTCAACCTAAAGACATTTGCTGAAACTCAAAGTTACCCTATTGCATAGTAAATCTTCAAAACCATTAAGTCAGGTTCTGGGTCAATGTTTCCTATGCTTTGGTTGGATGATTTAATAAAGTATATATTTTATGAGATTTAACCATGGAATTCAATGAACAAAATAGATAAAATATTAGAATCTTCACTGAAAAATGGCATGTTTCTCCATCTTTTTCATGCAATAAGAAAGTCCATCTTAAATCTGATTTTTTAAATAAATAATTGCTGTATTTCCCACTGAAGCTTGTTATTCTGATAAGCCAAATTCAAATGCTTTCATATAGTTGAGGATTAAAAAACATTTTGAGGATTATTCATCATTATCTGTAGAAAAAAGAAAAAAATTGACTTCATTTCAAATCAAGCTGTATCTACTTTAAAAAAAACCCATTCTTGTTCATGCTAAAGGAGAAGAGCTTTAATGTAGTTTTAAACATACTTTTAAAATTATTTTATCACACATTCCTTGTAAAATATTCAGACAATACAATGAAGAATAAAATGGGAAGCAAAAATCATCTGTAAGTGAAAGACAACCAATGTTAACTTTATATAAATCCTCCCACAATGCTTTCCTATGCATACACAAATATCTTTTAAAAATTACACTAAAATGCAGTTTTGAAACATAGGTTTTCCACTGAAAACACCCTAGTGAATGGAAAGGTGGATACATAAGTGATAATGTAAGATTAGAAAATGCTAATGTTAGAATCTAGGTGGTGGGTGCATGGGTGATCACTGTAAAGTTCTTTCAGATTTTCAATATGATAAAAATTTGACAATAAAATGTTAAAGAATAAATCATGGATATATTCTATGTTGACTTCAATGTCTGCAGAGTATTCTGTTTAATGGATATGACATAACTAACCATTACTATTTATAGACATTTTTGTTATTTTCAATTTTTTTAATTCTAAAGATTATAATCAAGTGAATTAAACAGACTGGTTAACTTAATCTTATATGCAAGCACTATCTTCCACATTCTAGCAAAAGTGATCTTTCATTAAAATCCAAGGGTCATGTCAAATCACTGCACTGCTTAAAACATTTGTTAGCTCCCTGCTGCCTCAAAATGGAATCCACGCTCCTTAACGTGGATTACAAAGCCCTTCATGATCTGGCCTTTTAAATATTTCTCATCTTACCAAATTTCATTCCCCACCTTCCTTAACTGCCCCTATAATTTATGCTTTAGGAACACTGAATTGCTTATAGTTTCCCTACTACATTTTGCATACTTCCATGTATGAGTACTTATTTGCATTAAATTCCCATTTGTCTTTCAGAATCCAACTTTGATGTCCTCTCCCCTAGGAAGACCTATCCTGTCACCATCAATGTAGTTGGATCATTACTTTATAACTTACATACATTTTATTGCTTCCAAGGTAACACTTATCACTGGACTATAATTTACTTACTTTTCAAATAATCAGGAAAGTAATGAACACACATATCCATAATATGTAGAATTAACAAAAGCTAACTTTTGGCCATAGTGGTTTGGATTATTTAAGTAAAACCATATTACAGATGCAGAGTACCCTTTCTCAATCTTACTGCCTTCCTTTCTTCCCCAGGGGCATTTTCAGTACTCTGAAATTGATGTGTATTCTTCCCGCTCATGGTTTTTGCTTTTATTTTTATTACGTACATGCACATCTAAATAAAATTGTTTAGAAACACTACATAAATGGTGTAATATTCTACTTATTCAACTCATCATGTTTGTGGGGCTTATCCATATTGACAGTCGGAATTTAATTCATTCATTTTAGCCGATGTATACAATTTCATTACATAAACGCAGCCCAATATTCCACCTAAAATGAATATGAAGAGAAGGTATGTGTCTCTTTCTTAAGAGTCTATAATGGCCAGGCATAGTGGCTCATGCCTGTAATCCCAGCACTTTGGGAGACCGAGGCAGACAGATCACCTGAGGTCAGGAGTTTGAGACCAGCCTGGCCAACATGGTGAAACCCTGTCTCTACTAAAAATACAAAAATTAGCTGGGTGTGGTGGCACATGCCTGTAATGCCAGCTACTTGGGAGGGTGAGACAGGAGAATTGCTTGAACCTGGGAGGCAGAGGTTGCAGTGAGCCGAGATCATGTCACTGTACTCCAGCCTGGGCGACAGAGCAAGACTCCATCTCAAAAAAAAAAAAAAAAAAAAAAAAAAAAAAAGAAGAATCTATAAACTTGGGCCGCTAATGCTAATACTCAATGTGAGAACATGGTAGCCTCTGCCAGGTTGCCACTGGCCACAGCTGTTATACTCCTCTCCTTGTGGAAGAATTTATTAGGAATACTATCAAATCGCTTACACATTTTATTAGCTCTATTTGACTTCTGACTCTGGATAGTATCTAGCTATGGAAAAAAAAGCATTAACTTTATCAACGGCTGAAGATATTGACGCTTACCAAACCTGCACCATAACAGTATCAGGAGAGTTAAATAGCTGAGGCTGTCTTTTCAGGACTTATATAATTTCCAGTGAAATAAAACAGAAATGTGTTTTTGACAATCTTCTTTTTAACTTGTATCTTAATGACTTGATGTCACTTTCGGGTGAGCGAGATAAAATTTTGCTTACCCCTTCCCTTCTTTACTCTCCCTTTTCCCCAACACAGAAAATAAAAGTGTGTAAGTACCATATGTAGATGACATGGCTTTACCATCTCCTAGATGTGGCCTAAAAGATAGCTGTCTGGACAACTATCTCTAAGACAGGTAGGCTGGGTGCGGTGGGTCACACCTGTAATCCTAACACTTTGGGAAGCTGAGGTGGGAGGACAGCTTCAGGCCAGGAGTTTGAGATCAACATGGCGAAATGCCATCTCTGCCAAAAAAATACAAAAATGAGTCAGGCATGGTAGCTCACGCCAGTAGTACCAGTTACTCAGGAGGCTGAAGTGGGAGGACTGCTTGAGCCCAGGAGGCGGAGGTTGCAGTGAGTTGAGATCATGCCACTGCACTCCAACCTGGGTGACAGAGCAAGGCCCTGTCTCCATAGAAAAAAAAAAATCCCAACAAAAAACTCCCCAAATCAAAAAGAACAGCTATATATGGGCTCTACTGACTTCCAATAAGAAGGAGTGCAAAACGGTTATTCTGAATCAATGAATATGAAATCTATATCTAGTCATTTCATTTAACTCTCATGATTAACAATACAAAACAGCAAGTCATCCACATAATTCAATATCCATTTTATAACCAGTTTCTTTAGTAGCTATAGTAGCAAGTTACAATATTTTATGGGCTGTACTCAATTTTTTTTTAAGCTACACCTGCTGTAATGGTATGTACTAAGAGTTTTAGAAAAGATTGCCAGGGTAGGCATCTTCAATTGCTTTACATTTTTTCTAGGGTGAAGGAATTACTGTCAGGCTTTATGATACAGAACTCTGGGGTTCTCTTTCCCTTTCCATTTGTGTACTAGAGAAAATCTGATATTGCTTCCTGAGTGGTGTATTAACCTAGCCTGATTCTTGGTCCTTTGCAGGGGAAATGGCCTTCTGTGTAGGCTTATATCCTTTTGAAGCCACTCAGTTGTCAAAAGAGGGTGTCAATTCTACCTTGTGAATAAGTTGATTGTTACAGCTCTCCACTTAAGGGGCAAGGCAAACTAAAAGCTCTCCAGATACTTGTTGAGCAAAACTGAACCCCAAGCACATTGTTGCTGATTACTTATGAAAAGCTCTATTGAAACAATACTTAAGGAGAACCGCCTGGAGGTGGAATAGTCTGAATATGAATAGAATTGGTTTGATACACTCTACAGAATTACTGAAATGGAATCATCCTCTGGCTTCGTGCCATTAACTTACAGCATGACATATGAGAAACAGCCTCATGAAATCTAAATATTGTAAAAATTACTGAGGATACTTTTCATTCCATTATAGCACTGTTTTGTAAAATGAAGTCCAAGGTCTCAATAAAATAAGAAATCCACAAGTACCAGAAAATGTTTACCTTTTATATTTTCATTTTGATAAAATTTTTTAATATTTAGAAAAATACAACATGTTTTACAGTAATAATTCACAACTAACAGAAATTTTCTACCACTAAGACTTGAGTTTTTTTTTTTTTACTGGGGTTTATAGACCCTTGGATTCTCATGCCTGAAAAAAATACTTTTTGCTCCTTAAAGGGATCCACATGTTATTCAAGTTTGAGGAACACTGTATGATAGTGCCCTCTTTTTAAAGATCATGGGAAAATTGTTCCTTTGGTTTCAATACCAAAAATAGCTGTCCTCTGAGCAACTAAAATGTTTTGTCTCATGAATACTGTGACTCATGTAATTAATTAGGTTTTCTGCTTTGTGAGAAAGACCAGCACCAAATTTGTTTCCTGTTTTTAGAAAATGTGGAAACCTTTTGAACATGAAGTTTGTATTCTTCATTCCTGGCTTCATGTTATACTGCTTGTGCTCATTTGTCCAATTTGTTGACTTCCCCAAACTTTTTTTTAAAACTTAATTTTCTCTCTTACTATATACATATATATATTTCAATGCAATCTTAGACTTTTTTGTATGAATATGCAAACACATTTTGTATGGAATACAAATACATTTTATAAACATTTTTATTGCTAAAATTAAGCATCAACATTTAAAACCCTCAATTTTAGTCTATGAATTTAACATTTAAAGTAATAAAATTAATGTTTGGGCAAATAATCTAGAAATAAATTCTTGTTCAAAATTTTACATATTGCTTTTTGTGTCTACAAGTTTTGCCAGGTGCAGTGGCTCACACCTGTAATCCCAGCACTTTGGGAGGCCAAGGAGGGGTGAATCATTTGAGGTCAGGAGTTCGAGGCCAGCCTGGCCAACATGGTGAGACCCCATCTCTACTAAAAATACAAAAATTGGCCAGGCATGGTAGCACCTGTAGGCCAAGCTACTCAGGAGGCTGAGGCAGGAGAATCACTTGAACCCAGGAGGCAGAGGTTGCAGTGAGCTGAGACTGTGCCACTGCACTCTAGCCTGGACAACAGAGCAAGACTCCATCTCACACACACAAAAAACGTTTAATACCACATCCTTGATAAGAACTATTCTAGGGCCAGGCGCAGTGGCTCACATTTGTAATCCCAGCACTTTGGGAGGCTGAGGTGTGTGGATCATCTGAGATCAGGAGTTCAAGACCAGCCTGGCCAACATGGTGAAACCCTGTCTCTACTAAAAATACAAAAAGTAGTCAGGTGTGGTGGCGCACGCCTATAATCCCAGCTATTTGGGAGGCTGAGGCAGGAGAATCACTTGAGCCCAGGGGGTGGAGGTTGCAATGAGCCGAGATCACGACACTGCACTCCAGCCTGGGCAATAAGACTCTGTCTCAAAAAAAACAAAAAAAAATGAATTATTCTAAGTTATAATCTTCTTTATTTTTATTTATTTACTTTTTTGAGACAGGGTCTGGCTTTGTCACCAAGGCTGAGTGCAGTAGCACAATCACAGCTCACTGCAGCTTCAAACTCCTGGGCTCAAGCAATCCTCCCACCTCAGTCCCCTGAGTAGCTGGGACTAGAGGTGCCCACCACTATGCCTAGCTAATTAAAAATTTTTTTGTGTGTAGAGATAGGGTTTCACTATGTTGTCCAGGCTGGTCTCAAACTCCTGGCCTCAAGCCATCCTCCCACTTAAGCCTCCCAAGTAGCTGGAATCACAAGCATAAACCACGGCACCCGGCTAGGATTATTCTAATTGCTAGAGCTGTCCAAAAATCTATCTAGTAAGATTTTTAAAAACCTCATTCAAAGGTTACTTGTAAATTAAATTAAAAATATGGACTTAAAGGACTTAAGTCAGTAAAAGTATATGACAGATCAGTAAAAGTACATGACAAAGTTAATTTTATTATTGCTTAAAAGTTATATAGTTCCCAAGTAGATTTCACAAAATGGATGTGATGTAAGCTGATTCATATACATGTATCATCTTGTTTTTCTCACATTTACTGAAAATTATACAGACATGTGAGGAAATCTTACCTTCTTGGTAGGCTCCATCTGCCATGACTAAATGAAGAATCTTGGCATAAAGATGCTGATGTTCATTTCCCAAAATATTTTGAACTATTTTTGAACAAATTTCAATATTTTCATCTTCATCTTCATGAATAGCCTATACCAAATTCCCAAATATAAATTAATATTTGAATAACTTTCTGTAATTGCAGACTTCACTTTTTATTTATAATAAATCTAATGACCAATACAGATTATCAACATTTCTTCAACCTTCAAACATAGCACATTTTAAGTGTTTTAATTGACTTTTCACTTACCTTTATTTTCTCATAAACCTCAAAGAATTTTTCAAAGCCCATTTCCTGCTCCAGATGAAGTCTCAGTTCCTCTAAATGGTTAAAGACACTATCGCATTCACATTCACTAGCAATTTCACCATCACTGTTATCTAAAAAACAAAATTAAAATAGAGATTTGATTTAAAAAGACTGAATAACTCATACCCTAATAGACTAAAATTCTATGACAAATGAATAATGCCATTGAAATAGACTACTTCTACTTTCATTATAAACAGTTTTTGTCATTTTAATATTTGTCCTTTATTTGGCAAAAAAAATGTATAAATCTGTCTAAACAAGAATGTTACTTTTCATGTATAGATATAAAAAATAAATCAGGTTGGAATCAAAACACTCCTAGAGATGTTACTTAAATAAAAAAAAAAAAGTGGAAAAAGCACACCTCCATGTTTTGCTTTGAAGCAGCTAACCCTAACTAGTATTTTCAAAAGTTGGTAATAAACACGGGAAACACCATGGAAAAGCCTGCAAAAGGTAGACAACCTAAGACATACATCATTACATTTCAGGAAAGCACCTAGAAAGTATAAATGGCCAATATGTTTTGTCATGTACGTGCTCGACATACTTTGAAAAAAATTACTTAGTCTTTTCACATTAGCTTTTCTTCCTAAATTAATATCATATAGTTATTGAAACAGACACACTTTCTATGCATCTTAGGGGTAATATTATGAAAGAGAAAGTTTACAAATTTACGAAAAGAGTTTTTAGTACTTTAAAAACTGCTTTCAGTGTTAACTCTGCTGGTTAATATATGCAGAAGCTCTTTCTAAAATATAGAATGCCAAGAAAACAATGTTATTATCTTTATTACTGGAAAAATCAGTCAATAAATGGAGATTAGAATAAAAATGCTTCAAAAAAGCATTGACATAATAGGAAAGAAATAAAAACTTTAATAAAAAATGGAAAATCACACATTTGTATGAAAAGAAAAAGAATGAAAAAAGGGGAGAGACCCAGAGGCATGCTTCAGTTGTATTTAAAGTTGGAAATGGTTCACAGCAGAGATTAGAAAAATACACTCTACTTGAAATATTTGTAAACTGAAAAAGAAAAAGGTCCAAAACTCTGATCATGCACCTGAGTGCCATTCTTCGTTCAGGGCACTTTCACTGCTGGGATTGTCATCTTCATCTGCCACATCTGTCCCATTTGCAGTTGGCTCCACATCACTGTTCTTCAAGACTGACTCTTCTTCTTCACTGTATTCTTCACCAGGTTGTTCCCTAAGTAACTGTTCCATCGAGGCCTGCAGCTCTTGTAAATCTGTGTCAGTTTCTTCAAACACACTGAAATTTAAAAAGTATAACTAAAAGTTTCAAACATACTGAAATTTACCAAGTTAAACAACTAAAACTACCTCATACTGAAATTTTACTTCTACTCAATACGTAGGCACTTCTTAAAAAATCCTAATAGTAGATAACAAAAAATCTGGAAAAAGCCTACATTGTTTTTCACCGGTAAATTGAGGATGAATACAACTGATAAATATATCACACAACACATATTCTGGAATATATAAGCCAGAAGATGATTTGTTTAAAATGATCCCAACTTGCCAAAGAGAATCACATAACTATCGATGTTACTCATTGCTTAAATTCTGAAACAATGTTTTGATATTTTAACAGGCCAGACTATAGAAGTTTTTCTAAAACAAATAATAGTAAATTATTTTCTCTTTTATGGAATTTTGTAATTTTCAAAATATCCATGTGGCTAATAGCTAGACACTATACAAAAGGCTTTCCATATACATGCCCATTGGGCATTTGAACTTTTAGAAATAGAAATACTTAGGAAATTTTATATTCATGTTAATAGGATGACCCAGTGAATAAAATGGTCACCAGAAATCTTATCTTTAGATGCTTATTCTTAAAAATGTTCTAAAATACATAATAGATTTTCTGTGTAACTAGCCTATACCAACCATCATAATTCTTCACTGGAGAATTTTGTTTCCAAAGTATTGGTAAGAATATTCATTCTATTTTCATGGGATTATAGATGCTGGAATGAAATAACTTATACAAATAATACCTTACATTTATATAGAACTTTTGTTTTTTAAACATTTTTATCCTACTACTCAAATTTTATCCACAAAAAATCACTTTAGAGACATGAAAACTATGAACCAAAATGTTTAAATGACTTGGTCAAGGCCACATAGTCAGTAAATGACAGAGCACTGAAATCTAGTCTTTGACCACTTCTGTAATATCTGAGAAACATACTCAGAAAAATTTTTTTCCTCTTATGATTTGCTTCTTTATCCTAACATGGAATGTAAATGGAAAAGTTTGTAGACTAAAGGAGTTAACTGATGTTTTAGATGTCTGAAGACTTCTAAAAGAGATTATGTACCTAAGCCGGGATTTCATCTATCAGGAAGGCAATGCTTAACAGGACACAAGGGCTAATTAAGGCCTTTCTAAAAGTTTAGACTCCAATCAAATATTTACTGAAGAACTAAAATATAAACACTATTGTGTAAGACTGTCAATATAATTTCCATTAATAGAGTAAATAATCTTTTTATGTAGAAATATCTTTATTTTGTACTTATATGTACAAACGCCTACAATTTGACTTGTAGGAGCTATAGAAAAGCAAAGCATCTAATTAGAATGAGAAAATAGTGTCTAATCTCTTGAATCATCCTACTAGTAGCATTTAACTTAATATATAATTACAAGACTAATTTAGGCTGGGTACAGTGGCTCATGCCTGTAATCCTAGCCCTTTGGGAGGCTGAGACAAGAGGATTGCTTGAGGCCAGGAGTTTGAGACAAGCCTGGGCAACATAGCGAGACCCCTCTAGAAAAAAAATTGCAAAAAACTTAGCTAGGCGTGGTGGCACGAGCCTGTATTCCTAGCTACTAGGGAGTCTGAGGCAGGAGGACTGCTTGAGCCCAGGAGTCCAAGGCTGCTGTGAACTATGATTGCAGCACTGTACTATAGCCAGGGTGACAGAGTGAGACCCTATCTCCCCCAAAAAATTTTATTATTAAAAAAAGATCAACGAAGTATGCACACCTGCTATGTACCATTACTACAATGAGTAAATATTGACCTGTTCATAAAATCATCTAGTGGCTGGCCTAGAGGAATTAGTACCCTCTGCAGATGGTATTCAATTGAGGCAGCTAAGCTTGCCACTGTAAGAAAGTATGAGAAGATTAAGATCTTTTACTAAATGAGCACCAAAAAACTTTAAGGTACTTAAAAAAATTTGGTCTTGAATTCAGTTTTTAGTTGGCTATCTTATAAAATCTTGACTAAAGTTTAGACAAAAAAAAATAATAATAATTTTCCAAAGACAAACATCAAGTGAAATATCCCTATAACAATATGAAATAACGTACTTTAAAAACAACTTGGTTTTCGAATTTTTCAATTAATACTAAAGGCTTCTAACTTAAGTTTTAAAATAAAATTCTGTCATCAATTGTTCATTAAAAGAACACATGCATAACACAAACTTAGCAGCTTGGAAGAAAGAAAAAATAAAAGAACACAAGCCACAAATAAGCTGTAGTTCATTCAGATAAAAATAAATGATTTCATAAAATTTTTGGGAAAAAAATTTTAGTTAGCAGTTTGTCAACAATAAAAATCCTGAATGTTGTTATGTTCTCCAATAGGATTAATAAAAACACAATATTTCAGTGTTTAATGACTACAGTCAAGTAGAAGAAACAAAAGTAAAAAGGTAACTTTTCTTCTAGATTGTAAGGTCATTAGCAAAAATCTACAGAACTCTAGGAAAAATGAAAAAGGCAATCTTTTAAAAATGAAGTTTCACCAGAAACTTAAGAAGCAAGGGCAAGGCTTAAAAAAGAACCAAAAACCAGAAAATAAAATGTGCCAGCGGCATCGATCCTACGTAACTCAATACAGAAGAAAACATTATGAGAGTGATATAATACTTTCAATCAGATCAAAATACAAGTTCTTTCCAAAGGTAAAAGTAAAAAGCAGAAACAAGTTCAAAGAAATTACAAAATAAATTATAAAAATTCTAATATTTTATAACTTTTTATCCAGGTGATTTGAACACACTGTACCTTCTCACCTTACTCTAGGAAACTCTGGTTTTATTACACCAAAAAGTGTGTAACATTTGTCTAAGACAGTTGAGAGGGCTGACCAACACTGAACAAGGTAAAGGAAGGTTCTTTTTGTTTTTTTATGGAAAAAAATTTTTTTTTTAATTTTACTTTAAGTTTTAGGGTACATGTGCACAATCTAAGGGGTTATCACTCCTTACAGCTCTCAGAGGTATTGCTTGTTAAATTTCCCTCCTAGATTCAGGATTCCCCATGAATCACAAAGAAAGCAATTTTGTGAAAACAATCCAATTACATGCAGAAAACATGTGTGCACTGACACATGTGCACACACACACATGAACAAAACTGGTCGACCTGCTAACTCCCCATTGGCATGGCTTTGAAATCATATATGGCAAGAGGTAGATGTGGAGCTTTCTGGTCATTCTCCTGGGAAACTGTAGAGCACAGTCATGAATTGCTTAACAACAGGAAGCATTCTGAGAAATGCATTGTTATAGCCAATTTCATTGTTGTGCTAACATCATAGAATGTGCTTACACAAACCTAGTCAGTATAGCTAACTACATACCTAGGCTACAAAGTAGAGCCTGTTTACTCCTAAGCTACAAACCTGTACAGCATATGACTGTACTCAGTACTGGAAGCAACTGTAACACAATGCTATCTGTCTATTCTAAATATATCTAAACATAGAAAAGGTACAGTGAAAACACTGTATAAAAGATAAAAAATGGTAAACTTTATAGGGTACTTATCATAGGACATTACTATACACTACTATAGACTTATAAACACAGTATATGCTTAGGCTACACTAAATTTATCAATTTATTTTTCTGCAATAATAAATTAACTTGGCCAGTCCCAGTGGCTCACACCTGTAATCCTAGCTATTTGGGAGAGTGAAGTGGAAAGATTGCTTGAGTCCAGGAGTTGGAGGCTGCAGTGAGCTATCATCATGCCAGTGCACTCCAGCTTATTTATTTTTCATTTTTGAGACAGGGTCTCACTCTGTTGCTCAGGCTGGAGTGCAGTGGCATGATCATGGCTCACTGCTGCCTCAAACTCTTGGGCTCAAATGATTTTTCCACCTCAGCCTCCTGAGTAGCTGAGACTACCTACAAGGCATGTGGAAACAAACCTGGCTATTAAAAAAATTTTTTTTGGCTAGGTGTGGTAGCTCATGCCCGTAATCCTAGCACTTTGGGAGCCCAAGGTGGGCAGATCGCTTGAGGTCAGGAGTTTGAGACCAGCCTGACCAACATGCTGAAACCCCATCTCTACCAAAAATACAAAAATTAGCCAGGCGTGGTGGCAAGTAATCTCAGCTACTCAGGAGGCTGAGGAGGAGAATCGCTTGAACTTGGGAGGCAGAGGTCGCCGTGAGCCAAGATCATGCCACTGCACTCCAGCCTGGGTGACAGAGCAAGAGTCCACCTCAAAAGAAAAAATAAATTTTTTTTTGTAGAGATGGTGTCTCACTATGTTGCCCAGGCTGGTCTCACATTCCTCCTGCCTTGGCCTCCCAATGTGGTGGGATTGTAGGTGTGAGCCACTGTGTCCAACCCACACTCCAGCTAGGTGATAGAGTGACACCCTGTCTCTTAAAATAGATAAAAATAATATACAGAAGACATAAAAGCAGAGGTTAATGATTAAAAAAAAGAGCTAGGTAAGTTATCCCCTCTTTTTTACATATAAATTCAGAAACTCTTTTAATGCTGTTTACTAATGACATTATAGCCACTGTGTCCAGCCTGTATTCCAGCTAGGTGACAGAGTGAGACCCTGTCTCTTAAAATAGATAAAAATAATATACAGAAGACATAAAAGCAGAGGTTAATGAGTTAAAAAAAAGAGCTAGGTAAGTTATCCCCTCTTTTTTACATATAAATTCAGAAAATCTTTTAATGCTGTTTACTAATGACATTATACTTACATGTCTTCAGAATCAGAAGGTCCTTCTTTAATGTTTTCATCTTCAATTTCATCTATTTCAAGATTGTCTTGACGAACATCTCCTACGGTGGGAACATCCATAAGGGTTCTGAACAGCTTTGAGAGATCTGGAAGTGAACATGTCCTTAACATCTAAAATAAAAATCAACAAATTTCTTATTAGGAGAAAGATAATTAAAACATAAAAATGAGAGAAAACTAGAACTAATCACAATTTTGTTACATATGTGTAAAATGTAACATATAAAAAGTTTTTTTATATATGTAACATATATATGTAACATATAAAAAATATATATATATATTTTTAGAGCTAGAGGATCCAAAGGTGACTTGCATAAAGCTAGAACCTAATTCTCTTGAATTTCAGCTCAGTCTTTTTTCACAGGAAACTAAACTTGTGAGTTATGTTTGGGTTTTAGCACAGGAATTCCCTGATACCACCTTTGAAAACTGGGAGAAGTGTTTATTTAGGTATAAACATGGAATGGACTTGGAAATCTGTCAGGAATCAGGCAGTGCTAGAAACTATCTGTTTTCTCCTTCTCACTCACGACCCATTTGTTCCGCTTTCACGGTGTTTCTGCTAAGTGTTCCTCTCATCTTCCTATGGTCAACTTGCCCCACACAGTCTTGCCCAAATGCTGCAGCATGTTAGTCTGAAGTTTGGCTAAGCACCACCACACATAACTGACAGCCCCTTGTATCACTCAATTGTAGGAACTGCTGATTAGCCACATACTGGTGAAATGAGGGGCCTCAAATCAGTGCAGAGAGAAGCCTATCAGTGCTTCCCTGACCATGGGACTGTGAGTGGAACCTTTCTCACTAGAACAGAAGGCAGGAAGGACAAGCACTTTGATGTCAATGCTGAGCATAATTTGCAGGAACAGTAAGAAGAAACTCAGCCAACTGAGTTGAGGAAAGAAAAAAAGCACAGCTGAGGTGTTGAAAATGTGAATCCGTACTGGATAAGGGATAATAGAAATAGCCTCTGTCCAACAACCTTTCAACAATTAGAATGTGATAGATAGACAAGGCTATGAAACAACTAACTACATACATAACTCTCACAGCTGGGTTAACCCTAAAGGAATCTGTGAGATTTGAAACATGACTACTAAGGCACTGATAAGAACTCTTCACCAGATGGGAGCCTGTGAGGAAAACACAATGTTTAGCATATTAATGAAAACTTATATACTTGGCCAATTTTATTGGTACAATCTGTTTTTGAGAATAATGAAAAAGATTTCCATTATTTGAACATAATTTAAATGTTCTCACACTCAAGGGAAAAATCGTTATGAACTACAAGTTGGTAAAAGTACACTGCTTGTTAAATCACTTAGTGATGGTACTGGAAGTATTTCTTTTGCTGAATTTCCCACTGTCTGTAGAATTCACACTTTCCTTGTTTATTATTTTAATGGTTTGGACCATGTATATTATAAACTAGCAATATGTACCAGAAATGGTTTCCTTAGGTACCTGCTAATCAATAAACAGCACATATGCATTATATAATTAAATTTGGGGTTACTACATAAAATAATGCAATATTTTTTAGGCTGAGATAAATTCTGGCCCTGGTAAAATAAACTCAATTCTAGTTTACTCCTTTTGTTAACCAAAATAAATTTCAAGTGGTCATGTAATTTGACAACTTACCTCCTGGAACAGGTTTATACCAACCCACTAATCTGACAGCTATCAACTGGATAAGCCCTTCATGTTCACAGTACTCCTTGATAGACTAGTAAGTCCCCCCACCTACTCCCCCATGGCTTTGGAGGCTTTTTTCCCTATAGATTTATTTATTCTCATTTTTCCTTTTCATATTTTAAACAATACAAATGATTTTTTTTATTTCAATAGTTTTTGAGGTAAAGGTGATTTTTGGTTACATGGATACGTTCTTCAGTGGTGATTTCTGATATTGGTGCACGCAACACCCGAGCAGTGTACACTGTACCCAACGTGCAGTCTTTTATCCCTCATCTACCTCTCACCCTTCCCCCCTTGAGTCGCCGAAGTCCATTACATCACTCTTATGCCTTTGGGTCTTCACAGCTTAGCTCCCACTTATCAATGAGAACATACGCTATTTGGTTTTCTATTTCTGAGTTACTTCACTTAGAATAATGGCCTCCAGCTCCATCCAAGTTGCTGCAAAAGACATTATTTCATTCCTTTTTATGGCTGAGTAGTCTTCCAAGGTACGTATATTCCACGTTTTCTTTATTCACTCGTTGGTTGATGGGCAGTTAGGTCGTTTCCATATCTTTGCAATTGCAAATTGTGCTGCTATAAACATGGGTGTGTGTGTGTCTTTTTCATATAATGACTTCTTTTCCTTTGGGTAGATACCCAGTGGTGGGATTGCTGGATCGAATGGTAGTTCTACCTTTAGCTCTTTAAGGAAACTCCATACTGTGTTCCATAGTGGTTGTACTAATTTACATTCCCACTAGCAGTGTAAAAGTGTTCCCTTTTCACCACATCCAAGCCAACATCTATTGTTTTACTTATTGTTTTTCTTTTTTTTGAGACAGAGTCTTGCTCTGTCCCCAGGCTGGAGTGCAGTGGCGCGATCTCGGCTCACTGCAAGCTCCGCCTCCCGGGTTCACGCCATTCTCTTGCCTCAGCCTCCTGAGTAGCTGGGACTACAGGCGCCCTACACCACGCCCAGCTAATTTTTTGTATTTTTAGTAGAGACGGGGTTTCACCATGTTAGCCAGGATGGTCTCGATCTCCTGACCTCATGATCTGCCCGTCTTGGCCTCCCAAAGTGCTGGGATTACAGGCGTGAGCCACCGCGCCCGGCCACTTACCTGTTTTTGGACTTCTTAATTATGGCCATTCTTGGCCGGGTGCAGTGGCTCACTCACACCTGCAATCCCAGCACTTTGGGAGGCCGAGGCAGATGGATCACTTGAGGTCAGGAGTTTGAGACTACCCTGGCTAACATGGTGAAACTCTGTCTCTATTAAAAACACAAAAATCTGCCAGTGTGGTGGCATGCGCCTGTAATCCCAGCTACTTGGGAGGCTGAGGCAGGAGAATTGCTTAAACCTAGGAGGCGGAGGTTGTAGTGAGCCGAGATCACACCACTGCACTCCAGCCTGGGCGACAGAGCGAGACTTTGTCTCAAAAAATAAAGAAAAGAAAAGAAAAAATTACGGCCGTTCTTGCAGGTGTAAGGTGGTATCTCATTGTGGCTTTAATATGCATTTCCCTGATGATTAGTGATGTTGAGCAGTTTTTCATATGTTTCTTGTTTATATTCTTTTCAGAAATGTCTATTAATGCCCTTTGCTCACTTTTTGATGGGATTGTTTTTTTCTTATTTGTTTGAGTTCCTGGTAGATTCTGAATAGTAGACTGGTAAGTTTGAAACAGGTTATTCATCTTTGGTCAAGAGAATTTTATAAAAGAACACTTTCAGTTCTATAATTCTGATTCTACTATTTCTATGTTGTTTAAACAATATTCTATAGTTTTAATATCCACAAAAAGAACTCTTTCTGAAAATAACAGCTCATCTATAACACACTGGCTGAGATCTTCATGTACAGTATTTTTTTTTTCAAGATTGTTACATGATAATTTACACATCTAGCATTTGGTACCATTATAAGTTCAAACAGGAGTACCAAATTTTAGGAAACCTTAAAATGTTTCCTTCAGTTTTTATTGCTGGTTAGTTCTATTTTTTTTCAAAGATGTAGAGAAACATATAACATAGTGAATGAATTCAGTATTACTTGCATTAACAGAACTTCAACTAAAAAATTCTACTCATAGTAATTCTAATACACTCTTTGAGCTCCAGTATTTTTCATATAAAATCAGGAAGTAGTAGTATTCTAGTTACACTACCAAATGTCTTATGATGGACACATTCTTTTAGCCTCTGTTTACTGCAATTAAATGCTGCTGCTGCTCTCTAAGAATAACCACTGTGAATATCTGCTTACTTCAACCGATACATCAGGCTCAAAATGGATTTAAAACATTAATTTAAAACTTAGGAACACTTCCCAAAGACAAAAATTACGGACATTATCTAATAATGGAATACTTTAACAAATCAAAAGACATCTAAGGTACATGTGCTATTTATGTGAATTATACATTCATCATTTTTTGCCACTTTGCATTTGCTTTAACAAGAAATTCTCAAGTTTTCATAAAGCAGATCATTTTTTTGTCCCACTCCCTATCCACAGAACACATCTGGTCTCTCTCCATCCCTTATTCACTATCCCCTAAAGTGAAGAAACACGAGCTGACTGAAGGCAAATTTGCAAGAGGGCACTGACAGTAAAGTGTGTGTCCTTCCTGTTCTCTTTCTCAGATCTGCCTGCCACAGAGTGTGTGCGTGCGTATCCTGTTTCCCTTCTGTTGCCTTGTGGTGAGCACAAATAGCTCAGGCCTACGCCTGCTTTCTAGGGACAAGATAGGTCTCACTCTCAGTCTTCCTGCTACTGGAGCTTGATGGATATAAAGCTCTTATTGTGGGTTAAGAAAGTTTGTTCTTCAGATTCCAAGGACTAGTCACAGGAGGAAAATATTGAGAGGCATGATTTTAAGCCAAACCTAAGGCCACATTTTCCAGTAGAGCTTTATCAAAAATAAAACTGATATTATGATCTTTATCTGACTCTATTTTTTTTTTTTTTTTAGTCTCAGTGGTCATGACTGACTGACTTATATTTTATTTTTGAGATGGTGTCTCGCTCTTGCTGCCCAGGCTGGAGTGCAATGATGCAATCTCGGCTCACTGCAGCCTCTGCCTCCTGGGTTCAAGCGACTTTCGGGCCTCAGCCTCCAGAGTAGCTGGGATTACAGGCATGTGCCGCCACACCTGGCTAATTTTGTATTTTTAGTAGAGATGGGGTTTCACCATGTTGGCCAGGCTGGTCTCAAACTCCTGACCTCAGGTGTTCCACCTGCCTCGGCCTCCCACAGTGCTGAGATTACAGGCGTGAGTCACTGCACACCGCCATGACTGACTTTTATGTCATTTTAACTGGCTGCAAATGAAGTGGAGTTAGCAGGTAATTCTCTATCTCAACCTACTTCAGATTTCATGGGATTATAAATTAATCAAATCTTGAAAATGTTACTATTTTTAAAAATTCCATTGGAAAAATATATTGATAATTTCCCTTTATAAAATCACAACAAATGCAAAGTTTTGATTTGAATCTTTACAAACCTATGTTGGCCTACAGACCATTCACTGCATTATGAAGGCATGTATCCCAGCCAGGAGTAACCTCTGAGGAATACCTTCATACCTGACTAGCAGGCTCCAGATAAGGAGGAGAAATGGGGCTCATGTACACAAACTTTCTTCACTAGCCTTGCTTCAATTTTTCCAATTATTTATGATCATGTATTTTATCATTTATATTCTCCAATTAGAATGGCTCCATGAGCAGAGGATTTTTGTCTGTTTTCCTCACTACTGTTAACTCTAGCATTTAGAGTGGTACCTGGCACATAGCAGATATTTAATAAATATTTGTTGACTAAATGAATCTGCCTTACAATAGCTTGACTCAGAGTGAGAATTTGTGGGCAACTCCACAAATTCATCCTGTATCCACTTGTGAGGACAACCAAACAGGCTTAACCAGTTTGTACTTTTAAAGAAACAGTTGTTCTTTAGAGAAGAATACAAGACTGTATCACTGGCTTTAAACTGCTTATCACCTGTCCTACCTTTGTTTCTTCTGAAGGTGGAACAGTGTTTCCCTAGACTGATTTCTACTTTTAAAAGCCTCCTTGTAAAAGGCTTTTAATCAAAACCCATCACTGATGAATTCTCCCTAACAGGACAAAGAAAAGGAAAGCTTTATGGTAGAGAATGAACTTTAAACCATGCTTCACCATTATCTTCTACTATTGGACTTCTTTGGCCTGCCTATACCTTTATCAAAACAAAGCTAGATTTGGTAAGGTACAAAGCAACCACATGTAAAAAGTCCCTAACTGATGAATACATTCTATCCACTGATAGAATTTATTGGGCATTAACCATGTATTAGATGCTGAGGATATAATGGTGATTGAAAATAGATCCAGTCTTTGCCTTATGATACTTTTAGGGAAGAAAAATATCCTGACTCTGGGAATTCTGAACATAGAAAAGTTATCACCACAAGACTAGAGAACAGTTGTGGCAACAGAAAGGAGAAAGGCTTATCTACGTTTCAGGAGCCATAGGTCTCTGCTGGAATAAGACTGAGAGGGGTGGTGGGGGGAGGGAGGGAGGAAGAGAGAGGAAGAAAGAGAGGGAAAGAGGGAGGCAAGGAGAGAGGCAAGGGAGATTGAGATTGAATGTCTCTTTGATGGAGTTCACTTAATGAACAAATATAAGGACCCAAACTTTTCAGACTGTTCTGATTTGTGGGCTATAAACTCTACCTTCTGTTCACTTAACATCATAGGTGTGTGGTGTTAATTTAGTTTATGTCACTTTTTTTTTAAAGCAACTCTTTACTCCTTCAAACTATAGTTATTAATATTTAAATAGTACAGCTAATTTTTTTTTTTTTTGAGACAGGGTCACGCTCTGTCATCCAGGCTGGAGCGTGACGGCATGAACACGGCTTACTGCAGCCTTGACTTCCTGGGCTCAAGCGATCCTCCCATCTCTGCCTCCGAAGCAGCTGGGACTAGAGGTGGGTGTGTGCCACCATGCTTGGCTAATTTTAAAATGTTTTTGTAGAGGTGGGGGCTAACTATGTTGCTCAGGCTGCTCTCAAACTCCTGGGTTCAAGTGATCCTCCTGCCTCGGCCTCCCAAATACACCTAAATTTTATGCCACATTCCTCTACAACAAATTCCAAAGTTTTCCAGGCAAGTTTTCATATAAGATGGCAATGCAGGAAGTACTTCACCACAGGCAACAGTTATTTTATGAATAAATAAGTGATAAAGTACAAATTTAAATGACCTTTAATCAGTCTTTGTCTCTGTGTGAGAAACTAGATCAGTCACCTCATGTCACTAATACGTCCTTCAAAATCTATACTGATCCACCATGTACTTCACCTCTCTGCATTGTAATTTCCTCATCCGTAAAATGGAGACAACAGTATTAATGGCCAGGTGCGATGGCTCACGCCTGTAATCCTAGAACTTTGGGAAGCCGAGGTGGGCAGATCGCTTGAGGTCAGGAGTTCAAGATGAGCCTGGGCTACACGGTGAAACTCCGTCTCCACTAAAAATACAAAAATTAGCTGGGCATGGTGGTGGGTGCCTGTAATCCCAGCTGCTTGGGAGGCTGAGGCAGAAGAATCACCTGAACCCAGAGGGCAGAGGTTGCAGTGAGCCAAGATTGTGCCACTGCACTGCAGCCTGGGTGACAGGGTGAGACTCAGTCTGAACAAAAACAGTATTTGTCACATAGGGTCACTGTGAGAAGTAACTATATGTCAAGCAGCTAGAACAGTATATAGAATACTATTCATACTATTAGCCAGCTACTATTACACTAATAATTAGTATACTTTTATTAGATGGTAGTTCATAGCTACTTCCCAAGACAAAAAATATTAATAATTGTGAACAATGCAAGGCTGTTTTCTGATCTAGAATCTATTTGCTTAAATTTTAATGAGTTACAGTCATACATCCTACTAGTAACAACAGAAAGGTCAGTATAATCTGTATTACTCTGATAATATGGTCTTAAATTTGGTACTTCTTTTTTATTACCACCAAGAAGTAAACCTCATATTAGTAATCTCTTTCCAAAATTTTATTGGTTGTTATCCAATAACCCTATATAGAAAATTAACTTGTTTAATATTTATGAATGTATTTGACAAAGTGTTCATAATTGTAATTCATCAGAAAGGCACAGCACTCAAAATTAGACATTCCTTTGAAGCATTATTAATATTTTTAGTGGTCAAGGAGGGTTGACATATAACATACTTTAAACACTTTCCAGGCTGCAATTAGGTCAACTGTGATCTGTGGCAGTATTTCTCAAGTGGGGAATGTGGACCACCAGCAGCAGAATTACTTACGGTGTGTGCCAAAAATGCATATTCCTGACCTCTGCTCCAGATATATTAAAACAAATACCTTTAGCTGTGAGGTGTAAGAATCTGTATTTTAGACAAACATTCTTCACGGTACCCACATTAAAATTCTAGAGTTAAGGCTATATGGTTTAAAACAAACTGATCATTAATCAATGGTGAATGAACAAAATGGTGAATGAACAAAAAAGTTTTCATGAAGAAGTTCTAGTTTTGATTAAAAATTGCTCTGTAACCTACTTTAACAAAAATAGCTGGCCACCTAACCAAACTAGAGTCTGAGTTACAGTCATTTTCCATTATAGGTTATCAATTGTATCACCGCCTCATTGGATTTCAAAGTTATCAACCAACAACATAGAGCACTGCATGGCATGCCTTTGCAGTGCCATCCACTGAATAATCTATTAAAAGCTATATTGCAAAATGTGACTCTTTCAAAGACAAACAGCTAATTCATTTGGTAATCTAGAATCTGTCCTTATGTAAACAAAAGCATGAGAAAACAACAATTTTAGACTATTTAATTTTGACCTTTCACAAACTAACCTTCAGTGATCTCCAAGTGTGATACCTCATTTTAGTAAGTCACTTTATAGCTACCTTATAAAATCATCTACTGTATTTACAGTAGAAGTAGTACTGAAGTTATCATAGGTTACAGAATTTATTGGCTGTTACAGAAAACTCCAGTAGAGAAATCCCTTACAGAGGGAAGAAGCAAGGAAAGCATTTATTCCCCTGAACAATTTATATATTTCTCTCCTCTGGGGAATATGGCATAGTTTATAATTCTCTTTTCATTTTGACTATCATTTAAACAAATCTTATACTCAATATTAATAACTATGTAAAATAGTTGCTAATGGCTTGATTTGTAATGCATATTCTCTAGTACAATCTATATATTTGGATGTGATCAATTCTTCTGGTCTGAAGCAGGGTATAAACAAATATGTAGTATAAAAGGAAGGGCAGTCTTCTGGAATAACTGCTTATTCCAGGCCTATCCCTGCTGATGAATGGTGGCAATCAAAGCATTACTCTGACTGCCAGTCTTACAGTGATCAACTAAGCCACTAACTACTATCTGTATGGATGCTTAAACATGTAATTCAGTTTACTGTCATTACATCTTAGTTTCTGCAAAAAGAGCCCTTTAAAGTACATTAAAGGAATGCCTTAGTATCATGATCCAGAGCATATTCCCAGAATTCTAGGGCTCTAAACACGTGGCTAAGGAACTGCTTGTGAGGTGGAGGGCGGGGTAGGAGCAAGAGGACAAGGGAGGACTTGGGCCACAAGAACAGCTCCACTTTTATCTCTTTAAGACATTGTATTCCTTTATTCAGAAAAAAGAGAGACTTTTTCTAGAAAACGGGGAAAAGATCCCACAGATTCGAAAACTAAGGACATCTGCTTAAGGACAAGAATGACTGGAATCTTACCTCCTTCACATCTGAGTTACTAAGAACTAGTTGTAATGTCTCAAACACACTGTGCTATCTCATGTTCATGACAGTTAATTTTGCTTTAAATGTTCTCATGTCTTATCCACCATGCGAACTTTTTCAGAAATCTTTCTTTGTTCTAGGACAGACTTAATCATTTCCTCTTTAGTGGTCCCACTATCCCACATTCATCTCTCCATTACAGGAATTATCATAATGCATTACAAGTGTTTTCACTTATTTGTTCCTTCTCAAACCGTGTGGTAGATAAGATTTACAACAGCATCCTCAAGGTAAATACAAAAGTCTTCTAGAGAATTTCTTATACTACTCACCAAAGTAAACTGACAGCATAAAGATATATTAATGTACATCTTATTTAAGACAGATCTTTGGTGTACTGGTTAACAATCCTCACATTAGGTATCACAGATACATAAATGTCTAGATGTTATCAGAGGTACTCAAAGATTAAGATTAAGCACATGTGGCTGGGCATGGTGGCTCACGCCTGTAATTCCAGCACTATTGAGAGGTCAAGGTGGGAGGATTGCTTAAGCCCAGGAGTTCCAGACCAGTCTGGGCAACATAACGAGACCTTGTCTCTACAAAAAATTTAAAAATTAGCCAGATATGGTGAAGCATGCCTGTAGTCCCAGCTATTCAGGAGGCTGAGGCGGGAAGATTGCTTGAGCCCAGGAGGTTGAGGCTGCAGTGAGCCGTGATTGCACCACTGCACTCCATTCTGGGAGACAGAGCAAGACCCTGTCTCTAATATTAAAAAAAGATTAAGTGCATTCATGAATATACTTTAAATAAAATCACAGTAATAAGTGAAGCTGAAAAGCTAACAACTACTATATTAGAGTTTCCTGTATGTGCTATAGTAGCATGTCCTATAACTGTAATTTTCCAACCTGATGGCCAAGATGATGATGTCTGACATTAGTTGGGATGGCAATTACTAGAAATGGAAATGAAGCCAAGGCCCCACTTGAAAGACTATAATGAGTCACAGTTGAAAAGAACAAAGAGAAGCTCATTTCAGGCCAGGGTAACAGCAAGTGCAAACTCTACTGCAGGAAAGGGACTGGTGTATCAAAGGAAAATGTTAGAATGAGCTAGAGAAAAATGTTTTGAGGTCAGACAGAGAGGCAGTCAATGCCATATGAAACCTTGTAGACCATGGTAAAGAGTCTGAATATTAGTTAAGCAGCAGAAAGCCACTGAAGTCTTAAGCATGGCTGTGATTTGACATAATTTATAATACTAAAAAAGACTTCTGGTTTCTATTTGGACAATGGATTTCACACAGGCAGCCACAGAATTAGGAAGAGAAGTTAGGAAACAATTGGTTGATATGACTAGTAGATTGATGAAATAGATGAATAATCTGTAGGAAAGAACTAGAGTAATAAAGTTGAGTATCATCAGCATATAAATTATATTTAAAGCCTTGGGGTCAGATTACTTGGGAAGCAAATGCAAACAGAGAAGGCCCAGGACATAGCCTTAAAATATCACATTTATCTTCTGGAGACTTCCAGCTCTGGCCATGAGAGAGTAATAATGGCCAGACTTAACTTCCACAGGAAACAACTAGAAAACTGGACAAAATACATGACATTGTGTTTAGATATTAAACAATAAGCAGCACAAGACTGTGATCCCTGTGAGAAGGGAAATGAATGAAGTAAACCCTACCACTAAACTGGCTTTCTGCCTGGAGAAAATATCTGGACTTTGGGTGCAGCCTTGCTAGACTGATGAGACAAAGATCAAAGTCCAGGGAGGTAGAACTAGAAAAGAGAGATTCATTAAAATAAAACAAAAAAAACTTCAAAACTTTGCAAGGTAGTTTTCTTGAGTCTTTGATGAGCACAGGCCATGAATATGCAGAATGAAACTTCACAAAGCTAGGCCAAAACAGCTGGGGAGTTGTAAGCTGAACAATGCTCAGAGCTCATGCAGGTAGGAGATGATCAAACTGACCGGGAGGGAGGTGTTTCCTCAAGATCACCTGTGATGTACAGTGGAGGCCCTAGAGGGTCATGCCTTGGAAATAAGTTAACTAGCTCTAGAATGAAGACAACTTTACACTTGTCCTAGCAAAGCTTAAAAACAAAGTTTAAAAGTGTAAAATAGATCCACAAGTAACTTGACTAACTTAAACCCAATACTCTTTACAGGAAGATAGTAATAACAAAAAAATCAGAGACCTAGGAATATAATATTCACAAGGTCCACCTTCAAATAAAGAATTATAAAACACACCCAGAAGTAGGACAATATGATCCATAACCAGTAGAAAAATAAGTCAACAGAAGAAGATACAGAGATGATGGAACTCGCACATAAGGATATTAAGCCAGCTATTTTAATGGAGTATTAAAGGATAAACACGAACATAATGTGGAGAGAAATGAAAGACACAAAAACAACTTCTAAAGATAAAACACACAATATCGAAATAAAAGGTTCACTGAGTGGGATTAATAGTATATTATTGCAGAAAAAAGATAAGTAAACATGAATACATACTAATAGAATTTATCCACAAGGAAGTACAGAGAGAAAAAAAGACTGAAAACAAAATGAACATAATCTTAGTGACCCGTGGAATGGTATCAAAGAGTCTAACATATGTAACTGGAGTCACAGAAAAGGTAGTAGAGAGAGAGAAAAAATATTTAATTGAAATAATAGCCAAAACTTTTCCAAATTTAATGAAAAGTATAAACCTAAGGGTCCAAGAAGATCAATGAACCCCAAAACAGGATAAACACACACACATTACAGACCCCATATACAGCATTGGTCCCATAAGATTATAATAAAGCTGAAAAATTCCTCTCACCACCTAATGGCATTGTAGTGTCATAGTTTAATGAATTACTCATGTTTGTGGTGATGCTGATATAAACAAACCTACCACACTGCTAGTCCTATAAAACCTTACTCCAAAAACCTTACTCCCCAAAACCCTTACCAAAGCATTTAATAATCAAAATGCTAGAAACCAGTGATAAAAAGGAAACTGTAAAAGAAGCCAGAGAGAAAGATACTCTATATACATGAAGATAAGAAAGCTCACATATTTCTTAGAAACAATGCAACCCAGAAGACAATATAATTCTATATCTAGTGAAAATATCCACTCAAAATGAAGGTGAAATGAAAACACTTTCATACAAACAAAATCTGAAAAAAAAAATCATCATCAACAGGGCTGTGTAAGAAGTGTTAATGGAAGTTCTTAAAGTGGAAGAAAAAGAATACCAGATAGAAACTTGAATTCTGCACAAAGGAACAAAAAATGTCAGAAATAGTAAACATGTAAATATAAAATACTTTCCAATTTCTGACTTCTGTAAAAGATAAATGAATGTTTAAGCAAAAATAATAAAAATGTATTGTGGAATTTATAACGTGGTAGAAAAAATACCCGACAACAATACCACGAAGGACAGGCAGGACGGGAATGGAAGTACAGTCATGCTTTGCTTAACAAAGATACGTTACGAGAAAAGTGTTGTTAGGCAATTTTGTCATTGTGTGAACATCATAGAGTGTAATTACACAAACCTAGATGGTATTAGCCTACTACATATCTAGGATATGTGGTACAGCCTATTGTTCCTAGGCTACAAAACCTGTATAGCATGTTACTACACTCAATATTATAGAAGATTGTAATACAATGGTAAATATTTGTCTATCTAAACACTAAGGTATAGTCAAAATACCATATAAAAGATTAAAAATGGTGCACCTGTATAGGTACTTACCATGAATGGAGCTTGTGGAACTGGAAGTTGCCCTGGGTAAGCCAGTGAGTGAGTGGTGAGTGAAATGTGAAGGCCTGGGACATTAGCGTACACTACTGTGGACTTTATAAACATTGTATACATAGACTACACTAAATGTATTTAAAAATTTTCTGTCTTCAATAAATTAACCTTATCTTACTGTAACCTTTTCACTTTATAAACTTGAAGACACAAACACACACGTCAGCCTATGCCTACAGAGGGTCAGGATCATCAACATCACTGTCTTCCACCTCCAATCTAGAAAGTCTTCAAGGGCAATAACACGAATGAAGCTGTCATCTCCTGTGATAACTATACACTATACACTGAAATACCTCCTGAAGGACCTGCCTGAGGCCGTTTTACAGTTCACTTTCTTTTAATACGTAGAACACTCCAAAATAATGATAAAAAGTAAAGTATTAAAAATACACAAACCAGGCATGCAGTCAATTATTATTGTTGTCAAGCATTAGGTACTGTACATAATTGTATGTCCTAAACTTTTATAGGACTAGCAGTGTGGTAGGTTTGTTTACATCAGCATCACCACAAACATGTGAGTAATGCACTACACTGTGACACTACGATGTCATTAGGTGGTGAGAGGAATTTTTCGGTCTATTATAATCTTATGGGACCACTGCTGTATATGGGGTCTGTAATTCACTGAAATGTCATTATGTGATGCATGACTGCCTATAGTTGTAAGGTTTTTATGACATATGTGAAGTGGTATAATATTATTTGAAGGGAGATTATGCTAAGCTAAAGATGTACCTTGAAAACAAACAGTAGAGATAAAATAAGGTGCTAAAAATACTAAATCCAAAGGAAGGAAGAATAAAAGTAAAAAGGGAACAAAAAAGTGATCAAATAGAAAACAAATAGCAAAATGGTAGGTTTAAACCCAATCATATGGTTGTGATATTAATAATTACATTAAATGTAAATTGTCTAATCAATTAAAAGAGATTGTTAGACTTGTTAAAAACAAGACTTGACTAACATGCTAACTGTAAGAAATCCACTTTAAATATAAAATGTTTGGTTAAGAGCAGTAAAGAATGTATATATACCATATAAAGATTAAGCATAAGAGAGCTGGAATGGCTATAATAAAACCAGAGAAAATGTTTCAGACAAGGTGATATGACCAGTGATAAAAGGATTCATTTCATGGTGACAAAGGGGTTGATTCATTAAGAAGACATATTGATTCTTAGTTCAAATGCAACTGAGTGGAAATTTCAACACTCCTTTTCAGTAATTGATAAGTAGAAAGAAAATCAGTAAGGATACTGAACAACGTGATCAAACAAAAAGGATACTTCATAAACATAAACTTATCAATTCATCCAGGAGACATAAGAATGCTAAATTTTTATTTGCCCCAAAACAGAACTTCAAAATACATAAAATAAAAACTGACATAACTGAAAGAAGAAATAGTTATCTATACAAGTTGATATGGTTTGGCTATGTCCCCACCCAAATCTCATCTGGAATTGTAATCCCCAAGAGTCAGTGAAGGGACCTGGTGGGAGGTGACTGGATCATGAGGGCAGATTTCCCCCATGCTATTCTTGTGATGGTGAGTGAGTTCTCATGAGATCTGACAATTTAAAAGTGTGTGGCACTTCCCCCTTCGTGCCCACGCTCTCTCCCTCTCTCTGTCTCCTGCTGCCATGTAAGATATGCCTTGCTTCCCCTTCACCTTCTAGGACCATGATGGTTAAGTTTCCTGAAGCCTCCCCAGCCATGCGGAACTGTAAGTCAATTAAATCTATTTTCTTCATAAATTACTCAGTCTCAGGTACTTCTTGAAAGCAGTGTGAAAATCAACTCTACACAAGCGTAGTTAAGAATTTCAATCTTCTCTCAGCAATTTATAGTTCAAATAGATTAAAAAATCAGTAAAGATGCAGAAGACTTGAACACTATCAACCAATTTGACTTTATAGACATTCATAGCATATTTCACAGTAGAAAAACACACATTATTTTTAAGAAATTTGTTAGAGTAGGATCCACCAGCAGTGGAGACAGAAGAGTGACTACTGAGTTCAGAGAAAAACTAGGAAAGTACAATATAAAGGGAGCCAACAGATAAAGTGAATTTAAAAGTACAGCATATATGAACTCTGAAAAGCTAAGAAAGGTGAAAGAGAAAACGGTGCAGAGAATTTGGCAACATACTGGTAACTGACTATCTGAACAGAGCCGCTTCAGTGGACGAGCAGGCTAAAAGCCATGCTGGAATGTATTGGGAAGTGAATGTATGTGGAAACTGCAATGAGACTGCAACATAGTCAAGATGCTTGGTTGCAAAAGGGGATAGAGAAATGGGGTCGTAGGTAAAGAAGGATACTGTGCTCAAAAGAAGTTTGCTATTTTTGATGAGATTTATTAGAACATATATGTTGAGTAAATGATCCACTATAGAAAAAGTTGATGACACGGGTTAGAGTGGCAAAATTAATGGAGTCAGTTCCTTGAAGAGTGAGGAGGTGGGATCCAAAGCACAAGGGGAATTTCCTCAATCAAGAAAAAAATCCCACCAGTAGTATAACTTAACATTTGCAAAAAAGAGTTTTAAACATGCTTATAAAAGGTTAAATTATCCCACCTTAGTAAACAGATTATATAAATATTTATAGAACGGGCAGGGATGGTTTTGTGTTCTTTTCCTAAATGGCTACAGACTGCTTTGATTTTCTAGTGTTTTTTCTTGCCTCTTTTCCTCATACTCCTCTACATGAAATCTGCATTGCTGCTTCTAATTTGCTGTGGTTACTTCCAGAGTAAGTTCTTCTATAGAACTCTTAAGGTCATAAAAGAAAATCAAACAATCAAATGTATTATGCAAAGAATATTAACTTTATAGATGGCAATAGGTATTAAGAAGCTCTGAGCTAAAGATGGCTATACATCTTTACTACAAGAAAAGTACATGAATTGTATGATAGTCCTTATCTATAGGCCTTTCTCTCTAACTCTGAAGATCATAAATTGGTTTTGGTAGTTCACACCTTTCAAAAGACTGATATTAGATACATGAGGAAATTTAATAATCTCTAAATTTAAGATAAGCATAAGAAAATACTCCACAAAATGAAAGTATACCCAGTTGGAAAATTAAATTGAAAATCAAAGTGACTATTTATTATTTATTTGAGACAGAGACTCACTCTGTCACCCAGGCTGGAGTGCAATATTGCAATCTTGGCTCACTGCAACCTCCACCTCCCGGGTTCAAGTGATTCTCTTGCCTCAGCCTCCCAAATAGCTGGGATTACAGGCCCACACGACCACGCCCAGCTAATTTTTGTATTTTTAGTAGAGATGGGGTTTTGCCATGTTGGCCAGGCTGGTCTCGAGCTCCTGAGCTCAAATGATCCGCCCACCCCAGCTTCCCAAAGTGCTGGGATTCTAGGTATGAGCCAGCATGCCTGGCCAAAATGACATATTTAAAAAATAGTTAAGGACTAAAGAATTCAGGCAGTTGATTCTTTTACAGGCTAAAATAAAAAAAAATGCCCAATCTCATTTGTAAAACACAGAAACATAAATGTATACAAATCAATAACATTACTCATTTGATAAATAGACAATTTTTAAGTAAATAATAATAGTGGGTGGTATTTAACACACAGAGAAATGGATGTACTTTCACATACTATTGACAGCACTATAAACTATTTGGAAATCAGGCAGTATACAATATAACCTTTTGAATTCCACTTATAGAAATTTATTTTAGGGAAATAATTGTAGATATGTACAAAGATAAGAGGTGTGATTACAACAACAAAAATTACAGCGGAAAGGCATGACAATAGAAAAAGATTTGTAAAAAGATTATGATAAGCAGCTCAATGGAATATGTAGTTATTTATGATGATATAAAGAGAATATGTGACAATGACAAAGTGCTATTTTCATCACAGTATTGTAATAATGGCATTTGCAATAATGTCGTAATATATATTGAATAGAAAAGGTTATAAAGAGTATACATAAAATCTTATTTTGGTAAAAAGTTATGTATATGCAAAGGTTATATAAAGAGTAATATAACAAATGATTATTTCTTATTTTTACCTGCGTTTCAACATTTTCTGTAGAGATATTTTTTATAAGAAAAAATTGGTTACATATATTCAAAAATAGCAAGTGAGAAAAAGAGGTCCGAAAAACTTCTACCAGAAAGTGCATATGAATATCTCTTAATGTTTTTATATACAAATTAGGCAATATAGCACCTCTGTCTATTTAAGATATATTGCTTAAACTTAGTGTGATACTAAAAATGGAAGTCAGGTTGGGTAGTGGGAAAGAGCAATAGTGCATGAGGGTATATAAAGGGACTTTTTGCTCAAGTAAAAGACTCTATAAAAAAAATCCTGAACAGGAAGCCAATGAAATAGTCTTTATCCTAGTTGTACTCTCAATTGCAATTTATTTGCTCAGAAGATGGAGGTTTTTGTTGGATGTGTGTTTGTGTCTGTGTTAAGAGATTAAAACTCAATATTATGGTTTATAAAAGAAAAACAATAATACATGTTATCGAATGGATAATATTTTCCACTTGAGGACCATACTTGCCTTTGGGTTGTTTGCATCAAACAGACCAGTTGAAAGTCCAATCAGCAAGGAATTCTTGTTTTTATTTTTTGGTGGTAAATGCGAGTGAGATCGAAATGCAAAGGATTCTTCTGGTGAACACTGAACTGATTGAACTTGAGGGACTAAGTTCAAGTGTTCAGAATGAACCACCTTATGGAAAAATGGTTCCGGTTGCACAGACTTATCTACATCACATTTAGAGTGCTGAGAATCATTGGTTCCAGGCTCTGTGGTAGAAAGGAGAGATTATGTGGTAAGTCTATACAGTACTTAAAGTTCTAAATGATATTGATAAGGCACAGTATGTAACACAAATTCTAGCAAAAAACCCACATATCAGGAAAATAAAATCAAAATATGTGTGTCAGTATATTACCTTCTGAATAATCTTTAATAGGATACAATGTTCTATCTTCAGAGAGTTGATTTAATTTGTTATGTACTTTCATTATATTGAAAGTTCTACAATACAGACACAAGGGTGGGCATGGTGGCTAATGCCTGTAATCCCAGCCCCTCAGGAGGCCAAAGTGGGAGGATTGCTTGAGGCCAGGAGTTTGAAACCAGCCTGAGCAACTAAGTGAGACTCTCTCTCCACAAAAAATAAAATAAAATTAGCCAAGGTGGAGGATTGCTTGAGGCCAGGAGTTTGAAACCAGCCTGAGCAACTAAGTGAGACTACGTCTCCACAAAAAATAAAATTAGCTGGGTGTAGTAGCGCATGCCTATAGTCCCAGCTACTCTGGAGGATGAGGTGAGGGTTGTTTGAGCCCAGGAGTTCGAGGCTGCAGTGAGTTATCATCGCGCCACTGCACTCCAGCCTGGGCAACAGAGTGAGACCCTGTCTCTCAAGAAAAACAAACAAAATGAAAAAAAAAAAAAGACATAAATCCAAAGAAAGGTGAAAAAATACACTATTTAGATACATATTTAGCTCCAGTTTATCTTTGTTCCTATAGGTTAGATGAAAACAATTATTTTTTCTTTTCTTTTTAAGAAATAGGTCTTGGTCTATTGCCCAGGCTGGAGTGCAGTCTTGGCCTCAAGCAATCCTCTCACCTCAGTCTCCTGAGTAGATGAGACTACAGGCATGCCACCATGCCTGGCTAATTTAAAAAATTTTTTGTAGAGATGGAGTAGCGCTATGTTGTCCAGGCTGGTCTCAAACTTCTGGCCTCAAGTGATCCTCCCACCTCAGCCTCCCAAAGTGCTGGGATTACAGGTGTAAGCCATTACACCCAGCCTACCTTTCTTACATTTTAACTAATACTATTTTAAAAAGAAAACAATTTATTTAATGTCCTTAGTACACTGGCTTAGCTTTGGCAAGTAATTCTTTTCATTTTTAATATTCAATAAAAATAACTGACCAAAAACTTTCACTGCCATGTTGCCATACAATCCAGGCTTATTAATGTAGTCCAGTGTGCTATGCCTATTATATTTTTTAAATGATTGAGATGACTGATAAGGAATGCTTTCTTATTTATATATTACCCAAATAAAACAGGTTGATGTTAATAATCATTAACATCTTCCAGAAAGTAATTAGACTAATGCAATGATGCTTACCTATATGAATGTCACTAAGTTGGTCCACAGTACTCGAGACTCCATCTTCAGAAACTTCATTTTCCTGAATGGTGATCCTATCTGCCGACCTGCCACAGATGGGTACACCAATTAAAAACACACACACTTAGTTTACCAGAAATAAAAGTGCTCTAAAATACAGGAAATGGAACACAAGTTCACTAGCATTCTTTGATCCCTCTTCCAAGTATTTTTCTCACTTTCATATATACTTTCTCACATAAGTACAATGTATTTTTCACCCTGTTCAAATCCTCACCAAATAGTAATCATTCACAGCAACCAGGCTCACCATGTTTTATAACAATGGTTCTCAAAGTACAGTCCCCAAACAACGGCATAGTAAAGAAACTGGTTAGAAATACAAATTCTCAGCCTCACCCTTGACCTGTGAATCAGAAACTTTGGGGGATAACGCCCAGCAATTAGTTGGGAAAAGTCCCGAAGTCATTCTAATACATGCTAATGTTTGAGAACCACTACTTTAAAGAATGGGAATGCCCCTTAAGAGTGGAGAATATAAAACAATTACAATATATTAATACCATGGAATATCATGCAGCTGTTAAAAAATGAAGCAGAGATCTATATAAACTGATTAGAATAGGCAAGATATACTGTTAAGTAAACAAAGTGATTCACAGACCAATTTGTATTAAATGGTGTTAGGTTTTGAAAAAATGGTTTGTAGCACAGAAAAATAGAATAAGATTCACAAAAATATTTTAACCCTCAAAGGGAGGGGATTAAGATTGAGGAAAAAAAAATAAAAAAGAACTCACAATTTTTATCTCTATATGCCTGGGAATTAAATTCATGCATTTTTTTTAAACAAAAATTTAAAGACTGGAAGAATATATTCCAAAAGTACCAGTAATTTATCTCTGGGAGTTAGCTTATAGGTAAGTTTTTATTTTCTAAATACTTTTAAATTGGTTTCAAATTTTATTTTATCTTTTAAATTTATTTATTTATTTTGAGATGGAGTCTCACTGTGTTGCCCAGGCTGGAGTGCAGTGGCACGATCTCGGCTCACTGCAACCTCTGCCTCCTGGGTTCACTCCATTCTCCTGCCTCAGCCTCCCGAGTAGCTGGGACTACAGGAGCCCGCCACCATGCCCGGCTAATTTTTTATATTTTTAGTAGAGACAGAGTTTCATCGTGTTAGCCAGGATGGTCTCGATCTCCTGACCTTGAGATCCGCCCGCCTCGGCCTCCCAAAGTGCTGGGATTACAGGCATGAGCCACTGCGCCCGGCCTGTTTCAAATTTTAAATAATTTTCTACTTTCTCATTTTCAGATTTTCAACCATTTTCTGCTTTTATTTTATTTTATTTTATTTATTTTTGAGAGAGTCTCACTCTGCCACCCAGGCTGGAGTGCAGTGGCACAATCTTGGCTCACTGCCGCCTCCTCCTCCCAGGTTCAAGCAATTCTTATGACTTAGCCTCCCAAGTAGGTAGGGTGACAGGCACATGCCACTGCACCCAGCTAATTTTTGTATTTTTCAGTAGAGATGGGGTTTTGCCATGTTGGCCAGGTTGGTCTCAAACTCCTGACCTCAGGTGATCCACCCGCCTCGGCCTCCCAAAGTGCTGGAATTACAGGCATAAGCCACCATGTCCAGCCTCTGTTTTTTATTTTTTAAGCTTATATATATATTTATTTTAAGAGACAGGGTCTTGCTCTGTTGCCCAGTCTGGAGTGCAGTGGAATAATCATGGCTCACCTCACTGCAGCCTTGATCTCCTGTGCTCATGTGATCCTCCCACCTCAGTCTCCCAAGTAGCTGGGATTACAGGCACATGCAACCATGCCTGGCTTTTTTTTTTTTCTGTAGAGGTGGGGTCTTGCTATGTTGCCCAGGCTGGTATCAAACTCCTGACCTCAAATAACTCTCCCACCTTGGCTTCCCAAAGTGCTGGGATTACAGGCATGAGCCACTTTCCCCAGTCAAGCAACATATTTATTCATTCAAAATATAATGTCCCTTGGTTCCTCAAAAAGGTAAACTGAACTACCATATGATGCCACAATTCCACTCCAAGGTATATACCCAAAGGAACTGAAAGCAAAGACTCAAACAGATACTGTGTGTCAATGTTCTTTGCAGCACTCTTCCAATAGCCAGATGGTGGAAACAACCTACGTGCCCATCAACTGATGAATTATAAAAATATATGGGATATATATATATATATATATAATGGAATATTATTCAGCCATAAAAAGAAATGAAGAAGTGGCATATCCTACAACATGGATGAAAAACTAAAAACAGTATGTTAAGTAAAAGAAGCCAGAAACAAAAGGCTATATACTATATGATTCTGTAAGAAAAATCCAGTATTGCTAAATCCACAGAGACAGAAAGCAGATTAGTGGCTGCCAGAGGTTGGTGGGGAGGGAAAAAACGGGGGATGATTGCTTAACAGATAGAGAGGTGGGTGATGAAAATGTTCTGGAACTATATAGTGGTGATGGTTGTACACCACTGTGAATTTCTAAATGTAATTGACTTGTACAATTTTAAATGGTGAATTTTACGTTATGTGAATTTTATTCCAATAAAAAAGTTAAGTTCCTTTCAGGACTCCTAACTACTCGAATTCCAGTTGCCTTTCCTATTATTAGTTTGGTGCACACCTTACGAGATTTTTCCTTTAAATTTACATGCTAATCTAATCTATGGAGATGGTTTTTTCATTCAATATTATTTTATTCCATTAATCAATGTTTTAGACATCTTTCCATATTAATAAAGAGTCCCCTTTATTCTTTTAGGTGCTGTATTATATTCCATTAATGCTTTAGAGTTGACCCTTGAACAACATGGGTCTGAACTTCATGCATCTACTTAGATGCAATTTTTTTTTCAACCAAATGTGGATTGAAAATACTGTATTCGTGGGATGCAAACCCGTGTACACAGAGGGCTGGCTTTTCATATATATGGATTCCACAGAACCCACTGTGGGACTTGAGTATATGTAGATTTTGGTATACGAAGGATACTGGAACCAATCCCTCAAATATACTAAAGGATGGCTGTATACAGAAACACAGCAGTATTTTTAGCTATCTCCTTATTAATGCTTATTTAGACTGTTGCAAATTATTGGCTGTGACTCTCCTGGAATGAATATTCCTGCATTTGCTTCTTTGTGCTCATGTATGAAGGATCTGAAGAGTAGATACCAAAAGTAAAAGAGGTATATTATAGGATGTGCACATTTAAAACGTTAAAAAAACTGTCAAATGGATCTCTAAACTGGCTCTACCATTTCATATATGTATTTGCAGTCCATCAAAGAACCATAGTCCCAATCCCTCACATACATTTGATATGTCATTTCTCTTCCCCATTGCTTCATGTTATTTTATGGAAAAACAATCAGTGGAAAATACATCTTTTCCACTGATGTGGAAAAGGACTCTTGCCCTGCCTTTTACTCACTCTTCTTTGAGGAGGAGTAAGTATCTGACTAGCAGTGACATTCACAGGACCCTAGTTCTCCACTAAGTTAGTCTCTCAAACACTTACCATCTGTCATTTTATCGATGCCCTGTAACTCCTAAAGTATCATACTGTTGTATTTACTATCTGGATTTCTTCCTTCATGAATAGCCTATTCATCACCTTTCCCCATTTTTCCCTTGGACTTCTGTCTTTTTCTTATTAATTTATACACATTCTTTATAAATTCTGGATATTAATTTTTATGTTAGGCTGCCTCCTTTAAAAATTTTTTATTTAGGTCTTTAATCAATCTGGTATTGTTTTGTTGAATGATTTCAGAAATGGAAATGATTATTTTATTTCTTCCAAATTGTGATTTATTTGTCCCAAAAGCAGGTATTAAATAGGTTATCTTTTTATGTTGATTAGAAATCTTTACCATTTATTAAATTTCCACACACATATCAAACACCGGTTTTCTATTATTCCTATAATATGTAAAAATGATTTAAAAAATAGAAAACACTCTCTCTGCCTTTAAGGAGCTTTTTTTGTTTTTGTTTTTGTTTTATTTTTGACAGAGTCTCACTCTGTCACCTAGGCTGGAGTACAGTGGCGCAATCTTGGCTCACCGCAACCTCTACCATTGGTTCAAGTGATTCTCATGCCTCAGCCACACAGGTAGCTGGAATGACAGGTGTGCACACAACCACACCTGGCTAATTTATTTGTATTTTTAGTAGGAACAGGGTTTCGCCATGTTGGCCACACTGGTCTCGAACTCCTGGCCTCAAGAGATCTGCCTACCTCAGCCTCTCAAAGTGCTGGGATTACAGGTGTAAGCCACTGGGCACATACTGCTAAGCAAAAGGGGCCAATCTAAAGACTTCATACTATATAACTAGATGACATTCTGGAAAAGGCAAAACTATGGAGACAATAAAAAGGTCAGTGGCTGCCAGGGATTGTGGGGTGCAAAGAAGACAGGATAAACAGGTGAAGCACAGAGGATTGTACAGTATCATAGGAATAATAGTGTAATGTGAATCCATGTCATTACACATTTGTCAAAACTTGTAGAATGTACCAAATAGTGAACCCTAATGTAAACTATAAACTTTAAGTTAATAGTAATGTGTCAATATTGGCTCATCAGTTGTAACAAATGAAATACATTAATGCAAGATGTTAAAAATATCACTTGTCAGGAATAAGAAAAAAAAAATTGTTGGGGGTGGGGAGTGAGAGGTATCTAATAAGTCTATAATTTTTGCTCATTTTTTTGTAAACTAAAATTGCTTACAGAAATCTATTAGTTAAAAAAACCAATACAGCCAATACAGCAAAAGACTAAAAAGAATATACAAATAAAATAAAAATGACAACAAAATTCAACTATTATATCATATCAAAGATATAGCATACTTCTGTAAATTAACTAGATATTTAAATACAAAAATTTCAGATTGAATCACGAACGATATCAGAAACATAATAAAATAATTCAGAAAAGCTGAAAACAGAAGGATGAGCCAATGCAGATTGGGAAAATATAAATAAAAAGATAAAACTTAGTCAAAAATATTAAGCAAGACTAAAACAATGATATTTTATAATGCTATAATGTGTAATTTACCACAAGAGTATTATACTTGTGAATATCTATGCACCAAATAACTTAGGAGCAACATTCATTAGATAAAAATCACTTGAAATATAAAATGAAATAAATGGAAACACATTAGTAGGAAGAAGCCTTCACTCATTTCAATGAAGTGAATAAAAATTGTTAAGTATATAGAAAACCTAAATAAAAAACCTGATAACCGATACATAACAATGCCAAAATATTTTATAATTTATTAATTAAAAGTATGTACTAGCTTACTGTAGACAGACTAATAGGAAAAAATGTATACAAACAGACTCAAATCTATAAACCATGATAAATTCCACAGATTTACATGTAAAAAAATCAAATATTTAAATGTATAAAGCATCAAATAAAAGTCCTAGAATGCTGGCCAGGCACAGTCTCATGTCAGTAATCCCAGCTCTTTGGGAGGCCAAGGCGGGAGGATTGTTTCAGGCCAGGAGTTTGAGATCAACCTGGGCACCAAAATTAGACTCCGTCTCCACCAAAATAAAAAAAAAAGAAAGAAAAAAAATACTAGAAAAACTGAAAAAAAATTTGGTAATCTTAGAAAGAACAAGGCTGTTCTGAGTAACTATCAAAGCTCAGATAAATATGATAACAATAAAAGATAAACAAAAATAAACTATATACTTCAGCATGGCAAAACCACACACACACACACACACAAAACATAAATGACCAGCAGAGAAAAAATAGTTGCAATTCATGTAACCACCAGGGCAAATATCTCTCACTTTTAAGAGTTTTTACTAATTTATAAAAGACCAACGACTAAATTAAAAAAAAAAGGGGGGGACCAAAGATATAAAGAGAAAATTCACAGACAAGGAAGTTCAAATGAAACTTACATTTGAAAAGATGTGCTTACCTTTACCTATCATAAGAGCTAGACAAACTAACAGCCCAAACAGATATACTATTTTTTACCTTGTTAGATTGGAAAAACTCAAAAAGTTTGATGAGAAAAGTTTAGCAAGGCTGTGGAGAAAATGGGGTTCAGACATTCTTTCTGAAAGTGTAAACCAGTACAACCTCCAGGAGAACAATAACCAAATTACAAATGCAACTTATAAAAATGCAGTTGACCAAGCAATTATACTTATTACAGATATATACACATACGAAAGTCACTTTATATAAAAAGTTATTCATTGCAGCATCATTTGTAATGTCAATCAATGTCCAGCAGGTAGGAAACTTGTTGAGTTGTGGTATTCTACATAATGGAATACTAACTAGCTATAAAATAAGAAAAAAAGAAAGCCCTTCATGTATTATTATTTAAAAAATTTCCCAGATTTATTATTGACCAAAAATAAACAAGGTGGAAAAATCTGTGTACACTATACTAACAAATGTAGTTAACTGTAAGGAGGAAGACAATATATTTATTTTTGCTTAAGCATATACTAGAAATATATGAAAGAAGACAAGAGTGGATGGGGACAGATGTAAGCAAGACTTTTTACTGCATATCATCATACTTTAATTAATTAATTAATTAATTAATTTGAGTTGGAGAGTCTGTTGCCCAGGCTGGCATGCAGTGGTGCCATCTCAGCTCACTGCAACCTCCACCTCCCAGGTTCAAGTGATTCTCCTGCCTCAGCCTCCTGAGTACCTGGGATTATAGGCACCCGCCGCCATGCCTGGCTAATTTTTGTAGAGATGGGGTTTTGCCATGTTGGCCAGGTTGGTCTCGAGCTCCTGTCCTCAGGTGATCCGTCCTCCTCGGCCTCCCAAAGTACTGGGAATACAGGTGTGAACCACCGTGCCTGGCCCACTTTATTTTTTGTGAGACAGTCTTGCTCTGTAGCCCAGGCTGGAGTGCAGTGGCATGATCTTGGCTCACTGCAATCTCTGCCTCCTGGATTCAAGCAATTCTTGTGCCTCAGTCTCTCAAGCAGCTGGGACTATAGGCACGTGCCACCATGCCTGGCTAATTTTTGTATTTTTAGTAGAGACAGAGTTTTGCCATGTTGGCCAGGCTGGTCTTGAACTCCTGCCCTCAAGTGATCTGCCCGCCTCAGTCTCCCAAATTGCTGGGATTACAGGTGTGAGCCACTGTGCCCGGCCTCTTCAAATATTTTATATACTTGTTTATTTCTGAACCATATGAATATCTATTCAAATTAAGTTCCTTTTATAAGGTATTACAATATTAGGATATTATGTTGCAATATTAGCTTATTATAGTATTTTCTTAAAAGTTATTACAAAAGGGACCTGGGTTTTAAAATGTCAGGAAAAGATGTACATACTGAGTTTCCTTTGTTTCTTTTTCCTCACTAATCCACACATCAGTAATAGTGCATGGCAAGCTCTCATCTTTGTTTGTTCCACTTGGCTCTTGTAGAATTTCTGTTTCCAAATCATCAGGTTCTGCAAAGGATAAACGTAACGAGAGACATCTCAAAGCAAAATTTGTCAAGAGAATATTGAATAAACTTGCTATAAATTATTGCTACCTAGTTTTAGGGTAATATATTCATTAAAACAGAAAAATTAAGTATTCTCTCTATAGGGTTTAACTCTTATTGTGAAGTCTTTAGTTCAGTTATTTCTGAAACGACAGACTACTTCTTTTGCCTTTTACTGTAATAAAAATGCTCAAAGGTAATATGGTATACTCTATATTTTTCACCATTATGTAAAATTTTCTCTTCAATTAAAATTTTAGTAATATGTAAATTCATTTAGGGAAGGTATAAAAACAGTTTAAAGAATAAAGATATTTGTGGTTAGAAATATGGAAGAATAGACTGTGATATTACTGATTAGTGACTAAAATAAAATTTCAATCTTCAAAATCTATCTTTTAATAGTCAAAAAAGAAAAACTATTACCAGGACTTTCACAATGATATTGAGAACATAATTGAATGGCACTAAAAATCTATTTTCTTAGACACTCAAATAGTTTTTTTTTTTTTTTTTTTTTTTGAGACAGGGTTTCACTCCCATCGCCCAGGCTGGAGTGCAGTGGTGTGCTCTTGGCTCACTCACTACAACCTACACCTCCCGGGCTCAAGTGATCCTCCTGCCTCAGCCTCCTGAGTAGCTGGAACTATAGGCACACACTACCACACCAGGCTAATTTTTGTATTTTTAGTAGAGATGGGGCTTCACCATGTTGGCCAGGCTGGTCTGAAACTCCCGACCTCAAGTGATCCACCTGCCTCAGCCTCTCAATGTGCTGGGATTACAGGCGTGAGCCACCACGCCTGGCCTGACCCTCAATTAACATCAAGATGTTACCTCTGTTTTCTGGCAGTGGCTCATTTTTCACCTGGCTAATATTTTCCAAAAGTGAACAGCGATGAGGAGAGTATTTGTTAACTTCTCTTTTTCCTTTCCAATTAAGATTATCAATAATATCCTGTTTAAGCCAACACTATCCCTCTTACTTCCCCTGGAATACAGACATACTTCTCCATTTTTAAAGCTTCCAATTATCTGTCTTATTTGGAAAGACAACTGATATTGTACTAATCTTTAAGTTTTTATCTTTTATTCAAATGATTATTTTGGTCATTCATTCAAGGTAAGCACTTGGGGGCAAAATCCTTTTTTATTTTTTAATGAATAATTCTGTTTCCTAGTACTTTAAGCTGTATCATTATCAACTTATTCTATAAACTTGACTTATGACTGCATTACCTGCAAAGCCTAGAATATTTATTCTCTGGTCTATCAACTCCTGCACTAGGCTATACAGCTTCCATAGTATGCCTAACACTATTTTCTTTTCTTTTTTAAAGAAAAGGCATAAGATACTGTTTTAGTTCAGGCTACTATAACAGAGTATCATAGACTGGGTGGTGTAAATAATAGAAACTTATTTCTCAGAGTTCTGGAGGCTGAAGGATCCAATGTCAGGGTGCCAGCACGGTTGGTTCTAGAGGGCCCTCTTCCTGTTTTGCAGATAACCTTTTCCTCCTTGTATCCGTATGTGGTAGAAAGCAGAAAGCTCTCTGGCCTATTCTTATAAGGGCACCAATCCCATTAATGAGGGCGCCACTCTCATAACCTAATTACTTTGCAAAGACTCCACTTCCAATACCATTACATCAGGGATTAGATTTCAACATATGATTTTTTTGGGGGGTAGGGAGGGGAACAAACTTTCGTTCCATAATGATACTAGTAACTATGTTCTAATGAATAAGATTATTTAAGTTACTGTGGTGAATTAAGGATGGTCACATTTTGCAGGGTTTCTGGTTTTCCTCTCAACTAGAGGGAGCTCTGTTTCTCCTCCTCTTTAATTTCAGCTGGCATGGTGATTCCCTTGAGTAATGGAAGACAGTGAAAGTGATGCTATGCCAGTTCCAGGCTGAGCCTTTAAGAGAACTGGGAACTTCTATTTGATATCTGGAAGCCCAAGCCATCATGAAAATAGTTTATTCTTAAAGACCACATTGCAATGCCATGAGACTAAAATGAAGGAGAGGGACCCGAATAAGCCCTGCCAATATGCCAGGCATGGGAGTGACGTCATTTTGCGTCTTCCAAAAAAGCCCAGCTGATGGCTGAATACCACTGAGCAATACCAGTTGATGCTACATGGAGCAGAAGAACCTCCAAATTCCTGACTCAAAAAATTGTGAGATAACATAAAATAAAAATAAAAATTGTTTTTTATTTTGGAGACAAGTTCTCACTCTGTCACCCAGGCTGGCATGCTCATGGCTCACTGCAGCCTCAAACTCTTGGGCTCAAGTGATTCTCCCACCTCAGCCTCCCTAGCAGCTGGGATTACAGGCATGCACCACCACATGTGACTAATTTTCATATTTTCAGTAGAGAAGGGGTATTGCCATGTTGCCCAGGCTGGTCTTGAACTCCTGGGCTCAAGCGATATGCCAGCCTTGGCTTCCCAAAGTGCCGGGATTACAGGTGTGAGCCACTGAGCCTGGCCTAAAATTGTTATTTTAAGCTACTAAGTTTTAGGAGTAATTTGTTTTGCAGCAATAGATAATTGAAGCAGAATTACATATCCGGAAGCAAGGAGCTGATGTAAAAGCCTATGTGCACTGGCTTTGGGACTGCGGAGCAGGCAGAAATTGGAAGGGCTTCAATGACATTGTTGGTGAGAGACTGGCAAGTGAAAAACAGTTACTGGAGGCTGAAGAAAAGGGGATTCTTGCTCTACGGTGGCTGAAAATTTGGTAACTGCAATAATGTGGAAGATAGTAACTGTACTTTATGGATCCAGTGGTCTAGCTAAGGAATTATCAAAGCAGAACATTCAAAGTGACAGCTGCTTCTAATAACTTCTGATAAAGAACAAGAAACTAGAGATTAATTGAAGAAAAAAGTTTAGCTTATGAGCAGAATTTAGAAGAGATACAGAGAGCCCAGGATGATTCCTTCTAGGCAACAAATGCTTCTCAAAGGAAGACATGGCCTCAAGACAAAGACTAAATTTAGGACAGTAGGGTGTGGCCTCAGGGCAAAGATGAAGTCAAGGTTGTGCACATAAGATCTGTTACAGCACAGAAAGATTTAAAGGCATGTCTTGCAGACCCTCTTTGATAGAGAAAGAATTTCTAAGAACTCAACAGCACTGTCTTACAGTATCCTCATAGATAACTGAAGGTAGAGAAGAGTCTGTCTCAGAAACATGAGTGGCTTTTGTTAACCACAGTGAGTATCAATAATATTCACATAAACCCACAAAATTATTTAGAAATTCTGCTTTTGGAAGCACTGTGTAAGCTCAGACTGAAGGGGACAAACATAGTGCAAAAGAGAAGAGCCCTTGAGCACACCAAGCTTTGGTGCAAGGAAGCAGGCTGACAATGCTATTCCTGGTTGGATTTTAGAATTTCTAGGGACCAATGACTGCTATCTGCTTCCCATCTTCCTTGTTTTCGAAAAGGTGTCCCAAAGGTTGTTTCACCATTGTATTTTGCACATATGGAAAACAAATAACTAATTTTTTTTTTTACTCATAGGTCTTCAGATTGAGAATAACTGTACTCAAAGACCTGTAGATGAGAAAACCCATCTGCACGGCCTGACTTTGTTATCATATTAAACTCTGAGCTAATGTCATAATGAGATGAGGCTTTCAGAAGGTGTGAGTGTATTTTGCATATGGGAGGAATGAAGATAATTTTTGGTCAGAGGGCAGACTATGGCAGATTTAGGACAGATGCAAATTCTTTGACGCCCTTCCCATTGAGAGGTGGGTTCTGTTTGCCCTCCCTTTGAATCCAGGTTGGGCTGTGACTGCTTTGACTAATAGAATACGGCAGAAGTGATACTGTGCTAGTTCTGAGATCAGCTTTTAAGAGTACAAGCTGCTTTCACCTTAGCATCTGTGAGCCCCGGGCCATCACATAAGAAGTCAGACTATCCTGCCAGAAAGAGTACATAGAATAGCCCTGAAACCACATAAAGAGGGAGAGGGGCCCAGCTAAGCTGTACTTGCCAAGATAGCAGTGAAGCTTTTTGGGACCCTTCAGACCAGCCTAGCTGCCGGCTGACCAACACTTACTGATCTCTGAGATAAAGGCACACGAATTAGGAAAAATCACATTAGACAAGTCTTGACTCAATTCCTGGCACATAAAATCATGGTATGAAACGGTTGGTGTTTCAACACTAAGTTTTGGGGTGACTTGTTAGGCAGTCATAAAAAAAAGACCAATAGCTAAAAATATAAAAATACTGAACCTAATTTGAGATAATTACCCAAACATATACAAATTTTGATAATCTGTTTATAAAGCTTGTGAAATTTAAGTTTTTACTAAATCAAATATAGCTCATTTTGACTCATTAGAACATACCTTCTAAATTTCCTTCCAGTTTCAATGACATCTGTGGAGATGCCTCACTGAACTCGGGACTTTTTGTCTCAACAGGAGAATCAACAATAGCTGATGGGTTTATTTCATGTGAAATACATTGTACTTTTTTTTCTCCAGTAATTAAGGGTTTGTACTTTTCCCCTTCGGGAGAAATCTCTGTGAAAACAAAAAATAAAAAATCATGCTAGTTCTCAAAATGATGCATTTTATCTGTAATGGCATTGGGGGCAAAGTTCAAAAAGCTGCATTACTGCAACAGGCAATTACTAGTTAAGCTCTGTTACATATTAGAAGTTAATAAGTGACTACAGTATATGAAAGTCAAATTTCATTTCAATTGTACATAATAATTTCTATGGTGGTCAAAATGGTTTACCTTCTTTCTGCTTTTGGTAAAATTAATATGTGTATTAGAATACTATTTTTTAAATTATTAACTAGTTGATTCTGTTTATATGAAGTAACTCCTAGTTACTTCTAATTGCTCTGAAATTCTCCACACTAAGGAGAGAGGAGGTTTACCTCAGAACATCCTGAGACAGGTTCAAAAAAGAATAAAAAGAAAAAAAAACTACCTCAGAATAGCTTAATGCAGTTATTTACCACCTTCTCACTCCTATTAATCCGTTGAAGATTTTACTTTCCAGGTTACAAGCTCCCCAACACTAACTCTGTCATAACTAATTTAGGTGATTTCTATATTTGTATCAATAATCCTTCCAAAAGGTAGGCCTCTTGGTTTGTTGCACTTCACTCTACCTCAGTCTTCATCCTATCTCCAGCACTCCAATGGTCATATCTTAGAGAACTTGTCATTAATTATAGCCTCTTTAAATTTCCAGTGTTAAGTATTCCACCCTCTAATCTCTAACACTCATTTTCCACTTCTCCGCCTCTACAACTCCAACTCTAAAAAAATTTTACCCTGAAAGTACCTACAATGCACTGATTCTGCTACATTTTCTGTCATCTCCATTAAAATTCACAGAAATTCCATAATATAGTCATTCTCTTGTGCATCCTCAACTTATTGTATTCAAGTGGCAAAACCCCAATTTTGCATAAATTCAATTCTCTGCCTACTATATCTGCATACACAGGGTTAAAATGGTTGAAGAAAAACAGAAATCCTTGCTCATTGGTCTCAATTTAAATTCATTGTTTCTAAAGCCAAGTAGGCCCTTTGTGTTGGCTGCAGTCCTTTTATAACACTGGGCTAGCAGGAACTGTCCTTAGCTCAGTTAATTTCCAGAGCAAAAAAGTTGTTCATCAAGTATTTATAAGTTGTTTTACTCTTTACTTCTTTCTAGTCAACAGAGAACAAAACTATAGTGTTGCAAATGTTTCAGAATCATTTCCCTGCACTGTACTTCAACAAACTGCTTGCCAAAACAAACTGACTGTAGCAGAGATCACATCTGTGTTTTTCCTCCTTCAGCCCTACCATTCTGCAATAAAATCATGTCTATTAACACCAGGAATCAGGATACCATATCGCATTATTATTATTATTAAAGATTGCTTTAGTGGGTTCTAACAGAAGAATAGGAAATAATCAAAATATAGGATAAAAATCTATTTCTTGTCACTGATGATAAATCTGCACATTTGGAACATCTAATATCTCAAGGAAGAAAGCTTAATAGATTTAGTAAAAATAATCAGTACAGCGTCCAGATATAAAATTTTCTATCTATATATAGAAAGAAATAGGGGAAGGAAGAGGAGGAGGTTAGGGTATCTTTTTTTTTTTTTTTTTTTTTGTTAGAGACCTGAGTTTTGCTCTGTCACCCAGTGCGGTGGCGTGATCTCAGCTCACTGCAACCTCCACCTCCCGGGTTCAAGCAATTCTCCTGCCTCAGCCTCCCTAGTAGCTGGGATTACAGGCGCACGGCACTATGCCTGGCTAATTTTTTATATTTTTAGTAGAGACAGCATTTCGCCATGTTGGCTAGGCTGGCCTCAAACTCCTGACCTGAAATGACCTGCCTCAGCCTCCCAAAGTGCTGGGATTACAGGCATGAGCTACCACACCCGGCTGGATAGCTATACTAGATAAAAATTCTTAAAACATAGCAAAAAGCAATGAAATATAAAAAAGGGCAGAGAATATAAACAGGCAATTTTCAAAGCAGCAAATCAAAATAGTCAATAGAATGCAACATAATGAAATTCACTCACAATCAGAAAAGGAAAAATAAAACCAATGAAATATATACCACACAAAAATGGTAAAAAATTTTTTTAAAGGGATATTACCTTTCAGGCTGTTTGATATTTAAAAATCAATCAATGCAATTTGCAACATTAATATAATAAAAGAGAAATTATACTATTATATTAATTGATTTGGAAAATGGGTTTGGAGAGAGCTTCAGCATGGCTGACCACAGACACCTGGCACTTGTCTGTTCCACAAAGAAGTACAAAACAGCAAGTAGATAATAACACATTGAATAGAGCATCTGAAAGAGAACACAGGAATTCAGCCGCAAAGGGATGGGGAACCTCTGAGGCATGGAAGGAGAGGGAAGCGAAACAGTTGGCCTGGCTAGGACTGGCTAGAAGCCAGGAGAAACACCACAGATTGACCTGCCTGAATGCAGGAAAATGGTAAGAGAGATCCCCAGTGCTCCATGTTCTCACCATGGACTCCTGCAAGCCTAGCCATGGCTCCTCAGCCCTCAAGCGCCCTGAGACTAGTAGAGGAAGCTGCCTGGAGTCAAAGTGATGCATTATTCTAGAGAGGAAGTTTGTGCTGGATCTCACACAGCATCCTGAGACCCAAGCAGCTGCAACATGGTGCCACTTTGAGAACCCAATCCCTACCAGATAACAACCTGCCCCAGGGCTCAACAGGCCCTGAATCTCCACACCCCTGGAGCCCTACTGACATTTACTCCATGTCCACCTATAGATTTGCAACCTTGTGACATGAGCTGGACTCAACTGTGCAGCCAGGTCCCTAGTCCTCTAGCCCACATACAGTCCTACACCACAGGAAATGGGTGGTGCAGCACATTAGGAAGGCTGCCCCTGGGAAAAAGGGAGCTGAAGCATGTGCTCCCCAGAGCCTGGGAGCTGCCTTCCTGGAGTTGCTGGTACTGACAGCAACCCTGCCTCCCCTAGCACCTGGGTGAATGTGCACTTGTGTGCACCTTCAGGAGCAAGGAGATAGGCATGCTTGGGTGCCATCCTAGAGCCTGAGGTCAGGCCTGGCCCACTCACTGATGCCACCACCTGAGAATGCTACCTGGTAGCTGGGAGATCGATCTGCCCCATGCATCAGAGCTGGCACTAGCAAGCATGTCATCCAGGACTGGAGATCAACCCACCATGCCTGCTGATGCAGGTGCCTGCACACACAGTCAGGGGGCCTGAGGACAGGCCCTCCTGCCTACCACCACCACCACTGATTTCTGAGTGTGCAGTCTGGGGTCCTGGGGGTAGACCTACTGTGCTAAGCACAACCTGTGCCTGACAGCACCATCACAGGGCTTGAAGACAGACCCACCCTGCCCTGCTACTGCCTTGGCAAAGGCCTGTGAGCATCATCCAGGGGCACAGGGATCAATTTGCCATGCCTATTGCTGCTAGTGCCTGTATAAGCTTTCCAGGGGCTTGGGAAAGGGCCCACCCAGCCTGCCAGCACCCACACACATCATCTAGGGTCTAGAGATCAACCAGTCCTGCCCAACATAAACTGCCTGCACATGCACCACACAGGGGCCCAAGTATAGGCCTGCTCTACCTGGCGATGCCCCCAATAGTGCTATGTGTATTGTCCAGAGGTCTGGAGATCTACCCACCTCTGTCCGCCACCACAGACACCCAAACATACCTTCCAGAGGGCCCTGAGACCCAACCTGCAGCCACTGCCACCATCCACCTGCACTAAAGGCCTGGAGACTAGCCCTCTCAGTTCACCACCACCACTGCTGGTGCCCATGAGTGCTGATGATGGACCCAGGGACTAGCCCTGCCCACCTGGCCCACCACTGCTACTGCTGGCACCCAAGTAAGCCATGTGGAGGCCCAAGGATTACCTGGACCCACTATCACCAGTGCCTGAACACCATCTGGGGGGCCAAGTACCTGCATTCTCAGCATGCTGCCAAGACTGGGGCCTGAGGACTGGCTCAACTGGCTCCCTGTCCACGGTAAATCCTTACCAGAGTCTCCACTAACAATCATAACCTAAGACACACAGGAATTCACAGATACCACTGACACTGATTACAGCCAAAGAAATCATATGAAGACTGCACTACTCTGCCCACCCAGAATCAAAGCCAAAACACCCTACTCAACCAACACTATGGATACATATACGGGAAAAAGTCTTTGCCTACGAAAGTCAATCCGTAAAATCGGAAGAAGTGATTATTACAATAGATGCACAGATATCAATATAAGGACACAAGAAACATGAAAAGTAAGGAAACATGATACCTCCAAAAGAACACGGTAATTCTCCAACAAGATTCCAACAAAAATAAATCTACAAAATGCCTAAAACAATTCAAAGTAAAATTAAAGCTAAGTGAGGTATAGGAGAACACAGATAAATAATACAAAGAAATCAGAAAAACAATTCATGGTCTCAATGAGAAATTCAACATAGATATCATTAAAGATAACCAAACAGGGCCAGATGCTATGACTCACAAATGTAATCCTAGTGTTTTAGAAAAGGAAGGCAGAAGGACCGCTTGCAGCCAGGAGTTGGAGACCAGCCTGGGCAACACAGTGAGATACTGTCTCTACAGGAAATTCTTTAAAAAGTAAGTCAGGTGTGGTGGCATGTGCCTATAGCCATAGCTAGTCTGGAAGATAAGGTGGAAGGATCTCCTGAGTCCAGGATTTGAGGCTGTAGTGAGCTATGATTGCACCAATGTACTCTAGCCTGGATGGCAGACAGCCTGTCTCTAACCAAGTAAAAATATTTTATCTATCTATCTATCTATCTATCTATCTATCTATCTATCTATCTATCTATCTCATAATTTGAGACCAGCCTGGGCAACATGGCAAAACTCTGTCTCTACACAAAATAAACAAAATTAGCCAAGCATGGTGTCAAAAGCCTGTAGTCCCATCTACTTGGGAGGCTGAGATGGGAGGATCCCTTGAACCCAGGAGGTCAAGGCTGCAGTAAGCTGTGATCACAGCACTGCCACTGCACTCCAGCCTGGGTGACAGAGCCCTGTCTCAAAAACAAACAAATTAACTAACAAATAAAACCCCAAACCCCCCCACCCACCACAAAATTCAATGAATTAAATAAAATTACAACTGAGAGCTTCAACAATAGACTAAACAGAAAAAAGAGTTTCTGAATGAAAACAGTTCTTTCGAAATAATCCACTCAGAAAATAAAGAAAAGGATAAAAGAAAAAAAAAGAATGGAAGTCTATGTGACATAAGAGAAATTGTAAAGTGCCCAAATATTCAAATTTTGGGTGTTTCAGAAAAAAAAAGAGATGGGCAAGGACATAGAAAATTTCTCTAACGAAATAACAGCTGAAAATTTCCCAAGCCTTGTAAGAGATATAGACATTCAGATACAGGAAACTTAAAGACACAAAAATATTCAACCCAAAAAGATCTTCCCAAGGCACATTACAATCAGACAGTTAAAAGTCAAAGAGAATTCTAAAAACAGAAAGAAAAGAGCATCAAATTACATATAAGGGCACCCCCAACAGACTAACAATGGCTTTCTCAGCAGAAAACTTATAAGATAGGAGAAAACGGGATGATATATTCAAAGTGCTGAGAAAACAAAAACAAAACCAAAAACAAACCAACAACAAACTGTCAGCCAAGAATACTATACCCACCAAAGCTATCCTTCAAAAATGAAGGAGAAATAAAGTCTTTCCCAAAGAAGCAAAAACTGGGAGAATTCAACAGCAGACTGATCCTATAAGAAATGCTTAAGAGAGCACTACATGTGGAAATAAAAGGACAGTATCTAACACCATGCAAGCACATTAAAGTATAAAACCTGACAGAGCACATTCACAAACAAAAGAGAAAAAGGAGTCAAATGTTATAGAAAATAACCAAACTGCAATGAAACAATAAAAGAGAAAGAAAAGAACAACAAATATACAAAACATCCAAAAACCAATTAACAAAATGACTAGAGTTAAGTCCTCACCTATCAATAATAACCTCTAATATAAATGAAATAAATTAATCATTTAGAAGATACAGGTTGGCTGAATGGTTAAAAAAAAATGACCAAACTACATGCTGCCTACAATAAACTCATTACATATATAGACTGAAAATGAAGAAACAGAAAAAGATATTCCATGCAAATGGAAACAAAAAAAGAGTGGGAGAAGGCATACACTTATATCAGATAAGACATATTTTAACCCAAAAGCTGTAAAAAAAGACAAAGAAGGTCATTACATAATGATGAAGGGAAAAATTAAATGAGCAGATCTAACAATTATAAATAGATGTGCACTCAACAGCAGAACCCCTAGATATATAAAGCAACTACAGGGAGAGATAGACTCCAATATAATAAGAGTTGTGGACTTCAACGCCCCATGGACAGCACTGGACAGATAATCTAGACTGAAAATTAACAAAGAAACATTTGATTTAAACTGCACTTTAGACCAAATGGACGTAACAGACATCTACAGAACACATCCAACAGCAGCAGAATATACATTCTTCTCATCAGCACATGCAACATTCTCCAGGACAGGCCACATGGTAGGCTACAAAACAAATCTCAACAAATTAAAACGTAACTACTTCATATCAAGTACCTTCTCAGACCACAACTGAAGAAAACTAGAAATCAATCACGAGAGGAACTTTGGAAACTGTACATATACATGGAATTTAAGCAACATGCTCCTGAGCAAACATTGAGTCAACGAAGAAATTAAGAAGGAAATAAATGGATTTCATGAAACAAATGGGGACAGAAACACAACAAACCAAAATCTATGGGAAACAGCAAAAGCAGTGCTGAGAGTTTATAGCAATAAACACCCATATCACAAAAGGGCCAGAAGCTCATGGCTGTAATTTCAATATTTTGGGAGGCTGATGTAGGAGAATCCTTGAGGCCAGGAGTTAGAGATCGGCCTGGGCAACAAAGTGAGACCCTGTCACTACTGAAACAAAAACAAAAACAAAAAATAGCTGGTCATGGTGGCTGCCTGTAGTACTAGTTCCTCAGGAGGCTAAGGTGAGAGGATTGCTTGAGCCCAGGAGTTTAAGGTTATAGCAAGCTACAACTGCACTACTGTACTCCAACATGGGCGACAGAGTGAGACCCTGTTTATAAAAAAAAGAGACAGATTTCAAATAAATAATGTAATGATGTATTTCAAGGAACTAGAAAAGCAAAAAAAGGTCAAATCCAAAATTAGTAAAAGCAGCAACATGGATGGAGCTGGAGGCCATTATCCTAAGTGAACTAACTCAGAAACAGAAAATCAAGTACTACATGTTCTCACTTATAAGTGGAACCTAAATAATTGGTACACATGGACACAAAGGTGAAAATAATAAGATGATGAGGACTCCAAAAGGAAGGAAGGAGGGAGTGGGGAGAAGGCAAAAAAAAACAAAACAAAACTATCAGGTACTATCATCACTATTTGAGTGATGGGTTCAACAGAAGCCCAAATCTCAGCATTATGCGATATACCCATGTAACAAACATGCACATGCACCCACTAAACTTAAAACAAAACAACTATATACATATATATATATATATACACACACACACACACACACATGCACAAAATGGACCATTATTCAGCCATAAAAAGAATGAAATCTTATTTTTTTGCAGTAAGATGGATAGAACTGGAGGTCATTATCCATATAGAGAAATACACATTGCATGTTTCTGACTTATAGGTGGGAGCTAAAAAAATTGATCTCATGGAAGTAGAGAGCAGAATGGTGCTTATCAGAAGCTGGAAAGTGTGGCTGGTTAATGCATACAAAATACAGTTAAATAGAATAAAATTCTAGTGTTTAAAATAGTACAGTAGGATGACTACAGTTAATGAAAAAAAGCAAAACTAGTAGAAGAAATAATAATCAAGCAGAACAAAATCAAACAGACACTAAAAAAATCAACAAAAGTTGGCGTTTTGAAAAGATAAACAAAATTGAAAAACCACTAACGAGACTAAGAGAAAAAGAGTGAAGACCCAAATAAAGAAAATAAAAAACAAAGAGCCATTACAACAAATACTACAGAAATGCAAAGTACCATGTGAAACTATTATGAACAACTATATGTTAACAAATTGGAAAACCTAGAGGTAATAGACAAATTCCTGCACACAGACAACCTCCCAAAATAACTACAATAAATATCAAATTCTTCAACACCCAGACACCGATGAACACCCATAACATCAAGACCACCCAGGAAAATATGACCTCACCAAATAACTAAATAAGGTACCAGACACCAATCCCAGAAAGACAGAGATATATGACCTTTCAGACAGAAAATTCAAAATAGCTGTTTTAAGGAAACTCAATGAAATTCAAAATAACAGAAAAAATTCAGAATCTTACCAGATACATTTAACAAAAAGATTGAAATAATTAAAAAGAATCAAGCAGAAATTCTGGAGCTGAGAAATGCAACTGGCATACTGATGAATGCATAAGAGTCCTTTAATAGCAGAACACATCAAAAGAAGAAAGAATTAGCGAGCTTGAAGACAGGCTGCTTGAAAATACATAGTGAGAGGAGACAAAAAACAATTGAAAATACATAGTCAGAGGAGACAAAAAACAAAGGAAAAAGAATAAGGAATACCTACAAGATCTAAAAAACAGACTCAGAAGGGCAAATCTAAGAGTGATTCGTTGTAACGAGGAAGTAGAGAGACCGGGGTACAAAGTTTATTCAAAGGGATAATGTCAGAGAACTTCCTGAACCTAGAAAAAGATACCAATATTCAACTACAAGAAGGTTATAGAACACCAAGCAGATGTAATCCAAGGAAGACTACCTCAAGACATTTACTAATCAAACTCCAAAAGGTCAAAGACAAACAAAGGAGAAAAGCAGCAGCAGACTTTGTGTCTGGCAGCAGACTTTTCAGCAAAAATCTTACTGGCCAGGAGAGAGTGACAGGACATATTTAAAGTACTGAAGGAAAAAAACTTTTATCCTAAAATAGTATATCCAGAGAAAATATCCTTCAAACATAATGAAGAAATAAAGACTACCAGACAAACAAAAGCTGAGGGATTTCATCAACACAAGACCTGTCCCATAAGAAATGCTAAAAGGAGTTCTTTAATATGAAAGAATAGGACAATAATGAGTAATAAGAAATCATCTGAAGGTGTAAAATTCACCAGTAATAGTAAGTATACAGAAAAACACAGAATATTAGAACACTGTAATTGTGGTGTGTAAGCTACTCATATCTTGAGTAGAAAGACTAAAAGATGAACTGATTGAAAATAAAAATTATTCACGCCTGTAATCCCAGCATTTTGGGAGGTGAAGGCGGGTGGATCACTTGAGGTGAGAAGTTTGAGACCAGCCTGGCCAACATGCTAAAATCCCATCTCTATTAAAAATACAAAAAAATTAGCCAGGTGTGGTGGCACACACCTGTGATCCAGACTAGTCGGGAGGCTGAGGCAGGAGAATCACTTGAACCCGGGAGGTGGAGGCTGCAGTGAGCCGAGATCGTGCCACTGCACTCCAGCCCGGGCAACGGAGTGAGACTCTGTCTCAAAAAATAAAATGAAATAAAATAAATAAACATTATGTGAGGTGTGATGGCTTATGCCTGTAATCCTAGAACTTTGGAAGGCTGAGGTGGGAGGATTGCTGGAACCCAGGAATTTGAAACCAGCCTGGGCAACATGCAACATGAAACCAGCCTGGGCAACAGGCAAAACCCTTTCTCTACAAAAAAAAAATACAAAAAAATTTAGCCATGTGTGGTGGCTACAAGCAGTGGGACATGCTTGTAGTCCCAGCTGCTTGGGAGGCTGATGTGAGATCACCTGAGCCAGAAGGTGGAAGTTGTAGTAAGCTGAGATTGTGCCACTGCCCTCCAGCCTGGGTGACAGAGTGAGTCCCTGTCTCAAGAAAAAAAAAATTACAACTTTTTGAGAGACAATACAGTAAGATACAAATAGAAACAAAAAGTTGAAAAGTGAGGGACAAAGTTAGAGTCTTTATTAGTTTTTTATTTGCTTGTTTGGTATCTGTTTTTGCAATCACTGTTGTCATCAGTTTAAAATAGTGGGTTATAAGATAGTATTTATACCTCATAGTACCCTCAAAAATAAAAAATCATACAACAGATACGCAAAAAAATAAAAAGCAAGAAATTAAAACATACCACTAAAGAAATCACCTTCTCTAAAATGAAGATATGAAGGAAGGAAGGAAGAGAAGTCCACAAAACAACCAGAAAACAAATAACAAAATGGCAGAATTAAGTCTTTACTTGTAATAATCCCATTGAATGTAAATGGAATAAACTCTCCAATCAAAAGACAGAGAGTGGCTGAATAGATTAAAAAAGAAGACTCAACAGGAGTTCCAAGATGGCGGAATAGGAACAGCTCCAGTCTACAGCTTCCAGCGTGCTTGATGGAGAAGATGGGTGATTTCTGCATTTCCAACTGAGGTACCTGGTTCATCTCAATGGGACTGGTTGGACAGTGGGTGCAGCCCACGGAGGGTGAGCCGAAGCAGGGTGGGGCATCACCTCACCTGGGAAGCGCAATGAGTCGGGGGATTTCCCTTTCCTAGCCAAGGGAAGCCGTGACAGACTACCTGGAAACACGGGACACTCCCCACCCAAATACTGTGCTTTTCCCAAGGTCTTAGCAACCGGCAGACTAGGTGATTCTCTCCTGTGCCTGGCTCGGCAGGTCCCACGCCCACAGAGCCTTGCTCACTGCTAGCCCAGCAGTCTGAGATGGATCTGCCAGGCAGCAGCCTGACTCGGGGAGGGGCATCCGCCATTGCTGAGGCTTGAGTAGGTAAACAAAGCTGCCCAGAAGTTCAAAATGGGCGGAGCCCACCGCAGCTCAACAAGGCCTACCGCCTCAGTAGTCTCCACCTCTGTGGGCAGGGCATAGCTGAACAAAAGGCAGCAGACAATTTCTGCAGACTTAAACGACCCTGTCTAACAGCTCTGAAGAGAGCAGTGGTTCTCCCAGCATGGTGCTTGAGCTCTGAGAAAAGATAGACTGCCTCCTCAACTGGGTCCCTGACCCCCACGCAGCCTAACTGGGAGACATCTCCCAGTAGGGGCTGACTGACACCTCATATAGGTGGCTGCCACTCTGGGACAAAGCTTCCAGAGGAAGGATCAGGCAGCAATATTTGCTGTTCTTCAATATTTGCTGTTCTGCAGCCTCCACTGGTGGTACCCAGGCAAACAGGGTCTGGAGTGGAACTCCAGCAAACTCTAACAGATCTGCAGCTGAGGGACCTGACTATTAAAGGAAAACTAACAGTAAGGAATAGCATCAACATCAACAAAAAGGTAATCTACACCAAAACCCCACCTGGAGGTCACCAACATCAAAGACTAAAGGTAGATAAAACCACAAAGATGGGGAGAAACCAAAGCAGAAAAGCTGAATATTCTAAAAATCAGAGCACCTCCTCTCCTCCAAAGAATCACAGCTCCTTGCCAGCAACAGAACAAAGCTGGACAGAGAATGACTTTGACAAGTTGACAGAAGTAGGCTTCAGAAGGTCGGTAATAACAAACTTCTCCTAGCTGAAGGAGGATGTTTGAACTCATAGCAAGGAAGCTAAAAACCTTGAAGAAAGATTAGAAGAATGGCTAACTATAATAAACAGTGTAGAGAAGAACTTCAATGACCTGATGGAGCTGAAAACCATGGCATGAGAACTTCGTGACACATGCATGAGCTTAAATAGCTGATTCGATCAAGTGGAAGAAAGGGTATCAGTGATTGAAGATCAAATGAATGAAATAAAGCGAGAAGAGAAGTTTAGAGAAAAAAGAGTAAAAAGAAACGAACAAGGCCTCCAAGAAATATGACACTATGTGAAAAGACCAAATCTACGTCTGATTGGTGTACCTGAAAGTGATGGGGAGAATGGAACCAAGTTGGAAAACACTCTCCAGGATATTATCCAGGAGAACTTCCCCAACCTGGCAAGGCAGGCCAACATTCAAATTCAGGAAATACAGAGAACACCACAAAGATACTCCTCTAGAAGAGCAACCCCAAGACACATAATTGTCAGATTCACCAAGGTTGAAATGAAGGAAAAAGTATTAAGGGCAGCCAGAGAGAAAGGTCGAGTTACCCACAAAGGGAAGCCCATCAGACTAACAGCAGATCTCTCGGCAGAAATCCTACAAGCCAGAAGACAGTGGGGGCCATTATTCAACATTCTTCAAGGAAAGAATTTTCAACCCAGAATTTGATATCCAGCCAAACTAAGTTTCATAAGTGAAGCAGAAATAAAATCCTTTACAGACAAGAAAATGCTGAGGGATTACAAGAGCTCCTGAAGGAAGCACTAAACATGGAAAGGAAAAACTGGTACCAGCCACTGCAAAAACAGGCCAAATTATAAAGACCACTGATGCTATGAAGAAACTGCATCAATTAATGGGCAAAATAAACAGTGAACATCATAATGACAGGATCAAATTCACACATAACAATATTAACCTTAAATATAAATGGGCTAAATGCCCCAATTAAAAGACACAGACTGGCAAATTGGTGTGCTGTATTTAGGAGACCCATCTCACGTGCAAAGATGCACATAGGCTCAAAATAAAGGAATGGAGGAAGATCTACCAAGCAAATGGAAAGCAAAAAAAAGCGGGGGTTGCCATCCTAGTCTCTGATAAAACAGACTTTAAAGCAACAAAGATCAAAAGAGACAAAGAAGGCCATTACATAATGGTAAAGGGATCAATGCAACAAGAAGAGCTAACTATCTTAAATATATATGCACCCAATACAGGAGGACCCAGATTCATAAAGCAAGTTCTTAGATACCTACAAAGAGACTTAGACTCCCACACAATAATAATGGGAGACTTTAACACCCAACTGTCAATATTAGACAGATCAACGAGAAAAAAGGTTAACAAGGATATCCAGGACCTGAACTCAGCTCTGCAATAAGCAGACCTAATAGACATCTACAGAACTCTCCACCCCAAATCAACAGAATATACATTCTTCTCAGCACCACATAGCCCTTATTCTAAAATTGACCACATAATTGGAAGTAAAGCACTCCTCAGCAAATGTAAAATAACAGAAATCACAACAAACTGTCTCTCAGACCACAGTGCAATCAAATTAGAACTCAGGATTAAGAAACTCACTCAAAACCGCACAACTACATAGAAACTGAACAACTTGCTCCTGAATGACTACTGGGTAAATAAAAAAATGAAGGCAGAAATAAAGATGTTCTTTGAAACCAATGAGAACAAAGACACAACATACCAGAATCCCTGGGACACATTTAAAGCAGTGTGTAGAGGGAAATTTATAGCACTAAATGCCCACAAGAGAAAGCAGGAAAGATCTAAAATTGACACCCTAACATCACAATTAAAAGAACTAGAGAAGCAAGAGCAAACAAATTCAAAAGCTAGCAGAAGGTGAGAAATAACTAAGATCAGAGCAGAACTGAAGGAGATAGACACAAAAACCCTTCAAAAAATCAATGAATCCAGGAGATGGTTTTTTGAAAAGATCAACAAAATTGATAGACCACTAGCAAGACTAATAAAGAAGAAAAGACAGAAGAATCAAATAGATGCCATAAAAAATGATAAAGGGGATATCACCACCAATCCCACAGAAATACAAACTACCTTCAGAGAATACTATAAACACCTCTATGCAGATAAACTAGAAAATACAGAAGAAATGCATACATTCCTGGACACGTACTTACATAATTACTACCTGGAGACTTTAACAATATACTCTCCCAAGACTAAACCAGGAAGAAGTTGAATCCCTGAATAGACCAATAACAGGCTCTGAAATTGAGGCAATAATTAATAGCTTACCAACCAAAAGAAGTCCAGGACCAGATGGATTCACAGCTGAATTCTACCAGAGGTACAAAGAGGAGCTGGTACCATTCCTTCTGAAACTATTCCAATCAATAGAAAAAGAGGGAATCCTCCCTAACGCATTTTATGAGGCCAACATCATCCTGATACCAAAGACTGGCAGAGACACAACCAGATAATTTTAGACCAATATCCCTGATGAACGTCGATGCGAAAATCCTCAGTAAAATACTGGCAAACTGAATCCAGCAGCATATCAAAAAGCTTATCCACCATGATCAAGTTGGCTTCATCCCTGGGATGCAAGTCTGGTTCAACGTACACAAATCAATAAACGTAATCCATCACATAAACAGAACCAACAACAAAAACCACATGATTATCTCAATAGATGCAGAGAAGGCCTTCAACAAAATTCAACAGCCCTTCATGCTAAAAACTCTCAATACACTAGGTATTGACAGAACATATCTCAAAATAATAAGAACTATTTATGACAAACCCACAGCCAGTATCATACTGAATGGGCAAAAACTGGAAGCATTCCCTTTGAAAACTGGCACAAGACAAGGATGCCCTCTCTCACCACTCCTATTCAACATAGTGTTGGAAGTTCTGGCCAGGGCAATGAGGCAAGAGAAAGAAATAAAGAGTATTCAGTTAGGAAAAGAGGAAGTCAAATTGTCCCTGTTTGCAGATGACATGATTGTATATTTAAAACCCTATCGTCTCAGCCCCAAATTTCCTTAAGCTGATAAGCAACTTCAGCAAAGTCTCAGGATACAAAATCAATGTGCAAAAATCACAAGCATTCCTATACACCATTAACAGACACACACAGAGCCAAATCATGAGTGAACTCCCATTCACAATAGCTACAAAGAGAATAAAATACCTAGGAATTCAACTTACAAGGGATGTGAAGGACATCTTCAAGAAGAACTACAAACCACTGCTCAACGAAATAAAAGAGGACACAAACAAATGGAAGAATATTCCATGCTCATGGATAGGAAGAATCAATATCGTGAAAATGGACACACTGCCCAAAGTAATTTATAGATTCAATGCCATTCCCATCAAGCTACCAATGACTTTCTTCACAGAATTGGAAAAAACTACTTTAAAGTTCATATGGAACCAAAAAAGAGCCCACATTGCCAAGACAATCCTAAGCCAAAAGAACAAACCTGGAGGCATCATGCTACCTGACTTCAAACTATACTACAATGTTGGGTACAAGCCCCCCAAAATCTGGCCATAAACTGGCCCCAAAACTGGCTATAATCAAAATCTCTGCAGCACTGTGACATGTTCATGATGGCCATAACGCCCATGCTGGAAGGTTGTGGGTTTACTGGAATGAGGGCAAGGAACACCTGGCCCGCCCAGGGCAGAAAACTGTTCAAAGGCATTCTTAAGCCACAAACAATAGCATGAGCGATCTGTGCTTTAAGGACATGCTCCTGCTGCAGTTAACTAGCCCAACCTATTCCTTTAATTCGGCCCATTCCTTCATTTCCCATAAGGGATATTTTTAGTTAATTTAATATCTATAGAAACAATGCTAATGACTGGCTTACTGTTAATAAATACGTAGGTAAATCTCTGTTCGGGGCTCTCAGCTCTGAAAGCTGTGAGACCCCTGATTTCCCACTTCACACCTCTATATTCCTGTGTGTGTCTTTAATTCCTCTAGTGCGGCTGGGTTAGGGTCTCCCTGACCAAGATGGTCTCAGCACTAAAAGGCTACAGTAACCAAAACAGCATGGTACTGGTACCAAAACAGATACATAGACCAATAGAACAGAACAGAGGCTTCAGAAATAATGCCACACATCTACAACCATCTGATCTTTAACAAACCTGACAAAAACGAGAAATGGGGAAAGGATTCCCTATTTAATAAATGGTGCTGGGAAAACTGGCTAGCCATATATAGAAAGCTAAAACTGGATCCCTTCCTTACACCTTATACAAAAATTAATTCAAGATGGATTAAAGACTTAAATGTTAGACCTAAAACCATAGAAACCCTAGAAGAAAACCCTAGGCAATACCATTCAGGACATAGGCATGGGCAAGGACTTCATGACTAAAACACCAAAAGCAATGGCAACAAAAGCCAGAATAGACAAATGGGATCTAATTAAACTAAAGAGCTTCTGCATGGCAAAAGAAACTACCATCATAGTCAACAGTCAACCTACAGAATGGGAGAAAACTTCTGCAATCTACCCATCTGACAAAGGGCTAATATCCAGAATCTACAAAGAACTTAAGCAAAGTTACAAGAAAAAAACAACCCCATCAAAAGGTGGGGAAAAGGATATGAACAGAAACTTCTCAAAAGAAGACATTTATGTGGCCAACAAACATATGAAAAAATGCTCATCATCACTGATCATTAGAGAAATGCAAATCAAAGCCACAATGAGATACCATTTCACACCAGTTAGAATGGCAATCATTAAAAAGTGAAGAAACAACAGGTGCTGGAGAGGATGTGGAGAAATAGGAACGCTTTTACACTGTTGGTGGGAGTGTAAATTGGTTCAACCATTGTGGAAGACAGTGTGGCAATTCCTCAAGGATCTAGAACTATAATTACCATTTGACCCAGAAATCCCATTACTGGGTATACACCCAAAGGATTATAAATCATGCTCCTTTAAGACACATGCACATGTATGTTTATGGTGGCACTATTCACAACAGCAAAGACTTGGAACCAACCCAAATGCCATCAATGATAGACTGGATTAAGAAAATGTGGCACATATACACCATGGAATACTACGCAGCCATAAGAAAGGATGAGTTCATGTCCTTTGCAGGGACATGGATGAAGCTGGAAACCATCATTCTCAGCAAACTATCACAAGGACAGAAAACCAAACACCACATGTTCTCACTCATAGGTGGGAACTGAACAATGAGATTACTTTGACACAGGGCAGGGAACATCACACACTGGGGCATGTTGGGGGGTTGGGGCCTGGCAGAGGGATAGCATTACAAGAAATACCTAATGTAAATGATGAGTTGATTGGTGCAGCAAACCAACATGGCACATGTATACCTATGTATCAAACCTGCACGTTGTGCACATGTACCCTAGAACTTGAAGCATAATCAAAAAAAAAAAAGAAGACTCAATGAACAGTTGCCTACAAGAAACAGACTTCACCTATAAAGACACACACAGACCAAAAATAAAGGGATGAATAAAGATATTCTATGCCAATAGAAACCAAAAAAGGGCAGAAGTAACTATACTTACATGAGACAAAATAGATTTCAAGACAAGAACTATAAAAAGATACAAATAACGTCATTATATAATTATAAAATGGTCAATTCAGCAAGAGGATATAACAGTTATAAATATATATGCATCCAATACTGGAGTACCCATATATGTACAGGAAATATTATTAGAGTCAAAGTGAGAGATAGCCCCCAATACAATAATACCTGGAGACTTTAACACTATACTCTCAGCATTGAACAGATCATCCAGGCAGAAAATCGACATAGAAACATCAGACTTAGCTGACTCTAGTCTAGTAGCACTGCCTAGGGGTCATCACAGCTCTGCAAGGAGCAGCAAAAGAAAAATAAAAAAAAGAAAAGAAACATCAGACTTCATCTGTATTGTAGACCAAATGGACCTAATCGATATCTACAGAACATTTCATCTAACAGCTGCAGAATACGGCTTCTTCTCCTCAGTACATGAATCATTCTCAAGGATAGAACATATGTTAGATCACAAAACAAGTCTTAAAACATTCAAAAAACCTGAAATTATACCAAGTTTCTTCTCTGACCACAATGGAAGAAAACTAGACATCAATAACAAGAGGAATTTTTGGAAACTATACAAACACATGGAAATTAAACAATATGCTTCTGAATAAACAGTGGGTCAATGAAGAAATTAAGAAGGAAATTGAAAAAAATTTTGAAACAAATGATAATGGAAACACAATATACCAATACCTCTGGGATACAGCAAAAGCAGTACTAAGACGGAAGTTTATAGCTATCGGTCCCTACACCAAAAAAGAGGAAAAACTTCAAGTAGACAATCTAATGATCCATCTTAAAGAACTACAAAAGCAAGAGCAAAGTAAGCCCAAAAGTAGTAGAAGAAAAGAAATAATAAAGATGAGTGCAGAAATAAATAAAATAGAAACAAAGAATACAAAAGATAAATGAAATCAAAAGTTGGCTTTTTGAAAAGATGAACAAAATCAACAAACCTTTATCCAGACTAAGAAAAAGAGAGAAGACCCAAGCAAACAAAATCAGAGATGAAAAAGGAGGAATTATAATACAACTGATACTGCAGAAATTAAAAGGATCTTTAGAAGCTACTATGAGCAGCTGTATTTCAATAGATTGGAAAACTTAGAAGAAATGGATAAATTTCTAGACATATATAACTGTTTGGAGGTTCCTCCAGAAACTAAAAATATAGCTACCATATGATCCAGCAATCCCACTGCTGGGTATATATCCAAAAGAAAGGAAATCAGTATATCAAACAGATATCTGCAGTTCCATGTTTATTGCAGCACTATTTACAACAGCGAAGATTTAGAAGCAACCTAAATGTCCATCAACAGTTGAATGGATAAAGAAAATGTGGGACATATACACAATGGAGTACTATTCAGCCACAAAAAAAGAATGAGATCCTGTCAGTTTCATGTATGGAACTGGAGGTCATTATATTAAGTGATATAAGACAGGCACAGAAAGACAAATCTCACATGTTCTCACTTATTTGTGGGAGTTAACAATTAAAATAACTGAACTCATGGTGATAAAGAGAGCAGAATGGTAGTTACTAGAGGCTAGGAAGGGTGGTGGTGGTGGGTGGTGGGGGATGGTTAATGAGTACAAAAATACAGTTAGACAGAATGTATATGATCCAGTATTTGATAGCACAACTAGGTGACTAGAGTTAAGTCAAGAATAATATATTGTGCATTTAAAAATAACTAAAATAGTAGAATTGGACTGTTTGTAATACAAAGAAAGGATAAATGCTTTATGTGACCCATTTACCCTCATGTGATTACTATGCATTGCATATCTGTATCAAAATACCTCATGTACCCAATAAATATATACACCTACTATGTACCCACAATAGTTAATAAGACATTAAGAAAAAAGAGCAATTGACTGAGAGGAAAGGCAAAGATGACCCAAAATATACAAAGTGGAAATTCCCAAAGACTGGAGAAAAAAAAACAGAATACTAGATGCCCGGTATGGTGGCACATGCCTATAATCCCAGCCCTTTGGAGGCTGAGGCAGGCGGATCACTTGAGGCCATGAGTTCAAGACCAGCCTGGGAAACATAGCAAGACTCCATTGCTGTTAGAAAAAAGAAAGAAAGGGAGAAAAGGAGAAAAGGAGAAAGGGAGAAAGAGAGAAAGTGCGGGGCAGGGGGAGAGAAGGAAGGAAGGAAGGAAGGAGAGAAAGAAGGGGGGAGGGGAGAAGGAGGGGAGAGGGAGGGAAGAGGAGGAGAAAGGAGAGGAGGGGAGGGGAGGGGAGGGAAGAAGACAGGCAATAATTCAAGAGTACTGTCCTAAAATTGAGAGGATAAAAAAAGACTCCTAAAACTGACAGGGGAAAAAAAGACCGGAAGCTACATATTAAAAAGATATACTATGATGAAGACTACAAAACTGATGAAAAAATTAAAGAACAATAAAGAGATATCTCAAACTTATGGACAGGAAGCTTCAATATCATTAAGATGTCAGTTTTTTTCCAACTTGATCTTTGGATTTAACATAATCCCAGCCAACCCAGCAAGCTCTTTTGTGGATACAGACATAATAACTCTAAAGTTTATATGGATATACAAAAGACCCAGAATAGCCAATACATAATTGAAGGAGAACAAAGTTGGGGGACTGACACTATGTGACTTCAAGAAATACTATAAAGCTACAGTAATCAGGATACTGGGGTACTGGCAAAAGAACAGGAAAAAAGTTGAATGGAATGGATACAGAGTTCAGAAATGGCCCCATACAGATATAGTCAACTGATCTTTGGCAAAGGAGCAAAGTTAATTCATCGAAGAAGGAATAGTATTTACAATAAGTGGTGCTAAAAAAACACTGTACATCTACTTACGAAAAAAATGTATCTAGACACAGACCTTATAACTCTTCAAAAATATTTACTCCAAATAAATCACATAACTAAATATAAAATGCAAAACTAGGCCGGGTGCAGTGGCTCACACCAGTAATCCCAGCACTTTGGGAGGCTGAAGCGGATGGTTCACTTGACCTCAGAAGTTTGAGACCAGCCTAAGCAACACGGAGAAACACCATCTCTACAAAACATACAAAAATTAGCCAGGCACAATGATGCACACTGGTGGTCCCAGCTACTTGGGGTTTGAGGTGGGAGGATCACATGGGCAAACCCTCTCTCTACTAAAAATACAAAAATTAGCCAGGCATGGTGGTGCATACCTGTTGTCCTAGCTATTCAGGAAGTTAAGGTGGAAGGATCACCTGGGCCCAGGGAGGTTGAGGCTGCAGTGAGCCATGTTGCAACACTGCACTCCAGCCTGGGCAACACAGTGAGACCCCATCTCAAAAAAAAAAAAAAAAAGACAATGTCAAGAGAACATGAAGAAAAGCCACAGACTAGGAGAAAATACAGGTTGACTATCTCTAATCCAAAATGCTCCAAAATATGAACCTTTTGGAACATTGTTATAATGCCCAAAGGAATGTTCATTGGAGCATTTCAGATTTTGGATTTACGGATTAGAGATACTCAACTGGTATAATGCAAACAGTCCAAAATCTGAAAAAAAAAACCCAATCCAAAACACTTCTGATCCCAAGCATTTCAGATAAGAGATACTCAATCCGTATTTGCAAAAGACATATTTGATAAAGGACCATTAACCAAAATATACTAAGAATTCTTAAACTCAACAATAAGAAAATAAAGTACCCAATTTAAAAATGGGTGAAAGATCTCAACAGGCAACTCACTAAGGTATACAGGTGGCAAAGCAGCATATAGTAAGAATCATATGAAAAGAGGTTCAACATCATATGTTATTAGGAGATTGCAAATAAAAACAACAACAAGATACCACTACACAGCAACTAAAATAACCAAAATCCAAAACACTGACAACACCAAATGCTGGAGAGGACATGGAGTAAAAGGAACTCTCATTCATACACTGCAAAATGGTACAGACACTTTGGGAGACTGGTGGTTTCTTACAAAACTAAACATACTCTTACTAGACAATCCAGCAACTGTATTCCTCTGTATTCACCCAAATGAATTGAAAACTTAAGTCCACACAAAAACCTGCTCATAGATGTTTATATCATCTTTATTCATAATTGCTATCACTTGGAAGCAATCACGATGTCTTTCAGTACATCTTGAAAGTGAATAAATAAACTGTGGCACATCCATACAATGTAATATTCTGCGCTAAAAAGTAATGAGCTATTGAGACACAAAAAGATTACAGAGGAACCTTAAGTGTATATTACTAAGTGAAACCATCCAATCTGAAAAGAGTACATACTGTATGAGTCCAATTACATGACATTCTGGAAAAGACAAAACTATGGAGATAGTAAAATAATCAGTGGTTGCCAGGGTTTGGAAGAAAGGGAGGGATAATATAAGCAGAGCACAGGGGATTCTTGGGGCAGCAAATTCTTGTGTAATAATAGTGGTTACATAGCATTATACATTTGTCAAAACCCAGGGCAATTAAAGCACCAAGAGTAAATTTTAATGTAAACTATACACTTTGGTGATAATGATGTGTCAACATTGGTCTATTGATTAAAACAAACGTACCTCTCTGGTGTGGGCTATTGATGGTGGGGGAGGCTGTGTGTGTATGGGGGAAGGGCATATACAGGAACTCTGTACTTTTCACTCAATTTTGCTACGTGTATTAGTCCGTTTTCATGCTGCTGATAAGGACATGCCTGAGGCTGGGAAATTCATAAAAGAAAGCGGTACAACTGAACTCACAGTTCCACATGGCTGGGGAGGCGTCACGATCATGGCAGAAGGCAAGGAGGAGCAAGTCACATCTTACATGGATGGTGGCAGGTTAAAAAAAAAAAAAGCTTGTGCAGAGAAACTCTCATTTTTTAAAAACCATCAGATCTCGTGAGATCCATTCACTATTACGAGAATATCATGGGAAAGACCTGCCCCCATAATTCAGGCATCTCCCACCAGGTTCCTCTCATAACACGTGGGAATCATGGGAGCTATAAGATGAGATTTGGGTGGGGACACAGAGCCAAACCATATCACTATGTATCCAAAACTCCTATAAGAAAAGGTCTATTAAACAAACAAAAAAAACCCACTATGTACTGTACTAGAAAAATAAACTCAATGCCAAAATATATTTTAAGAAAATGATTGGACTTTAAGTAAAAAGAAAGATATACTCTGAGCATCCAAGCAAAAAGACCAAATCACTTATAAGGTAAAGAAAATAAAACTGCCATCAGACTTTCTGCAGCAATGTTTTATGCCAGAATATAATTAAACTATATATTAAAGACAGTCAAGGAAAAAAAAGTAAGCCAAGGATTTTACATGCAGCCAAATCGACCCTCACAAATAAAGTCATAAGACAAACTGTTATGAAAATGGAAAATCTATGAGTGTAGTGTTCACACAAGTCCTTCCTAAGGAATCTATTACAAAAAGAGTTTCAAGCAATCAGAATGACTAAGGAGACACTGACATAAGAATTGGAAGACTAAAATAAAGAACACCAAGGATCTTTTATGTTTCTCATTTAATACACAAAACAAGCCTTGATAGTAGTGTTTCCATTCTACACATGGAGGAAATGAATGCCAAAGTCAGAGGAACTTATCCATTGTTGCTGAGCAAGTAATAAAGCCAGGATTGGAACCAAAGCCCATTCTCTTTCTACCACATGAAGCTACCTCCACATACACATGAGCTAAACCTTTGTCTTTGCATATACTAGAATAGCATACTGCCTGGAATTTCATTCTCCCCCTTATCTACCTTATGAGTTATTTGAAAAACAATCTTTGATACACCCAAAAATTGCTTATTCTCTGTGGCTTTCCCTTACCTAAAAGGGCCATATATATTGTCATTAATAAAACCGTATGGTACTGATAAAGAAAAGCCACCTCATCTGTGGTCCCAAAACTGCTTATTGTCTTGTGGCTCTCCCTTACCCAAAAGGGCCATATGTGTTATCATTAATAAAGGCATATAGTACTGATAAAGTAAAGCTACCTCAGCTGTGGCCGCAGAGCATTTCACAAAAAACATCTGTAACACAGATTTTGCCACATGTGATTTCGATGATGGTAAAAACTGTCACTTCTTTGGCTTAAAATCCCAATACAGAGCATATTCTTCCCAGTAAATGTATTTGGGAGAAAAAGAAGAGGGGAGATAACAGGTCTGGGATGTCTTTCTTGACTATACAAGATAAAGTTAATTACCTAAATATCTCTGCATTAATTCTGAACTTTGTGGGTACTTTTTATTCTTGTCCTTTTCACGCAATGTTATTATTTGTTTTCATTTTTGTCTGTCCTCTGAGAGCAAGAATGATCTTTTTTTCCTTTATAGCTTACCATCTAACATATAATAGTGAACACAACTAAGAAGTGTTCAATAAATAGTTGGTGACTGAATGAAGAGAAATCATAAGTTATTTCTCAGTTCCAATTCTGTGCAAATGGATTATGATGAATACGAAGAATGAAAGCCCAATTTTTATGCGGTTTAAGTATTACTGTACACCAAATTGCATATATTTAATTAATAAAACGACATCAAGGAATCAGAATCTAATATTTTAAAAGTAATAGTGTTAATGAGCATCAGCATATTATAGAGCTTTTAGACTACAAAAAAAATCTGAATTTTTTTCTCATTTTTTTCCAGAGAGTTTTGCACTGCAGAGTAAAATTATTATTATTATTTAAAAAAATGTTAGAGCCTGAAGGCATTTTTGTCTTGAATAAAGCCTGGAACATTTTGAAAAAGTTACTAGTATTTTTAATTAGTATTTGGCATACAACTGCAAAATTTCCTTATATGAGAATGTGAACAAATTAATTACAAACATATACACTTTTTGCCTTTTTTGCAGATGACTGTATTTCTCAATTCAAATTGTTTTCTCCCTTTAATATTAAAGAAAATAACAGAATTATTAGCAGCCTACTTTTGCCATTTCAGTAACATGTGTATAGGTTCGTTTCACTGGCTAATTCCATTATTGAACATATCAGCAGTGTCATCTCCTAGGTTATTTTTCCACCAGCTCTGGATATGAGTGTCACTAGAAGCTTTTTAAGGGGAGACAGAGAAAAAGAGTGAGAGAGATAGAGAAGGAAAAAGAACACAAAAGTGCAACACACACTCCTGCCTAGACACAACTTCTAAAAAGAGGAAAAGTACACTCCACTTCCTCATCATTTAAACAAGCTGTTTAATCTGAAAATACCTGTTTCATACATAGCCACTCTTCTTGATGCATAGCTGTAATACCAAAGGCCACAAAACTTATGGATCAGGAATATTTCCTCCTGCCTCATGACAACTCTCCTTCCCCAGTCCTAGAATTAATAATGTCTGTCATACCTACTAAAATACCTTTTAGTCAATCTCATTCTTGAATCCATATCAAAACAGACACAATTCATCTCAGTGCATTTCTCCTATATCTGTTTTCATGTAAAACATCATTCTGACTTTTCCAACTCCACCCATACACACTTCATTTTCCTTTTAGATCCCATCCAGGTCTATCAGGTCAAAACTCAAGACTACCATTTGGACAATCCCCCTAGAAAACACAATCATTCTCAATCTAATTAAAAAATTATTATAAGAGAAAGATAATTAAAAATAATTCACTTAAAATGGAAACATCTTAAAATACATAATTAGATTTTTAATAATATTACTTCTAGTATAGAAAAACTACCAGTTTCTCCTTACCACTTCTAATAGTTGTATTTTCTAATAGTTCTGTCTGAAGTTGTAGTTCAGCTTCTCCAAGTATCTTTAGAACAGAATCTGTCGGACTTTTCCCCCAGGCTCTTCTTGGAGATCCATTAGGACCTAATTTAATAACTTCTCCCACTGTATGTCCTATAAGAAAAATATACAAAGAAACAATTTTCAATAACAGTATAATAATACTGCATGGTAAGGCAGATTTTGAGTCTTTTATCCAATTGAGTGGTTCATGAGAAAAAAAGGTTATATCACAAAGACTTTCAGGGAAAGAATGATGAATAATGGCAAGAACAGAAGCAAATGAAACTAGCAATAAAAATATATCTACAATTGCCTTGTAGAATATGAATTAAATTCTAGTTTTGGGGAATATAAAAATAGGAAAAAACCATAAATTAATACAGACTGAGTATCTCTTATCTGAAATGCTTGGGGCCAGAAGTGTTTTGGATTTTGAATTTTTTTCAGACTTTGAAATATGTGCATATACATAACGAGAATCTTGTTGATGGGACCAAAGTCTAAACATGAAATTCATTTGTTTGTTTTTTAAGAGATAGAGTCTCACTATGTTGCCCAGGCTAGTCTTGGACTCCTGGGCTCAAGTGACCCTCCCACCTTGGCTTCCCAAAGTGCTGGGATTATAGGTGTGAACCACCACAAAGGGCCTCATTTATGTTTTACATCCATCTTATACACATAGACTTGAGGTAATTTTATATAATATTTTAAACAATTTTGTGAACAAAACGAAGTTCATATACATAGAACTATCAGAAAGCAATAGTGTCACTGTCTTGGCCACCCATGTGGGCCCTCTATGGTTGTTTGGCATCACCATCATTCCTGACTGTGAGTTTATATGCTGCTAATAAGCAATCATTTTCTTACACTTGTTCACACAAAAATACTTCGTAGTTAAAAAAAAAGAGAGACATACCATTACAGTGAAAAAATGTGTTTAAGATAACTAAGCAGCACAGTATTATCACCAGAATACCTGAGAGCTGTTAAGCAACCGCAGGCTTTCAGTCTCCACCCACGAAACTGGATTTTGATTAAAAGGTTACTCTATGCTGTCTTTCATTTTATGGGCAAAAAGAAATATCAGAAGCAGCTGAGGGATCAGAAAGGGATCTGAAGGGATGAGAAGGTATTCTATCAGATAGCTTTTTAAAATGGCTGGAGGGTCTTTTTGTCCTTGGGGATGCTGAATAAACCATGTGTTGTGTACCTTCACTTTGACTTTGACACATCACATGGGGTCAGATGTGGGGGTGTCACACTGGTACTCAAAAGTTTCAGATTTTGGGGCATTTTGGATTTCAGATTTTGGATTAGAAATGCTCAACCTGTATTATGTTTCTATAAAATCTTTATGTGAAAAAATAGAAAAAACTAAGATAAGTAAATACAATTGGGGGGAATATAAAAATAGAAGAAACAAATTAGTATTTCATTTCTATATATTAAACAGAAAAAATAGAAAACAAATCTTAAAATAAACATACATATGGATTAAAAAGCAGAGAAAAGTATTTCTAAGAAAATTTGTCCTGCTTTATTTATCATAAGTAGGCAAATAACTGCTACTTCCTTATTGACAATAATAATTTGGGGTAAACCATTTTAATAACATTTATCAAAGCAATATATAAAAATTATATACTGAAGTTTGAGTCTTTAGAATATTTGGTAATAATATATGAAGTATACAGGTACCTAGTAGTAACATACAGGATATAATATTATGTATTATGAGGCATAAGGTATATAGACATTCAATGGTAACCTAATACATATTGATACAGTTAATGTACCAGTTCCATGAAAGTACATGCAAATTAGCAGATAATAATTAGTTTCATACAGCCAAAATGATTACCAAGAGGAATTTCTTAAAGGATGGTTAAAATAGAGTAGAGAACCCAGAAATAGACCCATAACTTACAGTCATTTGATGTTTGACAAATATGCCAAAGAAATTCAAAAGGGGAAAAAGTTCTAACAAACAAAACTGGGATAACTAAATGTTCATAAGAGAAACCCTCCTGTCCCCCCCACCACTGGAATTTAACCCCTTCAATGCAGGGAGGGAAAACAGAGGTGGAGTCAATGGTCTCTCTGAGCTGAGGAGGTGGAAATGGGAGTCTAGGGAGGCCAAAGTGGCTAGTGTTTGCAAGATAGGAGTACTGAAGTAATACGTTTCACAGAGAGAGAACTCAGGAAAATTGTAAAAAGCCCCTTTGAGTCTTTACTTGAGTACTGATCAGCATATCAGTACATAATGTATAAAGAAATTTTAGAGAAAGTTTAGAGAAAAGACCACTCAAAAGAAGCAGAGGTAACAATACTTCGAGTTCACACAGTGCCAGAAAGAGTTCCTATTCCCATCAGCCAAAAAAGACTGATTTATAATTCACAAGGCACAAGGCAGATTATTCAGAAAGGTTGTTGATGCAGAAAAGGTAAAAGATTAGCAGTACGCTAATGCACAGTAATACTAATAAATACTAATAATATAGATTGCTGCTTTGTTCCAACTAACAAAGCTTAAAAGCAAGACTTGAAAGAGCCAAGCTATGCACAGGTAACTAAATTGTGTCCAAGAATAAAGGTCAAGAATATTTATAGAAATACAAAAATACATAGCACAAATATTAAAATTCACAACATTTGGACACCCCCAAAAAATTATCAAGCATGCACAGAAACAGAATATTAACTATAAAAAAGGAAGAAAAAAATCAATGAATCCAATCCAACTCTATAATGACAGAGATGATGTAACTAGTAGACAAGGACATTTATAACTGTCATTGTAACTGAATTCCATATGTTCAACAAGCTAGAGAGAAGACTGACCGTGATAGAGGTAAAGAAAACATTAATAAGATCCACACTGAACTTGTCCTAATGAAGTTCATATAAATGAACCTGTCCATTGAACTCGTCCATTCATACTGAAGACAGAAAAAAAAATAGAATAAATAATGGCCACGAGTTTTTCAAGTTTGATGAAAACTATAAACTCATAAATCCAAGATGCTCAACAAAACCCAAGCAAAAGAAACATGACGAAAGTGACATCAAGGCACATCACAATCAAATTCACTGAAACCAAGGCTACAGGGAAAAATCTGAAAAGGAGTCAGAGAAAAAAGACACAGAGGAATAAAACTAAAAATGAGGGTAACAGAAGACCTCATCACAAGTAATGTGCATAAGATGACAGTGGAGCAGCATCATTAAAGTACTAAAAGAAAAAAATTTCAATTTAGAATTCTATGTCTCAGAAAAAATATCTTTGCAAAAGGAAGGCTAAATAAAATAAAAATAAAAACTTTTACAAACATTTGTATGTCTTTAAAATAAAAACTTTTACAGACATACAAATGTTGAAAGAATCACCAGCAGGACTGTACTACAAAAAATCTTAAAGGAAGTCCTTCAGGCAGAAGAAAAATGATACAAAATAGATATCTTCTACACAAAAGAAATGAAAACTACATGGGTAGACACAAAATAGTTTTTTCTCTTATTATTTAAATCTTTTTAAAGAATAAATGACTCTGCTGTATTATGGGATTTATAGCATAAAAAAAAAATAGCACCAAAGGTTGGGAGGGAACAAATGTAAGTACAGGTGACCCTCAAACAAAGTTCTGAGATGCCAGGGTTCACTTATAAACAAATTTTCTTCCACCTATGCCACCCCTCAGACGCCAAGACCAACCCCCCAACTTCCTCCTCTTCAGCCTACTCAATGTGAAGATGATGCGGATGAAGGCTTTTATGATGATCCATTTCCACTTAATAGTAAATATATTTTCTCATTCTTATCATTCTCTTAGTAACATTTTCTTTTCTCTTGATTCCTATTATGAGAATATAGTATATAATACGTATAACATGTAAAATATGTGTTAATTGGCTTTATGTTATTGATAAGGCTTCTGGTCAACAGTAGGCTATTACTAGTTAAATTTTGGGGGAGTTAAGAGTTACACACAGATTTTTGACTACACGGGGGATTCAACACCCCCAACCCCCGTATTATTCAAGGGTCAACTGTATATTATTGTAATAATCTTATACCATATATGAAGTATAACTCAATTGAAGATAGGCTGTGCTAAGTTAATACACTGTGCTACAATAATACACTATAAACTCTGAAGCAAACACTGAAATAACAATGAGCTATAGCTAATAATTCAACAACAGAGGTAAAATGGAATAATAAAAAATAACCCCAAATAATGCAAAACAGGAGGAAAAAGGAAAGAAAGCATAGATGAGGCAAACAAAAAACAAATAGAAAAATGGTACACAGACAGTCCCTGACTTATGATGGTTCAACTTAAGATTTTTCAACTTTACAATGGGTTTATTAGACTGTAATCCCATTGTAAATTGAGGAGCATCTGGATTTAAATCCAATCACATTAATAATCACATTAAATGTAAATGATCTAAACATACCAGTTAAAGGTTATGATTTTTACCAGTTAAAGATTTTTCAACTTTACAATGGGTTTATTAGACTGCAATCCCATTGTAAATTGAGGAGCTCTGGATTTAAATCCAATCACATTAATAATCACATTAAATGTAAATGATCTAAACATACCAGTTAAAAGTTATTTTAAAGGATTAAAAATGAATTTAACAATATGCTGCCCATAAGAAACCCATGTTAAATATAAAGACACATACAGATTAAGAGGAAAAAAAAGGATAAAGATATACCAGGTTAACACTGAGCAAAACAAAGTAGGAGTGACTATATCAATATCAAACAAAGAAAACTTTTAATAAAGCAAAGATTTTTTTAAAAAGAACAAGCTATTAATAATTACAACACAGATGAATCTCAAAAATCATTATGCTTTCAGCCAGAGGTGAGAGATTAGGGAAAAATAATCATTATGCTTGAGTGAAAGAAGCCAGACATAAAAGAATACAAACGATTAGAGTCTGTTTATATGATATTCTAGAACAGGAACATTTAATCTAAGGTAGAAAAAAAATTCAGAAAAAGTTGCCCCTGGGAGGATAAGAACAGAGAACGATTAGGCAGGGGCAAACTTTCTGGGGTGATGTTAATGTTCTGTATCTTGATGGGGGTTCTTATTTTGTAGCTCCCAGCATTTGTTAAAAACCAGTAAATATATATTTGTAATGTGTGCATTTCATTGCATGTAAATTTAACATAAATGAAAAAACAAACATTGAACTCTAATAAATAATTACATGCTGTGAAATACTTAGGGCAAGGTATACCAATGTCTGCAATTTACTCTGAATTGCATGAAACAATGACAAACCAATTGATGGTTTTGCTATCAGGATGATGCTGGTCTCATAAAATTAGTTAGGGAGGAGTCCCTCTTTTTCTGTTGTTTGGAATAGTTTCAGAAGGAATGGTACCAGCTCCTCTGTACCTCTGGTAGAATTCGGCTGTGAATCTGTCTGGTCCTGGGCTTTTTTTGGTTGGTAGGCTATTAATTACTGCCTGAATTTCAGAACTTGTTATTGGTCTATTTTCAGGGATTCGACTTCTTCCTAGTTTAGTCTTGGGAGGGTGTATATGTCCAGGAATGTATCTATTTCTTCTAGATTTACTAGTTTATTTGCATAGAGGTGTTTATAGTATTCTCTGATGGTAGTCTGTATTTCTGTGGGATCAGTGGTGATATCCCCTTTATCATTTTTTATTGTGTCTATTTGATTCTTCTTTTCTTCTTTATTAGTCTGGCTAGCCGTCTATCTATTTTGTTAATCTTTTCAAAAAACCAGCTCCTGGATTCACTGATTTTTTTTTGAAGGGCTTTTCATGTCTCTATCTTCTTTCAGTTCTGCTCTGATCTTAGTTATTTCTTGTCTTCTGCTAGCTTTTGAATTTGTTTGCTCTTGCTTCTCTAGTTCTTTTAATTGTGATATTAGGGTGTCAATTTTAGGTCTTTCCCATTTTCTCCTGTGGGCATTTAGTGCTATAAATTTCCCTCTAAACACTGCTTTAGCTGTGTCCCAGAGATTCTGGTACAGTGTGTCTTTATTCTCATTGGTTTCAAAGAACTTATTTATTTCTGCCTTAATTTCATTATTTACCCAGTAGTCATTCAGGAGCAGGTTGTTCAGTTTCCATGTAGTTGTGAGGTTTTGAGGGAGTTTCTTAATCCTCAGTTCTAATTTGATTGCACTGTGGTCTGAGAGACCGTTTGTTATGATTTCCATTCTTTTGCATTTGCTGAGGAGTGTTTTACTTCCAATTATGTGGTCAATTTTAGAATAAGTGCTATGTGGTGCTGAGAAGAATATACATTCTGTTAATTTGGGGTGGAGAGTTCTGTAGATGTCTATTAGGTCTGCTTGGTGCAGAGCTGAGTTCAAGTCCTGAATATCCTTGTTAATTTTCTGTCTTGTTGATATGTCTAATATTGACAGTGGGGTGTTAAATCTCCCACTATTATTATGTGGGAGTCTAAGTCTCCTTGTAGGTCTCTAAGAACTTGCTTTATGAATCTGGGTGCTCTTGTATTGGGTGCATATATATTTAGGATAGTTAGAGCTTCTCGTTGCATTGATCCCTTTACCATTATGTAATGCCATTCTTTGTCTTTTTTGATCTTTGTTGCTTTAAAGTCTGTTTTATCAGAGACTAGGATTGCAACCCCTGCTTTTTTTTTTTTTTTTTGCTTTTCATTTGCTTGGTAAATATTCCTCCATCGCTTTATTTTGAGCCTATGTGTGTCCTTGAATATGAAATGGGTCTCCTTAATACAGCACACTGATGAGTCTTGACTCTTTATCCAATTTGCCAGTCTGGGTCTTTTAATTGGGGCATTTAGCCCATTTACATTTAAGGTTAATATTGATATGTGTGAATTTGATCCTGTCATATGATGCTAGCTGGTTACTCTGCCCATTAGTTAGATGCAGTTTCTTCATAGTGTCAATGGTCTTTACATTTTGGTATGCTTTTGCAGCGGCTGGTACTGGTTTTTCCTTTCCAAGTTTAGTGCTTCCTTCATGAGCTCTTATAAGGCAGGCCTGGTGGTAACAAAATCCCTTAGCATTTGCTTGTCTGTAAAGGATTTTTTCACTTATGAAGCTTAGTTTGACTGCATATGAAATTCTGGGTTGAAATTCTTTTCTTTAAGAATGTTGAATATTGGCCCCCACTCTATTCTGGCTTGTAGGGTTTTTGCAGAGAGATCTGCTGTTAGTTCAATGGGCGTCCCTTTGGGGGTAATCCAACCTTTCTCTTTGGCTGCCCTTAACATTTTTTCCTTCATTTCAACCTTGGGAATCTGACGATTATGTGTCTTGGGGTTGCTCTTCGCAAGGAGTATCTTTGTGGCGTTCTCTGTATTTCCTGAATTTGAATGTTGGTCTGCCTTGCTAGGTTGGGGAAGTTCTCCTGGATAATACCTTCAAGTGTGTTTTCCAACTTGGTTCCATTCTCCCCGTCACTTTCAGGTACACCAATCAAACATAGATTTGGTCTTTTCACATAGTCCCATATTTCTCGAAGGGTCTGTTGTTTGTTCCTTTTCATTCTTTTTTCTCTAATCTTGTCTTCACTCTTTATTTCATTAGGTTGATCTTCAATCCCTGATATCCTTTATTCCACTTGATTGATTTGGCTATTGATACTTGTGTATGCTTCACAAAGTTCTCTTGCTGTGTTTTTCAGCTCCATCAGGTAATTTATGTTGTTCTCATAACTGGTTATTCTAGTGATAGTTCCTGTAACTTTTTATCAAGGTTCTTAGCTTCCTTGCATTGGGTTAAAACACACTCCTTTAGCTTGGAGAGTTTGTTATTACCCACCTTCTGAAGCCTACTTCTGTCAATTCATCAAACTCATTCTCCGTCCAGTTTTGTTCCCTTACTGGCAAGGAGTTGTGATACTTTGGAGGAGAAGAGGCATTCTGGTTTTGGGAATTTTCAGCCTTTTTGCGTTGGTTTTTCCTCATCTTCGTGAATTTATCTACCTTTGGTCTTTGATGTTGGTGACCTTTGGATGGGGTTTTTGCTTGGGTGTCCTTTTTGTTGATGTTGATGCTATTGCTTTCTGGTTGTTAGTTTTCCTTCTAACAGTCAGGCCCCTCTTCTGCAGGTCTGCTGGAATTTACTGAAGTTCCATTCCAGACCCTGTTTGCCTGGGTATCTCCAGTGGAGGCTGCAGAACAGCAAATATTGCTGCCTGATCCTTCCTCTGGAAGCTTCGTCGCAGAGAGGCACCCGCCAGATGCCAGCTGAAGTTCTCCTGTTTGAGGTGTCTGTCGTCCCCTGCTGGGAGGTGTCTCCCAGTCAGGAGGCACGGGGGTCAAGAATCCACTGGAAGAGGCAGTCTGTCCCTTAGCAGATCTTGAGCGCTGTGGTGAGAGATCTGTTCCTCTCTTCAGAGCCAGCAGGCAGGAAAGTTTAAGTCTGTTGAAGCTGTGCCCACAGCTGCCCCTTCCCCCAGGTGCTCTGTCCCAGGGACATGGGAGTTTTTTCTATAAGCTCCTGACTGGGGCTGCTACCTTTCTTTCAGAGATGCCCTGCCCAGAGAGGAGGAATCTAGAGATGCCTCTCTAGATTCTGGCTACAGCGGCTTTGCCATGCTGTGTTGGGTTCTGCACCCAGTTCAAACTTTCTGTCAGCTTTGTTTACAAAGCCTCAGTAATGGCAGATGCCCCTCCCCACACCAAGCTTGAGCATCCCAGGTCAACTTCAGACTGCTGTGCAGGCAGCGAGAGTTTCAAGCCAGTGGATCTTAGCTTGTGGGGCTCCGTGGGGGTGGGATCCGCTGAGCAATACCACTCGGGTCCCTGGCTTCAGCTCCCTTTCCAGAGGAGTGAACAGTTCTGTCTTGCTGGCATTCCAGGTGCCACTGAGGTACAAAAAACAAAAAAAACAAAAAAAAACAAAAAACTCCTGCAGCCAGCTCGGTGTCTCCCCAAACGGCCATCCAGTTTTATGCTTGATACCCAGGGCCCTGGTTGTATAGGCACCCAAGGGAATCTTTTGGTCTGTGGGTTGTGAAAACCATCGGAAAAGCGTAGTATGTGGGTCAGATAGCACCGTCCCTCACGGCACAGTCCTTCATGGCTTGCCTTGGCTAGAGGAGGGAGTTCCTCAACCCCTTGCGCTTCCCAGGTGAGGCAACGCCCCACCCTGCTTCTGCTCTCCCTCTGTGGGCTGCACCCACTGTCTAACCAGTCCCAATGAGATGAACTGGGTACCTTAGTTGGAAATGCAGAAATCACCTGCCTTCTGCATTGGTCTCACTGGGAACTGCAGACCAGAGCTGTTCTTATTTGGCCATCCTGACACTTTCCCCCAACTTACTTGTATCTTTCTACCTTTGCCTCCATGCATCCTTTCACAATGGCAATGGTCTATTGCCTCAGAGGTGCTCTCAATCATCTCCAGCCCCACCATCTCAGAGATCTCACAACACCAGTGTCTCTCCTCATTATTTATGTTTTTGTCCTCACATTCATTTATTTAATAACTACTTTTCATGTATAAATTACATGCTACATGACGGAGCATAAACATGCAGTACAAATAAGACAAGCTTTATCAAAATGTTTATATTCTAAAACAGAACACAGGCAAATTATACTTAAACAAATGAAGAAGATAATTACAGTATGTGATTAGTTCTTTAAAAATAATAAATAAAAGAACTCAGAAATAAAAAATCAAATACTGGCCGGGCACAGTAGCTCACACCTGTAATCCCAGCACTTTGGGAGATGGAGGGAGGAGGATTGTATGAGGCCAGGAGTTCAAAAGCAGCCTGGTTAACATAGTGAGTCCACCATCTCTAACAAAAAAGAAAAAAAAAAAATTAGCCGGGCATGGCAGCACGTGCCTGTAGTTCCAGCTACTCTGGAGGCTGAGGCAGGAGGATCATTTGAGCCCAGAAATTTTAAGATACAGTCAGCCATGACTGCAGCACTGTATTCCAGCCTGTCTTGAAAAAAAAAAAAAAAACTGCATATTCTTACAGAATTCTAAGTGGGAGCTAAACAATGGGTAAACATGGACATGGAGGCAAATAATAGACACTGGGGACTCCAAAAGGGGAGAGGCTGGGCAGGGGTGAGGGTTGAAAAATTATCTATTGGGGTACCAATACCAATTACCTATTGGGGTACCATGTTCACTATTTTGAGTGGTAGGTACACTAGAAACCCAATCCTCACCATAATGCAATATATACATGTAACAAACCTGCACATGTACACCCTGAATCTATAGAAATAAAATAGATTTAAATAAATAAATATTTAAAGTACAGAAATAATATTCAATGATTTGAAAATAAGAGAAGGGTCAGGCATGGTGGCTCATGCCTGTAATCCCAGCACTTTGGGGAGCCAAAGTGGGTGGGTCACTTGAGGCCAGGAGTTTGAGACCAGCCTGGGCAACATAGCAAAACACCATCTCTCCAAAAAATACGAAAGAGAGAGAGAGAGAGGTCTACTATTAATAGAGGGGAGAAAAGTGAAGAAAGTGCTTCAAGAAGAGTGTGTATGTGTGAGCACACGTGCGTGTGGGTATGGACAATAATCCAGGATGTCGAAGCTGTAAATACATAAAATAGGGCCTTTAAAACTTACCGACATGAAGGTCTATAGTGACCATGAAAAGAATTGTAATGGAGTGGTAGAGGAAAAAGTCTGGTTGAAGTAGATTAAGGGAGAATAAAGGAGAGGAACTAGAATTGTAAACAGAGAACACTTTTGAAGAATTCTGATATAAAGAGGACTTTTAGAAATGGGGTGATAGCTAAAGAACAGGGACAGAAAAAAAAAGAGAAGCAGCCACATTAAGGACTTGGGAAAGAGGGAAGGGGAAGAGTACGATGGAAAAGAAAGAGCTTGGCATGTTTTAAGAAGTGAAAGGTGAGAAGTAGTTCTAGTGAACTAGTTAGAAGGAAATGGATACAATGAGCAGGCAACGCATAAACCAAGAGAGAGGAGAGACTTGAATCATTAAAAGAACTTTGGACTTTTATTCTAGTTGCAATGAAAACCAATTAGGTTTTAAAATGAGACAGTGATGTGATATACTTTGGTTTTCTAATCAGCATAAAATATTTTCAAGTCTCTTTTTACACAAGGTTACAATGACTCTACATCCCCACCAAGTAATACCATCTTACCTCTCTGTTCTGCTTCGCAGTTCAGCTTCTTGAAAAGGTTCTAAACTCTCTTTTTAAATTTCCTCTCCTATTCACTTCCTAATTCTTGGATTCTATTTCTGTCTCTAGCACTCTAATGACACTGCTTTTACCAAGCTCACATTGCCTCTTCTCTGACGAATCCAGTGTATATTTTTTAGCCTTGAATATGTTACCTCTCTTCCTGAAGTGCTTTCTTCTTTCTTTGGAACCCATACTACAGTCTCCTAATTTTATCTCTGTCTGTTCCTCATTTTCTTTGCAAAGGTCTTCCTCTGATGAACTCTTTGAACAGTTTCACATAAAGCCCCTATAAGTCTGTCTCCTAGTATCTTTTAAATATCTCCTCTTTATTACCTTTCAGTAATTTAGTTAAGGTCATCATTAACTTCTGCCTAGATTAGTGCAATAGCCTCTAAAAACTGGTTTCAAGGATATCTACTTCTTATTAAGATGGTATAGAGTAATTAGAGTTATGCTGCTCCCTAAATAACCAAAACAACTGGACAAAATATGAGACAGCAGTTTCAAGACATTGTACAACAGGTAATAAAGAACATGGGTCCCTGAGAGAGGGAAAAAACAAAAACAAAAACAAATGAGATGATCCCTATGATTGCCCAGCCTTTAGAGTTTTCAGGCTATAGCTAATGGGTCTACCACACTCCCTGAGTTCAGGAGGTAGAGCTGGGATTCCTGGAAGACCAAAGCAACTAGAAAGAGAATTCCAGAGACCTGCAGATGGTAGCCCTGAGTATGAGCAGAGCAAATATATGAGAAAACTACCCAAGTTAGGAAAAAAAGCACCCAAAAAGATTACAGAGAACACAAGACATGAAATAGTGTCTATTCCTACCAGCCAAACTGGAAAACCTCATCATTCCTTCCGTAGAGCACTCAGAAGCATCTTATCTCCTAAATGGGTATAATTAGCATTAGACTAAACATGGCTCTGATCTCACCTCACAAATATTAAAAATAAGACATGAATGAATCAAACTGAGTCCAAGTATTATAACTTAACTGCATTCTAGAATAAATCTCCAGAATAATTACAAAAATAAAAAAATACCTAGCACCCAACAAGGTAAAATGCAAAATGTCTGACATCCAATTAAAAACAACCAAGCCTGCAAAGAAGCAGAAGAATACAACCTGTAACAAGGAGAAAAGGCAATCAATAAAATGGACCCAATAAAATTCTAACATTTGACACAGATGTCAGAATAAGTAAAGACATTAATAAAATTTTCACAACTGTATTCCATATGATCAAAAAAGTTAAGTAGAGACATGGCAGATAGAAAAACAACTCCTTAAACTTCTGGAGGTGAAAACTACAATATCTGAGATGAAAAGTACATTGAATAGAATTAATAGCAGATTGGGTATGGCAGGAAAAAAAGACTATCATCTATTAAAGATAGAGCAATAGAAACTATCCACAATGAAACACAACAAGAATCTAAAAAATTAAAGTAAAAAGAGCACCACTGAGGTATGAGACAGAAAGTAAAACTGGAGTCCCTAAAGGACAGAAGAAGGAGGAGGCATGGAAAAAATATTAGAAGAAATGATGGCTGAAAGTGTTCCAAATGTGACAACCATAAACCCAAAGACACAAGAAGCTCAATGAATCCCAAGGACAGGAAGCATGAAGAAAACTATACCAAGGCACTTTACAATCATATTGCTCAAAACCAGTGATAAAGACAAATCATAAAAGCAGACAGATAGTGTCCCCACCCAAATCTCATCTCAAATTATAACCCTGTGTTGAGGGAGGGAGGTGACTGGATCATGGGGGCTCTTCCAAGGCTGATTTATGGTCTCTTATGTATTCCTGCAGTAGTCTATGATTATTCCTAGCACAGTATTTATCAACTACAATTATCTCTTTACTTGCCTGCCTTTCCACTAGACCTTAAGCTCCCTAAGGGGAGGGACTACATTCTAAACATTATTATATTCCCATTGCTTAAGAGTGTATTACATATGGTAGGTACCCAATAAAGAACTGTTGAATAAATAAGCAAAATAAATGCTATCAAGTCTTTGGGCTTTTTTCCAATGCAAGAAAAAATTCTACAAAAACAGTCTGTGAAAAAAATTACTTAAAATCAGATTTGTTGATGGTCAGACTTGCCCTTCTAGAATGTAAGCTCCACAAGAGCACATATGTTTCTGTTTTGTTCCTATATCTCCAATTCCTAGAACAATGTAAGAAATATAGATTCTCAGTAATTATCACCGAATATATAAATCATTAAGTCAGATTTTCTCAATACTCTCGCTAAATGCCTAAGAGATGTTTCTGAGACACTACCCTGGTTCTCATCAAGAATTATTCATAGTAACAGATTAATTTAACATGGTATACAGAGTTAAAGTAATGCAATTTAAATATGTATCATTAGTTCCCTCTCTCACACTATACACTTTTGTAATAAAAATCCTTGCTATTAAGGCTGATTAGTTTGATTAGTTTTCTCTGCTCTTCACATTTCACTGTGAGAGGGAGGCACTTCTATTCGCCCAAAAGGAAAATATATAGAATTCTTTCAGCTTCTCTCAATTCTTCTAAGTGTTCATTTTTTTCAGAGTGGTTAGTCTATAAGTTTACATATGTACTAGACCTAAATAGGATATTAATATACTACTATACATACTTTCAGTTGTAGAGAAGGATGTATCTAGTGTTAACTCATCCAGAGGAATCACAAGTTGACCTCCTGCCTCCCACTTCTTGCGATCAGATGAAACTGATTTTTCTTTTTCATGCTCTTTGGCATCTTCATGAACATTTATCTCAAAAGTATCAGAGAGATTCTGCTTTCCTTTTTCATCTTCTTGAGCTTTAAGATTTTCATTTAATCTACGAAGTATTTCTCGCTTACTCTGAAAGTCACGACATTATATATTTTAATATGTATATCATTAAGTAAAATGATTGATAAACTTTGAAAATTTTACTTACTGAAATAGCATTGTTGGTCTTTTGCATCTCTTCTGAAGTTTCCCGGGTATCAGTTAAACTACTGTCCTTTAAATGCAGATAGATACAGAGGAAGAGATAATTTTATTTTTTTAAATCTACCTTTAAAAATATTACATCCTCGTTACTTTTTGGTTTTCATTAATTTGTTCCTTGTAAATTTTTTATTCCTATAAAATGTTAACAAAGCTTCCTTCATTATCAGCAATGACTAACCTTTAAATATTATTAATTAGACAACATAGACAGGGGCCAATTCTCAATTATTTGTCATATTTTTAGATTACTGCTCACATAATTAACTATATCCTCTTCCTCTTTGGTACCTGATTTTTTGGTAATTTAAGTCAGAAAATTAGAGGAAAAAGTAGAAATTAGAGGAAAAAGTAGAAATTAGAGGAAAATTCATATACTCTCTTAATTATAACTAGAAAAAGTTTTGATAGATGAAGTAATTCAAAATAGGCTGTGTTATTCTAAAACTGTCTTTATGTTTCATGTATATATATCCTTGTTAAGCCATAGTACTAAATGTAATTGAGAAGTGGCTTTCCTCCCTAAACAAAGAGTGTAACAAAAATTAGTTCTGAGTCATTTGTACTACAAATGACATAAATGTTATCTCCTAATTAGCATTGTCAAAGCAATCCAGACTATCTAAAATTAAAAAACATACGAAAAGAAGAAATTAGCAGTTACGAAAGCTATGAAAGCAAAGGCATGTAGAAGATTCAAAGAACAATTTTCTAAGTTTTAAGTAAGTGACATTTACCAACACAACACAGAAAGAAAACCGTTCAGTTATATGGATTACCTCGAATTTTGTAATACTTAAAAAAAATTAAAAATTTGGTGGTCAGTTTCAAAGTAATATATGAAGCAATGAGACAAAGAACATTTTACCCAGTAAAGTAGTCAGGAATTAGCAGTCCTACAACCAGAGAGATGAACAGCTATTGAGATGTGAGACTGGGTACCAAGGAGGGACCACACAGTGGTATCTAAAGTTGGAGTAACAACGTGGCACACGCAAAGTCGTTATCAGAAAGAAAAAGTGACTAAGCCTACTTGAAGAACAATAGTTTCTTACATGAAGTTCTTGAGAATGATCAAGAAACTTATATTTTCCTACTGAGTTTTATTTTCAAAATCAACCCAAAGGCTATAAAAAAAAACAGCTAGTGTACCAATTTTGTCTGCAAATATTTACTGAAACTAAACAAATAAAAAGCACAGACATCCATTACCAGGAAAGGGGAAAATGAAGTTATTATGTTATCTGATTCAGTAGACTTTTCTCCTCCTGTCTGTTGAATTCTAGGCCGCAGCTCCACACTATGAGCCCACTTCTCTTAACCCCTGAACAGTCTTCACACTTCAGACAGATACCTGAAATATACTTCTAAGTTTAAGCTTTTTATTTGTCTATGTTTCTTTGTTTTACTATCTGTAGGGCATGACAGAGATTCAGAAGTAGAAGGTAAAAGGAATAACTGATGAATTAACTAGTTCTACTGAGTCCTCTAACATTTGCCATGTCACAAAATTTGAATAAATGTAAATATGTGTTGGACCTAATACCTAGAGCTACTTTAGCACCAAAGAGACATTATTCTTTTTAAAGTGAACATTTGTTAATCATGAGGGTTGGGTAGAAAAATGTTTATAGTATTATTTTCAGTACATTTCTCTGTATATTTTATTTTTTCAATATTCTTTTAAAGTAATATAAGAGTTATTGTGATATATTTTCATCTACCACGTGGTCCTAGATATAAAACTTATAAACAATGAGGCTCCAGTATTCTGAGTAAACTAAAATCCCTTAAAAAGTAATTTTTTTCCTTAGAAAAACCTGAAAGGGACATTAGGGATTAATGTGATTTCATTAAATTTAATTTCCTTTTAAATAATCTTTTGACTTTGAGGAGTTCTGAATCTTAGGAAACTTACCACGCCAACTTCTTTCAAAGCTGAAGTTACAGAAATAACAGATCTCATCTGTTGCTTTGATGGAGAGCCACCTGTTTCATGCTGTCCCAAAGGTGGAGAAACATCAGAACTCTTAACTCCTTTAGCCACCAACTATAAAAAAGGATTTTATTAAATACATTAGGGATTTTATATTTGTATGAAGAAATAAAATGGTACCTACCAGATCACTATTTATCCACTCTATCCACAAGTAGTTTTTTTCATTCCTGAATTATCTGTTGAGCAAGGCATTATGATGCTACATGCTGGGGATACAGCAGTGACTAGAGAAAAAAATCTCTGGTCTCAGATGTACACATAGTCATGTCACATAGTCCTAAATAACCCGCTTTCATTGCATTATCAATGTTTCATGAAATGATCCTGAAAAACTGTCTTTTAAAGATTCAAGTGTAAGATTTTGTTAATCTTACACTTCTAAAAGAAATGCTTTTGTAATTCCTGCAGGTTTGGGTACAATCTTCTCAAAGTTCAAATATCAATTACTCAACATAAGAGCCCTCATAAAAATGCCAACATAAATGAGAATGGAAGGAGAAACAGATCCAGGTAATAAGATTTACTTCACTGAAAACATCATGTTGTATTAACATATGTGCTTGTTTTTATGTTGCCATTTAAACTCTAAACAAAGTAAGATTATGAAACCTGAATTAATACAAGGAAATGACATTTATGGGTATGACAATAGTAACACAGCAGGAAGTTTACTCCCTACTCCCTATTCCTAGTCTTCCTCAATCTAGGAAACAAGACTTTCTGGGGAGTATACATTTCAAACACAATATTTATTGAGTATCTTCTAAAAATACAGTAATAATACAATCTTAATATTTAGGCTTCTAGACCTTCACTTTACAACAATACAGGCATACCTCTGAGATATTACGCACTTGGTTCCAGACCACTGCAATAACGGTAATATTGCAATAAAGTGAGTCACACAAATTCTGGGGTTTCTCAGAGCATACAAAATTTATGTTTACACGATTCTGTAGCCTATTAAGTGTGCAACAGCATTATGTCTAAAAAACAATGTACACACCTTAATAAACACCTCATTCCTAAAAAAAAAAAAAAAAAAAAGCTAATGATTCTTCTGAGCCTTCAATGAATTGTAATTATTTTGCTGGTGGAGGGTCTTGCCTTGATACTGATGGCTACTGACTGATCAGGGTGGTGACTCCTGGATGTTGGGGTGGCTATGACAATTTCTTAAAATAAGACAAAAATGAAGTTTGCTGCATCCATTGACTCTTTCATGAAAATATTCTTTTGATTTTGTAAAAATATTTTTAAAATTCTTTATTATTTAAATAAAGATGAGGTCCACTATATTGCCTAGGCTGGTCTTGAACTTCTGGCTTCAATGACTGTCCTGACTCAGTCTCCCAAAGTGCTGGGATTACAAGCGTAAGCCACTGTGCCCAGCCCATGAAAATATTTATCTGCAGCATGTGATGCTGTTGCATTTTACCCACAGTAGAACTTCTTTCAAAACTGGAGTCAGTCATCTCAAACCCTGCTGTTGCTTTATCGACTAAGTTTACAAAATATTCTAAATCCCTTATCATTTCAACAATGTTCAAAACAGCTTCACCTTCGTAGACTCCACCTCAAGAAACCACTTTATTTGCTCCTCCATAAGAAGCAATTCCTCATCCATTCAAGTTTATCATGAGATTGTAGCAATTCAGTCATATCTTCAGGCTCCCCTTGCCATTCTACTTCTCTTGCTATTTCTACCACATCTACACTGACTTCCTCCACTGAAATCTTGAAGAATGGAGTCAACTTCTTCCAAACTCCTGTTAATGTTGACATTAACATTAACATGACATTAACTCCATGAATCAAAAAAGTTCTGAATGGCATCTAGAATGATGAATGATGAATACTTTTTAGAAGGCTTTCAATTTACTTTGCCCAGATCCATTAGAGGAACCATTATCTATGGCTACAGCCTTAAAAAAATGTATTTCTTAAATAAGAAGACCTGAAAGTCAAAATGACTTCTTGATACATTGGCTGCAGAATGGATGTCGTGTTAGCAGGCATGAAAACAACATGAATCTCTTTGTATAATACATCTCCATCAGAGCTCTTGGGTAACTAGGTGCCTTGTCAATGAGTAGTAATATTTGGAAATAATTTTTTTTTTCTAACCAGTAGGTCTCAACAGTGGGCTTAAAATATTTACAGCAAACCGTGCTGTTAACAGATGTGCAGTCATCCAGGCTTTATTGTTCCATTTATAGAACACAAATAGAATAGATTTAGCATAATTCTTAAGGGTCCTAGGAGTTTCAGAATGGCAAATGAGCACTGGCTTCAACTTAAAGTCACCAGCTGCATTAGCTCCCAACAAGAGAGTCAGCCAGTCTTTTGAAGCTTTGAAGCCAGCTATTGACTTCTCTTTAGCTTTGAAGCCAGGTATTGACTTCTCTTTAGTTATGAGAGTCCTAGATGGCATCTTCTTCCAATAGAAGGCTGTTTTATCTACACTGAAAATCTGTTGTTTAGTATTACCACCTTTATCAATGATCTTAGCTATATCTCCTGGATAATGTACTGCAGTTTCTCCATCAGCACTTACTGCTTTACCTTGCACTTTCATGTTATGGAGGTGGCTTCTTTCCTTAAACCTTATGAACCAATCTCTGCTAGCCAACAATTTTTCTTCTGTAGCTTCCTTATCTCTCCTAGTCTTCACGGAATTGAGGAGAGTTAGGGCCTTGCTCTGGATTAGGCTTTGGCCAAAGAGAATGTTGCGGCTGGTTTGATCTTCTATCTAGACCACTAAAGCTTTCTCCATATCAGCAAGAAGGCTGTTTTGCTTTCTTTCTTTCTTTTTTTTCTAAGAGATGGGGTCTTGCTCTGTCACCCAGGCTGGAGTGCAGATCCAGGCACAATAATAGCTCACTGCAACCTTGAAATCCTAGGCTCAAATGATCATTCTGCCTTAGCTTCTCAATGTGGTTGGGACTATAGGTGTGTGCCACCACATCCAGCTAATTTTTCTTTCTTTCTTTCTTTCTTTTTTTTTTTTTAGAGACAGGTTCTCACTATGTCATCCATGCTAGTCTCAAACTTCTGGCCTCAAGCAATTCTCGTGCCTCAGTCTCCCGAGTTGCTGAGACTACAGGCACCTGGCTGTTTCGCTTTCTTATCATGTGTGTTCACTGGAGTAGAACTTTTTTTTTTTCTGAGATGGAGTCTTGTACTGTCGCCCAGGCTGGAGTGCAATGGGGTGCAATGGCTCAGTGAAACCTCCGCCTCCCTCCTGGATTTACATGATTCTCCTGCCTCAGCCTCCTGAGTAGCTGGGATTACAGGCACACACCACCACGCTCAGCTAATTTTTTGTATTTTTAGTAGAGATGGGGTTCACTATGTTAGCCAGGCTGGTCTCAAACTCCTGATCTCATGATCCACCTGCCTCGGCCTCCCAACATGCTGGGATTACAGGCGTGAGCCACTGCACCTGGTCTGGGGTAGCACTTTTAATTTCCTTCAGGAACTTTTCCTTTGCATTCACAACTTGGATAACTGGCGCAAGAGGCTTAATTCTGTGCCTATCTCAGCTTTCAATATGCCTTCATCACCAAGCTTAATCTTGATTTCAGGTGACAGACATGCAACTCTTTTACTTGAATACTTAAGAGGCCACTGTAAGTCATTAAGTGGCCTAATTTCAATATTATTTTGTCTTAGGGAATAAGATCTGAGGAGTGAGACAGGGGAACTACCAGTCAGTGGAGCAATTAGAACACACACATTCATCAATTAAATTTCCCATCTTATATGGGTGAAGTCTGTGGTGCCTCAGAACAATTACAACAGTAATATCAAAGATATAATGACAATAATGAAAAAGTTTGAAATATGGCAAGAATTACAAAAATGTGACACAAAGACACAAAATGAGCAAAAGCTGTTGGGAAAATGACACTGATAGACTTGCTTGATGCAGGGTTGCCACAAACCTTCAATTTGTAAAAAATGCAGTATTTATGAAGCACAATAAAACAAAGTATGCCTGTATTTATTTTGTTCAAAAAAGGATGGAAACATTGCTTTAGTCCCATAGTTCAGTATTATTGAAAAAGTATACTGATATTTAAGATGTTACTACAAATAGGCCGGGCGCAGTGGCTCACACCTGTAATCCCAGCACTTTGGGAGGCCAAGGCGGGTGGATCACAAGGTCATGAGTTTGAGACCAGTCTGGCCATCATGGTGAAACCCTCTCTCTACTAAAAATACAAAAAATTGGCCGGGCATGGTGGTGTACACCTGTAGTCCCAAGTACTCGGGAGGCTGAGGCAGGAGAATCACTTGAACCCGTGAGGCAGAGGTTGCAGTGAGCCGAGACTGTGCCACTGCACTCCAGCCTGGGCGACAGAGTGAGACTCTGTCTCAAAAAAAAAAAAAAAAAAAGTTACTACAAATAACTTTTAAAAATATCTAGAGCTCACCTAACAGTATTATCACCTTGAAAGATTATATCTAAATATTTTGAAACTTTGTTTGTTTTAATTACTATAGTATATAAATTCAAATAAGGTTTCATACACTGAGAGAATAAAAACAAGCTCCAAAGTTGTTCTGAATAGTAGCAGTATTTTTAGAACAAATATGTTATTTCTCTAGATGATTACTTAAAAGAAATATACTTTGAATGAACACATTCTGCTATTTTTATTTAAATCAGTAATCACTTCTCTACCACATACTAGGATTACAGTTATGTGCCACCATGCCCAGCACATTTTTGTATTTTTAGTAGAAATGGGATTTCACATGTTGGCCAGGCTGGTCTCGAACTCCTGACCCCGTGATCTGCCTGCCTTGGCCTCCCAGAGTGCTGGGATTACAGGCGTGAGCCACCGCGTTTGGCCTGCTATTTCGATACATCAATCTGACACGATTTCTGTGAGAAGACAAATCCACAATATTTGACAAAAATTATCAATAAATTAAAATACATATTAATACCTATTAAGGCCAAGCACAGTTCTAGATAATGATATCCAAAATGAATTAGACACAATATTTTCTCTGAGGGGACTGTAAATTAGAAAAGAAAAAAGAACACATAAATCAATCAGTATGTTACAGAGAAAAAAATAAAGAGATAAGTACTAAACGATCTGGGGAAGAATGAAACAAAAAATATAGAAAGAACTAACTCTGTAAAGCCAAGAGGGGCACCAGTGAGAACAGCCTTCGCAGAGCAGCCAATGGTCAGCCATTCATTGTTCGGGAAGGCCATAAAACACAGATAAAGTAGGACAGTTGTACATTCAAATCCCAAAACACTCACCAGTCCTGTGATTTTTCATTGTTTTTATCCTCTCTGAACCTCACAGTTTTTCTCTAAAATAGAAATGCTGTACTCTTTGCCTCTCTGCTATAGGGATTGCATGAGATAATTTACGTAAAGTACACATCTGTGTACCTAATAAATAGTAGCAATTGTTATTTATTTGGTTTCCATTAAATAAGGTTATTTGGCTTAAACACTACAAGTCTGGTTTTAGTTCCTGATGAAATGTATTAAGTTTCAGAATGCAAGTTTCTCATCTTTAGAATGCAGACTAAAAACAAAAACCTCCTATCTTAACCATGATCAGAAATTAAAATTTGAGCATTGTGAGAGACAAATTTATTGGCACTTTTATAATAATGATCTTCAGCAGCCTTCAGTAAATGCTTATGTTCTATAATCAAATGCATACTGATCTCTCCTCTGAGTCAACTAAACCAAACAGATTAGAAGAACCTAAACAGACAAATTCAGACATGGAATCTAAATAAATGAACAAAGACAGATTACTAACTCTTACAATAACTTAAGAAGACAACTAAGTTACTGAAAATTTATGGGTGGTTCAGGATGACTACTGAAATGTGGCAACATCATTATAAGCTAATGTCATACACTTAAGTAACTTATTAGTACAGTTGAATTGGGCCTTCTGTATAAATATCATGGTGTATTATTTATAATCAGAACCTTAAAGCTTTTCAATATTAACTACATCTTGAGATAAAAGATGATAATGTACTTCTAATTATTGAAAGATAAACCATTACACTAAGCCTTTTATACGGAAAGTTGAGCAAATATGACATATCACAAAAATTAACTAAGCCAGGAAAACAATATAAAGTTTCATATAAGAGAAAAATATAAAAATTTGGAACAAAGAATGACCCAATTTTATTATACAATTGATCACCCAGCTAAATCTATAATATATATTTCATTCTAAACATACTTTTTCACTGGGTGCAATGGCTCACACCTATAATCCCAGCACTCAGGAGGCTGAGGCAGGAGGAGCACTTGAGCCCAGGAGTTTGAGACCCAGTTAATTTTCTTTTTTCTTGTAGAAATGGAGTCTCACCAGACCAGTGAGACTCCATTTGTACAACAAATAAGAACATTAGCTTATGTATGGTGACGTGTGCTAAGGGTCCCAGCTATAGACAGGCTGAGGCAGGAGGATCCCTTGAGCCCAGCAGGTCGAAATTGCAGAGAGCCATGTTCACACCACGGCACTCCAGCCTGAGTGACAGAGCAAGACCCTGTTTCAAAACAAAACAAAACAAACAAAGCACAGTCTTTCAAAGTTTAACCACAGTTTTAAATATAAAAATGTGCAAAAAAAAAGATAAAACATTGACCTGAAAGTTTCATAATTCAGTTTTAAAAGAAATGCTTTAGAAGCTTTTTTTTTCTTAGCCATTTTTCTCACAAGGTTCATAAATTTAAGGCTTTTCAACATTGCTTTTATTGTCACAAAAGGTTTTCAATTATCGCTGTAAAACTGTTTCTACTTCACGTGTCAATTTTGCCATGTGCTGAAAAATTAAGCAGCAGTGCCACCAAATGACGAAACTCAAAATTTCACCAAATAGTGAGGCGAGGCTTACAAACACATGAAACCACCAGTCTGCCTACTCTTGATGTCTGCCTACTCTTGATCAATAACAAACATATTTTCATCTTTATGCTGACTTATTAGTAAGGATTTAATGTATGCTAGGAAAGTATTAAATGACTTAGTTTCATATTTTGAATAGAGTAATTTCACACAGTTTTATACAGCCTAAAGATATATCATGGCCAAATCTTATCAAATTCATATTTAATGTCTCAAAACCTTATCTTTGAAGAACCAATAGTATAAAAGTATTTGTATTTGAATAAATTTTCTTAACTAGTATTGCCATAATGCTTTTATAAGAATATCTAAGAATAAGAACAAGGTAGCCAGAAGCAATGAGTGTGTACACCCTGTGGGGAGCCTTACAGGCGTGCATGGAAAGTCTAAAAATAAGACAAAGATGGAAACAGAAATACACAAGAATTTACATTCAAAATATTTTATCCAACCTAACCAAGACAGAATCTCCCTAATTCTATTTTTCACTGAATTTTAATTCTTAAAACATTGCTACCCTTTTAAAAAACTGAATCGATCTTCCTTACATACTTCATTCACAATATAGCATACGTGATGGCTGAAAACCTAACACTATATTACTTGGCCCTCCCAAAAAAAGGACCCATCATCACATATTGTTCTCCATATCTAAATCCCAATTGGTACTACAATTTTTATCATTAAATATGTCAAAGAGAAAATTTTATAAAATTAGGTATATACTGCCAAAGAATCACAATAGTTAAGGCAGTGATTTTTTTTTCCTTCACTTTTAAGTTCCAGGGTACATGTGCAGAATGTGCAGGCTTGTTATATAGGTAAATGTGTGCCATGGTGGTTTGCTGCACAGATCAACTCATCACCCAGGTATTAAGGCCAGCATCCGTTAGCTATTCTTCCTGATGCTCTCCCTTCCTCCACATCCCTCAAAAGCCCCAATGTGTGTTGTTCCCACCAATGTGTTCATGTATTCTCATCGTTCAGCTCCCACTTATAAGTGATACCATGAGGTGTTTGGTTTTCTGTTCCTGTGTTAGTCTGTTGAGAATAACAGCTTCCAGCTCCATCAATGTCCCTGCAAAGGACATGTTCTTGTTCCTTTCTGTGGCTGCATAGTATTCCATGGTGTATATGTACCGTGTTTTCTTTATCCAGTCTATCACTGATGGAAATCTGGGTTGATTCTATGTCTTTGCTATCGTGAATAGTGCTGCAATGAACATACGCATGCATGTATCTTTATAACAGAATGATTTATATATTTTGGGGTATATACCCAGTAATGGGATTGCTGGGTCAAATGGTGTACCTGCTTCTAGATCTTTGAGGAATCCCCACACTGTCTTCCAAAATGGCTAAACTAATTTACACTCCCACCAACAGTGTAAATGCATTCCTTTTTCTCTGTAACTTTGCCAGCATCTGTTGTTTCTTGATTTTTTAATAATTGCCATTCTGACTGATGTGATATGGTATTTCTCTGTGGTTCTGATTTGCATTTCTCTAATGATCAGAGATGTTGAGCTTTTTTTCATGTTTGTTGGCTGCATGCATGTCTTCTTTTTAAGAAGTGTCTGTTTATGTCCTTTGCCCATTTTTTAATGCGTAAAAATGGACATTTTTGTTTTTTTCTTGTAAATTTGTTTAAGTTCCTTGTAGACTCTGGATATTAGCTCTTTGTCAGATGGATAGATTGCAAAAATTTTCTCCCATTCTGTAGGTTGTCTGTTCACTCTGATGACAGTTTCTTTTGCTGTGCAAAAGCTCTTTAGTTAATTAGATCCCATTTGCCAATTTTTGCTTTTGTCGCTATTGCTTTTGGCATTTCATCATGAAATCTTTATTTGTGCCTGTGTCCTGAACGATACTGCCTAGATTTTCTTCTAGGATTTCTATAGTTTTGGGTTTTACATTTACATCTTTAATCCATCTTGCGTTAACTTTTGTATAAAGTTTAAGGAAGGGGGATCCAGTTTCAATTTTCTGCATATGACTAGCCAGTTCTCCCAGCACCATTTATTAAATAGGAAATCCTTTCCCTATTGCTTGTTTTTGTCAGGTTTTTCAAAGATCAGTTCCGTGTAGGTATGTGGTTTATTTCTGAGTTCTCTATTCTCTTCCATTGTTCTATGTGTCTATTTTTGTACCAGTACCATGCTGGTTTGGTTACAGGGCAGTGATTTTTATCCTTTGTTAGATTGAAAATATTATACTTTTGAGAATCCAAGGAAATATACGTGGTTTTACTGAAGAAAATGCACCAACATACATACTGCCAAACTTTACATTAATATTTTAGGGGGCTTAATAATGCTAGCTTCAATTCTGAATTCCATGTTAACCACTCCTGAGTAACGGTCAATGAGTAAAGATAGATATATGAACACTACCCCCCAATATAACATCTAGATTATGCTATATTAGACTTTCTATTGAAATAATAGTTAAATAACTTTAATCAATTTTTTTTTGTATATTAAGCTGGATCTAAATACTTACATTATGGATACTATTTTTCTATACAATTTAGATAGAGCAACATTAGAGAATATGCCCTTCATCTAGACGAGGAAATAAAGGCCACAAACATTAAGTCAATCTTCAAACAAGCTAATTAATTGGCAAGGCTGAGACCAAAATCAGGTATTCTGATTCCCAGTCTCATTTTTTTCCCACTATACCAGTGTGCATTAAATAAACAGATGTTTCCTGAACATTTCCTTATGCACAGCTCTGGAATATCATGAGACACAGAATTCCCAATGAATTTATTTGTGTTACTATTCACCAGGTACCATGCTGAGCATTTTACGTGGTAAATCAGTTAAGATTCTTTGGTTGAAGGCAATAGAAACTAACTATAGAGGGGCGGAGGGAGGGAGGGAAGGAGGCAGCTAGGTAGCCAGGCAGCCAGGCAAGGAGGGTGGTGACATCAGCAGGATGGCAAATTACAAATGCCTAATGCTCTACCCTCTGCCCCACAAAAAAGGACAAAAACAATGAATTGATAACTGCATTTTGACCAGAGTGACTTAAGAATGTCAGAGAATAGCAAGGGAGTGGCAGAAACCCTGTGAAGCACAGGCTAAGTATGGCCATATACAGAAGGGTGGAGTCATTGTTGTGCTATTCCCTTCCCCAATGCCTAAGTCACAGCTGTGCCCCACCATTCATGGGCCCTTGTTGCTGCTGTACCCAGCCTCACAAAGTCTGGTCCATTGCTATGTCCTGCCATGCCAGAGTCACCACTACAAGGAACCTCCTCTCCTGGTGTCCAAGTTGCCACTATGCCCTACTGGCTCCAGAAACTGAAGTGCAGTTATGCCCTGCTCCCTAGGGTCCAAGCCTCTAGAACATCTCTTCTTCTCCAGACCCATGCCAGTGCTGTGCCCTGACTCTCAGGATCAGAGTCACAGCTATATCCCTGCTACCTGGGCCCAAGCTACTGGGGAATGCCTTAGAGTCAGTCCCCACCTTTGTAGAACAGCTTCATCTACCCATACCTCAGAGAGTGAACTTGTACTCAAGTCACAAGTATCATAGTAATTCAGGAAGACAGTGGGCCCAGGACCCTAGCACCACTGTAGGCTGCTTGTGAGCTCTGCCAAATCTGACAACAAGAAGGATTTCCCCAACAAAGTCTCCCCACGGTACGATAAACAAGAGCAGGAGGACCCCCACTAAAGCCCTTGTCACTGAGAATCCTAATAACCTATGCTGCTACCACTGCTGTCACACACTCCTACAGTCATGGCTAAAGTACCTGCAGCCATTACTCAAATTGATTACAACTGAAGGAGCTGCATGGACACTACACTACCGTGCCTACCTGGAACCAGAGGCAGAACCTCTGCCCTTGAGCCACTGCACCACCACCCACAGAGCCAATGCACCCTGCTCAACTGACCCCCTAGCAATCATCTATAGGTAAAATCATCCCCTACAAAAGCAACTCTATAGATTTGGAAGAGGTCACTGATCCACTAGATGTGCAGTTATCAATGCAAGGACACAAGAAACATGAAAAAGCAGGAAAACATGACACCATCAAAGGAATAATTCTCCAGATAATGACCCCAAAGAAATGGAAATTTACAAATTACCTGATAGAGAAATCAAAGTAATGATCTTACGGAAACTCAGGGATATACAAGAGGATAGACAATTCAATGAAATCAGCAAAATAATCCATGATATGAATCACAAGCTCAATAAAGATATACATAACACAAAAAGAACCAAACAGAAATCTTGGGGCTGAAGAATTCAATGAATGAAATTGTTAAAAACTGAGAGCTTCAACAGCAGACTAGATCAAGCAGAGGAAACAATCTGTGAATTTGAAGATAGGTCTTTTGAAGTTGCCCAGATAGAGAAAAAGTGAAGAAAGCCTATAGGAATTATGGAACACCATGAAAGGAACAAATGTCACAGTATGAGCTCTAGAAAGAGAAGAGATGAGGCCGGGCATGGTGGCTCACGCCTGTAATCCCAGCACTTTGGGAGGCCAAGGCGGGAGGATCACGAGGTCAGGAGATCAAGACCATCCTGGCTAACATGGTGAAGCCCTGTCTCTACTAAAAATACAAAAAATTAGCCAGGTGTGGTGGCATGCGCCTGTAGTCCCAGCTACTTGGGAGGCTGAGGCAGGAGAATCGCTTGAACCCAGGAGGTGGAGGCTGCAGTGAGCCAAGATTACGTCACTGCACTCCAGCAACAGAGGAAGACTCCATCTCAAAAAAAAAAAAAAAAAAAAAAAAAAAGAGAGATGGAGAAAGGCACAGAAGGCTTTTTAAGTGAAGTACTTGCTGAACACTTCCCAAGTCTTGGGAGTGATATGGTCATCCATATCTACAGAAGTTGAAAACTAACAAACAGGTTCAATGCAAAGAGGTCCTCACCAAGGCACTTTATAATTTAAAACATTAAAAGTAAAAGACAAAGAATTTTAAAAGCAGAGGGAGAAGAGCATCAAGCAACATACAAGGGGCTCGCCATTAGACTATCAGCAGATTTCTCAGCAGAAATCTTGCAGGTCAGGAGAGAATGGGATAATATACTCAAGGTGCTAATTAAAAAAACCCTGCCAGCCAACAATACTATACTTAGAAAAGCTGTTTTTCAGAAATAAAATAGAAGTAAAGTCTTTCCCAGATAGACAGAAGCTAAGGGAATTCATCACCTCTAGAACTGATTTACAAGAAATGCTTAAGAGTTCTTCAACCAGAAACAAAAGAACAATAACTACTACCACAAGAACATATCAAAGTATAAAACTCACTGGTAGAGAGGTATTTATATATATTCAAATTCAGAATATTCCATTACTGCAACAATGGTGTGTAAATCTCTCAAATTGCTATTATAAAGGTTAAATGTTGAAACAGTAAAAAACAACTGTAATTGCATTAAGTTGTTATGAAGTCCAAAATGTAAAAAGGTATAAACTGTGACAGCCAAAATAATTGTGAGGAGGGTAAAAGTCTAGAATATCTTCATGTGACAAAGTTAAATTGTTATCAGCTTAAAATAGTCTATTATTACTATAAGATGCTTTGTGTAAGCCTCATGATTAACTACAAAGCAAAAAACTACAGTAGATACACAAATGAGAACGAGAAAGGAATCAAAACTTAGCACATAGCACAAAATCACAAGAGTAGACAATAAGAGAAGAAGAAAGGAACAAAGGACCAAAAAACAACCAGAAAACAATAACAAATGCAGTAGTACGTGCTTACCTATCAATAACAATCTTCAATGTAATTAAGCTCTCCAATCAAAAGATTTAGAATGGATGGAAAAATAAGATTCAGACGCTGCTTCAAGATTGTGACTACGGACATCTCATGCCCGTTCTCCTCAGAAGGAAGATCAAAATTACTGGTAAATCATCAAGTTTTGACAAGGAAACAGAGGGAACAGAGCCAGGACCTGTTGGAGTACCCACGTGAAGAAGATTGGGTGGAGAGAAAGAAAGCAGCAAAAGTCTGGTTGATAGCGACCGCTGAGGAACTCAGAGTCCAGCAGAAACTGTAGGTGGGAGTGTGTCTCTGCTCCCCTCACCCCTCTGACAACACACTGGCTGCTAAACAGCTGGGGAGCCCCTCAGCCCTTGCAAGCCAGGGCAACACTATCGGTGGCGATTAGAGGACTTCCTGAAAACAGAGAACTGGGTGAGCAGCTGACTTAGCCATGCTGCACCCACCTCTGATCCAAACTGAGATGGCAGTTGTCATACCAGTTGTGTACCTGTGGTGCCACTCCCCTTGCTTGTAGATCCTCTGCCCTTGAGCCACTGCACCACCACCCGCAGACATACTACACAACCTACTCTGACTTTGGCAAGTACATGACACCAGCAGATTCTCAGGGAGTTTGGGGTCTCCCACAGATTGAACACTTGGCACAAACTGCCCCTCAAGGAGGAGACAGAGCAGCCTGTCAAAGCCACCAATGGGAAACAGGAAATGTGGGTGCAGCACTAACCACTGAAGGGGGCAGCGCCAATGCCTCGGAACAAACGTGGAGAAGGGGGTCATCTCTCACCTTCTCATCTCGCCAAAGTGCATGATTGTGGACATGGCAGCAGTTCTTTCTGTTGGGGCCCAATGGCCCTTTCTGGGCTTCTCTGGTGGCTCGATGAAAGTGAACAGAGCCTAAATAAATCTGCTGTATCTTACTCTTCGGCACCATCTACTGGACTGCAGCCTGAATTACACCGCCAAGCAAAAACTACAAAAAACAGCATCTGAGAAAGCCACCACACAAACCTACCTGCAACCAAAAAACCCATATGGAGCTTTGGCCCCCTAAAAGCACCCAGAAAAGAAGCCAATCGAGCATACACAACATACATCACAGTTACACCTTCAAGGGGAAAAAAAATAAGTCCCATCCAAATAAACACAAATCCAAAAAAAGAATTGTCAGCTCACTCAGATGAGAAGGAATCAGTGAAAGAACTCTGGAAGTACAAAAAGCCAAGGTGCTTTGTCATCTCCAAAGGATCGTTCTAGCTCCCTAGCCATGGATCCTAAGCAGACTGAAATATCTAAAATGATACATAAAGAACTTGGAATATTGATGGCAAGGAAACTCCACAAGATCTGAGAGGAAGTTGAAATCCAATACAAAGAAGCCAGAAAAATGATCCAGGACATGAAAGATGACATAATGATATTAACAAAGAACCAAACAGAACTTTTGGAATTAAAAAACTCACTATGGGAATTTCAAAATACAGTTGGAAGCCTTAACAACAAACTAGACAAAGCAGAAGAAGAATTTCAGAGCTCAAAGACTGGTCTTTTGAATTAACCCAGTCAGACAAAAATAAAGAGAAAGAATTTAAAAAAGCAAACAAGGCCTTCAAGAAATATAAGATTATGTAAAGCAACCAAACCAATGAATTACTGGCATTCCTGAGAGAGAAAAACAGAAAGTAAGGAAACTGGAAAACATATTTCAGGGTATGATTCTGAAAAATTTCCCCAATCTTCCAAGAGAGGTTGATATGCAGACACAAGAAATTCAGAGAACACCAGTGAGATACTATATAAGATGACCATCACCAAGGCACACAGTCATCAGACAATCCAGGGTCAATGTGAAAGAAACAATCTTAAAGGCAGCTAGAGAAAAGAACCAAATTGCCTCTTTTAAAGGGAATCCCATCAGACTCACAACGGATTTCTTTCTTTTTTTTTTTTTTATACTTTAAGTTTTAGGGAACATGTGCACAACGTGCAGGTTTGTTACATATGTATACATGTAACATGTTTGTGTGCTGCACCCATTAACTCGTCATTTACCTTAGGTATATCTCCTAATGCTATCCCTCCCCACTACCCCCACCCCACAACAGGCCCTGGTGTGTGATGTTCCCCTTCCTGTGTCCATGTGTTCTCATTGTTCAATTCCCACCTATGAGTGAGAACATGCAGTGTTTGGTTTTTGTCCTTGTGATAGTTTGCTGAGAATGATGGTTTCCAGCTTCATCCATGCCCCTACAAAGGACATGAACTCGTCATTTTTGATGGCTGCATAGTATTCCATGGTGTATATGTGCCACATATTCTTAATTCAGTCTATCATTGTTGGACATCTGGGTTGGTTCCAAGTCTTTGCTATTGTGAATAGTGCCGCAATAAACATACGTGTGCTTGTGTCTTTATAGCAGCATGTTATATAATCCTCTGGGTACATACCCAGTAATGGGATGGCTGGGTCAAATGGTATTTCTAGTTCTAGATCCCTGAGGAATCGCCACACTGACTTCCACAATGGTTGAACTACTTTACAGTCCCACCAACACTGTAAAAGTGTTCCTATTTCTCCACATCCTCTCCAGCACCTGTTGTTTCCTCACTTTTTAGTGATTGCCATTCTAACTGGTGTGAGATGGTATCTCATTGTGGTTTTGATTTGCATTTCTCTGATGGCCAGTGATGATGAGCATTTTTTCATGTGTCTTTTGGCTGCAGAAATGTCTTCTTTTGAGAAGCGTCTGTTCATATCCTTCGCCCACTTTGTGATGGCGTTGTTCTTTTCTTGTAAATTTGAGTTCATTGTAGATTCTGGATATTAGGCCTTTGTCAGATGAGTAGGTTGCAAAAATTTTCTCCCATTCTGTAGGTTGCCTGTTCACTCTGATGGTAGTTTCTTTTGCTGTGCAGAAGCTCTTTATTTTAATTAGATCCCATTTGTCAATTTTGGCTTTTGTTGCCATTGCTTTTGGTGTTTTAGACATGAAGTCCTTGCCCATGTCTATGTACTGAATGGTACTGCCTAGGTTTTCTTCTAGGGTTTTTATGGTTTTAGGTCTAACATTTAAGTCTTTTTTTTTTTTTTTTTTTTTTGAGACGGAGTTTCGCTCTGTCGCCCAGGCTGGAGTGCAGTGGCGCGATCTCGACTCACTGCAAGCTCCACCTCCCGGGTTCACGCCATTCTCCTGCCTCAGCCTCCCGTGTAGCTGGGACTACAGGCGCGCGCCACCATGACCAGCTAATTTTTGTATTTTTAGTAGAGACGGGGTTTCACCGTGTTAGCCAGGATGGTCTCGATCTCCTGACCTCGTGATCCGCCCGTCTCGGCCTCCCAAAGTGCTGGGATTACAGGCGTGAGCCACCGTGCCCGGCCCATTTAAGTCTTTAATCCATCTTGAATTAATTTTTGTATAAAGTGTAAAGAAGGGATCCAGTTTCAGCTTTCTACATATGGCTAGCCAGTTTTCCCAGCACCATTTATTAAATAGGGAATCCTTTCCTCATTTTTCGTTTTTGTCAGGTTTGTCAAAGATCAGATAGTTGTAGATATGCAGCATTATTTCTGAGGGCTCTGTTCTGTTCCATTGGTCTATACCTCTGCTTTGGTACCAGTACCATGCTGTTTTGGTTACTGTAGCCTTGTAGTATAGTTTGAAGTCAGGTAGTGTGATGCCTCCAGCTTTGTTCTTTTGGCTTAGGATTGACTTGGCAATGCGGGCTCTTTTTTGGTTCCATGTGAACTTTAAAGTAGTTTTTTCCAATTCTGTGAAGAAAGTCATTGGTAGCTTGATGGGGATGGCATTGAATCTATAAATTACCTTGGGAAGTAGGGCCATTTTCACGATACTGATTCTTCCCACCCATGAGCATGGAATATTCTTCCATTTGTTTGTATCCCCTTTTATTTCATTGAGCAGTGGTTTGTAGTTCTCCTTGAAGAGGTCCTTCACGTCCCTTGTAAGTTGGATTGCTAGGTATTTTATACTCTTTGAAGCAATTGTGAATGGGAGTTCACTCATGATTTGGCTCTCTGTTTGTCTGTTATTGGTGTATAAGACTGCTTGTGATTTTTGCACATTGATTTTGTATCCTGAGACTTTGCTGAAGTTGCCTATCAGCTTAAGGAGATTTTGGGCTGAGACGATGGGGTTTTCTAGATATACAATCATGTCATCTGCAAACAGGGACAATTTGACTTCCTCTTTTCCTAATTGAATACCCTTTATTTCCTTCTCCTGCCTGATTGCCCTGGCCAGAACTTCCAACACTATGTTGAATAGGAGTGGTGAGAGAGGGCATCCCTGTCTTGTGCCAGTTTTCAAAGGGAATGCTTCCAGTTTTTGCCCATTCAGTGTGATATTGGCTGTGGGTTTGTCATAGATAGCTCTTATTATTTTGAGATACGTCCCATCAATACATAATTTATTGAGAGTTTTTAGCATGAAGGGCTGTTGAATTTTGTCAAAGGCCTTTTCTGCATCTATTGAGATAATCATGTGGTTTTTGCCTTTGGTTCTGTTTATATGCTGGATTACGTTTATTGATTTGCGTATGTTGAACCAGCCTTGCATCCCAGGGATGAAGCCCACTTGATCATGGTGGATAAGCTTTTTGATGTGCTGCTGGATTCGGTTTGCCAGTATTTTATTGAGGATTTTTACATCGATGTTCATCAGGGATATTGGTCTAAAATTCTCTTTTTTTGTTGTGTCTCTGCCAGGCTTTGGTATCAGGATGATGTTGGCCTCATAAAATGCGTTAGGGAGGATTCCCTCTTTTTCTATTGATTGGAATAGTTTCAGAAGGAATGGTAACAGCTCCTCCTTGTACCTCTGGTAGAATTCGGCTGTGAATCCATCTGGTCCTGGATTTCTTTTGGTGGGTAAGCTATTAATTATTGCCTCAATTTCAGAGCCTGTTATTGGTCTATTCAGGGATTCAACTTCTTCCTGGTTTAGTCTTGGGAGGGTGTATGTGTCGAGGAATTTATCCATTTCTTCTAGATTTTCTAGTTTATTTGCGTAGAGGTGTTTATAGTATTCTCTGATGGTAGTTTGTATTTCTGTGGGATTGGTGGTGATATCCCCTTTATCATTTTTTATTGCATCTATTTGATTCTTCTCTCTTTTCTTCTTTATTAGTCTTGCTAGCGGTCTATCAATTTTGTTGATCTTTTCAAAAAACCAGCTCCTAGATTCACTGATTTTTTGGAGGGTTTTTTGTGTCTCTATTTCCTTCAGTTCTGCTCTGATCTTAGTTATTTCTTGCCTTCTGCTAGCTTTTGAATGTGTTTGCTCTTGCTCCTCTAGTTCTTTTAATTGTGATGTTAGGGTGTCAATTTTAGATCTTTCCTGCTTTCTCTTGTGGGCACTTAGTGCTATAAATTTCCTTCTACGCACTGCTTTGAGTGTGTCCCAGAGATTCTGGTATGTTGTGTCTTTGTTCTCATTGGTTTCAAAGAATATCTTTATTTCTGCCTTCATTTCATTATGTACCCAGTAGTCATTCAGGAACAGGTTGTTCAGTTTCCACGTAGTTGAGCGGTTTTGAGTGAGTGTCTTAATCCTGAGTTCTAGTCTGATTGCACTGTGGTCTGAGAGATAGTTTGTTATAATTTCTGTTCTTTTACATTTGCTGAGGAGTGCTTTACTTCCAACTATGTGGTCAATTTTGAAATAGGTGTGGTGTGGTGCTGAAAAGAATGTATATTCTGTTGATTTGGGGTGGAGAGTTCTGTAGATGTCTATCAGGTCCCCTTGGTGCAGAGCTGAGTTCAATTCCTGGATATCCTTGTTAACTTTCTGTCTTGTTGATCTGTCTAACGTTGACAATGGGGTGTTAAAGTCTTCCCATTATTATTGTGTGGGAGTCTAAGTCTCTTTGTAGGTCTCTAAGGACTTGCTTTATGAATCTGGGTGCTCCTGTATTGGATGCATATATATTTAGGATAGTTAGCTCTTCTTGTTGAATTGATCCCTTTACAATTATGTAATGGCCTTCTTTGTCTCTTTTGATCTTTGCTGGTTTAAAGTCTTTTATCAGAGACTAGGATTGCAACCCCTGCCTTTTTTTGTTTTCCATTTGCTTGGTAGCTCTTCCTCCATCCCTTTATTTTGAGCCTATGTGTGTCTCTGCACATGAGATGGGTTTCCTGAATACAGCACACTGACGGATCTTGACTCTTTATCCAATTTGCCAGTCTGTGTCTTTTAATTGGAGCATTTAGCCCATTTACATTTAAGGTTAATATTGTTATGTGTGAATTTGATCCCTTCATTATGATGTTAGCTGGTTATTTTGCTCATTAGTTGATGCAGTTTCTTACTAGCCTCGATGGTCTTTACAATTTGGCATGTTTTTTCAGTGGCTGGTACTGGTTGTTCCTTTCCATGTTTAGTGCTTCCTTCTGGAGCTCTTTTAGGGCAGGCCTGGTGGTGACAAAATCTCTCAGCATTTGCTTGTCTGTAAAGTATTTTATTTCTCCTTCACTTATGAAGCTTAGTTTGGCTGGATATGAAATTCTGAGTTGAAAATTCGTTTCTTTAAGAATGTTGAATAATGGCCCCCACTCTCTTCTGGCTTGTAGAGTTTCTGCCTAGAGATCAGCTGTTAGTCTGATGGGCTTCCGTTTGTAGGTAACCCAACCTTTCTCTCTGGCTGCCCTTAACATTTTTTCCTTCATTTCAACTTTGGTGAATCTGACAATTATGTGTCTTGGAGTTGCTCTTCTCGAGGAGTATCTTTGTGGCATTCTCTGTATTTCCTGAATATGAATGTTGGCATGTCTTGCTAGATTGGGGAAGTTCTCCTGGATAATATACTGCAGAGTGTTTTCCAACTTGGTTCCATTCTCCCCATCACTTTCAGGTACACCAATCAGACGTAGATTTGGTCTTTTCACATAGTCCCATAATTCTTGGAGGCTTTGTTTGTTTCTTTTTATTCTTTTTTCTCTAAACTCTTCTCGCTTCATTTCATTCATTTGATCTTCCATCACTGATACCCCTTCTTCCAGTTGACAAATTGGCTACTGAGGCTTGTGCATTCGTCACGTAGTTCTTGTGCCATGATTTTCAGCTCCATCAGGTTCTTTAAGGACTTCTCTACACTGGTTATTCTAGTTAGCCATTCATCTAATTTTTTTTTCAAGGTTTTTAACTTCTTTGCCATGGGTTCGAACTTCCTCCTTTAGCAAGGTGTAGTTTGATCATCTGAAGCCTTCTTCTCTCAACTCGTCAAAGTCATTCTCTGTCCAGCTTTGTTCTGTTGCTGGTGAGGAGCTGCATTCCTTTGGAGGAGGAGAGGCACTCTGATTTTTAGAGTTTCCAGTTTTTCTGCTCTGTTTTTTCCCTATCTTTGTGGTTTTATCTACCTTTGGTCTTTGATGATGGTGACATACAGATGGGGTTTTGGTGTGGGTGTTCTTTCTGTTTGTTAGTTTTCCCCCCAACAGTCAGGACCCTCAGCTGCAGGTCTGTTGGAGTTTGCTGGAGATCCACTCCAGACCGTTTGCCTGGGTATCAGCAGCGGAGGCTGCAGAACAGTGGATATTGGTGAACAGCAAATGTTGCTGCCTGATCATTCCTCTGGAAGTTTTGTCTCAGAGGAGTACCAGGCTGTGTGAGGTGTCAGTCTGCCCCTACTGGGGGGTGCCTCCCAGTTAGGCTACTCGGGGGTCAGGGACCCACTTGAGGAGGCAGTCTGTCCGTTCTCAGATCTGCAGCTGCGTGCTGGGACAACCACTACTCTCTTCAAAGCTGTCAGACAGGGACATTTAAGTCTGCAGAGGATTCTGCTGCCTTTTGTTTGGCTATGCCCTGCCCCCAGAGGTGGAGTCTACAGAGGCAGGCAGGCCTCCATGAGCTGCGGTGGGCTCCACCCAGTTTGAGCTTCCCGGCCACTTTGTTTACCTACTCAAGCCTTGGCAATGGTGGGCACCCCTCCCCCAGCCTCGCTGCCGCCTTGCAGTTTGATCTCAGACTGCTGTGCTAGCAATGAGCGAGGCTCCGTGGGCATAGGACCCTCTGAGCCAGGCGCCAGATATAATCTCCTGGTGTGCCATTTGCTAAGACCGTTGGAAAATCGCAGTATTAGGGTGGGAGTGACCCGATTTTCCAGGTGCCGTCTGTCACCCCTTTCTTTGACTAGGAAAGGGAATTCCCTGACCTCTTGCACTTCTCGGGTAAGGTGATGCCTCGCCCTGCTTCGGTTCATGCTCGGTGCGCTGCACCCACTGTCCTGCACCCACTGTCTGACACTCCCCAGTGAGACGAACCCAGTACCTCAGTTGGAAATGCAGAAATCACCTGTCTTCTGTGTTGCTCAAGCTGGGAGCTGTACACTGGAGCTGTTCCTATTCGGCCATCTTGGCTCCTCCTCCAACAATGGATTTCTTAGCAGAAATCTTACAAACCAGAAGACATTGGTGGCCTATTTTTAGCCTTCTTAAAGAAAAGAAATGCCAGCCAAGAATTTCACAGCCTGCCAAGCTAAGTAAGCTTCATAAACAAAGGAGAAATAAAGTTTTTCCCAGACAAGCAATTGCTAAGAGAATTTGTCACCAGCAGATAGGCCCCACAAAAATGCTTAAAGGAGTTCTAAACATGAAAATAAAAGAATGATACTTGCTGCCACAAAAGTACATGTAAGTTCAAAGCAACTGCCACTATAAAGCAACTATACAATTGAGACTACAAAGCAATAGTTAACACTAAGAGAGGAAGAAAACCTCACGTATCAGTATTAACGCTGAACATAAATGGCCTAAATGCTTCACTACAAACACAGAATGGCAAATTGGATGAAAAAACAAGACCCAACCATCTGCTATCTTCAAGAGACCCATCTCACATGTAATGACACCCAAAGGACTTGATGTAAAGGGATGGAGAAAGATCACACAAATTTAAAACAAAAAAGATCAGGGCTTGCTACTCTTGTATCAGATAAAACAGACTTTAAATCAACAACAGTACAAAAGGAGAAAGAAAAGTACTACATAATGATAAAAGGTTCAATTAAACAAGAGGATTTAACTATCCTAAATATGTACATGCCCAACACTTGAGGACCCTGATTTATAAACAATTACTACTAGATCTAAGAAAAGGGACAGACAATAATATCATACAATAATAGTGGACACTTTAACACCCCACTGATAGCATTAAACTGATCAAGGCCCAAAACTAATAAATTCTAGACTTAAATTGGACACTTGACCAGTTGGTCCTAATTAGCATCTACAGAACACTCCACCAAACAACCACAGAATATACATTCTTTTTATCTGCACACAGAACATAGTCTAAGACTGACCACATACTCAGTCATAAAGCAAGTCTCAATAAATTTTTTAAAAAACTGAAATCATACTAAGCATCTTCTTGGACCATAGTAGAATAAAAATAGAAATCAATACCAAGAGGAACTCTCAAAGCCACACAAATACATGGAAAGTAAACAACCTGCTTCTGAATGACTTTTGGAAAACAATAAAATTAAGGCAGATATTTAAAAAAATTTTTGAAACAAATGAAAGTAGAAACACTACATACCAAAACCTCTGAGATATGGTAAAAGCAGTTAAAAGGAAAGTTTACAGCATTAAATGCTTATACAAAAATAATAGAAAGATCTCAAATTAACAACCTAATGCTGCACCTACAGGAACTAGAAGAACAAAAAGAAACTAAATCAAAAGCTAGCCGACGAAAAGAAATAACTAAAATCAGAGCGGAATTAAATTAAATTGAGACCAAACAGCCATAGAAAAGATCAAAGAAAAGTTGGTTCTTCAAAAAGATAAACAAGATTAATAAACTTCTGGAAAGATTAACACATGAAAAAAAGAGAAGATTCATAAACACAGTCAGAAATAACAAAGGTGACATTACAACGGATCCCACAGAAATACAAAAGATCCTCAGAGACTACTATAAACATCCCCATGTGCACATACTATAAAATTAGGAAATGAACAAATTCTTGGAAACACACAATCTCCCAAGATTGAACTAGGAAGAAACTGAAACCTTGAACAGACCAATAATGAGTACAAAATTGAAACAGTAATAAAAAAAAAAAACTACCAATCAAAAAAAAAAGTCCTGGACCAGATAGATTCACAAGATATACAAAGAAGGCTGATGCCAATCCTACTGAAATTATTGAAAATAAATTAAGATGGAGAGATTCCTCCCTAACTCATTCTACAAGACCAGTTTCATCATGATATCAAAATATGGCAAGGGCACAACAAAAAAAGAAAACTACAGGCCAATGTTGCTGATGAAAATAGACACAAAAATCCTCTATAAAATATTAGCAAACTAAATCCAGTAGCACATTAAAATGAAAATTTGTATGATCAAGTGAGCCTTATTCCTGGGATGCAAGGATGGTTCAACACACACAAACCAATAAATGTGATTCCCCACATAAACAGAATTTTAAAAAAGAATATGATCACCTCAATATACACATAAAAAGCATCTGATAAAATCCAACATTGCTTTATGATAAAAAACACTTAACAAATTAGGCATCAAAGGAAGATATCTCAAAATATTAAGAACCACCTATGACAAACCCACAGCCAACATCATGCTGAATGAGCAAAAAGTTAGAAGGATTCCTCCTAAGAACTAGAACAAGACAAGGATTCCATTCTTAGCAATCCTATTCAACATAGTACTGGCAGTCCCAGCCAGAGCAATCAGGCTAGAGAAAAAAATAAAAGACATCCAAATAGGAAAAGAGAAAGTCAAATTATCTCTTTGTGGACAATTTAATTCTGTACCTGGAAAATTCTAACAATTCCACCATGACTCCTAGACTTGATGAGTGACTTCAGTAAAGTTTCAGGACATAAAATCATTTTACAAAAATCAGTAGTATTTCTATACTCCAATACCATTCAAGCTGAGAATGAAATCAGTAATGCAATCTCATTTACAGTAGCCACTCACACACAAAAATACTGAGGAATACATTTACCCAAGGAGGTGAAAGATCTCTACAAGGAGAACTACAAAACACTGATGAAGAAAATCATAGATGACATAAACAAATGGAAGTGCATTTAATGCCCATGGAAGGAGACTTGGTATCATTAAAATGTCCATACTGCCTGAAGTAATCTACAGAATCAATTCAATTTCTATCAAATTACCAATGTTATTTTTTTGTAAAAAATAAAAAAACCTAAAATTCATATAGAACCACAAAAGACCCAGAATAGCCAAAGTTATCCTGAGCAAAAAGAACAAAACTGGAGGAATCACATTACCTGACCTCGAATTATACTACAGAGCTGTAACCAAAACAGCATGGTGCTGGCATAAAAACAGGCACATAGAACAGTGGAACAGAATAGAGAACCCAGAAATAAATCCATACATCTATAGTGAATTCATCTTTGACAAATGTTCCAGGAATCTACGTTTGAGAAAAGACAATCTCTTCAATAAATGGTGCTGGGAAAACTGGATATCCATATGCAGAAGAATGAAACTAGACTCCTATCTTTTGCCATATACAAAAATCAAATCAAAATGTATTAAAGACTTAAATCTGAGGCCTCAAACTATGAAACTACTAAAAGAAAACACTGGGGAAACTCTCTAGGACACTGGCCTAGGCAAAGATTTCTTCAGTAATATCCCATAACCACAGGCAACCTAAGTAAAAATGGACAAATGGACTTGATTGCACATCAAGTTAAGAAGCTTCTGCACAGCAAAGGAAACTATCAACACAGTGAAGAGACAACCCACAGAATGGGAGAAAATATCCGCAAACTACCCATCTGACAAGGGATTAATAACCAGAATATATAAGGACCTCAAACCACTCAACAGGAAAAATCTGATAATCCAATTTAAAATGGGCAAAAGATCTAAATAGACATTTCTAAAAAGATGACATACAAATGGCAAACAGGTACATGAAAAAGTGCTCAACATCACTGATCATCAGAGAAATACAAATCAAAATGACAATGAGTTATCTCACCCCAGTCAAAACAGCTTTCATCAAAAGGACTAGCAATAACAAATGCTGGCGAGGATGTGGAGAAAAGGGAACCCTCTTACACTCGTACACTGTTGGTAGGAATGTAAACTAGTACAGCCACTTATGGAGAACAGTTTGGAGGTTCCTCAAAAAACTAAAAATAGAACTACCATACAATCTAGCAATCCCACTGCTAGGTATATACCCAAAAGAAAGGAAATCAGTATATCAGAGATATCCGCACTCCCATGTTTATTGCAGGACTAGTCACAATAGCCAAAATCTGGAAGCAACCTAATTGTCCATCAACAGATGAGTGGATAAAGAAAACTGTGGGACATAAACACAATGGAGTACTATTCAGCCATAAAATAGAATGAGATCCTGTCATTTGCAACAATATGAAAGGAACTGGAGTTCTATTACGTTAGGTGAAATAAGCCCGGCACAGAAAGACAAGTTTTGCACGTTTTCACTTATTTGTGGAAACTAAAAGAATTAAAACAATTGAATTCATGGAAACGGAACATGATTGTTATCAAAAGCTGGAAAGGGTAGTGCATGAAAGTGGGAATGGTTAATGGGTACAAAAATTAGATAAAATGAATAAGATTCAGTATTTGATAGCACAACAGGGTGAATATAGTCAACAATAATTTATTGTACCTTTAAAAATAACTAAAAGAGTGTAACTCGATTGTTTGAAATGCAAAGAAAGGATAAATGCATGAGGTGATAGATACCCATTTACCCTAACGTGATTAGTTTGCATTTATGCCTGTATTAAAATATCTCATGTATCCCATAAATATATACATCTACCATGTACCTACAAAAATTAAAAGTAAAAAAAAAATTTTTTTTAAGGCACAACTTACAGAAAACAGGGGAAACAGCGTAAGAAAAAGACTTCAACATTGGGCAGATCCAGGTTCAAATCTTTGTTCTGCCCTTAGTTGGAAATATTTTATATAATTATTTTATCCTTTCTATATATGCTTTGTAAAGTTGTAAGGATTAAAAAAAACAATAAATATACAGTTAATCCTTGAACAACACAGGTTTGACCAGCACAAATCCACTTACACACAATTTTTTTTTCTGCCTCTGCCACCCGAGACAGCAAGACCAACCCTCTTACTCCTCCTTCCTCAGCCTACTCCACCTGAAGATGAGCATGAAGACCTTTATGATGATCCACTTCCATTTAAAAATAGTAAATATATTTTCTCTTCCTTATGATTTTCTTAATAACATTTTTCCTTTAGCTTTGTTGTAAGAATACAGCATATAATACACATAACATAAAATATATGTTACTCTATGTTACTGGCAAGGCTTCCAGTCAACAGTAGGATATCAGTAGTAAAGACTACGGGGAGTCAAAAGTCGTATGTGAATTTTTGACTGTGCAAGGGGCCAATGCCCCAACCCCCATGTTGTTCATGGGTCAATAGTAGAGTGGTTATAATATGCCTGGCATAAAACAAGCAATAAACTATAGGAACTGTTGTTACTATGATGTATATCACGACTATTTGCCAATGATCTAGTTGTAGGCTAAAACCCAGAAAATTAACTTAAAATTGGCAGAACAGGAAAACTCACTGGATAAGAGGATAAGCAAAAACTCAAAATGTCTGCAAATATTAGCAATATTCTGTTAGGAAAAAAAACCTTTAAAGATTGAAATGGAATTATAAACTATCTAGAAATAACCTTTATAAGAAATACAACAGATAAGTGTGAAAATGATCAAAATTTGTGTAAGAGATATAAAAGAAACTATGAGTAAATGTAGAAATTTAACTTGTTTCTGTATAAAAACTATTATAACTATGTCAATTCTTCTTAACTTGTAGGTTTAATATAATACTAATCAAAATTACAATATGATTGAAAAAAAAAAAGAAACAAGAATTACCCTAAAAATGTATCTGGTAAAGAAAAAGAGAGCAAATAACTAAGAACAATAAGTGTAAAAAGGAGAGTAAAGGGGAAATGCGGAAAGAATTCTATTAGAAATTAAAGCATATTGTAAATAATTACTAATACAACGAGGTACTGGCAGAAAAGACAGAGTAACAGAGCAAAGGAGAAAGCCCAAAGGAAGATATAGCTTGATACATACTTGCTATAGATTCATTCACTGTTTTATATAAGAATTTAATAAATCTTACAAGTAGCATTATAAATCAGTGACAGAAGGATGATGTAGTCATTAAATTATGCTGGGATTTTGATAAGCTACTTGGTAATAGTAAATTAAAAATTTTAAAATAAAGTAAGGGCCGGGCGTGGTGGCTCATGCCTGTAATCCTAGCACTTTGGGAGGCTGAGGCGGGCAGATCACAAGGTCAGGAGTTTGAGACCTGCCTGGCCAACATGGTGAAACCCTGTCTCTACTAAAAATACAAAAATTAGCCAGGCGTGATGGTACGTGCCTGTAGTCCCAGCTACTCGGGAGGCTGAGGCAGAAGAATCGCTTGAACCCAGGAGGTGGAGCCGAGATCGTGTCACTGCACTTCAGTGAGCCGAGATCGTGTCACTGCACTTCAGCCTGGGTGACAGAGCAATACTCCATCTCAAAAAATAATAATAATAAATAAATAAGATAAATTAGTTCTGACTTCAAATCAATCTCCCAAATAACTTCCACATTGATTATTCTTAAATGCGAGAGAGACAGAGAGACTGAGAAAGAGAGAGGTAATGAGAAAGGGTGAGAGAGAGAATGAGAATGAAAAAACAGAAAAAAAAAAGCACAAGAAAATTATAATACTGATGTACTACCCAGGAAGAGCTATAAAAATGTTAATACAACCAGGATTAAGAATATGAGCTAAATCTTACATGCTCTTCCCACACTTTTTTTTCTCTCTCATAAGCCTCCTTTCTCTTTCGTTCTAGTTGTTCTTTTAGTACAGCAGCACGTGCATTTGCATGGGCCTAAAAATAAAAACAATTAACAAAATGAGTTACCAGAAAGAAGGGCAGAGGTTTTTTTTTTTTTTTTTGGGCCAGGTCTATGAAGATATTTACTTATTAGCCAAAAAAGAAGTGTGCATGTGGTCTTAGAATAAAAATGTAAGCTCACTCTAAATCTCTAGCACCTAAAACCAGCCTTGACATACAGCAGGTGTTCAATAAATATTTGCTGAGTGAAAATAAAGGCAGGTATATTTGAATGTGAAAAAAATGTAAAAATTTAAAACAATTATTATACACAGACTTCATTTGCCTTCATGGGGATGTATATTCGTATATTTTTTATTTTTAAGGTTACCATTTTTTTCAAGATTACTTATATGATAGTTTCATGTATTTATGCCATGGTTTTATCTATTTTCATAAACATAATACAAAAAGAGAAAAATACTATTTTTAGAAACCAAAAAGTGGAGGAGAAAGATGAAAGAAAAATTAAAGGAAGAGACTAAAGTGATATAACTATGCAAAACTTAAGAACACAATTTGCTATCTCAGCTTTCAATTTTCTCTAAGAAAACCTGTATCATTTCTAGTCTATACCTTCAGTGATTCGATTTTTTTGCGCCTCATGTCAGCCTCTTCACTTCCTTCTTGTCCTTCAGAATGATTAGCTTCTTTCTACAAAATAAGTAGATAAGCAAATCACTTAGGATAGAATCATCAAATTGAGTGCAGAGCTCTGTGAAAGATAACAATGAATAAACTAAAATCTAAAAATATAAAATGGAAATCATTTAATGCTGTTAGTTTTCTCCTAAAGCTGCAACTGAACTCTCCACCACTATCAGCCTTTCAGAACAATGGAACAAAAAGATAATGATATAAAATGCATTTTAATCCTCCCATGAATACTAGTTATATTTTCCTCTCAGAATTTCTCTGGAACAAATGGTCTTATCAATTTAAAATCACATATATAAGATTTACTTTATGTGTAGTTTTTTGATCTTTGAACTTCCACTGTCGTCATCAGTTTTGTTGTTGTTGTCGTTGTTGTTAATGGCACAGCATTTTAAATGTTAACCTACTATGACATCATTCAATTTCTTCAAAAAAATAGCTTTTCAACCTACCTTTTCACCACGAAGTTTGGCTTTAATCTGTTGGCGCTCATTGAAATTCTGTAGTCTTATTTGCCTCAGTCTTGCCAGATAAACCTACAAGGAGGCAAAAACCCCAACATAATAATGTAAAAGCAAAGCTATTGACATTTTTACTGCTAGATTTTTTTTAAATTTAAGGAACAGTGTTAATTTGAACACAAGAAATAAAAGTTCTGAAATCCGGTTAATGGAAATGTAATATTAGCTTTCAAGTGTTTAATTAAGAACAATTTATTTCTGAAAAGAAAGAAATACATTATAAAATTACAAATTTTTAATTTAATCAAAAGAAAAGAAACTGAAATCATAATATTGAATAAGTTACGGGGCAAAATTATAACACAGAATGTCAGTCAAAAATATATTAACAGGTCCCTACAGACCTACAAAATCTTCAAATAATTGTTAAGAATTTAAACCATGCAAGAAAAGAAGGCAATAAATTCAAAAATGGCTATGTGATGGAGGTAGCGAACATGCGGGAAGCATACCTCTTCCTCTTTGTTTCTTGGCTTCCCTCCTCTTGAAGAGCTGGGCCTGCCTCCATACATAGCTGCCAGGTTTTGCAGGATTCCCTGTTTATCATTTAATGTACTAAGTTTAAAGAATGACTAAGGCTACATTATTATCTTACCAAGGAATATCCAGGTGCTACTTTATTTCTTTTGGCAAATACTGACCATTTATTGATGATAAACTGTGATAACAAACCCTGGCGTTTTCCTATGTCAACTTGAAATATATATTTAGTGAGAACAGAAGGAAGCAATTAAGCCCCAAACATAATTATTCAAAACAGAGACCAGCTATCTTTGTGTTAGTCACTTAAGAGGGGTTTTTTTTGTTTGCTTGTTTGTTTGTTTGTTTTAAATCACTGCTTTGGAGGTTAAACCCCAAACCAAATTTTCCTCTACAAACAGCCAATCCATTTCGACATATGTCTATATATATACTAAACACATACAAAATAAGATATTTGAGATCACTTTTTCTGAATTCAACAAATGGGTTGTATATTAATTAAGAGATCTCAATCAAACTCTGTGCACTCAGGCATGTTCAGTTACTATACAGCAAATGTTCAAACCCAATCAAAAATGGACTCATTTTTGAACATAGTTTATATATTTCTCTTCCTTCAGCATACGAGCATGCTTCGACTTACTCCCTTAAAAAAAACTCTTTAGTCCCACTTTCCTGTCAAATGTCTTTTTATTGGCTTATTGAATGTGTATTTTTTTTATTCATCATCTCAATTTTCCTGCTTCCCAGTCATTTTTTAGCTCACTACAATCTAGTTTCTGATCCCATTATGACTGAAAATTTTCTAAGGTCACCAATGACTTTCTACTTCACAACTGAAATGAGCCCTTCTGAGTGATTTTTGCATTTAACATTTCCACTGGAAATTAGTTTTGACTGAATCCACTTAATTTATATATGCATTTTTTTCTGTCATAACATAATACATACTCATTATAGAAAATTTATTAAAAAATAAAGAAAATGTGAATCATTTATAATTCTGCCATCTGAGAAACTTAAAATTTGAGGGTACTGTCTTCCAAATTTCCTTCTCTGCATATGTATAATACATACATGTTTATTTTTATAAAACTGGTATTTTACTAGTTATCCAGACAATATTATATCCTGAATCTCTTCCCACATCCATTTAATATTCCTTACAAACACTATTCTTAAGTGACTATATACTATTCATAACACTCCACTATACAAATGTTCTATAATTCACACATTTTTAAAAAGTCTCTCTTCTCTTTCAGTATTTATAATGGCACTCTCTCTTGGGTTCTTTCAATTGTCACTATTTTTCACAGGCTTTTCTCTCCTTGGCTTGTTGCTGAATGTCAATATTTTCTAGAGTTTCATTTGCTGGCCCTCCTTCTCTTCTCATCCCCAGGCTTTAACATATGCTGCCAATTCCCAAACCTTGCAGCCCTTTTCTCTTTACAGCTTTCTGTGTATGTTAAACTGACATCTGGGCAACTCCACTCTTACGCAGCAAAGCTACCTCAATTTATAAACCTGACTTTATCCTTCTTTTTACTATATAATCTTATTCCCAATTCAGTTATTGAACATGATCAGCCACTCAAGTCAGCAAACTAGGAATTACATTTGCCTCTTACCTACTATACTCAAATATGCCAAATTACCAATTCTATCTCCTAATAATTCTATAATTGATCATTTCAGTTTCTGCCTTAGCTCAGCCTCTCTTCTTTTGACTCTTAAATTGCTAAATGAGTTTCCCAACTCATCCTACCTCTAGTCTCACATCCCACAATTCCATTCTCTACAATGCCCTGAGAGTAACCTTTCTCTTTCACATCAAATCCCACACAAATCCTTCAATGGTTACTATTATCTTCAGACTTTAATTCACATTCTGTTGAATGGCAGGTAAAGCCATTTGTGATCTCGCCATTTCTAGTCTCATCTCTGCCACTGCTCAGTCATAAATCCTACATTCTGGCTACGACAACTACTTGTGGTCTGTAAACTGTACCATGATCTCACTCATCCTCTTAAGATGGGTAACTCTACTCATCTTCCAAAACTCAAACCAAGTATCTCACCCCAGAAGCCTCTTCAAAGCCTTCTCTAGGGAGTTAAGTGTGCTTCCTTTGACCTTCCATACCATTTCTTTATAGAAACCTCTCACAGTAGCACTCATTAGAGTGCATTATAATGGTGGAAGCGCAGTATATTTTAGTTAAGAACATGAAATACAGACTCTGAAATCTGTTTTTGTCAACATCACATAAGCACTGTTGATCTTAAACAAAACTGCTTAAACTTGTTGTTAAGTCTAGGCATAAAAACACCTACTTCTTGGGTGTACCAGAGCAAAAAAGTATTACTGTAAGAGCATGCCCTACCTTTTTTCTTTTGCAGCATGACAAAGCACCTTTACTCACTCAGTTTCCTCCCCTCTTCAAGAAGGCCCTTGCAATAGCTTATCAGTATTTGAGCTTTTGAGATATATATAGGTCAAAGAGTTGGGGAGATGAAGGAAAATAAGAAATAAGCAGCGCTGGGCAAAGATGTGAGATAAATTCTGAAAAGGCATATGGGAGTATCTACAAAGTTAAGGGGAGTGGGTGGTAGTGAATTGAGTATTGCTATAGATGATAACTTCCTTTCATGATATTTGAGAAATGCAAGAATCTGAGTTACTCTGAAGTTTTAAAACCTTTTTGGTTTGAAATATTATAGATATACAGAAAGGTGAAAAGAATATACAGGGAGGTCCTGTGTGCCCCTTCACCCAGCCTTTCCCAAATTTCTCATCTTGCATAGCTACATTACACCATCAAAACCAGGAAACTGACATTGATTCAAATTATAGATATAATCTTTTATTTGTGCCGTGCATCTACACAATTTTGTCACTCATGTCATCTTATGTTAATTCCACCCTAATCAAGATGCTTAGCTGTATTATTACTGGAACACTTCATAGCCACATTCACTACCTCCATCCCTAACCCATCGACCATTAAACTGTTCTCCATCTTGATAATTATGTCATAATTTCTATATAGACTCACAATATGTGTCCTTTTGAGACTGAGTGTTTTCATTCAATATAATTATATATGGTCCATCTATGGTATTGCAATGCATCAATAGTTCATTCCTTTTCATTGCAAAGCAGTATTCCATGGGGTGGATATAGTGTTATGATACAGTCTTTTCATTCATTCACCCATTAAAGGGCATTTGGGTAGTTTTAAGTTTTTTTGCTATTACAAATAAAGTTTCTATGAATATTCATGAATGAGTTTCTAAGTGACAACAAGTTTTCTTTTCTCTGGAACATATGCACAAGAATGAAATCGCTGGTTCTTGGTATGAAGTCCATTTTTAGTTTAAAAAGGAACTGTGAAACTATTTTGCACAATGGCTGTATCATTTTACATTCCAAACAACAATGTATAGGTGACCAGTTTCTTCAAAACTTCATCAGCATTTGGTTTTATCACTATTTTTTTATTATAGCCATTTTGATAGGTGTGAAGTGATAACATCATTGTGGTTTAAGTTTGCATTTTCCAAATGATTTGGGTATCTCTTCATGTGTTACCTGCCATATGTATATCCTCTTTGGTGAAATGTTTTGTATAAATTTTCCTCATTTTCTAACTGGATCTTTTATGTTTAATGTTGAATTTTGATACTTCTTTATATTTTCTAAATATAAGCCTTTTGTTGGATAAGTGCTATACAAACATTTCTCTCAACCTGTAATTTGTATTTTCTTTCTCTTAACAGGGTCTTTTGCAGAGCCAAATTTTTAAATTTGGACAAAGCCTGCTCTATCAGCTTTTCCTTTTTTGGATTATACTCTTGGTGTCAAGTCTAATAACTCTTTGCCTAGTACTAGGTCCCCAAATTTTCTTCTCTTTTTACTAGAAGTTTTGCAGTTTCATATGAAAGCCCATGATCTGTTTTGAGGTAATTATTTTATATGGTTTGAGGTTTAGGTCAAGGTTGGTAGAGCTTATGGATGTCCAATTCCTCCCACAATAATATTGAAAAGGTTACTCCTACTCCACTGAATTGCTTTTATGTGTTTGTCAAGAATCAGTTAGGCATATATATTTGTGTGCATCTATTCTGGGACTCTCCATAGTGTTTCATTGATCTATGTGTCTATCCCTTTGCCACTACTATACTGTTTTGATTACTGTAGCTATAAGTTAGCCTCAAAATCAGGAAGAGTTATTCTTCCCAAGTTGTTGTTCTTCAAAATTGTTTTAGTTACTTTAAGGTCTTTCTCTTTCCATATAAATTTTAAAATAAGCCTGTCTATATTAAAAAATATTTTCTGAGATTTTAGTAAGAATTGCATTATCTCTCCAATTTAACAAGAATTGCCATTTTTACTGTTGTGAGTCTTCTGATTCATAAACAATGTATCTCTCCAAGTATTTAGGTCTTCTTAGATTTTTTTCACCAGCATTTTGTCATTTAATTGCATTTAATATTGCATATGTTTTGTTAGCATTCTTTTTCACATTCTTTGGAACAACTGTAAATGGCATTACATTTTTTGTATCAGTTTCCACTTGCTGTCAATATATATAAATTCAATTGATTTTTGTGTACTGATCTTGTATCCTGCAACTATAATGAATTCACTTTTTAGTTTCAGGAGTATTTTTGTAGAGTTCTGGGAATTTCCCATTCAGATAATCATTATCAACTTGAAATAGCAACAACTTTATTTCATCTTTTCAATTCTGTATGCCCCTTCTTGCTTTATTGCAGTAACTACAACTTACAGTACAATGTCAAATATGAGTGGTAAAAGTTACATGCTTGCCTGTTCCCTAATTGTAGAGGGAAATCCTTCAGTCTTCTACCTGTATAATATTAGATGCAGGGTTTTTGCAGATGCCTATTGTGAGGTTCAGAACATTCCCCTGTATTTCTAGTGTGCTGACAGTTATTATTTTTTTAAATCATGAATGGGTGCTGATTTTTTTCAAAAGATTTTCTGTATCAATTGATGTAATCATATGAATTTCCTTCTTTAGCCTGTTGATATGGTGAATCACATTGATTTTTTAATACTGTAAAATACTTGTACATCTAGACTAAATTCCACTTGGTTGGGGCTGGATATAATTTACTAAAATTTTATTGAGGATTTTTGTTATTTATTTATTTATTTATTTATTTATTTATTTTTTGAGACAGAGTCTTGCTCTGTTGCCCAGGCTGGAGTACAGTGGTGCAATCTTGGCTCACTGCAAGCTCCACCTCCCGGGTTCATGCCATTCTCCTGCCTGAGCCTCCTGAGTAGCTGGGACTACAGGCGCCTGCCACCACGCCTGGCTAATTTTTTTGTATTATTAGTAGAGACAGGGTTTCACCATGTTAGCCAGGATGGTCTTGATCTCTTGACCTCAGGTGATCCACCTGCCTCGGCCTCCCAAAGTGCTGGGATTACAGGCGTGAGCCACCGCACCCGGCAAGGATTTTTGTATTTAATTTCATCAAAGATACTGGTCTGTAGTTTGCTTTTCTGTGCTGTCTTTGGTTATGGTATTAGGGTAATACAGTCTCAAAATGAGTTGATTAGTATTCACTCCACTACTACTTCTGGGAACAGATTGTAGTGTTGTATCAAATTGGTGTTAATTCTTCTTTGAATGTTTGGTAAAATTTTCCAGTGAAACCATCTAGGCCCAGAGATTTTCAATAGTTTTTGAATCACGAATTCAACTTTTAAAACAGTTATAGGAAAATTTAAGATATCTGTTTCAACTTGGCTAAGTTTTGGTAGTTTACGAATTTTATAGGATTGGTTCATCTCTTCTAAGTTGTTGAATTTATGAATGTAAAGTTGAATTTATCCTTTTAATTGTTACAAGATCTATAATTATACCCATTTTTTTCTGATATTGGTGATTTGCGTCTTTTTTATCTTTGTCAATTTTGCTAGAGACTTATCAAATTCACTTTTATGTTTCTAAGAGTCAGTTTTTTGTTTCATTACATTACTCTATAGTATTACTGGTCTCAATTTTATCAGTATCTATTCTTAATTACTTCATTCTGCTTGATTTGGGAATATTTTGCTCTTTTTTTTCCTAGTATTTTGAGTTAGGAATTTACAGTGATTTGAGACATTTCTTCTACTGTCTGCATTTAGTGCTATAAATTTCCCTCACAGAAGTGCTTCAGCTCTCACACATTTTTGTGCGTTGTGTGTCTATTTCCATTCTGTTCTATGTACATCTAAATTTCCTTTCAGATTTCCTCTTTGACCCATGGTTTATTTAAAAGTGTGTTAATTTTTAAATGTTTGGAGATTTTCCTGTCACCTTCCTGCTACTGATTTCTAGTTTAATTCCACTGTTCTCTATATTTGTAAAGGTTTTATAATTCAGTATATTATCTTGATGAATTTTTGATGGGTGCTTAAAATGTGTATTTTGCTATTGTGGAGTGGAATATTCTGTAAGTGCAAATTAGATCCTGGTGGTTAGTGATGGTGTTTAGCTATTCTATATCCTTGCTGATTTTCTGTCTAGTAGTTCTATCAATTGCTGAGAGCAGGATGTTCAAGTCTCAACTGTAATTGTGAACCTGTTTACTTCTTCTTTCAGCTCTATTAGTTTCTGCTCTCTATATTTTAAAGTATGGTTATTTGGTGTATACATATTTAGGATTGCAATAACTTCTTTTTTTTTTTTTTATTATACTCTAAGTTTTAGGGTACATGTGCACATTGTGCAGGTTAGTTACATATGTATACATGTGCCATGCTGGTGCGCTGCACCCACTAATGTGTCATCTAGCATTAGGTATATCTCCCAATGCTATCCCTCCCCCCTCCCCCGACCCCACCACAGTCCCCAGAGTGTGATATTCCCCTTCCTGTGTCCATGTGATCTCATTGTTCAATTCCCACCTATGAGTGAGAATATGCGGTGTTTGGTTTTTTGTTCTTGCGATAGTTTACTGAGAATGATGGTTTCCAATTTCATCCATGTCCCTACAAAGGATATGAACTCATCATTTTTTATGGCTGCATAGTATTCCATGGTGTATATGTGCCACATTTTCTTAATCCAGTCTATCATTGTTGGACATTTGGGTTGGTTCCAAGTCTTTGCTATTGTGAATAGTGCCGCAATAAACATACGTGTGCATGTGTCTTTATAGCAGCATGATTTATAGTCCTTTGGGTATATACCCAGTAATGGGATGGCTGGGTCAAATGGTATTTCTAGTTCTAGATCCCTGAGGAATCGCCACACTGACTTCCACAATGGTTGAACTAGTTTACAGTCCCACCAACAGTGTAAAAGTGTTCCTATTCCTCCACATCCTCTCCAGCACCTGTTGTTTCCTGACTTTTTAATGATTGCCATTCTAACTGGTGTGAGATGATATCTCATAGTGGTTTTGATTTGCATTTCTCTGATGGCCAGTGATGATGAGCATTTCTTCATGTGTTTTTTGGCTGCATAAATGTCTTCTTTTGAGAAGTGTCTGTTCATGTCCTTTGCCCAGTTTTTGATGGGGTTGTTTGTTTTTTTCTTGTAAATTTGTTTGAGTTCATTGTAGATTCTGGATATTAGGCCTTTGTCAGATGAGTAGGTTGCGAAAATTTTCTCCCATGTTGTAGGTTGCCTGTTCACTCTGATGGTAGTTTCTTTTGCTGTGCAGAAGCTCTTTAGTTTAATTAGATCCCATTTGTCAATTTTGGCTTTTGTTGCCATTGCTATTGGTGTTTTGGACATGAAGTCCTTGCCCACGCCTATGTCCTGAATGGTAATGCCTAGGTTTTCTTCTAGGGTTTTTATGGTTTTAGGTCTAACGTTTAAATCTTTAATCCATCTTGAATTGATTTTTGTATAAGGTGTAAGGAAGGGATCCAGTTTCAGCTTTCTACATATGGCTAGCCAGTTTTCCCAGCACCATTTATTAAATAGGGAATCCTTTCCCCATTGCTTGTTTTTCTCAGGTTTGTCAAAGATCAGATAGTTGTAGATATGCGGCATTATTTCTGAGGGCTCTGTTCTGTTCCATTGATCTATATCTCTGTTTTGGTACCAGTACCATGCTGTTTTGGTTACTGTAGCCTTGTAGTATAGTTTGAAGTCAGGTAGTGTGATGCCTCCAGCTTTGTTCTTTTGGCTTAGGATTGACTTGGCGATGCGGGCTCTTTTTTGGTTCCATATGAACTTTAAAGTAGTTTTTTCCAATTCTGTGAAGAAAGTCATTGGTAGCTTGATGGGGATGGCATTGAATCTGTAAATTACCTTGGGCAGTATGGCCATTTTCACAATATTGATTCTTCCTACCCTTGAGCATGGAATGTTCTTCCATTTGTTTGTGTCCTCTTTTATTTCCTTGAGCAGTGGTTTGTAGTTCTCCTTGAAGAGGTCCTTCACATCCCTTGTAAGTTGGATTCCTAGGTATTTTATTCTCTTTGAAGCAATTGTGAATGGGAGTTCACTCATGATTTGGCTCTCTGTTTGTCTGTTGTTGGTGTATAAGAATGCTTGTGATTTTTGTACATTGATTTTGTATCCTGAGACTTTGCTGAAGTTGCTTATCAGCTTAAGGAGATTTTGGGCTGAGACGATGGGGTTTTCTAGATAAACAATCATGTCGTCTGCAAACAGGGACAATTTGACTTCCTCTTTTCCTAATTGAATACCCTTTATTTCCTTCTCCTGCCTGATTGCCCTGGCCAGAACTTCCAACACTATGTTGAATAGGAGCGGTGAGAGAGGGCATCCCTGTCTTGTGCCAGTTTTCAAAGGGAATGCTTCCAGTTTTTGCCCATTCAGTATGATATTGGCTGTGGGTTTGTCATAGATAGCTCTTATTATTTTGAAATACGTCCCATCAATACCTAATTTATTGAGAGTTTTTAGCATGAAGCGTTGTTGAATTTTGTCAAAGGCTTTTTCTGCATCTATTGAGATAATCATGTGGTTTTTGTCTTTGGCTCTGTTTATATGCTGGATTACATTTATTGATTTGCGTATATTGAACCAGCCTTGCATCCCAGGGATGAAGCCCACTTGATCATGGTGGATAAGCTTTTTGATGTGCTGCTGGATTCGGTTTGCCAGTATTTTATTGAGGATTTTTGCATCAATGTTCATCAAGGATATTGGTCTAAAATTCTCTTTTTTGGTTGTGTCTCTGCCCGGCTTTGGTATCAGAATGATGCTGGCCTCATAAAATGAGTTAGGGAGGATTCCCTCTTTTTCTATTGATTGGAATAGTTTCAGAAGGAATGGTACCAGTTCCTCCTTGTACCTCTGGTAGAATTCGGCTATGAATCCATCTGGTCCTGGACTCTTTTTGGTTGGTAAACTATTGATTATTGCCACAATTTCAGAGCCTGTTATTGGTCTATTCAGAGATTCAACTTCTTCCTGGTTTAGTCTTGGGAGAGTGTATGTGTCGAGGAATGTATCCATTTCTTCTAGATTTTCTAGTTTATTTGCGTAGAGGTGTTTGTAGTATTCTCTGATGGTAGTTTGTATTTCTGTGGGATCGGTGGTGATATCCCCTTTATCATTTTTTATTGTGTCTATTTGATTCTTCTCTCTTTTTTTCTTTATTAGTCTTAATAGCGGTCTATCAATTTTGTTGATCCTTTCAAAAAACCAGCTCCTGGATTCATTGATTTTTTGAAGGGTTTTTTGTGTCTCTATTTCCTTCAGTTCTGCTCTGATTTTAGTTATTTCTTGCCTTCTGCTAGCTTTTGAATGTGTTTGCTCTTGCTTTTCTAGTTCTTTTAATTGTGATGTTAGGGTGTCAATTTTGGATCTTTCCTGCTTTCTCTTGTAGGGATTTAGTGCTATAAATTTCCCTCTACACACTGCTTTGAATGCGTCCCAGAGATTCTGGTATGTGGTGTCTTTGTTCTCGTTGGTTTCAAAGAACATCTTTATTTCTGCCTTCATTTCGTTATGTACCCAGTAGTCATTCAGGAGCAGGTTGTTCAGTTTCCATGTAGTTGAGCGGCTTTGAGTGAGATTCTTAATCCTCAGTTCTAGTTTGATTGCACTGTGGTCTGAGAGAGAGTTTGTTATAATTTCTGTTCTTTTACATTTGCTGAGGAGAGCTTTACTTCCAACTATGTGGTCAATTTTGGAATAGGTGTGGTGTGGTGCTGAAAAAAATGTATATTCTGTTGATTTGGGGTGGAGAGTTCTGTAGATGTCTATTAGGTCTGCTTGGTGCAGAGCTGAGTTCAATTCCTGGGTATCCTTGTTGACTTTCTGTCTCGTTGATCTGTCTAATGTGGACAGTGGGGTGTTAAAGTCTCCCATTATTAATGTGTGGGAGTCTAAGTCTCTTTGTAGGTCACTGAGGACTTGCTTTATGAATCTGGGTGCTCCTGTATTGGGTGCATAAATATTTAGGATAGTTAGCTCCTCTTGTTGAATTGATCCCTTTACCATTATGTAATGGCCTTCTTTGTCTCTTTTGATCTTTGTTGGTTTAAAGTCTGTTTTATCAGAGACTAGGATTGCAACCCCTGCCTTTTTTTGTTTTCCATTGGCTTGGTAGATCTTCCTCCATCCTTTTATTTTGAGCCTATGTGTGTCTCTGCACGTGAGATGGGTTTCCTGAATACAGCACACTGATGGGTCTTGACTCTTTATCCAACTTGCCAGTCTGTGTCTTTTAATTGCAGAATTTAGTCCATTTATATTTAAAGTTAATATTGTTATGTGTGAATTTGATCCTGTCATTATGATGTTAGCTGGTTATTTTGCTCATTAGTTGATGCAGTTTCTTCCTAGTCTTGATGGTCTTTACATTTTGGCATGATTTTGCAGCGGCTGGTACCGGTTGTTCCTTTCCATGTTTAGCGCTTCCTTCAGGAGCTCTTTTAGGGCAGGCCTGGTGGTGACAAAATCTCTCAGCATTTGCTTGTCTATAAAGTATTTTATTTCTCCTTCACTTATGAAGCTTAGTTTGGCTGTATATGAAATTCTGGGTTGAAAATTCTTTTCTTTAAGAATGTTGAATATTGGCCCCCACTCTCTTCTGGCTTGTAGGGTTTCTGCCGAGAGATCCGCTGTTAGTCTGATGGGCTTTCCTTTGAGGGTAACCCGACCTTTCTCTCTGGCTGCCCTTAACATTTTTTCCTTCATTTCAACTTTGGTGAATCTGACAATTATGTGTCTGGGAGTTGCTCTTCTCGAGGAGTATCTTTGTGGCGTTCTCTGTATTTCCTGAATCTGAACGTTGGCCTGCCTTGCTAGATTGGGGAAGTTCTCCTGGATAATATCCTGCAGAGTGTTTTCCAACTTGGTTCCCTTCTCCACATCACTTTCAGGTACACCAATCAGACGTAGATTTGGTCTTTTCACATAGTCCCATATTTCTTGGAGGCTTTGCTCATTTCTTTTTATTCTTTTTTCTCTAAACTTCCCTTCTCGCTTCATTTCATTCATTTCATCTTCCATTGCTGATACCCTTTCTTCCAGTTGATCGCATCGGCTCCTGAGGCTTCTGCATTCTTCACGTAGTTCTCGAGCCTTGGTTTTCAGCTCCATCAGCTCCTTTAAGCACTTCTCTGTATTGGTTATTCTAGTTATACATTCTTCTAAATTTTTTTCAAAGTTTTCAACTTCTTTGCCTTTGGTTTGAATGTCCTCCCGTAGCTCAGAGTAATTTGATCGTCTGAAGCCTTCTTCTCTCAGCTCGTCAAAATCATTCTCCATCCAGCTTTGTTCTGTTGCTGGTGAGGAACTGCGTTCCTTTGGAGGAGGAGAGGCGCTCTGCGTTTTAGAGTTTCCAGTTTTTCTGTTCTGTTTTTTCCCCATCTTTGTGGTTTTATCTACTTTTGGTCTTTGATGATGGTGATGTACAGATGGGTTTTCGGTGTAGATGTCCTTTCTGGTTGTTAGTTTTCCTTCTAACAGACAGGACCCTCAGCTGCAGGTCTGTTGGAATACCCTGCCGTGTGAGGTGTCAGTGTGCCCCTGCTGGGGGGTGCCTCCCAGTTAGGCTGCTCGGGGGTCAGGGGTCAGGGACCCACTTGAGGAGGCAGTCTGCCCGTTCTCAGATCTCCAGCTGCGTGCTGGGAGAACCACTGCTCTCTTCAAAGCTGTCAGACAGGGACACTTAAGTCTGCAGAGGTTACTGCTGTCTTTTTGTTTGTCTGTGCCCTGCCCCCAGAGGTGGAGCCTACAGAGGCAGGCAGGCCTCCTTGAGCTGTGGTGGGCTCCACCCAGTTCGCGCTTCCAGGCTGCTTTGTTTACCTAAGCAAGCCTGGGCAATGGCGGGCGCCCCTCCCCCAGCCTCGTTGCCGCCTTGCAGTTTGATCTCAGACTGCTGTGCTAGCAATCAGCGAGATTCCGTGGGCGTAGGACCCTCTGAGCCAGGTGTGGGATATAGTCTCGTGGTGCGCCGTTTCTTAAGCCGGTCTGAAAAGCACAATATTCGGGTGGGAGTGACCCGATTTTCCAGGTGCGTCCGTCACCCCTTTCTTTGACTTGGAAAGGGAACTCCCTGACCCCTTGCGCTTCCCAGGTGAGGCAATGCTCGCCCTGCTTCGGCTCGCGCACGGTGCGCACACACACTGGCCTGCGCCCACTGTCTGGCACTCCCTAGTGAGATGAACCCGGTACCTCAGATGGAAATGCAGAAATCACCCGTCTTCTGCGTCGCTCACGCTGGGAGCTGTAGACCGGAGCTGTTCCTATTCGGCCATCTTGGTTCCTCCCCCTGCAATAACTTCTTAGTGCATGATTCTTTTGTTACCTTGTCTCTTTTTATCTCTTTGTCCTTAGTAACTTAATTTTGCTCTATTACAAACAAATTCTTTTAGTTTCCTGCATTTGAGAGTGTCTTTATTTCTACTTCATTCCAAAAGGACAGTTTTGGTCAGATATAGAATTAAAGATTGATAGTACTTTTTCTTCTTTCAGCACCTGAAAAATGTTGTACCACTTCCTTCTAAACTCCATGGTTTCAGATGAGAAACCTGCTGTTATTCAAATTGGTGTACTTTCATATGGAATGTGTCATTTCTCTCTCCCATTTTTCAGATTTGTCTTTTTAAAAACATTTCTTAGTGTGGATTCGAGTTTATCTTATTGTAGGATTTGCTCAGCCTCTTAAATCTATAGGTGAGAAATTTTCAGTCATTATTTCTTCATTTTTCGGTCACATACTTTCTCCTGTCCTTTAAGCTTTGAAGATACAATGTTAAATTTTTGTATTGTCCTATAAATTCTTGGGACTGATAATTTCAGTATTTTTACTCTCTGTTGTTCAGATAGAGAACTGAACTGGTATGTCTTCAAGTTCATTGATTCTATCTTCTGTCATCATCTCCACTGTACTACTGAGTCTAATCTGTGAATCTTAATTTTGATTATTGTGTTTTTCAGTTCTATAATTTCCATTTAATTCTTCCTTAAAACTTCTATTTGTTTGCTGAGGTTTTCCCTTTTTATCATTTTAAGATAATTTAAGATAATTGATTGTTGAAGCATTTCTATCACAGCAACTTTCAAACCCTTGTCAGGTAATTCCTACATCTGATTCATCTTGATATGAATGTCAAATCAATGTCATTTCTCACACAAATTGTGTTTTTGCTGCATTCAGCTTGGTTTGACAAGTTATTATGTTAAAAGACTCATAGTCCTGCTTAATCTATTTTATGCAGGAAGTAGCCTGTCAAAGTTTAGCAATCGGCTTCTAGCCTACTTTTGTGGGCTTTAGTTTCAATTGCAGTTCGGTTTTCTGAAAACTTGTGATACTCTTCTGGTCTGATTCATTCTTCTGGTGCTTCCAGAGCTCCTGTTCAATCACTGCTGCTGCTGTCTTGTGAGAATGGAAGTTGCTTCTCTGGGCTACCGGCTGTTGCTGGGAGACTTCCATGGTGGAGGTACCATGAATAAGTTGTGGAGTGGGGCAGGGATAGCCTGAGGCTTCACCACTGTCCTGAGCTTGAATCACTCATCAGGTCCCTGGTGTCAGGAAAATGTTGAGGTTCCCTATCTTTGTTGGGATTCCCCTTTTCCAGTCCTTTGGTGAGTAAGAGCAGGCTTTTCTTGTTTAATATTGTTTTTTGTCTAGTGGATCTGGGTTGCAGGCCTCTCTAATACCCAGTCCAAGATATACGGGAGACAGAAAACCCAGAGAACCCTGGTGTTATTTCTCAAGTCCCGAGGTCTCTAGCCAGCTCACCTTCTTTCTGGCATTTATAATCCAATTATAATTGTATGCTAAATAATTTCCAGGGTATTTAGTTATATTTAGAGGGAAGGAACAGGGAAAAGTGAGTCTATGCCATTCTTTTTGGACCTGGGCAGAAACTACTTTTTGATAGCTAAGGTTTTTACACTGCAACATACTCTATAACATGACTAGCACATCAAAGTTTGACACAGTTACACAGGATTGTTGGAAAGACTAAGAGATTGCTATGTTGAACTGTGCCCCTCATAAATTCATATGTTGAAGTCTCAAACCCTAGTACCTCAGAATTAACCTTATTTAGAGATAGGATGTTTCACAAGTTAAAATGAGGTCATCAGAATAGGTCCTAATTCAGTAGGACTGGTGTCCCTATAAAAAGGGAAAATTTGAAGACAGACTCACACACAGCAAGAACACAACATGAAGATGAAGGCAGAGATCAGGATGCTGATAATATACACCAAGGAAGGTCAAAAATTGCCATCCAATAACCAAAAGGTAGGAAGGAGGCATGGAACAGATTCTCCCTCAAAGCCCCCAGAAGGACACAACCCTGCTGACACACTGATCTTGGACTTCTTGCCCTGAAAACTCTGAGATAATAAATTTGTGTTGTTGACGCCATTTAGTTTGTAGTCTTTTGTTACAGCAGCCTTAGCAGACTAATATAGAGGTAATGCATATAAATTGCTTAACACGATGCCTGGCATAATAAGCTTTCAATAAATAGTTATTATTACTTAATTGTTGGTTTATTGTCTATCTCCCTTTACTGCTTATATGTTCCTGCTAGCATGAAACCTAACATATTACAGTCATTAATTTCTGTATAAAATTAAATCAATGAAAGAATGAATGAAAAGTTTTAACAGTTAACTGCACATTTTGTAAGGTAGGTTTTCCATTAGTATAAATAAACACAGTATGATTTAAGATGAGTTAATAAGAAAGTAACATTTCTCAAGGGAAATAATGCTGTTTCATCATTTTTGTAAAATTCAGAGGTTCTTCTGTTAAGTTATTCAACAGAAGATAACCAAGAAAAACTCTTGCACATGTGTACCAGGATATATCTACAACAATGTTCAAAGATGAACTGGAACCAACCTAAATAATTACTGTCAGGAGAATAATTGTGGTACAGTCACACAATGGAATATCATACAGCAATACTTGACAATATGAATGAATCTTAGAAAAATGTTGAATGGGCCGGGCACAGTGGCTCACTTGAGGTCAAGTGTTTGGGGCCAGCCTGACCAACATGGTGAAATCCTGTCTCTACTAAAAATACAAAATTAGCTGAGTGTGGTGGCGCATGCCTGTAATCCCAGCTACTTGGAAGGCTAAAGCAGAATTGCTTGAACCCAGGAGGCGGAGGTTGCAGTGAGCCAAGATCGTGCCATAGCACTCCAGCATGGGCAATGAGAGCGAAATTCCATCTCAAAAAAAAAAAAAAAAAAAGAAAAATGTTGAATGAAAAATGTCTCAGTCTATATACAGTAAAATTTTTATAATACTCAAATCAAACAGAACAAGGTACTGATTAATCACGCATATGTGTGTGAAAAAAGAGTATTTTAAGAAATCTACAGGAATGATAAATTCAAATTCAGGATAATGGCTACCTGCAGGGAAAGGTGGAGAAAAAAGATGAAATAGGGGTTGGAAAACTATGGTCCATGGTCCAAATCCAGCCCATCACTTGTTTTTGTATGGTCCAAAAGCTAAGAATGGTGTTCAAATTCTTAATGGTATGGAAAAATGAAAAGGATATTTCACAACACATGAACGTTATGGGAAATTCTAATTTCAGTGTCCATAAACGGTGTACTGGAACACATTCATGCTTACTGATTTACACATTGTCTACAGCTGCTTTTGTGCCATAATGCAAAGTTGAGTAGCTATGATAGAGACCTTATGGCCAAGCAAAGCCACGAATGCTTACTATCTGGCCCTTTACAGAAAAATGTTTGCCAATCCTTGAGTTAGGGAAGAGTACAGAGGCTACTTATTAGTGTTCAATCTTCTGGGTATATTATTTTGCTTTTTAATTTACACACATATTACACATATTCTTTTCCATGTACCAAACATTATTTTATTTTATTTTTATTTTATTTTGTTGAGAAAGAATCTTGCTCTGTCACCCAGGCTGGAGTGCAGTGGTGCGATCTTGGCTCACTGCAACCTCCACCTCCTGGGTTAAAGTGATTCTCCTGCCTCAACCTCCCAAGTAGCTAGAATTACAGGCACGCACCACCATGCCCAGCTAATTTTTTTATTTTTAGTAGAGATGGGGTTTTATCATGTTTGGCCAGGCGGGTCTCGAACTCCTGACCTCAGGTGATCTGCCTGCCTCAGCCTCCCAAAGTGCTGGGATTACAGGCATGAGCCACTGCACCCAGCCCAAACGTTATTTTAGAATAATAAAGGAATATTTTTAAAGAAGATCTGAAAAAAATAATCTTTTCAAAATAAACTTAGCGTTGAAGAACTAATTTACTATACAGGATAATCTATAGCAAAGATCAGCAAATTATTATCAACAAGTCAAATCTAGTCTGCTGTCTTATTTCCAAAATCAAGCTTTACTAGAGCATAGCCACACTAATTTGTTTAGCCTTTTACTACTATGGTAAGAGTTGAACAGTTGTACAAAACACCATATGGTTTAAAGCTTAAAATATTTACTCTCTGGCCTTTTACAGGAAAATATCTGCCTGCCCCCACTTTGCAATGCTGCCTTATCTACAAGTTTTACCTAAACTAAAGCAAACAGTAATATGCCATTTAAAAAGGAACAAACAACATAGTCAAACAGCTAAAAGCATAATCTTGAGAGTCAGACATTCTGGGTTTGCACCCTGTTTCTGGGCATTACTACGTGATCTTGGGCAAAGTACTAGTAACTCTGGGCCAGTTTTAAAACCAGTAACACTGGAATAAAAATCCCCACTACAAAGAATTACTATCAGGAGTAGATTTTCAGTCATTTTAATTAATTTTATTAATAAGGTTCAGAGCAAACCCACCTTCCCTCTGACACACACATACACACGAAACCACCACCAACAAAAAACATGTGGCTTGAAGTCTTCTTGATAGAGTTTCCCTAAACTGCATTTTTTGTTTCAAAGTTTCAGTTACCTATACAGGGAAAATTTTAAATTCATCAAAAAGCATGAGACCAGTCACAATGGGTCATGCATGTAGTCCAGTATTTTGGTAGACTGACATGGGAGGATAACTTGAAGCTAGGAGTTTGAGGCCAGCTTGGGCAACACAGCAAGACCTAACTCTACAAAAAGATTAAAAAATTAGCCACGCATGATGGCAAGCACCTATAGACCCAGCTACTCAGGAGGCTGAGGTGGGAGGATCACTTGAGCCTAAAAGTGTGAGGCTGCAGTGAGCTACAGATTTGCAACACTGCAATTTAACCTGGGTGACAGAGGGAAACCCCGTCTCTAAAAAAAACAAAAATAAAAGTAAACAAAAGCACATAAAATTATTTTGAAATACACGATTTCTTTAAACTATAATTCAACCTAAAAACTATTTACATTTTCCCATAGAAACCTGTTTTAATTCACTGTGGTTTCCCAAAGCAGTTAATAAATATACTGTTCAAATAACTTGACTATAGCAGGTTACTAATTCCAGAGGGTTAATCCTTCAGACTCAGAATTTAATCATAATTGTTCAGGCTTATTTGATATTTTAAAATATCAGAAAACACATATTGGGTTTAAGACCTGAATCTGTTAGAACCTCTTTAAAAGCTTTACAAACCTGTGGGAGAAAAACAAAAAGTCTAACATTTCATGCCATCAGAGAACCAGAAGAAGAGAAAGAGCGCAGTGTTGGAAAAATATTTGAAGAAATAATGGCTTAAAACATGACAAGTTTGGTGTAATCCATAACCTTGTAAATTCAAGAAACTAGCAAACCATAAATAGAAAAAATCCCCAAAAATCCATTTCCAGAGATGACTTAATCATACTGCTGAATACTAAAGACAAAGAAAAAATACTGAAAGCGTCCAGAGGAAAACAAAAGATTAACTACAAGAGAAAAAGCATTTGAACATTCAGGTGAGAATTTCTCACTGAAAACTATGGAGGATAGAAAGCCAGAAAGTAACATTTTTACGTGAGAAAAGAAATATGCTGTCAACCAAGAATATTACATCCTGTGAAAACACCATTCAGATATGAAGATGAAATAGACATTCTCAAATAAAGTAAAGAAATCTACAGTCAGCAGACCTGATCTCTAAGAGCTGCTAAACGAATTTCTTTAGGGAAAGGGAAAAAGAAGAAAACTTGAAACATTAGGAATGAAAGAAAAGTAATAGAAATAAGTATTTGTATAAATATAACAAAGTATTCCTTTTCTCTGTTATTAAACATGTCTGACAGTTAAAAGAAAAGGTATAACATTTCCTGGTGTTATTTTAATGTCTGCTAACGTAATACAAGACAACTATACCATAAAGGGGAGAGGGTAAAGCTACTATGTTGGAAAGATTTCTATGTTCCAACTGAAATAGTACAATATTGTTTATAAACAGATTGTAAAAAGTAAAGTATGTATTTTTAACCCCTAGAGCAACCACAAAGAAATTATACAAAAGAAAAATATAGTCAAAATCACAACAGATTAATTAAAATGGAATATTAAAGTGTTCAAATAATCTAAAGGCAGCAGGGAAATGGAAAGAGAGAAACAAAATCATAGGGTATAAACACAAAACAAATAATAGAATGTGAGATGTAAATCCTAACATATCAATAATTACATTAAACGTCTTTAAGTATAATAATGAATTACTTAAACACACCAATGAAAAGATAGGAATTGTTAGACTACATTTTTTAAAAACACATAAAAAAACTATAAATTCACTATAAAAAACTCACCTCAAACAATCATTCAGGTAAATTGAAAGTAAAAGGAAACAAGATATACCACACAAACAGTACACGACAGAAGCTGGAATGGGTATAATACTATAAAAAAAATTATCTTCAAACCAAAAAATTACCAAGGATATGCCTTACTGACTATAAGATGGCCTCCATGATGCCCAGCTCCTAATATTTATAATATTGTAAAATCCCCTCCTGAGAGTGTGGGGAGGACCTGTGATTTGCTTTTAACCAACAGACTATGACAAAAGTAATGGATGTCACTCCTGTAATTGTCACATTATATACCATTCTGCCCTTGCTAGCATACACCCTCCACAGGTTGCCTTTGCTTGATAAAGCAAGCAGACATGTTGAAGAGGCCCATGTGTCAAGAAATGTCTCTACAAATGCAGGTGGCCCCTAGGAACTGAGAGAGACCTCAAGTCAACAGCCAGCAAGCAGCTGGGACCCTTGTTCATTAAGCCACGAGGAAATAAATTCTCTCACTAACATGAAAGAGCTTGGAAATAAATTTTTCCTCAAATGAGCTTCTAGATAAGAATGCATACTGGCTGACCATATTACAGTCTTGTGAGACTCCAGGTAGAAGATATAGCTAAGCTGTGTCCAGACTCCTAATCCACAGAAACTGTGAGATAAACTGCTAAATTGTGGTAACTTGCTACACTGCAAAAGAAAACAAAGAAAGAAAAAACTGACAGAACTAAAAGGAGAAACAGACAAATCCACAATTATATTTGAAGACTTCCTTAGTATCAAATAGAATGTAGATAGGCTATCAGTATGGATCAAGAAGAATAAAACATCCACCAACTGGATCTAATAAAAGTAATATTCCACCCAACAATAGCAGAAAACCATTCCATTCAAGTACATGTGGAACATTCACTATGACAGATCATACACTAGATCAAAGTACAAACCCTAACAAACGTAAAAGGACTAACTGAAATCCTACGAAGTATGTCCTATGACCAAAATGAAATAAAACCAGAAAACGACAACAGAGATAATAAGAAAATTTTCAAACACTTGGAAATTAAACAGAATACTTTTACGTAATCCATGGGCCAAAGACGATATCTCAAGAAAAATTAGAATACATTTTGAACTGAATGAGAATGAAAACACAACATAGAAAATTTGTAGAATATGGCTACAGCAACGCTTAGAGGGAAATTTATAAAATGCAATACCACTATCAGAAAAGAAGAAAGGTCTCAACTCAATGTTTTAAGTTGCTACCTCAAAAAACAAGACATCACAAATTGTATGCTTATATCAAAATATCACATGTACCCCATAGATATGTATAACTATTATGTATCAATAAAAATTTAAAAACAAAAAAAAGAGCAAAATAGAAATCAAGGAAGACAACATTGTGAATGTACTTAATGCCACTGAACTGTATACTTTAAAATGATTAAGGGAGTACATTTTATGTTATGTGTATTTTATTACAATAAACGTCTTCTTCCTGGATCATAAATCTAAAGGTGGAAATGAAAACTATAAAAACTTTAGAAGAAAAAATAAAAAATCTTCATGATTGTTGGATAAGCTGAGTTCTTAGACATAACACGAAAAGCATGATCCAAACAAAAAAATTGACAAACTGGACTTCATCAAAGTTAAAGCCTCATCCTCTGCAAAAGATTCTGTTAAGGGAATGAAAAGCTAAGTTTCAGACTAGGAGAAAGTATTGGCAAATCATTTATCCAATATAAGACTTGTATTCAGAACATATAATAGAACTTTCAAAGCTAAAGAATAAGAAAACATACAATTAAAATGGACAAAGACCTTTCTCTAAAAGGATATAAGGATGGCAAATATGAAAAGACATTCAACATCATTAACATTTAGAGAAATCCAAATTCAGCCACAGTGACATATTCCTATACATGGTTTAGATGGCTAAAATAACACTGACAACAAATGCTGATGAGGATGCAGAGCAACTGGAATTCGAGTACAATGCTGATGGGAATGCAAAATGTTTGAAACACTTTTGGAAAAAAGAGTTTTTAAAAAATCAAGTTAAATGTACACTTACAATATGACCCAGCAGACCCACTCCTGGGTATTTATCCTATGGAAATAAATAATCAAAACAGCTCTATTCATAATTACCAAAAATTGGAAACATCTCAAATGTCCCACAACTGGCAAATGGATAAACAAACTGTTGTACATCCATTCAATGGAGTACTACTCAGCAGCGAAATGAAACAAGCTATTTATACATGCAACAACTTGCATGAATATCATTACAGTGCAGGAAAGAAACCAGTCACAAAAGGTTACAACATACCATTACGTGTGCAGACAGTTTCCCACTTATGATAGTTTGACTTATGCTTTTTCAACTTTACAATGGTGTGAAAGTGACAAGCATTCAGTAGAAAATGTACCTTAAGTACCCATACAACCATTCTGTTTTCCACTTTCAGTACAGTATTCAATAAGTTATATGAGATATTGAACACTTTATTACAAAATAGACTTTGTGTTAAATGATTTTGCCCAACTGTGGGCTAATGTAAGTGATCTTAGCATGTTTAAGGTAGGCCAGGCTAAGCCATGTTTTGTAGGTTAAGTGCAATAAATACATTTTTGACTAAATATTTTCAATTTACAATAGTTTATCAAAATGTAACCCCATCGTAAGTCAAGGAACATATGTATGTATACATACATACAATTTACAAGACACTCTGGAAAATATAAAATGGTTGCCAAGGTGTTGGGGGTAGAACGAGAGATGTGACTACAGAAAGATAGCATAAGGGTTGGCGGGGGGTGATGGAATTGTTCTGTAACTTGATTGTGGTGCTGGCTGCATGAATTTATACATGTGTTAAAATTCCTGGAAAAAAGTCTATATCACTATATGATCATTTGAAAATAAAATATGCAAAAAATGAGGTGCCAGTGCACCACCTGGGAAACAACATTCGGAAGGCAACTAGATAAACAGGACAGAAGTTAGGAGAGTCATCTGAGTTACTGATATAGATTTTCAAGTCATCTGGTAGAATTATCAGTGAGATCACTCCAGGATATTATTTATAGTGAGAAAATAGCAAGGACAGAGCTGCAGAGAATATTGGCATTTAAAGACTGAGAAGAAAATAATTCTATAGAAGGCATTAAGAAATTGTAGCCAGAGAAATAAAGGGTAAATCAAGAGAATGTGGTATCGTGGAAGAAGGAAATTTTGAAGTAGTAGTTCATGATCAAATGTCACAGAGCGGCAGAGTAAGATGAGGATTAAAAATAGTCTATTATATTTGGCAAGATGGATAGCAGTGACTTCTTTGATATGATGATAAACTATTAACAATAAATTGAAAACTAAATAGTAGATAAGAAAGGAGAGACAGCAGGTGTTTCATTCATTTGAAGAGTCTGGCTATGAACAGGAGGAAAGAGACAGGATGATAACTACAGACGTATGCAGAGTTAATGATGTGAGAAATTTGAAAATATATATACTACATACATATATGTATTACATATATATTATGTATACATATATTATATATATGTATGTGTATATGCTATAGGAGAGTACCGGTAAAGAAGCAAAGTCGAGGAGAAACTTTCTTAAGCAGATAAGTGATGGAATAAGGCCCGAAAGTAAGAGATGGTATGGCATAGAATAGAAGGAAATGGCTGAAACCAGAGAAACAGACATTATTAATCATCATAGCTTTAATTTTCTCCAGCAGTGTTCAGAAGTCTAAGTGTAGTAACAGTCACTAGTTCAGTTACACATAACGAGGAGGGATATGCTAACTCAGAAAATAGGGTTCCATAGGGAAGACAGGCTAGCCAATTATATAGGTATGTATATAAATAAGTGAATTTAATGATCACATAAATCCGATGAGCTTTAAAAGCATCTATTTTGGAAACAACACAAATGTTCATCAACAGAGAAATTGAACAAAATGTGGCACATCCATACAAAGGAATATGACTTAGGAATAAAAAACAACTAACTAGTGATAACACTCCAGTCACAAGAAAACTATATACTGTATGATTCATAATTTTATATTAAATTCTAGAGAGGACAAAACTATAGTAACAGGAAATAGATCAGTGGTTGCCTACGGCTGATGGCGGTGAGTAGGTGACTGACTTCAAAGGGGCATGAAGAAACTTTTAGGGGGGCAATGGAACAGTTTACATATGATGATGGTGGCGGCTACGTAACTATATATATTTGTCAATACTCATTGAGATATACACTTAGAATTTTATTGCATTTAAATTATATGTTAATAAAGCCAATTATAAAAAAAGGCTCTTGTATGGTAGCCTGGGTTACTATGTTCTAACACGAAGTATGTTGCTAAAAACAGCACTTAAAAGTAGCTCCTCTTAGGGCAGAGAAACATTACAGTGTATGACATTACAATGGTGATAAATACCATTATATATTTGTTTAAATCCATAGAATGTTAGCACCAAGAGTGAGCGGTAATGTAAACTATGGACTTTGAGTGATAATGATGTGTTAATGTAGGTTCGTCAATTGTAACAAATGTACTGCTCTGCTAAGGGTGGTGATAACGAGGGAGGCTACACATATGTGGAGGCATGAGGTATATAGAAAATCCTTGTACTTTTCCACTCAATTTTGCCACAAACCTAAAACTGCTATAAAAAATAAAGTCTATTTGCTGGGCATGGTGGCTCATACCTGAGTGGCTCATCCCAGCACTTAGGGAGGCTGAGGAGGGTGGATTGCTTGAGTCCAGGAGATTGAGACCAGCCTGGGCAACAAGGTGAAATCCTATCTCTACTGAAAAAAAAAATATGAAAAAAAAAATTAGCCGGGCATGATGGCACGCGCCTGTAGTCCCAGCTACTTGGGAGGCTGAGGTGGAAGAATCAACCGAGATTGTGCCACTGCACTCCAGTCAGGGAGTGAGTGAGTCCCTGTAGAAAGAAAGGAAAGGAAAGGAAAAAGGAAAGGAGAAAGGGAAAGGGAACTAAAAGAAAAAAAAAGAGTAGCTCCTCTACTTAGTCTAATCTACTGTCTCCAGATGTAGGCTCTAAAATTATAAGCAAAGGGAGTATAGTAGGCAGAATTCTAAGGAAACTTCCAAGGTTTCTGTTATCTCCCTGTACTCCATTGGGTCAACCCTGCATAATTCCCAGGACTGTGAATATGACAGATTTTGTGTTAAATGCAATGACTGATGTTAACATAAAGAGATTATCTGGTGGGACTGACCTAATCACCTGAGCCTTTTAAAATCATAGTCTTCTCTGGCTGGTTGTAGAAAGGACAGAATATCAGTATGTCCCACTCATCCTTCACTCTCACTGAAAACTGCAGAGAACAGATTGTGGCACTAGCACAATGCCATCTTCCCAGGGAGTCACCCAAACAAAGGCAATGAACAGTAAAATTCATACTCCCAATCATGAACACACTAGCAAAGGTGCAGAACATTTGAGGAGTACCAACACTATGAAATACCTAACAAACTTTAAAGTGGAAGAAACCAAAGTAACATAGTCAACAGCACACTAAGAACAAGACTTTACAACAATTATATACTACCAGCGAAATGAAAACATAAGAAAAGAGTTCTATGGGAAAACTAATTAGAATTCATGGACATGAAAACGTAAATTTTTGAAATAAAAGGAAACTCATTAGATGAGCTGAATGGCAGAGTAGACAAAACCAAAGAATATATTCCAGTGAGCTGGAACATCAGGCCTAGAAATCCTTCCAAAACACAGTAAAAAGAGAGAAAAAGATTTTTTAAAGTACATTACATGCAGAGGTTCTAATATATCAGTCTAATAGGAGTCCTCTTGAGGAGAAAATGTAGAAGCAATATTTGAAGAACTTTTAATTTCAAATGTCCCTAGAATTGAAGATAAGTACTCACATTGAAAGCATTCAGTGGAAACTTAAGCCAGTAAGACAAAACAAAACAACTGAGAAATATTCAAGTGAAGTTCAGAACGTCAAGGACAGAAAAATAGTCCTAAGAGTTATGAGAAAGGAAAGAATTCCTTATAAAACAACAAGATCCAGAACATCACATGTCTCATTAGCAACAATGTAAGTAGGAAGATAATAAAGCAGAACCTTTAAAGTTCTATGGAAAATAAACTTCAAACTTATATTTCCTTATCCAGCCAAATTATCATTTGAGGCTCATTTGCATCCATAATGAAGTAACAGATCTACCCTCCCATCTTAAACACTAAAAGTCTGAACAAAGCATATGAAATGGTTTTCAAACACTGGACAACAGACAGCACAGGAGAGTGATCCTTGAGAGAAGGGAAACAAAGGTGGTAAACCCAACAGCTGCCCACCTTACTGACTGGCAAGGGTTTCCTGGCTGCAGCACAGAGAGAAGGTAACCAAACAGAGCTTGGCAGTCCCCTTAGTTGAGGAAACATCATTCAGACCTTGGAAAATTGAAGAACACTCAAATTTCCAGGACAGAGTTGCAAAGAAGAAAGAGCTGCACGGGGGAAGGGTGCTCAAGATCTAAAGAGGGTCCCTAGAGCTTCCTGCTAAATGACAAACAGCATATTGTCAATAATACCTGAGGTTCAATCAGGGCTGCAAATGTCTCATGTTTCCAAGAGCCAAACTGAAAAGACCTCCAAATCAATGAAGCATTGGGTATTCAAAAGAGTAGTGCTATAGCAGTGAGGCCAAATTAGCACTGAAGACTGTTCTGTACTGGCCTGGCCAAAGCTTACAAGCAAACTTTGAAAGACTCAAACTATTTCCAAGTAACTTAACTGCAATCCCAGAAAAAAGTCCACAAATATTTATAAAATACGCAACGCTTGGTATCCAACTACAAATTACCAGACATGTAAAGAAAAAAAGATGACCCTAATTAGGGGAAAAAATCAATCAACAGAGACTCAGAAATGACAAAGATGGCAGAATTAATAGATAAGGACATGAAAACTGCTATTGTAATTATATTCCGTATGTTTAACAACATGAAGAAAAGTGGGGGACATGGAAGGTATAAAAACAATCCAAATCAACTTTAACATAAAAAATTCAATCTCTGGCTGGGCACAGTGGTTCACGTCTGTAATCTCAGCAATTTGGGAGGCTGAGGCTGGCAGATCACCTGAGGTCAGGGGTTCGAGATCAGCCTGGCCAACATGGTGAAACCCCATCTCTACTAAAAAATACAAAAAAATTAGCCGGCTATGGTGGCACATGCCTGTAATCCCAGCTGCTCGGGAGGCTGAGGCAGAAGAATCTCCTGAACCCAGGAAGCAGAGGTTGCAGCAAGCGGAGATCATGTCTCTGCACTTCAGCCTGGGCAACAAGAGCGAAAACTCTGTCTCAAAAAATAAACAAACAAAAACCAATTTCTGAGATGGAAAACATATAATGTCTGTATAGAATTAACAGACACAGCAGAAGATTAATGCACTTGAAGACACAGCAATAGAACAACCCAAAATGAAACACACAGAGAAAAAAAAAAAGACTGAACAAAATAGGGAGCATCATCAGTGAATGGTTAGTAGTGTACAAACTGGTCTAATATATGTGTACCAGAGACCTAGAAGAGGGAGAGAGGCAAACAGAAAAACATTTTTTGAGGAAATAATGGGCCAGACGCAGTGGGCTCACGTCTGTAATCCCAGCACTTTGGGAGGCCGAGGCAGATGGATCATCTGAGGTCAGGAGTTTGAGACCAGCCTGGCCAACAAGGTGAAGCCCTGTCTCTACTAAAAATACAAAATATTAGCCCAGCGTGGTGACAGACGCCTGGAATCCCAGCTACTCAGAAGGCTGAGGCAGGAGAATCACTTGAACCCGGGAGGCGGAGGTTGCAGTGAGCCGAGACTGCGCCACTGCATTCCAGCCTGGGCAACAAGAGTTAAACTCCGTGTCAAAAAAAAAAAAAAAAGAAAAGAAAAAGAAATAATGGATGAAAAATTTCCAGATTTGATGAAAATCATAAACCACAGATCTGAGAAGCTCAATGAACCCCTATACAAAATAAACATGAAGAAAACTACACAAGGCAGGGTGCAGTGGCTCATGTCTGTAATCACAGCACTTTCGGAGGCCAAGGCAGATGGATCACCTGAGGTCTGGAGTTCAAGACCAGCCTGGCCAACATGGTGAAACCCCATCTTTACTAAAAAAATACAAAACTTAGATGGGCGTGGTGGTACACACCTGTGATCTCAGCTACTTGGGAGGCTGAGGCATGAGAATCACTTGAGCCAGGGAGGTAGAGGTTGCACTGACCCAAGATCACGCCACTGCACTCTAGCCTGGGTGACAGAGTGAGAGTTTGTCTCAAAAAAAAAAAAAAAAAATACACAAACCACATCATAATCAAATTGATTCTAGTGATAAAGAGAAAAATTTTAAAGTAGAGAAAAAAGATACATTATATACCAAGGAAAAAGATAAGAATGAATGCTTAGTTCTTGTCAGAAACAGGGCAAGCCAGAGGTAAAAAGTTTCAACTATAATACAATATCCAGTCAAAATATTTGTTAACAACAAAAGCAAAATACTTTTTCAGACATACAAATGCTAATCAAATTCACCAGCAGACCACCATTACAAATTATCATTCAAGCATGAGGACAAAATAAGAGCATTTTCCAATAAATCTTGGAAAGTTCCTCTAAAAAAAAATTACCAGATTCTCCAGCATGAAAAAAAATAAACTGAGGGGGGAATAGTAAGACATAAGGAATGATGTTGAGAAAATAAATTAGTAAATTTCAGTAAGCCTACCAATTCTTTTAAAAATATTTTAAGTAAAAATCTATAACCAAAATTCCAGCTGCTATTAACATGGGAGATATGAGCAAAGGAAAAGGCTGGAGGTTCTCATCTACTATCTAGAGGAAAGATACAAATATAGATTAATTCCGGATGTAGAAAAACAAATTTAAGTATCTGTGTTAACAATATAAAGGGTAACTGTTCAAAAATTTTAACTATGTTTCTATGACATTGTTTCAAAGAAAAAACATACTATATTGAACTACATTAACTCACAAAGATACCACTTACGAACTTACAACAGATATGTAATAAGTCTAATTAAAATATATTACCATCTAATTAACCTATTTCTTATATGAGTGTGCTGCTTCATGGGTTGCTGAGTGGACAGACATAATCATCAGTTGTTCTGTAGACAAAATGTCAAAAGGCATTTGTGAACCTCTACAAATCAAACTATGAAGAGTTTTAACTACCTCAAATCCTGTTAAATACCAAAGAGAAAACAGAGTTTTAATGATTGAAATGATTACCTAAAAACTTAATATTTTCTTGGATACATAACTTAATTTAGTTAAATGGCATAACTGGAGACTTTACTAAAATTCTACTTCTAATTTGCTTTTGAGCAAATGCATAGTTTACATATATACTTACCCAAATACTTATTTCCCATTTTTCTTCTAAAATTCTTTGCCACTTAAAAGTATGTAAAACCAAAAGCATATTGGGGAAAAAAAACATGCAGCAATCCAAGAACTTATTTCTTTATCTGGGTTGCTATACCCATTTCTACTCTTTTAAAGGAAGGATACAGGTATGAACTTACTCCCAATTAACCAAAGCAACAATAGAATTCCACCCCTGGTATAAAAGATAGCAAAAGAGAAGGTAAATGAGTTAAGATATCACAATTTTATACTCTGCAAATGACTTCTGAGTATCTTTACTGCCTCTTATTATGCCTAGATTGTTAGACTGTCATTCTTTTTACTTACACTTACCTTATTCCAGACCTTCACTTGGAATACTAATACATTCAAAATCTCAGAAACAAACAAAATTCATACCATATGTCCTTCGGCTCGAGCTTTATTCTGCATAGCTTCCCGTTTTCGCTGCAGGAACTCTTCTACTTGTTTAGCTCTTTCTACAGCTAGCTGCCCTTTTTGCCTAATTTGGACAAATCACAAAGTCAGCCATCCTGAACAGAAAATATTCTAAAAAGTTAAAAATTACATTTATCCTAAATTTTTTTTTCATTTCAGAATATGAAGGCTGATGAAACACTATCTCTGTAATGAAGAAATCACTATATATATATTGACATCTACTACCTAAATCACATTCTTTATTATTTTCAATACAAGTAAAATCTATAATTCTACTCTAAGTCTTCACAAGATAGTTTCTTTTATATTTATTTGATCTATTCTACTTATTTAAACATATACAATTATTTTAGATACACTTAATTACGGAAGAATCTGAGAAGTTTCCAAGTTTATTTCAGAACTCTGTATCAAATATAATAAGAATCTTAGCAGCGAAGTCAAATAAAAGCAGTACAGCAGCAATTTAAAAAATTAACAAAAAGAACAAATGCTTTAAGTATGAATTTTCAAAAATACAGTAAAAAGCTATGTTTGAATTCCCTAAATATCACAACTATAAAAAAGTAAAGTGGATAGATTAGGGAAAAGATTAAAAACAGTTATTTGTTTTAATCTTTTCCAATTTTACTTTTGTGTCTTTCTCTGACAATTATGAAAGAATGTAAACATGCTGATCTTAGACTATAAATAAAAAGTATCAATAACAAACACTGATTAAGCATCTACTATATATTGTGTTAGTTACCTTGCTAAGTATGGAAGATACAAATATAAATAAAACCCAGCCCCAGTAATCAGAGAACTCATAGCATGGCATCAATTGTAGTTAATTTTGGAGGTAAGGAAGAAAGATGAGCAAGTTGTTGGCCGTGTTTCTACTTGTATTTTGGCTAGTAAGGCACAGAAACTTCCTATAAAGACTTTCTTTGGGACCATAACTAAATTATGTCCTGAAAATTACATGAAATAAATCTCAGTCTCCTAGTAAGATTTGAGCACTTCTGATTTTCATATACCAAATAACTGCTTCTTTTACATTCTTTGGCAACGATTACTAACTGAAACATAAAAATATTTGAAATATGAAACTAAGCTGTAAAACCTAAAAATCTATTCCATCACATAACTATGAATGACAGTGATCTAAGGTTCATTTACCTCATGTAGTACTTAAAAAAGATTCTTACGAAATTTCCATCATGGGAATTTTCTAGAATTAGATAATCTCTATAGCTGGTTTGAAGGCCTATTACTGTTGCTCTCAGATGTGTCTGGGTAGCTAAATCTTAATCTAGTTTCACATCGCTAAATCCAGAAATCCACTTCACCAATGCCATGTTAGCTTGAGTAGGCTGAACACAATGCCTCTGTAGTGTACCTGTGCCATCCCCTAACAGTCCCATTAGCCACTGGAAAATTCTGAGATTAATAACGCATATCTGTTCTGAATGCAATTTATCTCCTGCATATATCAATGTAAGGCTATATCCTACTTTGCTATATAGCCCCATTTATATAAGGCTGGGCCTAAGGAAGGCAGATAAACCTTCAAATGTGATGCTCTGACATGAGATTAATAAGGTATATCTGGTCAGAATGCAACTTATTTCCTGTATATATCAAAGTAGGACTGTACCCTGTTCTGCCACATCCCCATCTATGTAAGGCTGGGCCTGAGGAGGCAGATAAATCTTCAGGAGTAATGCTCTGACATAAAATTAATAAGGTATATCTGGTCGTAATGCAACTTGTTTCCTGCATATATCAAGGTAAGGCTGTATTCTGTTTTGCTATAGCCCGTCTACGTAAGGCTAGGCCTGAGGAAGGCAGATGAACCTTCAGGTATGATGCTCAGACATGTCATCTGAAACTCTATGGTTACAGATAAGGCACTTTTGGGGGGTCCTGGAAGTTTACACCACCACCTGCAAGTAGACAAGATAGGTGATCTCTCTGCTGTGTATCCTGATTGTATCAACTTCCTTCTCTAACTTTTACGGAAGTAAAGCATGTTTGACTTCCCATCTTAAGATGCTTTCTGTGTCCAGTGATTGTTAGCCTGAACTTACAATTGGCATAGGTTAAACAGCGGTTGCACAAAATTGTTTACTAAGAACCTGGTCATCTGTATAACAGCTTTGATTTATAGATTTTCACACCATTTATGCATATATAACACTACTTGCTCTATGTATTTATATGATTTATAAATTTTGCTTCATTGAACAGCTGCTTCCTACGCTGGCTTAAATAAGCAGGTTTACATTACTGGCTACTTTCAAACACAAACTTAATAACTGTAGTGCTTTTGTTTAACACTAATTCTTTTTTCCTATAATTTATTAAACAAATATTGAGTGTCAACTATTTGCCACATTATATCTGCCAAAAGATATAAAGATGAATAAAACAGAGTTCCAGGGAGGCAAGGTTGGTTCAACATATGAAAATCAGCGTAATACATATATTAATAGAATAAAAGACAAAATCAATTTTATGGCTCCTTACACTGTTTAAAAACCTATAAAATCTGTGTCCTTATTTTTCATATGCATTAGTGTTTACTACTTCACATACACCAAAAATAGTCCATAACCCACATGCTTAGTCCTCTCTAAAGTAATACAACTCTACTAAACTATGGGTATAAAGTACGCTTGTGCTGGGATCATGGGGATTAAGAGAAAACAGTCAGTTTACTTCTTGATAGTAATTTTCTTCATTAAACACTATTAAGAATTCACGTGAGCATGCTCTGTTTTACAAAAATTAGACTATTTCTTTTGAGTTCCAGAATTATACCACTTAAAATCAGTAAAACACTGACCCCGATTAAGGATAAGAGGATGATAATATAAATGCAAATATAGTAAGAAATTAGGAATTGGATAGTAAAACACAAAGACATTAAAATGGACTAAAAAGTATAATGTAACAGGATAAGGGACATCAAACAAAGAGATAACAGAAGTATAGTGTTCTTTTATCAATAAATAATTATTCCAAGACAAACTTTCCTTTTTTTTTTTAGCCCTGACAAGAGAAGGGGAGGAAAAGGGAGTAAGTTATTTTCTTTCCTTTTCTTATTGTAAACACATGAATAAGCAACAAGATTTGGCTGGGAACTGCATGCCTCACATCCATGGTTCAAATTCTTTACTGATAAAGAAAATTTAAAACTTCTCAAGGATAAAGTTGAAGACAACATAAAAATAAGTAGCACTCTAGGTAATGGAGATAATCTGAGAAATAAAAATGAGTAATGTGGTATTGGGCAGAAGAGATGGGGTGGTACAGGATTACTGAGATGAAAAAATGATGTAGAAGGGTTTATTCATTTAGCTTCCTCTTAAGGGGCATGTCGATGTAATGGAACGAAACTGTTGTTAGTTTTATCCAAATTAAATGAAGCAATACAGACAGAAGGACTTGGAAAAAGTAAAAGCACCATAAAAACACAAATGTTAGGTGGCACTCTGTAATTTATTAAAAAGTGGCTTCAGCCATTTCAACAGTACATGGCTTGAGCTTATAATATTAAAAATCCTAACAGAAGAGGTATGTTATTAAGAAATTGCATATAAGCAAAGGTAGACTGGTCAGAGTTACTGATAAGAAAGGAAGAGGAAAAATAACTACTACCATAAAGAAGAAACAGGCAAATATAGGTGATTATGAAGAAAAGAGAATCTGAAAGAGTCTTAGATGCCTACAGATTTCAGTTTGCTGATTCAGTTTGAATCATGGAAAGGAATGAATCAAGAATGAAAATGACATACAAATTATAATAATCAGAAATTGTGACAGCGTGCAGAGAAAATGTCCTATAATGCCAGTGACCACTAAACAGTACAAGACAAAAGAACCATTCAGATTGGAAGCAACCTTCGGTATTAACTAGTCCAAGTTTTCATTGAATAAAATATTCCCATATTCCCATCTAAATAGCCCATGACACACTGTCATTTCAACCTTTGGTTAATACTTCCAGTTTGAAGATGTTCATTAAACCCCACGATGATCCAACCTTTGAACAGTCCTCATATCTGACCGAAATGTGTCTTTATATTTCCACCCTGGGTCTAGTTCCTCTTTTACATGACAAGTCAGTCAATTCTTCCAAGTTTGCTCCTTTAACCATGATTTCTTTAATGATGGCTAAATTCCCAGACTCTTTTTGTTTTATTACACTTTAAGTTCTGGGGTACATGTGCAAAAAGTGCAGGTTACATAGGTATACACATGCCATGGAGGTTTGCTGTATCCATCAACCTGTCATCTACATTAGGTGTTTCTCCAGATGCTATCCATCCCCTAGCCCCCGACCGGCCCCAGTGTGTGATGTTCCCCTTCGTGTGTCCATGTGTTCTCATTGTTCAACTCCCACTTATGAGTGAGAACATGTGGTGTTTGGTTGTCTGTTCTTGTGTTAGTTTGCTGAGAATGATGGTTACCATGTCCCTGCAAAGGACATGAACTCATTCTTTTTTATGGCTGCATAGTATTCCATGGTGTATATGTGCCACACTTTCTTTATCCAGTCTATCCTGATGGGCATTTGGGTTGGTTCCAAGTCTTTGCTATTGTGAATAGTGCCACAATAAACATACATATGCATGTGTCTTTATAGCAGAATGATTTATAATCCTTTGGGTATATACCCAGTAATGGGATTGCTGGGTCAAATGGCATTTCTAGTTCTAGATCCTTGAGGAATTGCCACACTGTCTTCCACAATGGTTGAACTAATTTACACTCCCACCAACAGTGTAAAAGCATTCCTATTTCTCTACATCCTCTCCAGCATCTGTTCTTTCCTGACTTTTTAATTATCACCATTTGGTGTGAGATGGTATCTCATTGTGGTTTTGATTTGCATTTCTTTAGTGACCAGTGATGAAGAGCTTTTTTTTTTTCATGTTTGTTGACTGCATAAATGTCTTCTTTTGAGAAGTGTCTGTTCATATCCTTTGCCCGCTTATTGATGGGGTTTTTTCTTGTAAATTTAAGTTATTTGTAGATTCTGGATATTAGCCCTTTGTCAGATGAATAGATTGCAAAATTTTTCTCCCATTCTGTAGGTTGCCTGTTCACTCTGATGATAGTTGCTTTTGCTGTGCAGAAGCTCTTTAGTTTAATTAGATCCCATTTGTCAATTTTATTTTTAGTTGCCATTGTTTTGGGTGTTTTAGTCATGAAGTCTTTGACCATGCCTATGTCCTGAATGGTTTTGGCTAGGTTTTCTTCTAGGGTTTTTAGGGTTTTAGGTCTTATGTTTAAATCTTTAATCCATCTTGAGTTAATTTTTGTATAAGATGTAAGGAGGGGATCCAGTCTCAGCTTTCTGCATATGGCTAGCCAGTTTTCCCAACACCATTTATTAAATAGGGAATCCTTTCCCCACCACTTGTTTATCGGGTTTGTTAAAGAGCAGATGGTTGTAGATGTGTGGCATTATTTCTAAGGCCTCTGTTCTGTTCCATTGGTCTATATATCTGTTTTGGTACCAGTACCATGCTGTTTTGGTTACCGTACCCTTGTAGTATAGTTTGAAGTCAGGTAGCAGGATGCCTCCAGCTTTGTTCTTCTTGCTTAGGATTGTCTTGGCTATGTGGGCTCTTTTTTGGTTCCATACGAAATTTAAAGTAGTTTTTGCTAATTCTGTGAAGAAAGTCAATGGTAGCTTGATGGGGATAGCATTGAATCTATAAATTACTTTGGGCAGTATAGTCATTTTCACAATATTGGTTCTTCCTATCCATGAGCATGGAATGTTTTTCCATTTGTTTCTGTCCTCTCTTATTTCCTTGAGCAGTAGTTTGTAGTTCTCCTTGAAGAGGTCCTTCACATACCTTGTAAGTTGGATTCCCAGGTATTTTATTCTCTTTGTAGCAATTGTGAATGGGAGTTGACTCATAATTTGGCTGTTTGTCTGTTATTGCTGTATAGGGATGCTTGTGATTTTTGCACATTGATTTTGTATGCTGAGACTTTGTTGAAGTTGCTTATCAGCTTAAGGAGATTTTGGGCTGAGATGATGGGATTTTCTAAATATACAATCCATGTTATCTGCAAACAGAGACAATTTGACTTCCTCTTTTCCTATTGGAATACCCTTTATTTCTATCTCTTGCCTGATTGCCCTGGCCAGAACTTCCAATGATATGTTGAATAGGAGTGGTGAGAGAGGGTATCCTTGTCTTGTGCTGGTTTTCAAAGGGAATGCTTCAGTTTCTGTCCATTATGATATTGGCTGTGGGTTTGTCATAAATAGCTCTTATTAAGATCTGTTCCATCAATGCCTAGTTATTATTTGGAAAGTAGGGCTGTTAAATTTTGTCAAAGGCCTTTTCTGCATCTATTGAGATAATCATGGGGTTTTTGTCATTAGTTCTGTTTATGTGACGGATCATGTTTATTGATTTGTGGATGTTGAACCAGCCTTGCCTCCCAGGGATGAAGCCAACTTGATCATGGTGGATAAGCTTTTTGATGTGCTGCTGGACTCAGTTTGCCAGTATTTTATTGAGGATTTTCGCAACAATGTTCATCAGGGATATTGGTCTAAAATTCTCTTTTTTTGCTGTGTCTCTGCCAGGCTTTGGTATCAGGATGATGCTGGCCTCATAAAATGAGCTAGGGAGGATTCCCTCTTTTTCTATTGTTTGCAATAGTTTCAGAAGGAATGGTACCAGCTCCTCTTTGTATCTCTGGTAGAATTCGGCTGTGAATCTGTCTGGTCATGGTTTTTTTTTTTTTTTTTTTTTTTTTGCTTGGTAGGCTATTAATTACTGCCTCAATTTCAGAACTTGTTATTGGTCTATTCAGGGATTTGACTTCTTCCTGGTTTAGTCTTGGGAGGGTGTATGTGTCTAGGAATTTATCCATTTCTTCAGATTTTCTAGTTTATTTGTGTAGAGGTATTTATAGTATTCTCTGATGGTAGTTTGTATTTCTGTGGGATCAATGGCGATACCCCCTTTATCATTTTTTATTGCATCTATTTGATTCTTCTCTCTTTTCTTCATTAGTCTTGCTAGTGATCTATCAATTTTGTTGATCTTTAAAAAAAAACCAGCTCCTGGATTCATTGATTTTTTGAAGGGTTTTTTGTGTCTCTATCTCCTTCAGTTCTGCTCTGATCTTAGTTATTTCTTGTCTTCTAGCTTTTGAATTTGTTTGCTCTTGCTTCTCTGATTCTTTTTTTTTTTTTTTATACTTTAAGTTTTAGGGTACATGTGCACATTGTGCAGGTTAGTTACATATGTATACATGTGCCATGCTGGTGCGCTGCACCCACTAACTCGTCATCTAGCCTTAGATATATCTCCCAATGCTATCCCTCCCCCCTCCCCCCACCCCACCACAGTCCCCAGAGTGTGGTATTCCCCTTCATGTGTCCAGGTGATCTCATTGTTCAATTCCCACCTATGAGTGAGAATATGCAGTGTTTGGTTTTTTGTTCTTGCGATAGTTTACTGAGAATGATTTCCAATTTCATCCATGTCCCTACAAAGGATATGAACTCATCATTTTTTATGGCTGCATAGTATTCCATGGTGTATATATGCCACATTTTCTTAATCCAGTCTATCATTGTTGGACATTTGGGTTGGTTCCAAGTCTTTGCTATTGTGAATAATGCCGCAATAAACATATGTGTGCATGTGTCTTTATAGCAGCATGATTTATAGTCCTTTGGGTATATACCCAGTAATGGGATGGCTGGGTCAAATGGTATTTCTAGTTCTAGATCCCTGAGGAATCGCCACACTGACTTCCACAATGGTTGAACTAGTTTACAGTCCCACCAACAGTGTAAAAGTGTTCCTATTTCTCCACATCCTCTCCAGCACCTGTTGTTTCCTGACTTTTTAATGATTGCCATTCTAACTGGTGTGAGATAATATCTCATAGTGGTTTTGATTTGCATTTCTCTGATGACCAGTGATGATGAGCATTTTTTCATGTGTTTTTTGGCTGCATAAATGTCTTCTTTTGAGAAGTGTCTGTTCATGTCCTTCGCCCACTTCAAGGAGAACTACAAACCACCCAAGGAAATAAAAGAGGATACAAACAAATGGAAGAACATTCCATGCTCACGGGTAGGAAGAATCAATATCGTGAAAATGGCCATACTGCCCAAGGTAATTTACAGATTCAATGCCATCCCCATCAAGCTACCAATGACTTTCTTCTCTGATTCTTCTAATTGTGATGTTAGGGTGTCAATTGTAGATCTTTCCCGCTTTCTCCTGTGGGCATTTAGTGCTATAAATTTCCCTCTACACACTGCTTTAAATGTGTCCCAGAGATTCTGGTACGTTGTGTCTTTGTTCTCATTGGTTTCAAAGAATTTATTTATTTCTGCCTTAATTTCTTTATTTACCCAGTAGTCATTCAGGAGCAGGTTGTTCAGTTTCCATGGAGTTGTGCGATTTTGAGTGAGTTTCTTAATCCTGAGTTCTAATTTGACTGCACTGTGGTCTGAGACTCTTTGTTATGATTTCCATTCTTTTGCATTTGCT